>NC_000007.14:125006779-125631779 GCF_000001405.40 Homo sapiens
TTTTAATAATAACTTCATTATGCTGCCTTTTCTTTATGTAGCTAAATAATGTGAAAATGGGTGTAATAAATAACATTCTTAAATACATGGGTAAGTTATAAAAAATATGTAGGTTAATTTAACTCTCTGTTCTCAATAATATTACTCATAACTGCAAGAAATATCACATTTTAAACACAATCTAAAAGAGAACTAAATAAATTTTCAATTAATTCTCTTAAGACTTGCCCTTTGATCAGCAAGCTTCCCCAATTAAAAATAAAAAAAATCCATAGCTGTTAAATCCACAATTATATTTTGTGACTAACCATTTACAATATAATTTCACTACAAAGAACACTTTTCAAGTTATTTTCAACACTTTTAATAGAGCTCTAAACTTTTAATACGAGTAGTTTTTATCCAGACTATCCAGACTTGTTAACCAACCGTCACTGTGAGTGTAATGAAGGCTTCTACGGGTTTGGAGAGGGAGAATGTGCTGGACGAGCAATTTATCACTTAGCCTCACCAGCCAAAAGACACTTTGGCTCCCATCAAACCACTTTCAAGAGCCACATTGAAAACAACCAATTTGATAGTGCCACAGGTGTAGTAATTACATCTTTTAATTCTGCATTTTAACTTTTTTTTCAGCATTTTAGGTTTGATCAGGCTGCCTTCTCATTGGGGAGTGATTTCATTTCTCCCTCTCTTTTTAAAGTTTTCCTTCTAGGAATTGCATGTACCAGTAAATATTATGATGACCTCATTTCTTTTCTGAAATGAGGTTTTAATTAGCTTTATAGCAATAAAGGAAAATTTATTTTCACCACTTTTTATACACACCATTCACATATTTTTGATTTAGTACTGGGAACCCAGGGATATCATCTTATTTTCCCGAATTACTGATTGTTTAATTGTACTCAGTTTTTTAAAGGTAATATTTCCTATTTTATTAATTATTCAGGTACCAAAACCAGATACAACAGTTACAAATAAAGATGACTGTGGACCAATATTCCATATGAATATAGACATATAAATTTTCAGAAATACTAGCAGACTGAATGTAGCAACATATACAAATAATTATACCTCATGACCAAGTAAGATTTTTTCACAAATGCTATGATGGCTTAATATCCAAAAATCTACCAATATGTTACATCATATTATTTATCGGAAAATTTTAGACCTTGAAAAGCTCTTATCAGAGTTCAGTTTAACATGCTTTCTGCTGAAACCTACTGGGCTTGAATCATCAGTTAACCTAATAATCTCTATGGTGGATCATCAGCTGTGTGGGACTTATATTTTCATATTTTCAGTAGTTGGTATAGTCATTGGAGAACTGCAGAAAAATCAAAGTGGAATGGATTTTAGGAAATAATTTGGTTCTAACAATTTGTGGCCTGTTCCAAAGTAAGTTTTCCCCACTGTTCTCCAACCATATTTCTAAACTCTCCTGTTTTGTTGAAGTATTAAGAGACCAACATTAATATATTTTTGTGGTCTTAATTCTTCCTATTACTCTCCGTTTAAATGTTTTAAACACAAAATTTGCACATAGTTTGATACCAAACATTTTTAATATGACCTGTGAGGCATTGTGTCTTACAGCCCCTACATGATAATGTGAAGGAGCTGGCTTGTACCAACTTGCAAGAGCTAAACTTTCAGAAATTTTGTGAGCCGGTTGTTAAACCCAGATATTATTTTAAGATAATTATATAAACTTAACATTAAATAGATTATATAACAAACATAGGTAATAAATATTTGAAACTCATCACTTCATAATTATTTGGCTATATTTTATTATTATCTTGAGGTTACTTATTGTGTCTGTGTCATGGAAATACCATTTAATGGAGTGTTACTGGCAGCTCTTTCCAATTCAGCATTTTATGATGATATGTTGATCTCTTAAAATTGGCCATGATGGGAATATTTACACCACAGGAGTTGGCAAATGCTAAAAATCAGAACTTGATTTACTGTTTTGTTGACCGTATAGACGTAAGAAAGTGACAAAAGAAAATATATCATATGGCGCCTACACAATAGTGTGAAGGAGATGCTTTCTTAATAATACAGAGTAAACTTTTAAGTGTCATGTCTATTCCTGTCACATTGTGAATATCACAAAAAATAAAAAATATGTTTCCAGTTTGGGAAAACTATTCTATAATTCAACAAGGAAGGCCTTTATGTCATTGACCAACAAATAAGGTTCAGACGTATATCTTCATTTCACTTTTGGCTTATTAATGGAAATGAAAATATCAACCAACATTAATGTTAAAGCTACACTTGTTAACTGCAGTCATAGAACATAAGAGTTCAGCAAAAATCAATAAAATCACTCTGTGAGAACTAATTTGCTATATAGAATTTATAGCAGAGTATTATGCATTTCATTATTCTCTGTAAATTATTTGCAAATTTGTGCTTTTTTTCCTCAGAGCCAATTCAAAAATCAGGCATAAGAAACTGGGCATAAGAGCACACCACTATCCCTCCCTACATCTAATTCTTGTCTCACACTTCTCTCTGAGCTCTAGGCAAATTCGCTAGTTTTTACTTCTTTATTTTATAAATTATTTGATTGACACAATATTTGTACATATTTATGGGTACATGTGATATTTTGTTACATGCATAGAATATGTAATGATCAAGTCAGGGTATTTAGGATATTCATCACTTTGAGTATTTATCATTTCTATGTGTTGGGAGCATTTTAAGTCTACTCTTCGAACCATTTTGAAATATATAATACCTTGTTGTTAACTATAGTTGGTTACTATAGACACCCTACTCTTCTATCAAATGGTGGAACTTATTCCTTCTATCTTTCTGTATGTTTGTACCCTTTAACCAACCACTCTTCACTCCGCTATCCACACACTCTTTCAAACCTTTGTTAACTATTTTTCTATTCTTTACGTTCATGAGACTCATTTTTTTAACTCCCGCATATGAGTGAGAACGTGCCATGTTTGTCTTTCTGTGCCTGGCTTATTTCACTTAACATAATGACCTCCAGGTCCATCCACGTTGCTGCAAATGACATGATTTCATTAATTTTTTTTTAGGGCTGAATAGTTTTCCATTACGTATATATACCATATTTTCTTTCTTTTTTTTTATGAGACAGAGTCTTGCTCTGTTGCCCAGGCTGGAGTGCAGTGGTGCGATCTCGGCTCACTGCAGGCTCCACCTCCCGGGTTCACGCCAGTCTCCTGCCTAAGTCTCTGGAGTAGCTGGGACTACAGGCGCCGGCCACCATGCCCAACTAATTTTTTTTTTTTTTTTTTTTTTTTTTTTTTTTTTTTTTTTTTTACCGTGTTAACCAGGATGGTCTTGATCTCCTGACCTCATGATCTGCCCGCCCCAAAGTGCTGGGATTACAGGCATGAGCCACTGCTTCTGGCCGTGTTTTCTTTATCTATTTGTCTGTTGATGGACACTTAGGCTGATTCTGTCTTTGGTATTGTGAATAGTATTGCAATAACAGGGGGTGAAGGTATTTTTTATATTCTGATTTTCCTTCCTTTGGGTAAATAACCAGTAATGGGTTAGTTCCAGGACCCTCAGCGATACCAAAATTCATGGTTGCTCAAGTCCGTTATGTAAAATGGTAAGTATTTGCATATAACCTACATACGTTGTCTCATATAATTTAAATCATCTCTACATTATCTATAATACCTAATACAATGTAAATTGTATGTAAACACTGTTGTATTATTTAGGGAATAAGAAAAAAGTCTGTACATATTCAGTACAGATGCAACCATTTATTTTTTTCTGAATGTGTTCAATCAATCCAAATTCATGAATACTTATGGATATGGAGGACTGACTGTATTAAGCTTCTTTTCACTTTCTTACACATTACTCTCTCAGAAGAGATTCTCTTCTCTCCTTATCTGGCCAACATCTGCTCAGCCTTAACAACTTAAAATTTCAGCTTACGTCAGCATAAATACATCTTTATCATTGCAAACAAGAAAAAAAAGCTATCCTTTTTTTTGACTTTACACACTACTCAATTTCCACCATAATTTTTTGCAACTTTTCACAGCATCTTATTTTAAAAGCTATTTTTACTGTCTCCCTATTCTCCCTTTTCATTTTTACTTTAATAAACTCCAAATGAACTGTTTTTTCCAACTTTGCAGCGAAATAGCTCTTGCATGTTACCAATCTCTTGATAACTCCTTTGTCTTCATCTTCATCTTTCAGCAGCAGTAGATGGTTAACCATTATTGATTTCTTGGGTCACCTTATTGTCTTAACTTCTCTACTACTACACTTCAGTGGCTTCTACTTCTCATCCTACTTTTCTGGTTTCTTTTGTGACTGATTTCTGAACAATAGATGTCCCAGGGATTGAACTTTGGCTCTTTTTTCTTTCTCCATAGATAATTTTTTTTTCAATCCTGTGGCTCTGAATACCTGAATACCATCTACTTTTGACTGACTGTCAAATTTGTATCTTTAGCTCCAAACATCCCAGAACTCTAGGTTATATAATGTGCCACTTGTATCTATAAATTTAAACATCTAATAGGCATCCAAAATTTTACATGTACAAAACAAAGGAATTGGTTTCCACTACCCTCTCTCCTGAACTGCAAACTTTCTCAAGCCAAAGACACAATATTTATCTACTAGGTATGTCCCTTAAATCCCATATGAAAGTCCACCCGTAAAACTTGTTAACATTACTAGCAAAACTAATCTAAAATTTTTAGCAGATTGTGTGAATTAGCCTCTAAGTATATCTCCAAAGAAGAACAATACCACACTCTCTTCCTGTAAGCCATGAGAAATAAATGGTGAGTGACAACATCTTTCAAAAATCATTTATTAACTGTTTTCTCTAAGACAGGGCTGCTCATAATCTTACTCACTGACAGAAATAAAATTATCAACCAACAAAATGTTAAAGTAAACGACAAACTCCTCCCTCACTTGGTTTCCTGACTTAAGGAGAAAGGGATAGTGTGGAGCAAGGGAAGATCCTAGAGTTTTTCTTCTTTGCAAAAGCAATATGATATCAAAAGTAATATCAAAACTTAAAAGTTGCAGTTTTAGTGATTCTTATTATGTCCCTGTTTAACCACCTGATTTGGCAGGTGCAGAAGATGAATGCATTTTGGATAATGTTAGTGGATTATTATAAATGTTGTCAAGCTGGTGGATTTCCTTGCTGAGGAAATTTTTACCAACTGTGGTAAATAGTGGGTAAACACATTTGTAACCTTGGAAATAATGTTTAATCTTGCCCAATGGCTAAAAAAAAAAAAAACCCTCCAGAATGAGTTTTATTACATTGAGCAAGGAGAATAATACAAATTCATAGTCTTGTCTCAAGGATTCATGAAAGGTATAGTCTGTGGGAACTAATTATCTCATCATCCTATAGGTTGTCACTTTGGTCTACTGATGACATTAGGCTGACAATACCTGGAGAATGAGAAGTTGTTTATGCCGAGATGCCTAGGTAGGACAAGTATGTATCAAAGGATAGGGAATAATAACCATGAAAATTAAGTTCCTGCAGCCTCAGTGGAGCTTCTGGAAGACTAGTGAGTAAGAGTATACATTGAGATATGTTTTCCCAAGTGCAAGTGGTTCCACCTTATATCACCTACTTTAAGAAAGAGGCACAATGCTTGTAGGACCACTTCTTATTTTGATGACAACATATAGACTTGTATAATTCAATGAGGCAAAAATTCAGTAAGTTACAGTAAAAATGTATATTCATCAAATTTTGAGATAGAATAAAGGCTTTCTTTGTGCCTTTGATTTGCTTAGATTACTATTTGGTTAGCTTATTATTGTATTTTTTCATAACCACATCCAGCTTTTATAAACTGGGTGAGTACTAGAAGTACTTTCAAAGAAATTTAAGTGTGGAGGTCTTTACAGAAATCCAGATTTTCTCCACTTTTATTATTGTCTTATATGTAAATGATTATAAAGTTATTTAAGTTACTTGGACCTTTCCACATATTCAACTTAGTTTTTATAGAGTCAAATTCCTTTTTTACATACATATTTCACTAGCTTACATGATAGTTAACTAACTTATGTGTTATAGATGAAAGCACAAACAGGTTTCAGAATAAATATAATGGAACTTTGGGAAGCATATAATAATTCAATAATACCATTGGGAGCAATGGTATATGGGTGTATGACAGCATTTGTTAATTCTGCAAGAAGGTGAAAGTTACATGGAGATGGCTAAGAGGGTTGCTAGTTTATTACATTTATGTATACACTTATCAAACCTATCTGACTGATGATTTGAAGGACCACTCACCTTTAGAGGCACCAAGACCAATAAAAGGGTGATGTGCAAGCACTGTGCTTCTTAGCCCTTAAGACTCAGTAGATCCAATGGTGATCAGTTTGTTTATGAACGATCAGGATACTATATGGGCTCTTACTTGATGAGCCCTATATTTTAGTGGTCCAATAAGCTACCTACTAGCAGGTTAATTAGTTGGACAGATTCTGTCATTCCTCAAAAGATGTTTGTGTTGAATTGTAGATAGAGGGTAGAATGCTGGTTACCAGAGGCTGGGAAGGGTAGTGAGTGTGGGGGAAAGTGAGGATGGCTACTGGGTCCAAAAATATAATTAGAATGAATAAAATCTGGTATTTGATATCACAACATAGTGATTACAGTCTACAAAAATACATTTAAAATAACTAAAAGAGTATAATTGGAATGCTTGTAACACAAAGAAATGATAAATGCTTGAGGTAATGAACACCCCATTTACTCTGATGTTATTATGTATTGTATGTCTGCAACTAAATATATCTCATATATTCCATATATATATATATATATATACACACCTGGTATGTACTTATAAAACTAAAAACTAGGTTGGGTGCAGTGGCTCACACCTGTAATCCCAGCACTTTGGGAGGCCGAGGTGGGTGGATTACCTGAGGTCAGGAGTTTGAGACCAGCCTGGCCAACATGGTGAAACCCATCTCTACTAAAAATACAAAAAATTAGCCAGGCATGGTGGTGGGCTCCTGTAATCCCAGCTACTTGGGAGGCTGAGGCAGGAGAATTGCTTGAACCCGGGAGGTGAAGGTTGCAATGAGCCGAGTTCGCACGTCATTGCACTACAGCCTGGGCAACAAGAGCGAAACTCTGTCTCAAAAACAGAACAGAACAAAACAAAACAAAACCACAACAATAAAAAACACTAAAAGCTAAGAAAGATATTTATTTTGGATTAAATGGGCTTAAATAGAATTACTGTAGTACATATCAACAAAAGGATAGTGTTACCATGAGTGCTGAAGTGTTAACCTAGAGTATTAATTAAAAATAGGATATTGATACACAATACGGGCAGGAAGAAGTATGGATGAAACTCAACTGATTCTTTGGAAACTCTCATGGTACTTGCAACAACCAGTGCTAGGGATTAAGGAAAGACTACTGCAACCCTCAGATCTTGGGAATGAAGCTATGATCACCATCTTGGAATCACCGTGATCATCATCCTGAAAGTACTAAAGAAGGTTTAAGCATCAATCAGAAAAACTGAATTTACAACTAGATGTAGGAACTGCAGAGACCCTGGCTAGAAGATCAGAAGATCAGCTCTATATACTGTCTATACTGGGAAGCCAAAGGTGTGAACTTTATTTCTAAATTTAAATTTAAAAAAATTTTTTTGAGACAGAGTCTCCAGCTTCAGTCTCCAGGCTTAAGATCATTATTTACAAAGTGAACTTGGAGTTTTTCCCTTTCAATATCCTGTTAGGATTAAATATCTTTATACCCTAAAAAATAAAAGTACATCTACTATGAAAAAAATCCCATGTCTACATTTTGTTGTGCTTATTGATTTTAAATCAGCATAATATTCATTCAGTTAATACAATCTTCTCTGATTTAATTTGCATGATTTTATTTCTAGTGCATAAGATTGAACATGGAAAAGTAATTTTTTACATTTCTTCTTTTGCAAATTTTCTTTACAATTCTTAACATATTAAAGATATTACATATATTACAAATATTTTTATCCATTTTATTAGCCTCATTTTGATTGTTGACATTTTTTGCCATATAGAAAATTAATTTTTTAAAGTTAACACAACAATCTCTTCTTGGTACTCTTTCCTTTATCTTGGATCTTAGGCCTTGGTAAGACTGCCACCCCTCTTTATCCACTAATCACAAGTGAGTAATAACAGCTTTATTTTGTTGCTACATTTTGTATCACGCTTTTGGCTTTTAGCTGTTTCATGACTGGAAAAACCAATTCCCTATATTAAATTCCCCCTGCTTGAAATGCCTAGAATTTTTTTGGTACTTTTAGTTCATTGGAAAATCTCTGGAATTTGTTTCTCTAAATAATATAAGAAAGTTAATCATTTTTCTAATGATTTGACCAGCTGTTACAAAAAGAGTTGTTTAATCATCCAATCTTATACTGAGATTTAGAAATGCCTCTTTTAGCAAACACTAAATAAATCTGCTTCTGGAATTTCCATTCGTTCCATTAATATTTCCCCATATGTGTGTTCTACACAGTTTGTTAAGATCTTACAATACCTGGTAACTTAAGATTGTAATCATTTGATGTAGTTTTCAAAATTGTCTATTGTTTTGTTCCATTCATATTATGTTATTATGTTGTTCTGTTATATTATTCTTTCAAAAATTGCTACCATTTTACCAAGTTTGACAGAGTCCTGAGGGTTATTTACAAAAATGACATTATTGTGAAAAGAACTTTCTAATATCCTTTTTTTGCAGCTCTGAACATGAAATGCTTTCCATTTGTTTAAGTTCTGTTTTAGACATTTGGTATAATTTTGTGATGTTTATTCTGTAGGTTTTTCACTTATTCTTAGATACTACATTTTTGCTAAAAAGCATAAAATATTTTATATTTTCTCCATCTTATTGGTATTTTAAGAAACTGTTATTTTAAAATGTACTTTATTTAAAAATCAAAGTACAAAAGTGTACTGAAAATAACATGAGGATGTATCACTTTCCTTTTCTGTTGCTTTATTTTCAAGATTCCTGTCATGTAAAATATTAAATCTCTCCCATATCTTTGGTCTTATTTTGTATTTTCTATTTGTCATATTTTCTCCTCCTTTATTGTTTGCTGCATTTTATATACCTCATTTTTCTTAAACATTAAAAAAGTGTTTAACTTTATACAATTTTACAATTACCCCTCCATTTTCTAGCACTGTCTTAAATTTCTTAGAAGATTAGTTTTTAATCTAATTCTTTAACATACCATCTCTTTATTCACTCTATTCCTTTCTTTTTTTGTGTTGTTTGTCATTTCCATATCTGTTTTTCTTGTTTCTCAATATTTATTTCATACATGTTATCTCCTTATATTTTATGCTAAATTGAAGTATAATTTGTTGGCTAAATGTTATATCTCACCATTTCGCTTTTCAGTTAATTAGTAAATCAGTTGCTTCTGCCGTAATGGCTCAGGTACCCCAGCCATCTGAGCCAATCATTCAGCATGTGGCATTTTTCCGTCTGCAGGAACTGTTTCAAGAGAAGTTCAGGGAATATAGGCTCAAGCCTCTGATTCACTGAGGGTGAGAAGAGTTCTTTCCTGCTGGACATGAATATTTCTTGCAGATGTCTTATGATTAAAGATGATATCAGCCTTAGAACAAAAGTGACACTGTGAATGGCAGCGAGAAGAAAGACAGAGAGAGACAGAGAGAGAAGAGAGAAAACAATCCCAGAGTAAACCCATCATGAATTATTCTCTGCCTCTGGAGTTTCATTTATGTGAGTCGATTGTGTCCTCATTGTTTAAGTTTTGCCACTCAAAGAGTCGTCCATGAACTAGCAGCATTGATATTGCCTGGGAACTTCCTAGAAATGAAGAGTCTTAGGTCCCATCTCTGACCAACTAAATTACAGTCTACATTTTATCAGAATCCCAAGGTGATTTATATAGACATTAAAATTTGAGAAGCATTATCTAAAACTGTGGCTCTCAAAAAATAGTTTATGTATTCCTGAAGCTTTTTAATGTAATTCCATGGAGTCTATGAGGTCAAACCTGTATTCATAATTATAATAAGATATTATTTGCCATATCTAGAACACCTGATAGCACAATAATCAACATATTCTTAGTAAAGAATAATGTTGAAGGGAGATCATAGACTAATACTGATTTTGAGGTTTTCTCCATCCTTATTCTATAGTGAACCTGCATTTTAATTTTTTTTTCAGCATCTCTTTTATTTTCTTCATATACCAGTAACCTGATTATACTTGGAAGGGCCCACTGTTAGTCCATGGGGTTTAGGTATGTGTGA
Source organism: Homo sapiens (assembly GCF_000001405.40). Taxonomy (NCBI): domain Eukaryota; kingdom Metazoa; phylum Chordata; class Mammalia; order Primates; family Hominidae; genus Homo; species Homo sapiens. The sequence goes on from NC_000007.14 coordinate 125,017,139, forward strand.
CCTCTTGACCTTACTGCTGTCTCTTCATGGATGGAGATGTAACCTGTCTGACTAACTAACTCATTTAATTTTCTTGGCCACAGTGATTGATTCAGAAATATGAATCATGTTGGTGCCTTCAGAAGAGGTATTGATGCTTGTTTTTCCTGGAAATATTGGGAAGTGAAAGTTCTCTTTGCACAAAGTTTACTTTTAATAAAGATGATTTTAGCTAGTTTGCCAGGAGCTTCCTTTAGAGATGGCTTTCCTGTTATTGATAGGTATAGAATTTAAATTTAAAATAATTTTTCTCAGAAACTTAAAGCATATTCCATGTTATTGCAGACTGAATTTATTTTGTGAAACAACGGCAAGATATGACATTAACTGACAGTGAAAATTTATCAGTTCATATTCATTTCATTCTAGATACTGATATTGATTTTTATTAGTCCTAATAATTGGTAATCGTGAAACTATCATTTTTTCATAAGTATTTTCATAAGTATTTGAGTAAAGTTTGAGTAGACATCATAAATATAGATGACCACATACATTTTTGAATTGAAGATTCTAGTGATCCTTTCTTATTTATTTTTCAATTCTCACTACTTAGCACACTGACTGTTTCACTGTCATTGCTGAAAATGATAAGGTAATTTTGAATATAGGCTTTGTAACTGCAAATTCTTCTTTTATTACACTGAGCTAATATGTTATTAATCTTGTAATATTTTTTCAAGTTGACATATAGTGTTATAAGAATCCTTAACTATAATTTGATTTCCAAGGCTGCAAAGAATATTATGAATACCTTTATAGGAAAGAGTTTTCTCTAATTTAATAAATATTTATTGTCTACCTAATATATGCTGGTGAGTAACATGCAATACACAATCTATATACTCAAAGAGAGCCTAGTTTGGTAGATAAGATGGACATACACATACTTTTAACTCTGTTATAAGAGCAGCAGATGTAAAACATGGGAGAAATGATTAACTTTATCTGTGATTATGTGAGAAATACAATTGAAGAATATCACAAATGGAGATAGGTGATTATAGGCAAAAGAAAGGCATGTTCAAATGCACCCAGTATTTGATGCACCAATGCTTGGAAGAACTATGGACAGTTTAGAATTGTTTGAAATAGGGATGGGAGAAGATGAGACTAAAGAGATTTGCTGAGTCCAGATCAGGATGGATCTTGCATGCCATACAAAGAAATTTAGACTTTATTTGGCTGACCAGTGTTACATACTTTTAAAGAAAATCCATTTGAAATATGTAACAAATCTCTCCTAAAACAATTTGAGATTATTGTAGTTTTTACATTCCTTCAGTGCAAATCATTATGTAGGCAAAGAGGTTCCTTTAAAATGTCTTGCAGAGGATAGAGATGCATTTTTGAAACAATGAGGAGGTACATTAGATGACAGATATGAAAGCTTGACTTACAGCAATGGCTGCAAATGGGGAGGTCAACAGATCTGAGCAACTGGAGGGGTTGTTGGATCAACAGGACTTGGATAAATCAGGACTTTGATCTAACTTATTTATTTATATTTAAGTGAGAAGAAGAAAGCTTTAAAATATTGTTCCCTTAGGGCTCCATATACAATCAGTGGGATTTAGTTTTGCAATATGTATTAATTGAATTTACAAATATAGCATCTATAGGCACTTTAGATCATTATATTTATAAACATATTAAATAAATGGGTAGGTGATACTGCCTGATAAAGTGAAATGATGAATTTATAGCTTTCCATTAGATTTTTCAAAAGGTTCCCACTTCACTTTAAATTAAATGTCATATTTATGTGTAATTTTATACTCCTTGAAGTCTAAGATCTATTGGTTTCAATATTATTCATATAACAATAAGTTTGTTTTGGTGATACAAAAGACTTTTTAGAACTTGACCATACCCTTTTTCCTGTTTTTCTTCTGTTCTTTAATTTACTTATATCTTTATCTAAATTGTAATATTAGCATTTTAAATTTTATAACTTGATTGGATAGATCAATACTTACCAATTTCTTTTACGTCATGGCACACCTAGAAAATGATATATACATGCAGTACTTGAAGGGCAGTAGATAAAGATGCTTACTTTTGGAGAGAACAAGCCACATGCTCCAGCCTCCCATACTTTTATCAGAACACCCTGAAGCTAGAGGAAAACGCTGTCTCCTCACACTCACAGATGTAACTTATCCACATTGGTTGGAATGCTTTGAATTTTGAAATGAAACTTCAAGAGGTTGTGCTTATGGAATGGACACCCGTGTTGTTCAGCAAGAATTGTGATGGTGTATTGATAGACCACATAACAAAAATGTCAATTTGCTGAAGAAATAGTTGCTAGTGATCATGTGGAGATCTTGAAACCTGGTATACAGACAACTCAGGACAACCTACAGTCATTACTGAGGACATGAGTGAAACACATGTTTTATTGATGAAGACTCAGGAGTCTTTGATAGGATATTATAAATACTGCAATCCAATTTTTTCATTTTATAAATGAGAACACTTGAGACAAAGAAATTGTGTGTCTTGACTAGAAAGTAAAAGTCTTGAATAGAGGGTAAATGACTGGACTTAAGCTTTTTGAAATCAGGGACATTTTTCTCTTTTGTTAATTACTATATTCTATTGCCTGGTAGAGTACATAGCACATGGCAGAAGTTTCAAAAATTTTACTGAGTGGATGAATGAATGAATGTATTGTCCAGGGACACATGGTTAGTTGGAGAGCCAAAATGAGACTTAAAATCTTCCATCTTCCAGCTCAATGCTTCAATCCACTGTGTATAACATAGTTATCAATATTCTATGAATAATTCATTTTGTGGCATAAGGCACAAAATGTCATGGACACATTCTAGAATTGAATATTTTAAGAATTTACCTTTCTTCTGTTTTGTAGCAGTTCCTGTCCATCATATTCATAAATAGAAAATAAAACATTTAGTTCACCATCAGGCTTATATTTATCTTAACAGATTTCTGTAAATACAGATAATTTAATAAACAACAAAGTTGGTCTTATATAAGCTATTACAAATTTTTTTCTCTTTAGTAGTTAGTATCTTTTTAATTTTCTTCAGTGGTTGAATATACTCAGGTTTACATTCATTTCTCATTAATTAGATGGTGAGAGACAAAACTTGCAATAAATTTTTACCAGTGTATCCTGTTTGCAGGCAATGGAAATCAGAGAAACACTGTTCCTGAAAGCTTCTGTCACTCAAGAATCCATGAAACATTCATGAACTTCACATCAGGTAAAGGTGTCCTTGTTTACATATTTGCAGATTTGCTTATGCATGCCCTCAACAAGATTTCACAAATGTTTATGATCCTATGACCATATTAATTATAAATCTGCATGTAGATACTAATGAAAATTTTACCTAACATGTTATTAGTCCATGACTCTTTTTCATGATAATTTATAGCAACCAAATTGGGAGAAGAAAGCTAAATTGAATTATTAATTATAATAAAATTCAATATGAAAGTTTCCATAAACTATGTCTTGAGAACCACCAGCAACTTGATAGATGAATGTGAATTATACTGTTCTCCCTTTCATTGCTTCTTCAGCTAGGCTGTAGTGTTTACAAAGCAGACACTAAAGTTGAGATTTAGCAATTGCCACATTGTCTGTGACTTTTTTAGATACTGTGAAAAAAGGAAAGATTACAGAGTTTAGAGGAAGGGAAAAACTTGAATGATTTGTTTTAAAAACGCTTTGTTCTGAAAACCATGAGTTAGTAGGCTTGCGGTTAATACTAGTGAAAGAGTCTGGATTGCGTTATGAAAGGGGTGATTTATTCCCATACAGAGAAGGGTACATTGATTAATATGAGTTCCTATGTAATTACTTAGAATAAACTTTGCCAAAACCCCCTAGTTTTGTCATTTGGCAAGGTTTTGGTTGGCATAGCAGAAACAGCGTATCATGTGTTTAGCTAATCACTTAGTCTTTCACTACATATTTAAAGGCAAAATAGAGATATGCAGGCAACATAGTTCTAGAAATGAGCAAATTGTGAGCTTGTTATGCAAATGTAACAAATGGTTCCTACATAGAAGTTGAGCAAATAATTGGGACTTTTGTGTTTAAAATATATTAGTAACTTAAGACATAGAGGCATACTTATAAAGCTATCAACATTCATCTAGTCATATAATTTGAATAGAATTAGAATTCAGAAAAGTCTCTGATATGGTTTGATTATGTCTCTACCCAAATCTCATCTTGAATCATAGCTCCCATAATTCCTACTTGTTGTGGGAGGGACCCAGTTGGAGATCATTGAATCACTCGGGCAGTTTCTTCCATACTGTTTTCATGGTAGTGAATAAATCTCACGAAATCTGATGGTTTTATAAGGGGTTTCCCCTTTTGCTTGGCTCTATTGTCTCTTGCCTGCCACCATGTAAGACGTGCCTTTCACCTTCTGCCATGATTGTGAGGCCTCCCCAGCCACGTGGAACTGTGCGTCTTTAAATCGTTTTTTTCTTTATAAATTACCCAGTCTTGGTTATGTCTTAATCAGCAATGTGAAAATGTACTAATATAGTAAATTGGTACCAGGTAGTGGGGCACTGCTGTAAAGATACCCAAAAATATGGAAGTGACTTTGTAACTGGGTAACAGGCAGAAGTTGAAAGAGTTTGGAGGGCTCATAGGAAGACAGGAAAATGTAGGAAACTTTGGAAATTCCTAGAGACTTGTTGAATGGCTTGAACAAAATGCTGATAATAATATAGACAATGAAATGCAGGCTGAGGTGGTCTCAGATGGAAATGAGGAACTTGTTGGGAATTGGAGTAAAGGTGACTCTTGCTATGCTTTAGCAAAGAGATTGGTGGCATTTTGCCCCTACCCTAGAGATTTGTAGAACTTTGAACTTGAGAGAGATGATTTAGGGTATCTGGCAGAAGAAATTTCTAAGCAGCCAAGCATTCAAAAGGTAACAGAAGCATTCAATTTTAAAAGGGAAACAGAGCATAAAAGTTTGGGAAATTTGCAGCCTGATGATATGATAGAAGATAAAAACCCATTTTCTGAGGAGAAATCCAAGCCTGCTGCAGAAATTTGCATAACTAATGAGAAGTCGCATTTTGTTTGTTTGTTTGCGATGGAGTCTTGCTCTGTCACCCAGGCTGGAGTGCAGTGGTGCAATCTTGGCTCACTGCAAACTCTGCCTCCTGGGTTTGTGCTAGTCTCCTGCCTTAGCCTCCTGAGTAGCTGGGACTACAGGTGCCTGCCACCACGCCCGGCTAATTTTTTGTATTTTTAGTAGAGACAGGGTTTCACCGTGTTAGTCAGGATGGTCTCGATCTCCTGACCTCATGATCCGCCTGCCTCAGCCTCCCAAAGTGCTGGGATTACAGGCGTGAGCCACCGTGCCTGACCAGCTGTGTCCCAGCCATTCTAACCATGGCTAGAAGGAGTAAAGATACAGTTCGGACTGTGGCTTCATAGGGTGCAAGCCCTAAGCCTTGACAGCTTCCATGTGGTGTTGAGCCTGCAGGTGCACAGAAGTCAAGAATTGAGGTTTGGGAACCTTCGCCTAGATTTCAGAGGCTGTATGGGAACACCTGGATATCTAGGAAGAAGTTTGCTGTAGGGGCAGGGCCCTCATGGAGAACATCTGCTAGAGCAATGCGGAAGGGAAATGTGGGGTTGATGCCCTCACAAAGTCCCAACTGGGGCACTGCCTAGTGGAGCTATGAGAAGAGAGCCATGGTCCTCCAGACCCCAGAATGGTAGATCCACTGACAGCTTGTACTGTGCACCTGGAAAAGGTGCAGACACTCAAAGCAGCTGGAAGGGAGACTGTAAAGCCCCAGGGGCAGAGATGCCCAAGACCATGGGAACCTACGTCGTGTATCAGCATGACCTGGATGTGAAACATGAAGTCAAAGGAGATCATTTTGAAGCTTTAAGATTTGACTGCCCCACTAGATTTCAGACTTGCATGGGGCCTTTAGCCCCTTCATTTTAGCCAGTTTCTCCCATTTGGAATGGCTATATTTATCCAATGTGTGCACCCCCATTGTATCTAGGAAGTAACTAACATGCTTTTGATTTTACAGGCTTATAGGCAGAAGGGACTTGCCTTGTCACAGATGAGACTTTAGACTGTGGACTTTTGAGTTAATGCTGAAATGAGTTAAGACTTTGGGGGACTGTTGGCAAGGCATGATTTGTTTTGAAATGTGAGGACATGAAATTTGGTAGGAACCAGGGTGGAATGATATGGTTTGGTTGTGTCCCCACTCAAATGTCATCTTGAATTTTAGCTCCCATGATCTCCATATGTTGTGGGAGGGACCCAGTGTGAGATAATTTAATCATGGGGGCAGTTTTCTCCATACTGTTCTCGTGGTAGTGAATAAGTCTCATGAGATCTGATGATTTTATAAGGGGTTTCCCCCTTTGCTTGGCTGTCATTCTGTCTTGCCTGCTACCATGTAAGACATGCCTTTCACCTTCTGCCATGATTGTGAGGCCTCTCCAGCCACGTGAAACTGTGAGTCAAACAAGACTCTTTTTCTTTATAAATTATCCAGTCTCAGATATATCTTAACCAGCAGTATGAAAATGGACTAATACAGCCTATAAAGTGGGAAATACTGGACTGAATTAAGTGAGAAAGTATTTATATGAAACGTCCAGAATAGACAAATCCATACAGATAGAAAGTAGATTACAGATTGCTAAGGGGTGAGGGATGTGGGGAATGGGAAGTGACTACCAATTAATGGTTTATTTTTGTAGTGACAAAAATGTCTTGGAAGTAGATAATGGTGATGGTTGCACAACTTTGTCAATATATTAGGTTGGTGCAAGAGTAATTATGGTTTTTGCCATTAAAAGTAATTTGTCTACTCTGAACATTTCACATAAATACTTTATCATTTAATTCAGTCCAGTATTTCCAACTTTAGAGACTGTATTAGTCTGTTTTCACACTGCTGATTAAGATATACCTGAGACTGGGTAATTTATAAAGAAAAGGAGTCTTAATGGAATCAGTTTCACAGTTTCACTCTAAATGGCAAAAACTGTAATTACTTTTGTACCAAACTATACTAAAACCATTTAATTGTATACTACAAAAGAGAATGATATGGTTTGTGAATCATATGTCAAAGAAATTAAAATGGCATTTATGGTTAATAATCTGGGAATAGAAGAAAAACTTATGAAGAACAGAAGGAAATGAGCACAGTAAGAATTTTTATTTTGCACGGGTGAAATTCTAGCTGCATTCTCATTAACTCATGCATTAAAAAATAAAAGTAGAAGTGTATTATCTTCATTATTATTTAGCATTGCTTTAGATATTCAGACTAAAATATATATTGTAAACATTCTAACATAACGTATAAATTATCTGAATACTGGGAAAGTGAAGACAATGCTATTAATATATTTGGTGTAGATAATTTGATTGCATATATAGGACGCAGAGGATTCAAAATGAAAACAATTAGATTTGAAATCATTCAGTGAGGGGCTGGATAAGAAAGAATTGTTAAAAATAATAGTTTTCCTATGTACTATCAAGAAACAAATATAACCTACTATGAAAAATGTAGCTCATTAACAATAATAATCTAAATTATAAAATACTTAGGAGTTATATCCATGAGATATGTTCAAAGATAAAGATATAAGTCTCAGAGAGTACATACTGTAGGAAATTGAATGAAAACAACTTCTAAAGAAATACAAATTACTAATAGACATATAAAAATATTCAAATATACTAGTACTAAAAGAAATTAAAAAGTAAATAACAATAAGATAGGACTGGCTAATATTAACAAGTCTAATAATAGCTAGTGTTTAAATGGTAGCTGGGAAATGGGACTTTTTGTTCATAGGCTCATGACTGGGATAGAAATTTCCGTTGTTTCTGAATGACAAGTTGCCGGTATCTGTCAAAAGCCTTAAAAATGTGTGTAAATTTTGACCCTGTAATCACTGTTTTCAGAATGTATCCCAAGGAAATAATTGCACAAATACTCAGACATGTAGAGACTGCTTTGCAGTATTTTTTCTAAAGGTAAAAATTTTAAACAATATTAAGTAGCATAAATGAGTTACAGCTGCAGCGACAATATTTTCCAAAACTAGCCATCACAGTATTTTCAGTCTCATATGCGCAACCTCAACCTTACCACACTCCCATTTAGAGTTTGAGTCTATTTTTCTTCCCCTTGAACCCAGGCAAGACTTTGTGACTCCCTCAATGAATAGACTATAATGAAAGTGACGTAGGGTGATTTTAAAGTTCATCAAAAAAGGCAACATGACTTCCACTTGGCTCTCTCTTTATTGGGGTATTTCTCCTTTGAAACCCAGCTACCATGTTTAAGAAGGCCCAGGTGATGTGGCAAGGTCACAAGGAAGTGTTGTAACAGACATCCCTAGCTTAGGTTCCTGCTAATAGCTAGCATCTGCTAGTAATACGAGAGATTTCAGATGATTTCAGCCTCCATTCTATTTTTTTTTAAAAGTTTTTAAGGCTACAAGAGAAGCACTAGGGTTCCACTAGAGAAAAGGGAAGATGGGGAGTATGTTGCCACTGTAGATTTCACAACTGATTCAAGCCTCCACTCTTTAAGCCACTACAGCTAGTTTAATAGAACAGAGACAAGTTGCTGAGTCTGCAAAATTGCAGAATTATGAGCAAAATAAATGTTGTTAAGTCACTATATTTTGTAGTGGTTTATTACACAGCCATAGTAAATGAAATAATAACACATGTAAAAATGAAATTCTTGAGGCAATTTTAAATGAAAATATATACTAATATTTTTATAGCATTTACAGAAAATGACAAGTACATAAGAGTATAAATAATTACATTCCATGTATGTGTGCACAAAAATACACATAAATACCCAACAGCCATTGTGTGTATGCACAGAAAAACATACTGATAAGTATATATCAAAATGTTAAGAGTGGTTATCTTCAAATGTTGGGAATATAACGACGATTTATACTTAATTTTTATGCTTGCTCATCTTGCTTATCTTGCCATATTTTCTAACTTTTCTGCAAGTGGACATTGGTCATTTGTTTAATAGAGACTAAATAAATTTGGACTTAAATTAAAAATCAACTGCTGAAGCACAAAATATAGAGGAACCTAGCTCAACAGTTGTTCATAAAAAAAGACAGGTGTTTTTTGATTGCAAGTTCAAAACCAGCCAATAGCATGCTGTAACTGCCAAAATGTTAATGCAAACTTAGGTAGCAGTTAAAGAATTTAATTGTCCAGAGGACCAGAGGCAAAGTTCTCCTGTATGACACATTGAGTAGATCACACTTTGAGGCACCAACTTTTAAGAAGGACAGCAACTGGCTTTCTTCCAGGAGGCTGCCCAGGATAGTGGTAAGGTCTGTAATGGAGTTATCAAAAAACAATGGAAAAAACAGAGAATTCTGTTGGAAAAGAAAAAATCTAACAGAGAGAGACATGGAAACGTGGGTTAGTTTTCATCTGCATAATTTCAGAGAGTAAGAGTTAAACGGTAAATGAAAACTTCAAAGAGACAGATTTGGCTTAGCCTAAGACTATACTTTCAATTAAATTGAGCTATTCAACAATTGGTAGAACAGCCACAGGGCATAATGAGTCCTTGTCTCTGGTGTTCTTGAGATTCCCAAGTGTCAGGATGTTTAGGGAACAATGTGCTTCATGGGCAATTTAGCCAGGTATATTTAAAATCCTGTTCCTGCCAAAATCTACAAAAGTCTCTATGATAGGATCAGAGTTACAACAGTATACTATCTGGGTAGTGCTCTGTAAAGTCTCTCTTTAGCACACCTTTCCCTAAGAGCCTGATTTTCTGAATTCCCAGTCTTTGCTAATTAGCACAGATGAGCTAAGGTTGGCGGTGATTTTCTGAAAATTAAAGACTCATATTTCTGAAGATGATGTGTATCTTAATTAAGTCTCCTCATTAAAACTCCCTAGCTTTAGTTGTCAGTGTCTGTCTTTACACAGCACATAGTAGACTCTTGCCCATTTCTTATGTAGTTTGATTAATGTAGACAGCTCGTCTTAGTTATTTTAGCCCCACAAAGGGAATTCTTAGGCCTTGTGGTCCAAATGGACTGAATGAAGATCTGCTTCTTAAGTATTTCTTTAAAGTGGGCTTCCTGACATACCTGAAACTCTGTTTGGATGTTAATATGGGGTTTTATCAAGTTGTTTGAAGGAAAAAGATACACTTTTATCTTTTTCTACTAACAGTTATTAGGAACTGATTTAAACATAGCATTTGGATGAAAAATGACATCCTCTGTGAGTTTTGTTGGGACCCATCTAATCTTCCTACCATGCAAATCCTCACCTCTGGTTTTGCCCTCTCTTCAGATATAGCTAGCATGTATGGATTTCAGGTAGGGCTCGCATTCACTATGAAACTTACCACTTTACTAAGACATAGGCACAGATCTCTAAACCAATGATAGCTGAGCCAATTGGTCCTGTACCTCTCTTTCCACTTCCTTTTGGTCTTATAAACAAATAGAATGACTCTAGAGGTGTTATGGAATTAACAGCACACTCCCGTAAAATATATAGTCCTATTACTTTGACTTTTATCTAGATACCTTCAAATATCTGGACCAGAAGACAATCTTATGGTATCTAGAAAATGATTAAATTTGATTTTTAAACTGTACCTAAAATAAATTTAGATAATTCTTAACACTATAATTGAATATAAATCTTATCTAATAGTGGGAGAGAAACTCTGTGTCTAATACTCAGGAGAAAATAAAGATAATAGATATTTAAATGTTTTATTTCTTGGAAACAATGTATATCTAACAAAACAAAGCATTTGCTGTTGAAATTTAAAACGAAAAATTCTCATTTAAAATATATAAGATCAGAAGCAAAGAAAAATAAGAGGTGTATTATATATATATATATTACATCTGCCATTTACTGCCAATTGAGGCATAAATCACATTTATATAAAATTATTTTAAATTAAGGATAATGCATACAGCTAACTTTTGCTACACTGGTTGTGAAAAAACTCAAATACTTGGCAAATTGGTGAAATGTTCTTTTTCTTGCAGGAAGATTCATATAATGTTATGTGGGAGAGGAAGAGTTGCATTGTTTCCTCTTTGCCCCCTTGAATGAGATCCAGTCAATTGAATTTATCAGTTAATTCCTGCTAGAGATTTTTGTTCACATGGTTGGCAGCCCCTGAGTGCTATTACTTTTTATTGATTTAGCAGCAAATATATGTTCATCTTATTGACAAATCTGAATAAGATATGGAAACAAAAATGAACAACTAAAATCTCCCTAAAAATATAATGAAAATTCACACTTTAGCTTAATAATGTTAAGTATAAAGGATTAGAAAATGAATGTATTATGGAACATGATGTTTCTTTCACTTTCAAGTGGAAGCATATATTTAAACATGTAGGTATTTGAATATTATATACTCACCTGCATTGTGGATTGATGATTGGTTTTGGGAGAATCCAAAAGTTAGAGGTCAAATTTGTAGTTATTACTAAGCATAGGTTGAGAAACCATGAGCATGTTTTCAGATCCTGTCACCTTTTCCTCCTTTGCTCTACCTCTAGTCATCATATTCCATGGTACGTTGTAGCAATGGTTGACCTTTATGGGCTTTGGAGGATGACAACCTGGTTCCAATCTCAGTTCTGTCTCTTATCTGCTGTGTGACTTTGGACAAGTTACTTAACATTCCAGATTCTTTATCTTTAAAGTGGGGCTAACATTGCTACCTCATAGTTTTCTGAGGATTTAATAGATGAATGCAACTAAAGTGCTTAGTGAAAGGCCTGGCACCTAGTGGAGGATTTGATAATCATAGTTGTTGCCACCATTACTACTTTAATAGTGTTTGGTGCACACAAAGGAAAGAAGAAGCAAGAGCAAATCTTGCTCTTTGCACAGATTTTGCTCTCCATTAGTTTATGTCTGATTGAGCAGGAATTTTCTTTTCCATGTATTCTGTAGTTGCTATTGTTCATTTTTATACATTTCAGCCTTCTTTTCAAGAGAATAATGTACCAGTTTTGAAGATTCACTACATAAAAGTGGCATCTGTCAGCTATATCCCTAAGAAACTGTTCTAATTTACAGGAAGCAGGTGTTTGACTACAAGAATGTCTTTAGTCAGTGATGCGAATTTTTTTTTCTAGTAAAAGTGTTTCAGAGAAACCAAAATAATAATTTCTTTCTTCTTAGAAAATAATCTATACATTATAGTTTCTTTCTTTTACAAAGTTTTTTATCTTTATTTTATTTCAATAGCTTTTGGGGTGCAGGTGGTTTTTGGTTACATGGATAAGTTCTGTAGTAGTGATTTCTGAGTTTTTGGTGCACCCGTCACCCAAGCAATGTACACCGTATCCAATGCGTAGTCTTATCCCTGACCCCTTTCCCACTCTTCCCCACAAGTACTGAAAGCCTGTACATCCTCATGGCTTAGCTCCCACTTATAAGTGAGAACACACAATGTTTGGTTTTCCATTCCTGAGTTACTTCACTTAGAATAATGTCCTCCAGCTCCAAGTTGCTGCAAAGGCCATTATTACATTCTGTTTTATGGCTCTGTAGTATTCTATGGTGTATACATACCACATTTTTTAATCCACTTGTTGGTTGATGAGCATTTAGGTTGGTTTCATATGTTTGTAATCACAAATTCTGCTGCTATGAACATGCTTGTGCATGTGGCTTTTTCATGTAATGACTTCTTTTTCTTTGGGTAGATACCCAGTAGTGGCATTGCTGGATCGAATGGTAGTTCTACATTTAGTTCTTTAAGGAATTTCCATACTGTTTTCAATCGTGATTGTACTAATTTACAATCCCACCAGCAGTGTAAAAGTGTTCCTTTTTCAGCACATCTGCACCAACATCTATTATCTTTTGATTTTTTAATTATGGCCATTCTTGCAGGAGTAAGGTGGTATCTCATTTTGGTTTTAATTTGCATTTCCTTGATAATTAGTGATGCTGAGCAGTTTTTCATATGTTTGTTGGCTGTTTGTATATCTTTGCTTGAGAATTGGCTATTCATGTCCTTTGCCCACTTTTTGATGGGGTTCTTTGGTTTTTTCTTGCTTCTTTGTTTAGGTTCCTTAATGTCATTTGGAGAAAGATTAAATAAAAGATTTAGGTTCAAATATAAACTTGTTGATAATATCTGTGTGTCCCCAACTTAATAACTCAGCAAGATACTTTCAAGAGCTTTTAAAAATAAAGATTCCAGCCAGGCGCGGTGGCTCACACCTGTAATCCCAGCACTTTGGGAGGCCGAGGTGGATGGATCACCTGAGGTTAGGAGTTTGAGATCAGCCTGGCCAACTTGGTGAAACCCTGTCTCTACTAAAAATACAAAAATTAGCTGGGTGTGGTTGCTGCCGCCTGTAATCCCAGCTACTCAGGAGGCTGAGGCAGGAGAATCGCTTGAACCTGGGAGGCGGAGGTTGCAGTGAGCTGAGAATGCACCATTGCACTCCAGCCTGGGAGACAAGAGTGAAACTCCATCTCAAAACAAACAAACAACCAAACAAACAAAACACAAAATGAATAATAATAATAAATAAATAAAATAACACATAAAGATTCCCCTTACAACTTGGTCCATTGAGATTTGACTGGGTGCAGGGAGAGGTGAAGACCTGGTTACCATGTGGACTAGTGGACAGCTTATATTTTGAGCCAAAGGAGGCAGGTGAAAATGCCAGAAGAGCACTGAAGTTAAGAACTTGTGACGTCATAAGATCCCTGGACTTGGCACATCCTTCCCATTTAAGTGATGCTCCGAGTTCCATCTGAACTGCTTTTAATTTCCTTAGGAAAAAATGGGCAAAGCTACACAGAACTAATTAATGGTCCATTTGTGATGAAAAATTTTGCAACTGTGATCAACATGTCCCTTCCAAAGATAAGAATCCATGAGCTATGAGAGTATCTGCCTGCAGAGGCAGCGTGAGAGACTGGGGCAAAAGATCAAGAACAGGCAAATACCTTCTGTTTGACCAGTATTGTGAGTAAATAGGCCTGATTGAAATATCTGGCTTTAAAGGTACCTACTGCATTTTGAGAATGTGGATGACTTAGGGAGGGTTTACAGGATTATTTTATTAACAACGCAGAGGGTTCATTTTATATAACCTTTTTAGCATTTTGAGGTCCTGTTCTGGCTTTCAAAGATGTTTTCATAATTCTAAGACCTGTATTTGAAGTCACAGGGCAGTAGCATAGCCTTTGTTTTGTGGTATTTGGAAAGAAACTGTACTTCTTTTAGATTTCCAAGTTTCAGAAAATGAAGGCTGATTATATATTCTAGTGTGCCTAGAGTTTTGGATTGCAAAAATAGTTACAATACTTTTCAGTAACTCTCATCAAATGGTGGAGTCTAGTTCTCCACTCTTTAAATCTGGGACTGACCTTATAACTTTCCTTAATACATCAAATATAGTAAAAATGATGAGGTACAAGATGTACGAGTTATGAGCCCAGGCTTCAAGAGGTCTTAGGTTCAACTTTTGTTGCCTGTAGAATGCTATGGCTATCATGTGGAAGAGACAGCCCAGTGGATAATAAGACAAGCTGCACATTAGCTGACAACTGCCAGAGCTGCGAGCCTAGAATGATTCAGGAGCTATCTTAGATCATTCAGCCACCAACTGGCCTACATTCTGTCTATGAGCCCACAGAAAATCAGCCAAGCAGGCCCAAGCCGCAAAATCCTCCTAAGCGACCCATAGAATCATGAAAATAAAAAAAAATTATTGTTGTTTAAATCCAATGGCTAGTATGCTATGTAGCAAAAGCCATCTGATATGCCTGGGACAGTCTTAGCTCACACCTGTTGTCATAGAGTAATTATTGGCATTGCATCTTTTTAACAATTTTTCATTTTTTTTTAAGTTCTGGGGTACATGTGCAGGTTGTGCAGGTTTGTTACATAGGTAAATGTGTGCCATGGTGGTTTGCGCACATATCAACCCATCACCTAGGTATTAAGCCCAGCATGCATTAGCTACTTTTTCTAATGCTCTCCTTCCCCCTGCCCACCTCCCACAAGCCCCAGTGTGTGATGTTCCCCTCCCTGTGTCCATGTGTTCTCATTGTTCAGCTCCCACGTACAAGTGAGAACATGCGGTGTTTGGTTTTCTGCTTCTGTGTTAGATTGCTGAGGATAGTGGATAATACATCCTTTTATTCTCAAACTATCTTTGTTTGAGTACGTTGTATAGTCAACTTCAGTAAGTAATACCACCATTTACTCATTTGCCAAACAAGTATTTCTTTTGTGAGTTGGATTGAGCAGAAGGCAAAATAACAGTGGCTCATCCTACTACAAGTCTTGTCTTACGTCGTTTTTTATTTTGTTTTTCAGATTTCACCTTTTTAAAAAAACTCCTTTTGAAATAGACAAATAGACTAATTCTTTCTTACAGGAGTTTTTCTGACAAGTGAAACAGTATCTTAGAATGATATCTCATAATACCACCTCAGAGTAGCTTTGAAAATGATGAGATTTGCTCCCTATTTGATGTTGAATGATTACAAGACTTGAATTATGGGGATCAAAAAGTCAGTGCTGTTTTCAAAGAAATACTTTTGAGTAGCAGTACCTGTGGAAAAAAAAAGCACAATGCAATTATTCTATTAATAAAGTGACCAGCACACAGTCGTATATTACAGTAGAAGCACATTTCACAATTGCTTTCTAAAGTAAATCAATATGTAAAATAATTCAAATAAAATGATACAAGCTACACTTTGTTTTGTAATATATTTTTCTCCAAAGGCATAGATATAAAATTTATAAAATACGTATTTTGATGTTTATAAATTATCCGAAATACTTTCTTTGCTAAGCAGGGCTAGCCATGTGCAACACTGTGATATTGACAATTTAGGCCTTGGCTTTCTTCCCTTTATTTGGCATTCCTTGCCAAGTGGAACAAAACACACATTTCAGGGTAGGTAGGATTTGCTCTGTCTCTTCTTTCAACTGACAATATGACATACGCACATAGTAAACCTTTCAAACAGTACAAAGATAAACATTTATAGTAAAATATTAATTCTCCTCTCACTGTAAATTCTAAGTCCTGCAGTCCTCTCGGGAAGTAGCCTCTGCTGAGCTTCTTTTACATGCCTTTTCTATGCATATGAATATATATTTTAAATACATATAGATGGTATGTATCTTAAACATCAAAAAGAATCTCTTCTCACCCCTTTCTTTGCGGAAGCACCATGGCGACTGGGACCCTGTACACATATCCTGAAAACTGGAGGGCTTTCAAGGCCCTCATTGCTGCTCAGTACAGCGGGGCTCAGGTTCATGTGCTGTCCGCACCACCCCACTTGCACTTTGGCTAAATCAACTGCACGCCTGAATTTCTCCGCAAATTTCCTGCTGGCAAGTTTCCAGCATTTGAGGGTGACAGTGGGTTCTGTGTGTTTGACAGCAATGCCATATGTGAGCAATGAGGAGCTGTGGGGAAGTACACCCGAAGCAGCAGCCTAGGTGGCGCAGTGGGTGAGCTTTGCTGATAGTGGTAGAGTGCCCCCAGCCAGTGCCTGGGTGTTCCGCATCATGGGCATCATGCACCACAACAAGCAGGCCATTCAGAATGCAAAGGAGGAAATGAGGCGAATTCTGGGGCTGCTGGACGCTTACTTGAAGATGAGGACTTTTCTGGTGGGCGAATGAGTGACTGGCTGTTATCAGAGTCGTCTGCACCCTGTTGTGGCTCTATAAGCAGGTCATAGAACCTTCTTTCCACCAAGCCTTTCCCAATTTTGTAATATATTTTATTGTATTTATAATATATATCATTATTATAATATATAATTTATATATAAAATATATGTTATTATATATCTATATATAATTTATATATAAAATATACGTTATATCTATATATAATGTATATATTATATATAGTATGTAAACTATTTTGTAATATATTGTAAAATATTAAAGTAATATAATATATAATATATTTATTATATATATTATAACCTCTGGTTCCTCACCTGCATTAACCAGTCTCAGTTCTGGGCTGTCTTGGGGGAAGTGAAACTGTGTGAGAAGATGGCCCAGTTTGATGCTAAAAAGTTTGCCGAGTGCCAACCTAAAAAGGACACCCTGTGGAAAACGCAGGGTTCACAGGAAGAGCAGCAGAGCCCCAGGCTGAGTGGAAGGAGGAGAAAAAGGCAGCTGCCCCTGCTCCAGAGGAGGAGATGGATGAATGTAAGCAGGCGCTGGCCGCTGAGCCTAAGGCCAAGGATCCCTCCGATCACCTGCCCAAGAGTACCTTTGTGTTGGGTGAATTTTTATTTTATATTGATTGATTGATTGATTGAGGCGGAGTCTCACTCTGTCGCCCAGGCGGGAGTACAGTGAGTGGTGTGATCTCGGCTCAAGGCAACCTCCACCTCCCCGGTTCAAGCGATTCTCCTGCCTCAGCCTCCTGAGTAGCTGGGATTACAGTTGCCCACCACTACGCCCAGCGAATGTTTTGTATTTTTAGTAGAGATGGGGTTTCACCATATTGGTCAGGCTGGTCTCGAACTCCTGACCTTGTGATTCACCAGCCTTGGCCTCCCAAAGTGCTGGGATTACAGGTGTGAGCCGCCACACCCGGCTGTGTTGGATGAATTTAAGCGGCAAGGACTCCAACAAGGACACACTCCTTGTGGCACTGCCATATTTCTGGGGGCACTTTGATGAGGATGGCTGGTCCCTGTGATACTCAGAGTATCGCATCCCTGAAGAACTCACTCAGATCTCCATGAGCTGCAATCTCATCACTGGAATGTTCCAGCGACTGGACAAGTTGAGGAAGAATGCCTTCACCAGTGTCATCCTCTTTGGAACCAACAGTAGCAGCTCCATTTCTAGAGCCTGGGTCTTCTGAGGCCAGGAGCTTGCCTTTCTGCTGAGTCCAAATTGGCAGGTGGACTATGAATCATACACATGGCGGAAACTGGATACTGGCAGTGAGGAGACGTAGATGCTGGTTCGAGAGTACTTTTCCTGGGAGGGGGCCTTCCAGCATGTTGGCCAAACCTCCAATCGGGGCAAGATCTTCAAGTGAACGTCTCTTGCCAACGCCTACCTGCTTGCACCTGCCCCTTCAGGGAGACGGGGGTCATTAAAGGATACTGAACATTGAAAAAAAACGAGTCTCTTCTCTCCCACATGGCTTCCTTCCTTTGGACAACTTTCTTAATCTCTGCTTGTTTCAGGTGCCTCATCGATATAAAATTAACATCACAATTAATTTGGAATTAATTTGTATTTTTAATAAAGCTCCTGGAAAGGTATCTGACACAAAACGGAGCACTTTGTGTTAGCTATTATTGTTATTTACACTTTTGCCCAAGATCTTGCATTGATAATGGACATAATTACACTTGGAATCCAAATTATTCCAAATTTTTAAAAAAGTTCTATAATACAGACTGTAGAGACAGGGTAATTAGCTGGGCATAGTGATGTCCGCCTGTGGTCCCAGCTACTTGGGAGGCTAAGGGAGGAGGATCTCCTGAGTCCAGGGGGTCGAGGCTGCAGTGAGCTGTGATTGTGTCACTGCACTCCAGCTTGGGTGACATGGCAAGACCTTGTCTCAAAAACAGCAACAACAACAACAACAACAAAACACCAAAATCAAACAAAAAACAGACTGTAAAACACTTCATGAATACCCAGATTTGTGCTAAATTCAAAATAGGATTAAAAAATCCTTTAAGCATATGCTTAGACTATATAGCGTATTCACTACAGAGCAAAATGTACCTTTCCTTAGATACTTTTGCTTTAATTATAAATAGCAGAAGAAAATAAAGAAAAACACATAGGCTTTTTGTGGATTTCTTTGAATTTGTCCATTTGCTAATTTATTCATTCACTGTTCACTTCATCTGTATCTGACACAGACCTACATGAAAAAGAGGCAAATAAAATAGGCACAGTCTTTATTATCATGGAATTTGCAGGATGGCGGAGAAGACACTCCATAGTGAAATAATTATATATATGATATTGAAACAAAAGGTGAAATGCAAGGGGCGTATGAGAAACGTCTGTTCATGTCCTTTGCTCACTTTTTAATGGGGTTACTTGCTTATTGTTCATTGATTTGTTGAGTAAAATTTTCCATTTTCTTATCTATTTCTTTAACATGATCAGTTATTTTAAAGCTCCTATCTGGTGAAAAGTTATAGAGACTAGAGATGATGTTTTCTTCCTCCAGAGATAATCTAATTTTCTAGTAGGCAAGATCACCTTTATCCATATATGAATTGAAATAATTTCAGAATTTTTAAGAACTATTTTAATTCCAGTTTGCCCCTACACTAGAGAACAGCCCTCTCAAGATCTTAACTGAAGGCATTAAGTGTTTCCCATAGACCTCTTCCTACTTGGAGAATCCCAAATTCCAATTTTTATAACCCCAGAATTAAAAGAGTGTCAAAATCTCTGCATAGTTTTTGAGTTTTTTTTTTTTTAAGGCATTGTTTTTTCTTATTTTCTTGACTTTCCCTCTTATGCCTGTTCAGATCAGTTGTCTGAAAATACCTCCAGAGGAAATTGTATTAGTATGTTACACTCACTTCTTTGTGGTTCCCATTACTTCAGATCTTGGTCTCTCAGATAATGACTGCCTTGGCAGCCTTGTTAACAAATAGCTTTCCAATTGACTATAAAGTTGAAAATACTCATGTAAAATTTTAATTTCTGTAACCTCACAGAATAGTCTCCAACTAAGCTCTCTTT
This sequence comes from Homo sapiens, assembly GCF_000001405.40. NCBI lineage: Eukaryota > Metazoa > Chordata > Mammalia > Primates > Hominidae > Homo > Homo sapiens. Next base: position 125,036,987 of record NC_000007.14, read on the forward strand.
AAACATTTATTATTCAAAGGGAAAATACTTTGTTAAATTAAGTAGCTATTTTATATTTACGGGCAGAACAAATGCATAATGTCTTAAAACTGAACTTTGGGATTGTCTTATCAAAAATAGTGTTAACAACTTTAAAAATAATATCAAGTCCTACCATAGTTTTTCTTATAGCAAATTTAATATTAGCTAATAATTATTAGATGCCTGCTATATGCCAGGTATCATCCTGTATATTTCCCCTAGAATTCATCTTCCACTGAAGTACTATGTGCGATGTACTATTATTATTTTACAGAGAAGGAACAGAAGCGCAGATAACTTAAGACATTTGTCCAAGGTCACACAGTAAGTGACAGAACTAAGTTTTGGTTCTAATCCCAAGCTAGTTTACCACTTATCTGTAGGCATGTGAAATCATTAGTAGTAAACTCACAGCCACTAATATTCAGTCCATATAACATACTTTCTCTTCTTTCTAAGTCTTTGTTGTAAAGATTTTATTGTAAGTTGTATGAATGTTTGGTGTGTTTGTGACTAAGTATAAAAATCTTACCATTTTAAATTGATTTTATATATGTTACAATATAGTGAAACTTAGAATCATAATTGTCTGTTACATTTAAGTATAAATGGAAATGTTTAGAAGTGAAACTTATATTTTAGATTAGAAAATATACTACTATGAAATTTCAAAATCGAAAACTTGAAGTTCTGCTTAGGCTGTATATTGTATGTTCTCGTGCAAATCTCTTAAATTTTCAGAATACCTTTCTGCATATGTATTTAATATTGGGATAATAACTAGTGCTTCACAGAATTTTTCTGAGGACTAAATGATTCACATGCATACAAATTTTATGGAAAACAATGTATTTATTAGTTTCTCAGTAGCTTTTATTTTTTATCATAATGATTTTTATTATTATATATTAAAAAAGGGCATGTGTCTACTAAGGTAAGAGCTTAGGTAAAATAAAAGCTTAACTAAGAGTTACTCTATCATACATTCGTTATTTTTAATAGAAACACCATTATAAAAGCCTGTTCAGCTTCCACTTTAGGTTTGATGCACTGAGAAGTTTGGACTGAAAGTTTTTCACTCTGGGATGGATATAGTTCAAAAGTATAGAAAGTTTTCATAAGTTTGAGCCATAGTATTTACAGACCGACTTAAATTTGTGACTCAAGAAATACTAGTGAAATGTGAACAGTTGGAAATAAAATGTCTAAAAAATGGTCAATAGCAAAAATATATTTTAAACAAGTATAACAATCACTCTTTAATGTAATGATGGATTTACTAGATAAGGGAATGCTAGAATCAATGTACCTTCTATTATAAATTCAATAAATTGTTTCATGAAATGCCGTATAGCACAGCACAAAAAAAATCAATTTCAAAATATCACTATTTAAATGGTATTTATTTAAAAGTCAAAAAAGGTCAGAGGAAAAAGAGATCAGATATAAAAGCTACTCTAAGTTTGGTTGGTAAGTAGTCTTTCCACCTTCTGTGCTTTCTGGCACTTTACATAAACTTTTATTATAGCATCAGTATAGTGAAGGATTGTTATTTGTCGTTTTTCTCTCCAACTAGACTACAGATCTTTCGAATCAGAGAACCATACTTATTCATCTCTGGATTCTCAATGCTTAATAAATGCCTCTGAGAAAAAGAATATTGTACATGAAGATTTGGTTTTGATTAATGTTTTTTTTTCTTAGATGAGGAGGAGCTAACAATATAGAAGTCATTATAGGTAAGAGGGAGAGGCCTGCCGTTACTTCATTTGCAAAACAGATGATTGAACTATAGTCAATGTTTCCAAAGGTTTTGTTTTATTTTGAAAATAATTCTATAAGATTATCTTTCTTCATTGTAATATCTTGGGTACAGTGTTAAGGAACAAGGTTATAGAGGTGGAGTTCTCCCCAAAAGTCTACTCTGCCAGTAAAGCGCAGGGGATCTGCTAAGTCAAGAGCTTAGGTTAGATAAGAGCTCGCCTATGAGTTGTGCAGTTGTAAATCTGACCACATGAAATATTCTATTACTTGTTTAAAAGAAAAAAAATGCATTTGAAACAAATTGTTTTTGACTTTTCAGTATGCACCTATATTTAAAATAAAAATGCCATAGTAAAACAATTAATTGGTTCAGTAGGATTTATGTTGAATAAATATTTCATAAAATCTGTCAGTGCATGTTAGTATTAATGCAAAGTTGCCTCACATATGATAACTTCAGGTATATAACTACTTTGACTGCCAGCTGACCATAGTTTATTATATATTTTGAGGAACATTAGCAGCTCCCTGCTAACAGTATAAACATGGAGAAAGTAGGGCAGAAACCACGGGGCTAAATGAATCTGCAATCGAACTTTATTATGAGAGAATTTTTGAGAATCCTAAAAAGAAATAATGTAAAGAATACATTCACTATTATGTCTAAAAGTAGATGTTGTATGCTGAGAAAATTACTTACTCAAAAAATTGTAGAAGCTCTAGTAATTATCCCACACCAGAAAAATGTATTTCAGATGTTTTGATTTATTTGTCTGTTTATTAAAACATTTTTCTAAAAGGAATTATTAGACAAAAACTTGCTTGTTTCGAAATACCAAAACTAAGACAAAGAATTCAGGTGTTGGACCTTTATTTCTTAATTTTTTTTAAGAGACAGGGTCTCACTGTGTTGCCCAGGCTGGCCTTGAACTCCTGTGCTCAAGTGATCCTCCTGCCTCGCCCTCCAGAGTTGCTGGGATTGCAGTTACACACCACCATGCCCAGCCAGGTGTTGCTTTTAAAAACTTTTCCATAACTATAAATTTTCATGAATTAAGACTAACGTCTTCTACATTCTTAATATAAAGTTGTAAGATGCATAGAATAGCAGTTAAGGAATGGTAAAAGAAAATGAGGATAGTACTTACCAATGTACAAGAAGTCATCTAAAACCAAAATAAGCCATAAGAAATATTGAAATTTTAATTTTAAGATGAAATATTTATAGGTACATTTCCAATATGCCATAGGTGGGGGGAAAGGATCCTTAATTAACTACTTGAAGATTGTCACCTGACAGTGACAAACTCCTACCAAAGATCCTAATTACTGTAAAAAGACTTGAAGTGGTAGCTTTTCAAAAATGTTAATTCAGGAACCAGTAAATAACAAAGAAGAATTATTGCTTATCAAAACTAGCTTTGAACAGTTGATAAAACTTGTCTAGAGTTTTACAAATCATTGAATCAATGGGCTGAGTAGGAAGAGAAAAACATGTCATTGACGATTTAAGAGAAACATATTCTAGTATTTCCTTATACGGGAAGAACTAAAAAGTCATTGGGATTTATTTTCTGTATATTTGATGTTCATGTAAAACTTCTAGGCATTAACCAACCAAGTCCCAGATGTTCAGTAGTATGGACTTTGCAGCAGAGTACAGACAGAAAATGTAAAGTTAAAAGAAGTGGCAGGGGAAGAAAAATAAAAAGGAAAGATGAATAAATTTTAAAAAGTAAGTGGCACATATACACCATGGAATACTATGCAGTCATAAAAAAGGATGGGTTCATGTCCTTTGCAGGGATGTGGATGAAGCTGGAAACCATCATTCTCAAAAAACTAACACAGGAACAGAAAACCAAACACCGCATGTTCTCACTCATAAGTGGGAGTCGAATAATGAGAACACATGGACACAGGGAGGGGAATATCACACACCAGGGCCTATCGGGGGTTGGGGGTTAGGGGAGAGATAGCATTAGAAGAAATACTTAATGTAGATGACGGGTTGATGGGTGCAGCAAACCACCATGGCACATGTATACCTATCTAACAAACCTGCACATTCTGCACATGTATCCCAGAACTTAAAGTATAATAAAAGAGGTGAGCATTAAAAAGGAACTCTTTGAAGTACATTTTGTACATTAACAAGTGGCTTTTACACCATGAAATACTAACATTTATATTACCTCATTTAATTCTTATATTTTAAATCTAATAAATCAAGTCTTAGAGGTGCTCAAAATTCAATAACTGAAAAGCTTAAGCTATTTTGAAAATTATCTGCTCAGATGTTTTCTTAGTTGTTAAAAATAATGGGAACCATTTTCCACTAAGCAAGTACTGTTGAACTCTTAGATAGTTAATAAAATAAGGCTACAATGATAAGAGAGGGCACACAGAGACTGTTGCAAGTTACATAAGTAGTGATGCGTATATGGTATTCTTGGAACAACACTGTTAATGATGGTTGTGCCTGAACTGAATACAAAATATTCTCAGAAGTACTTTATAAGTGAGATTAGAATACAGATAGGTTTATCTATTTACTTAAACTCAAACATGATTTGCCATCTTGGCTTTAGAGTTAAAATTTTGAGAAACAGAATATTGTCTCTCTACTTTGCCTTTACATTGTGGAGAACAAAGTGATATTAAATAATATATATATAATAAATTAGTATTTTCTTAATTATGCTCATAACTATAGCAACTACAGTCCCCTGAATATAATGATGGTGCATAGCCAAAATCTGCAATAACAAAGCTATTTAATTTGTAGTCTCCCAAACCAATGTAAATAAAAGTATCTAGCAATTTCAGTAATCTTCATTTAAATGGTAAAGTAGGTAAAATTAGTCTTTAATGATACTCTAAATTCCATCTTATTTACTTTATTCCGGTTCAAAAGAATAGTATGCTATTTTGTCAATAAGAAGCACATTTTTCATATTTTAACGTCTCTGAAATTGAGATACCACTTTAAGTCAATATGATAAAAAATTATCATTGTCATGGTTAACTGGCATTTTTTTTCTTGGTGGTATGCAAATGACTGGTATGTTTTATAATAAATGGTATCCTGGATTTAGTGAAATTAGGCAAATTAGTTATAAGGCATAGAATTCACAAAAAAATGTCTCCCTAGAGATATGTCTGAATATCCAATAATATTTAGATTGAAAACTGCAGGCATTACTCCTCTTAGGGATGTACATATATAAAGTTTCAAAATTAAAAATGTCAAATAAACTAATGTTAGAATCACAAAGAATTATTTACTAAGGTAGACTTTCAGTCACTGTGATAAGTGGTGTTAAATATATTTTTTGTCATGACCTATTTCTGGCACCATTGAAATCTGTTACAGTTGCTTCAATCTTAACTTTTAGACTCTTTGGCTACATGACTATGGCCAAAGATTTAGCCTCTTTTAATCACAATTTCTTTATCTAAAAAATGGACATATTCAATCTAACTCATAGGACCATGAAGAGAATTACATGAGATGGCAGATATAAAGAAGTAGCACATATACACCATGGAATACTATGCAGCCATAAAAAAGAATGAGTTCATGTCCTTTGCAGGGACATGGATGAAGCTGGAAACCATCATCCTCAGCAAACTAACACAGGAACAGAAAACCAAACACTGCATGTTCTCACTCATAAGTGGGAGTTGAACAATGAGAACACATGGACACAGGCAGAGGAACATCACACACTGGGGACTGTTGGGGGGTGGGGGGAAAGGGGAGGGAGAGTATTACGACAAATACCTAATGCATGCGGGGCTTAAAACCTAGATGACGGGTTGGTAGGTGCAGCAAACCACCATGGTACATGTATACCTATGTAACAAACCTGCACATTCTGCACATGTATCCCAGAACTTAAAGTAAAATAATTTTTTAAAAGAAGCAGCACAGTTCCTATCACATAAATGATATAAGCTTTTCTTAAAATGTATCCTTGAAATAAATGATTCTGAAAACTGAAATTTGTCAGAGGTAGTAGGAAGTATTCCTGATGACTGGCTTAGCTTGACAGCAGATCAGGTTGATAAAGTATGTTTGAACTAAACACTGTTAAAGTAGTCTAGAGGATGAATGTCCTCTGCTCATTTTAGTACATGATTAGCAGGACACAACAGGATGAAGGATGAAAAACAAAACTCCTGTTATGAAGTGACTGCATTCATCAATCAAAGGTCTATGCCAGAGTCTCTCAAACAGAAGGGGAGAGCATCATGTTGGGGGCACCACTCTGTGAGATGGGCAATGCAGTTAAATACCAAAATACTTTTCACATCATTTAACACCAGGTGGCTCTAAGCATAATCCTGCATAGGTAGGTAGGTATGTAGATAACTACCTCAGACATTTCCTAAGACTTTCTTAGAGTTTGAAATCTTTAGCACTAGACTCACTTTGGCTTAAATACATGATTTCTAAAAGGCCACTGCACAAATGTACAATGATCACACAGAAGAGATATTTTCTTGACAGTTTAGTATAAATTAGCATGTCAGATTGTATAGAGAAGGAAACAGAAACTGCACCAAATAAGGTTGATGGAGATGAGAAAAATTTAGAGTCTCAGGACAAGGAGGGCAAAAACTCTAGCAGCAGGAAAACAAAGTGAATGATCTGGACAGATGGAAGCATCTAACTGCTTTGTTATTGGGAAAAGAATAAATATAAAGTTGACGTTCTAAACAACAAGAACTAGACTGGTATTTCATTGCTCTGTCTCCAGTTCCTGGCAGGGAACATGGCACAAAATAGGCTTTCAATAAATATTTGTTAAATAAAAAAAGGGATGAATGAGACATTTAAAAAATATATTTTAACTGTCTCTATAATTGCTAAAATTTCAAAGAGTAAAGTAAGTTTCATTTTTGCATACTTATGTAAAACAAGAGCATCACAAAACATAGGTGAATCATGTTGTATCAGGCATATGCTGATGTTCAAAAACCGTAAGGTGACCTGTAAGACATTTAAACCTATGTAGTAAACAAATGACTTAAGATGTCAGGTTCTTTTTTTATTTTTTATTTTTTTACTGATACAAAAAGAGCATTTATTTGGTTTTGAAATGCATTTGTGTGAATTGATGTTGGGGATGGGGGCAGAGCAAAAACAAGATACAGCCTCCTATTTTTTCTTAATAATTGCAATTTTTATTTTAGATATGGGGTACATGTGCTGGTTTGTTATATGGGTATATTGCATGATTTTGAGGTTTAGATGGCAGGTTCTTGAATGCATGGACCATGCTGTTTTTAATCTTTGTAAACCCAGTGTTCATCACAGTGCATGACATATGATAGGTATTCAATAAATGATGGTTAAATTAATGGGATTTTAATATACACAGTTAATCATCCAAAAGCTTTGTGCATATTTTGTCTAATAATCCAGAAAATTGACAGTATAGTTACTGTGCAGACATAGTCAATGGCATGCCTCTCATCTATTGATGTGTTATAATTCGGTTCATTTAATTGTGCTTATGTTTTTACTGTGTTGTATTTTCTGAATGAGAATATGTTTGCTCTTTTGCCAAATTTTTTCTCATCCATATTTACATGTATACTGACAAATTAATGTATTTCAGTGGCCTTATGTTTCTGTTGAACAGCCATGAGATGTTTTATTTGCAGCATCTGTGTATTTTAAGATATCATTCTGTCTCAGAGATGCCAATTTTTTGTGTAAACGAAAATGAGAAAATGAGATTAAACATGGGTAAAATAAAAGAGAGTCTGTAGAGTTTTCTCAGAATATATATTTTAGTCTCTTCCTGGAGATTCTGATTTAGTTTTGCAGGGGAGTGAGGGTTGAGGAAATTAGAATATACTGTGTGGTTTCAGTCTGAATGTACACACACACACACACCTTATAACCACCTCAGTTTTAACACTATGAATCTTATCAGGGTGGGGCTAATTGCAATCTGGGAAAGGTGCCCATGCTTCAGAAACCTTCCCACCACCACAGTTTGATTTAATCCATGTGCTTCCATTCTCAAACCACCAGTGAATTCACAATCTATTAATATTTACAAATATTTATTTGTGATTTAAAAATCTTAAAAAATGGTAATTAACCCCATAGTAATTGTTATTGAATCTTCTCAAGGAGATTACTTCTACTCTCATTATCTTGTTTTCAAGTTCATCTGAGAAAATACAATGAATTTAAAGGAAGAAATAGCGAGAATTGCATCAAAATGTGGAAGCCAATGTCAACTGGTGAAGATCTAACTGGTACATTTTCGTTAACAGACTTCCTTTTAATCTAATTATGCCTTTCAGGTTAAAAAAATCTCACAGAAGTTTTAGTTCCATTTTTTTTTTTTTTTTGCAAAAGAAAAAGCATTTTATTGTGTGGCTGAGAGATAGTGTTTTTCAAATTATAGGAGAACAAAGATCCTTTTGGTAAACTACATAAAATGTATTCCTTTACAATACTGGCTACAACCCATACTTCCCCTCTTTTATTTTTTATTCTATAAAAGCCAGGATAAATTAAGTGGCAAGAGCAAAATTGCAATAATATGAGTTTTTAAAGTAGAAAATGACTCAATTATTAATTGCCTCAAGGAACTAAGATGGTCATTGTAACAAAGATGTTAACAGCATTGTAAAAGATAACAAATTTAGACAACAAGAGGATTAGATATTAACTTCTTATAGAATATTTGGAATATAGCATTGCAAAATATTTTATAGAAAAATGTGGTGTTATTACATTTACTGAGAACACAGAATTATCAACAGTTCTGGATTTTAATTAATTTTGATTGTTTTAGAGATAGGAATAAATGGAAGGAATAACTCCAGTGCCTAGCGTGGTACCAGGTACAAAGTTAGTGAAAAATATACATTTGTTGAATAAATTTGCAATGGAATATTTTTTTTGCAGGTTATAAATGTTACAGACAGATATGGATATTAAAAATCCCACATCTTTATCTCCCATTTATTGTAATCTGCACCAGTCTTTTCTTTAATTCTTTACTCTTTATTCATGAATTAGAAATGAAGCAGAGACATTGGAAGTTTGATATTTTCACAGTGATTTAATGCTAATATTTTGATATTGGCCAACTTGGGGGCCAATATTCTAATCCTTATAGAGAAGTTGTATTAGTTCTAATGATGATTAGTTTAAAAGTTTTCTTCAATGATGAAACAGTGTCTTCAATATAAAAGACACATAAGTGTGGCTGGCAAGATGGCCGAATAAAAACAGCTCCGGTCTGCAGCTCCCAGCCAGGTCAGCACAGAAGGTGGGTGATTTCTGCATTTCCAGCTGAGGTACCTGGCTCATCTCACTGGGACTGGCTAGACAGTGGGTACAGTGAACCGAAGCAGGGTGGGGCATCACCTCACCCAGGAAGTGCAAGGGGTCAGGGAACTCCCTCCCCTAGCCAAGGGAAGCTATGAGGGACTGTGCCTTGAGTAATGGTGCACTCCTGCCCAGATACTATGCTTTTCCCACAGTCTTCACAACCCGCAGACCAGGAGATTCCCTCAGGTGCCTACGCTACCAGGGCCCTGGGTTTCAAGCACAAAACTGGGAGGCCATTTGCGCAGACACCAAACTAGCTGCGGGAGGTTTTTTTCATACCCCCGTGGTGTCTGGAATGCCAGTGAGAGAGAACAGTTCACTCCCCTGGAAAAGGGGCTGAAGCCAGGGAGCCAAATGGTCTAGCTCAGTGGATCTCACCCCCACAGATCCCAACAAGCTAAGATCCACTGGCTTGAAATTCTTGCTGCCAGCACAGCAGTCTGAAGTCAACCTGGGATGCTCAAGCTTGGTGGGGGGAGGCGTGTCCACCATTACTGAGGCTTGAGTAGGCAGTTTTCCCCTCACAGTGTAAACAAAGCTGCCAGGAAGTTTGGACTGGGCAGAGCCCATCCCAGACCAGCAAAGCTGCTGTAGCAAAACTGCCTCTCTAGATTCCTTCTCTCTGGGCAGGACATCTCGGAAGGAAAGGCAGCAGCCCCAGTTAGGGGCTTATAGATAAAACTCTCATCTCCCTGGGACAGAGCGCCTGAGGGGAAGGGTCAGCTGTGGGTGCAGCTTCAGCAGACTTAAGCATTCCTGCCTGCCGGCTCTGAAGAGTGAGCGGATCTCCCAGCACAGTGCTCCAGCTCTGCAGAAGGACAGACTGCCTCCTCAAGTGGGTCCCTGACCCCGATGCCTCCTGACTGGGAGACACCTCCCAGCAGGGGTTGACAGACACCCCATACAGGAGAGCTCCAGCTGACATCTTGTGGGTGCCCCTCTGGGACGAAGCTTCCAGAGGAAGGAACAGGCAGCAGTCTTGCTGTTCTGAAGCCTCCAATGATGATACCCAGACAAACAGGAGTGGACCTCCAGCAAACTCCAGCAGACCTGCAGAAGAGGGGGCCTGACTGTTAGAAGGAAAACTAACAAACAGAAAGAAATAGCATCAACAACATCAAAAAGGATGTTCACATAGAAACCCAATCCAAAGGTCACCAACATCAAAGACCAAAGGTCGATAAATCCATGAAGATGAGGAAAAGCCAGCACAAAAAGGCTGAAAATTGCAAAAACCAGAATGCCTCTTCTCCTCCAAAGGATCACAACTCCTTGCCAGCAAGGGAGCAAAACTGGATGGAGAATGAGTTTGATGAATTGACAGAAGTAGGCTTCAGAAGGTGGGTAATAACAAACTCCTCCGAGCTAAAGGAGCATGTTCTAACCCAATGCAAGGAAGCTAATAACCTTGATACAAGGTTAGAGGAATTGCTAACTACAATAACCAGTTTAGAGAAGAACATAAATGACCTGATGGAGCTGAAAAACACAGCAGGAGAACTTCATGAAGCATACACAAGTATCAATAGTCGAATCAATTAAGTGGAAGAAAGGATATCAGAGATTGAATATCAACTTAATGAAATAAAACGTGAAGACAAGATTGGAGAAAAAAGAACGAAAAGGAAGGAGCAAAGCCTCCAAGAAACATGGGACTATGTGAAAAGACCAAATCTAAGTTTGATTGGTGTACCTGAAAGTGACAGGGAGAATGGAAACAAGGTGGAAAACACTCTTCAGGATATTATCCAGGAGGAATTCCCCAACCTAGCGAGATAGGCCAACATTCAAATTCAGGAAATACAGAGAACACCACAAAGATACTCCTTAAGAAGAGCAACCCCAAGACACATAATCATCAGATTCAGTAAGGTTGAAATGAAGGAAAAAATGTTAAGGGCAGCCAGAGAGAAAGGTTGGGTTACCCACAAAGGGAAACCCATCAGACTAACAGTGGATCTTTCTGCAGAAACCCTACAAGCCAGAAGAGAGTGGGGGCCAATATTCAACATTCTTAAAGAAAATAATTTTCAACCCAGAATTTAATATCCAGCGAAACTAAGCTTCATAAGCGAAGGAGAAATAAAATCCTTTACAGGCAAGCAAATGCTGAGAGATTTTTTCACCACCAGGCCTGCCTTACCAGAGTTCATGAAAGAAGCACTAAATATGGAAAGGAAAAACTGGTGCCAGCCACTGCAAAAGCATACCAAATTGTAAAGACCATCGACACTATGAAGAAACTACATCAGCTAACAGGCAAAATAACCAGCTAGCATCATAATGACAGGGTCAAATTCACACATAACAGTATTAGCCTTAAACGTAAATGGGCTAAATGCCCCAATTAAAAGACACAGACTGCCAAATTGAATAAAGAGACAAGACCTATTGGTGTGCTGTATTTGGGAGACCCATCTCATGTGCAAAGACACTCATGGGCTCAAAATAAAAAGAAAAGTGGAGGAAGATTTACCAAGCAAATGGAAAGCAAAAAAAATCAGGGGTTGCAATACTAGTCTCTGATAAAACAGAATTTAAACCAACAAAGATAAAAAAAAGACAAAGAAGGGCATTACATAATGGTAAAGGGATCAATGCAACAAGAAGAGCTAACTATCCTAAATATATACGCACCCAATACAGGAACACTCAGAATCATTAAGCAAGTTCTTAGAGACCTACAAAGAGAATTAGACTCCCAAACAATAATAATGGGAGACTTTAACCCCCCACTGTCAATATTAGACAGATCAACACAACAGAAAATTAACAAGGATATTCAGGAATTGAACTCAGCTCTGGACCAAGTGGACCTAATAGACATCTACAGAACTCTCAACCCCAAGTCAACAGAATATACATCCTTCTCAGCACCACATCACACTTATTCTAAAATCAACCACATAATTGGAAGTAAAACACTCCTCAGCAAATGCAAAAGAATGGAAATCATAGCAAACAGTCTCTCAGACCACAGTATAATCAAATTAGAACTCAGGATTAAGAAACTCACTCAAAACCACACAACTACATAAAAACTGAACAACCTGCTTCTGTATGATTACTGGGTAAGTAGCAAAATTAAGGCAGAAATAAATAAGTTCTTTGAAACCAATGACAGCAAAGACACAATGTATCAGAATCTTTGGGTCACAGCTACAGCAGTGTTTAGAGGGAAATTTATGGCACTGAATGCCCACAGGAGAAAGTGGGAAAGATCTAAAATCGACACCCTAACATCACAATTAAAAGAACTAGAGAAGCAAGAGCAAACAAATTCAAAAGCTAGCAGAAGACAAGCAATAACTAATATCAGAGCAGAACTGAAGGAGATAGAGACACGGAAAACCCTTCAAAAAATCAATGAATCCAGGAGCTGGTTTTTGAAAAGATTAACAGACAGACCGCTAGCTACACTAATAAAGAAGAAAAGAGAGAAGAGTCAAATAGACACAATAAAAATGATAAAGGGGATATCACCACTGATCCCACAGAAATACAAACTACTATCAGAGAATAGTGTAAACACTTCTATGCAAATAAACTAGAAAATCTAGAAGAAATGGATAAATTCCTGGACACATTCATCCCCCCAAGATTAAACCAGGAATTAGTCGAATTCCTGAGTAGACCAATAACAAGTTTTGAAATTGAGGCAGTAATTAATAGCCTACCAACCCAAAAAAGTCAAGGACCAGATGGATTCACAGCTGAATTCTACCAGAGGTACAAAGAGGAGCTGGTACATTCCTTTTGAAACTATTCCAAACAATATAAAAAGAGGGACTCCTCCCTAAATCAATTTATGAAGCCAGTATCATCCTGATACCAAAACCTGGCAGAGACACAACCATAAAAGTAAATTTCAGGCCAATATCCCTGATGAACATTGATGTGAAAATCCTCAATAAAATACTGGCAAACCGAATCCAGCAGCACATCAAAAAGCTTATCCACTGTGATCAAGTCAAGGCAATGGCAACAAAAGCTAAAATTGACAAGTGGGATCTAATTAAACAAAAGAGCTTCCACACAGCAAAAGAGACTATCAACAGAGTGAACAGGCAACCTACAAAATAGGAGAAAATTTTTGCAATCTATCCATCTGACAAAGGGCTAATATCCAGAATCTACAAGGAAGAGAGAGAAAGAGAGAGGATGTCAAGGTCATTGAGAGCATGCATTTACCAAACCAGTGATTAGCAAGATCATTTTGTATGCTCTAACTTGCTAAGAGAGTTTTACCTCATTATTCCAAATGCATTATTTCCAAAGTCTACAAACATCCAAGCTATATATGTAAACATATTTGTCCAGTGAGTTCTTTGAAATTGAAGGTGTTTGTGGAAACTGAGGTCATTAATGATTTATAAGTGATTTTGTTATTGATTTTATTTGGAAGCCCTTAAATGAATAATTTATCAATGAATATAGAGTGAGTAGGAGGTAGGGTGTGGCTTGGGTGTGCATCAGAATTATTATGCAATTTGAGAGTTTCTGCAAAATTCCTTAATGGTTCTGATTAATTCTTCCTTTGGTGAGCAGAAGAGGAAGGATTTGAAAATGATGTTTTTCAAATTACAACTCCCTTACCCACAGCAATATTCTAATTATAAAGACAACAGTCTGAAGTGAGAAGATGCTTTACGAAATACGATTGGTTCAGAAATAACACTGCTTATTTCTGCTTCCAGCTGGGAACTACTACTCTAAATGATTCTTCCACATTGACAAGGCTTCAGAAAGGTTCTTCATAGCTGGTTCCATGGGCAGTATGTGCTAAGGCAGTTATAGTTTTCCATTATCTAAATGTTAAGAAAGACTCATGGCTCATGATTAGTATAATAAATTTCTATCTCATATTCAGATAAGCAGAACAATATTCTTGGAAGGCATATGATGTCATGATTTCATCTTAAAAAATCTAAAAGTATTTCATATAGCTTGCAGAAATAATGTTGTCTTACCTATGATGGGATATGACAATAAATCAATAAAATTTTATTGTCTGATTTTTAGAGATTTTTTTTCTCTTGTGATTGTATCTCTATAGCTCTGGATATTCAGGGATGTGAAAAGTGTTAAGGATAATTTACCCTGTCCTTAACAGTTTTCAATACACACACATCAGAGAAATCATACGGAAACATCGCTTTTACTTTATAATGAGGAAACTGAGGCTCAGAGATCTTTCATGCCCTAATTCCTATTTCGTTGTTATTTATGCTAAAGTATGACACTATCATTTTTATTTGACATCCTGTACAAATGTACAGTTACACTTAGCTTAATGATGAGGAGACATTCTGGGAAACGCATTGTTAGGCAATTTTGCCACTTTGCAAACATCATAGCATGTACTTACACAAACCCAGATCATATAGCCTAAGTGTGTAGTAACACACTTAGATTATATGGTATAGCCTATTGCTCCTAGACTACACAGCTGCACAGTATTTTAGTGTATTGAATACTGTAGGCAATTGTAACACAGTAAGTATCTAAACATATCTAAATATAGAAAAATTATAGTAAAATATGGTATAAAAGATAAGAAATGTTACCCTTATATAGGGCACTTACCATGAATAGAGCTTGAAGGCCTGGAATTTGCTCTGGGTGAGTTGTGAATGAGTGGTGAGTGAATGTGAAGGCCTAAGACATTGCTTTGCAGGTCTGTAGACTTTATAAACACACTAAATTTATTTAAATTTTTTTCTTTCTTCAACAACAAATTAACCTTAGCTTACTGTAACTTTTTTGCTTTATAAAATTTTTTAAGTTTTCAAAACTTTGTGACTCTTTTGTAATAACACTTAGCTTAAAACACAAGCCATTGTGTAGATATACAAAAATATTTCCTTTCTTTATATCTGTATTCTATAATCTTTTTACTATTTAACTTTTTAAAAAACTTTTTAAAGTTTGTGTTAAAAACTAAGGCGTGTGTGCACACCCGCTCACCTGCGTGCGCATAACACACACACACACACACACACACACACACACACACACACTAGCCTAGGCCTATCCATGGGTCGAGATCATCAATGTCACTCACTTCAACCACTTGTCACACTAGAAGGCCTTCAGGACCAATAAAACACATAGAACTGTAATCTTCTATGATAACAACAGCTTCTTCTGACATGCCTTCTGAAAGACCTACCTGAGGTTATTTTATCATTAACATTTTTTAATAAATAGGAGTATAGTAAATACAAAATCAATAACAGTGGTTTATTATTATAAAATATGTGTTGTATATAATTATGTGTGCTAGACTTTTATACAACTGGCAGTGCAGTGGGTTTTTTCACACCAGCATCACCATAAACCTGTGAGTCATGCATTGTGCTGTGACATTACGATGGCTATGATGTCACTACACAACAGGAATTTTTGAGCGCCATTAAAATCTTATGGGAACACTGTCTTATATGTAGTCCATCATTGACCAAAACATCATTATGTGACTCATGACTGTACCTGGGCATGAATAGCTGTATCTGTGAGAAAATAGAGAGTATTTTAGTTACATTTATCTCTTCTTACCTGATTTAAATTTTATTTTTGTAATTATGTCTTCCTGGTGCACTAAGAGTTGTATAGTCAACCCTCTAGATTCATATGCTCCACATATATGTAGAGAGAGAGAGAGAGAGAGAGAAAGTGAGAGAGAGAGAGAGAGAGTGAGAGAGAGAGAGAGAGAGTGAGAGAGAGAGAGATGGAGTCTCGCTCTGTTGCCCAGACTGGAATGCAGTCACGTGATCTTGGCTCACTGCAACCTCTGCCTCCCGGGTTCAAGCGATTCTCCTGCCTCTGCCTCCCCAGCAGCTGGGACTACAGGTGCGCACCATCATGCCCAGCTAAGTTTTGTATTTTTAGTAGAGATGGGGTTTCACCATATTGGCCAGGCTGGTCTCGAATTCCTGACCTCGTGATCCACCAGCCTCTGCCTCCCAAAGTGCTGGAATTGCAGGCGTGAGCCACCAGGCCCAGCAAACTTTCTTTTTTGTTTATTACATAGATTAGAGGTTTCTATGTTGCCCAGGCTGGCCTCGAATGCCTAGCCTCGCCTCCTTATGCATCAGGACAACAGTCCTGAGCCATCGCGGCTCCCATGAAATATTTAAATATTATTATTTCTCTTGCAAACTTGGATGACCATTGATATTAGGGGCTAGTTTTATTTTTTTATCTCTAATACCTAACATCACAGATTCTCGTTCAATTTACCCAATAAATTAGCTGATTATATGCAAACTGATTATTGCCATCCTGTTAAATTTTGTGATGATGTAAGGAAAAAATAAATATATACTTTATATGAATATGGAATTGTGCAGGCATAGGGATACTTCTCTATCACTGAAACTATTTTACTATGCAAAACATAGTTTCGTTTAATAAGTATTTACTATGTGTCCCCTATATTCTTAGCCCCAAACTAGGTGTTGCTGTATTAGTAAGGACAGCATGTGAAGCATGTTATTTTTTTTCATTGCCTCCAAGTGGAATCTATAATAAAACCAAAGCCATACTTGAGTTATTTCAGAGAAATACTATTTAGAAAGACAGTTCCATATTTTCAGGCAACTTAGCAGGTCAGATTTCTTCGGGTTCTTTGCATGGCTGAGTTAAAGAGCTAGAACGTATATAAAAGCTTAGTGAACTGTGTTTGCAATTTCACTGAACAGCCATTAGTAATACCTCACTTTGTTGGGTTTCAAGCGTAACCACTGTAGTGATCTCTTATGATTAAATTGCAATTCTGCTGAACTGCATGAGTAAAGATGGACATGAAGTTGATATGGCATCTATGGGTTACAGCTTGGCTATAATGTTTGTCCACATGAAGTCTCTCCCTTTATATGTATCACACCCAAATGTACAATTAAACTAGAACGTAAGATTGAATTATTTTGAGGAAGGAAACTAACTGCTAATAAAACAGAACTTCTACCTATGATTAAACCATTCCCAAGCCACTCTTTACTGGTACAAAATTTCCCTTAAAAAAGCCAAAGCTTTTAAATGTATTATATTGATAAGCTAACCCTATTAATCAATAAGAAACTTTTTTTTTATAAAGTCAATGAACCACTAAAAGCATTTGAAAATGTCAATGAAAGTGAAAAGTTTTAAGGCACAAATTCTCTAATTACTACTGAAACCCTAATTAACAGGAAATTATGGAAGTCTAAATAGCACTTGCCGATTCATCATCTGGGACATATTTTCCCCTGGCTACATTTGCTGCCACTGCTGGATGAATAGTCAATAATTATTATTTGGTATCACACATTTCATAGAAACTGTCAGAACATTCAATTAGTCAGGAATGATAAAATGGCAACAAAAGTGTTAGGAATAATGAATTGGTGATATAAGTCATCAATGTGTGATACATGTATTTTTTAAAATTTTCATAGTCTACTGGTTATTAAATGTAATCATGACTGGTAAAAGCAGATGAACTGTGATTTAGGGACTCAAAAATGTTTAACTCTCACTTGAAAGTGAACTCACATTCGTTTGATTATCTTGGTCCTCGCTACACAATAAATCATTACAGAACAGAACCCTCTGCATGAAAATCTCTAGATCTGGGGCCATTGTCTGAAGGCATTTATTACAGAAAGTTGTACAAATGCCTCAGCTATAATATGATTTCACAGCATGAATGCCATGAACAGCAAGTCTCCAGAGATGCTGTAAAATATTTGTGGCAGCTGAGTTCTAAGGTTAGAGAACTCTAAGTTTAGACACAATTGATTGGAAAACGTCAGCTTTTCATAGAACGTTTAGACTTTGGCACACAACTTAAGTAGTTAAAGAATGTTAAAAATAATTTTAGTTAAAAATCATTTTTTCAGTTCCTGCAAATAAATATATAAGTGACAACCAAAAAGTGACTCCAAACATCTCTATTATTATCAGCACACCCTTTTGTATTTTTCTGTTTAGTAAAGTCACACATATACAGCTGTATAGCTGTAATTTAGACTGTGCTGCTCCTAAAAATAGGACACTGCAATTCTCATTTTGAAAAACTCTCAAGCTTACCAGCCATACCTATTGAAATCATTAATTAGTAAGAAGTGATGATCCGTTATGCTCCATTTCACCTTTGACTGTTGAAATCACCCCCTAGAGGTAATCACATTATAGTGATAGATGAAGTATTTGGGAAATTTCTGTGATCCAGAGCTACTGGGAAGCAAAAGAATATTTTACAAGTGTGTAACCAAAGAAGAGTGGTTTAACATAGTATTTCTAATCTTCTAATTCATATTACATTGACTAGAGGAAGATAACTGCTCATTTATGAATTCTTGAAGGTGGTGACATCTGACATATATCTGAAATGGGAGACTGAATTTAATATCCATAATTAAGTGTCAACATTCATACTTCACTCTCATGCTTGGCAACATTACACTGACAATACAGAAGAGTGGTACAGAACTTGCTGTTATGTAGCAGATTTTTAAATGAGCATATTTCAAAGCTCCCCATGAAGTAATGAATTAGAAATTGGCTTTGAATTCAACTTGATTGGCAGCTATTATTTGGTACATAGATCTCATGAGACAGTAGTATGTAGTTATACAATAGCTACCAGGAACTCTGCATGACATTACGTGGTGGTGATATTAAAAATAATTCTTAGGTTTTCTATTTAAATCAAAATTTTTTGAGGGTTTACTTCATGTTTGTGATGTAAAGTTGGAGTCTTCCAACACTGCTGTAGAGAATGCAGAATTCAGGATAGAGCGGATGTGTTTTTGACCCTATCCAAGGGGATTTATTACTGGCAATACTAGGAGGATCTCATTGTACCAAGGCTTCATTTATAATAAAGTCCCACGGCATGGATCCTGTGGATAACATTACAGTATAGTTTCAGGTTTCTGGGAAAGAGCAGAGCAATTAGATATAGAAGAAAGAGTCACTTTTAACATGGTGTTTGGTTATGCACAGTAATTTCTTGTTAGAAAAGTCAATTGAGCTCAGCTATTTTGAGTATATTACAGGTACTTGATAAATAATGGTTCCACATTAACAACTATGAGGTGTATCAGGCTGTAGCATATTTAGAATTCTGCTTCTGAGAGAGGCAAGAAGGTAGTGTTATAAGATTTTTCAATTATTTTCCTTGCTGCAATCTCAGAAGATTAGCCTTCTACTCTAAAAATATTCACTTACTTTCATTATGCAGGTATCATTCATAAATCTGAGTTGTCCTTGTGTTTTTATTAACTTACATTTTAATTTTACTTTGGCCTCCAATACCTCTTGTCTCCATCCACTGAAGTGCAAAGTGCTACTTTTTTTTTTATATTATGGGACATTACTTCATTTAATCGTTATTAGATAGTCCTGAAATTCTTTGAGCCTGAGTTTCTTCATTTGAAATGTCATAATAATGACTAGCTATATTTTCAAAATAGAATAGATTACAGCACATACAATTTTCTAGCACAGAAGAGGTGCTATTCTCTTTCAGCATCTATTTCCTCTGTGTCACTTTCACTGTTTTATACAATTTAATTATATTCCCCTTCAAACTTATTTTTTAGAGATTAATGAAGCTCATGTCCTCATATGAAAATTTCTGCAAATTCTTGATTTTAGCTACTTCTTGTCCTTTCTTCAAACTTTATGTTGTCTTTCTTCAGGCATGCCATCAGAATTGCACTCAAGTCTGGCTTTTTAATCAACTCCTCTGATGTTTTCTATCTCAAAGGGAAAGCAAAATCATATTAAAACTGGAGCAAATAATGACTTGCTCACTATTACTGTGTCTCTTACCATGCAAGAATTGAGGTTTGATGGGAACAGTATCTGTGATGTTCATGGCTATATCTTCTTAGTCATCAGTATTATTCTCACCTGTACTGTGGCAGATAGGTACAAAGGGGTGACACAAAGATGCATTGGGCCAAATGTCCCAGTGGTCTTAAGCAGTCATTGTTGGTGAAGGCTTGACATTAGTGTTAAGTTTGATTGAACAACATATTAAAATTACTTACTTCCACTAAGATAATAAGAAAGCCTGTTCAAATATATGGTGCATATATTTATTCCTTTATAACGTATCTTAAATCCTTCCTTTTGCTTTCCATCCCTAGTGACAACAGTCTTGGGTATACATGTTTTTTTTTTTTTATTTGATGCATGAATTACAAAATTTGTTTTCTAACTAGCTTTCATTTCTCTAGTCCTACTCCCTTTTACTAATTGTATATACATCACTGTATTAATTTTCATAAAATACAATTGTTCCCTTATGCTGCTTCCATGCTCATACATCCTTGTCAGTTTCTTCCGGATTTCAGCACAGTTTTCAAGAATTTTTACTCAGTGGCAGATGGAAAGGAACTGGAAGATCCTGAGAGCAAAGAATTAAACAGCTCTCCTCAAATCCCATCCTGTATCTTTAAAATTCAAATTAATTTTTTATACCTTTCCCTTTTTTCCAAAAATTTGATTTTAGTCTGACAAAGACTCTATCCTAGAACAAAGTTTATTCAGGCTTTTCTGAGCCTGCTTTTGAACTGGGTACTGTCTTTGGCTTGCTTAGCCCAATTTTGGCAGTAATCCTTTTCATGTCTCCTTTCAGTAATTTTCCACCCACTGACGACCTCCCTCTTCTTATTGGTTTTAAGTCCCCAGCTGTCTTTGCTGTATTTGCAATTGAGCCCTATCTCTCCCTTATTGTGATAGTCATGACACTTATCAGTCATATTGCATAAAATCTCCCTTACCATTTTAGCAAGCGTCAGAATAATTTTTATTTAACAGCGGGGAGTGCCAATCATGTTAACCCACACCCTGGGAGAGAGGAGTTGAATATAACACGGGTTTGACCAGTCACAGTGTTTTTCTCAACTGCAGTTCTCTTAGTGAAGTAATATGGGTGTGAGCCCTAAGCCACTCAGTACCATGTCCTGCTACCACAATATAGAGAAGGTGATATTAGATAATGAAGATGTCACGTGGACAGAAACAGGGTCGAAGACCAGCTGCTCTCAAGTCCTTGTTTACAGTTCTCCTTAAGGTCAGCTCTACTTGTGCCCTACCTGGTTGTGTAAGCCAATAATTTGCCTTTTCTTTTTCTTAAATACACTCAACAAGGTTTCAGTTTCTTAAAGCTAAAATATTTTGACAGACATATTCACTCAAATGATACTTTTCATCTACCCTCTTTTATTATTTATCTATAATCTTAATTCCTTGATTACATTATGTATAGTTATGCCTTGTGTAAACCCACAGAACTTAGGCTTTTAATAAATATTTACTAATTTCTCTAATTTTTCCATATGCTTTGAAATTAAGAAATTACACAATTTGTAACTTTTGGAAATTTAATGTTCTAATCCATCCATCCATTCATTTTCCATGAGATCATAATGTGTGTATTACTCTGTTCATTTTCTTTAATTCTTTATTTTACTGAACAATATCTTGTGAGCATCGTGTCAACTAATAACAACATTTTATCACATAAATACTGCAACTTATATAATCCTCTATTTTAAATTATCTAGATTGTTTCCAAAGATTCCCTATGCAAAACACAACCAAATAAAACAAACTCAAATTTTTAGGTTTTCTTATTAGCACATTTCTTATATGCTTTGTTATTTTCTGAGGATATATACATTTTGGATATATACATTTTTTAAAAAGTCTTTTTCTGAGGGGATATTTTGCTAAGTAACTCTTCAGAAATATTGTTCAAATTTATACTTCTAAAAGGATTAATTAACCAATCTTTAATTTTTTCTGAAAAACCGAAACTGTTGTTTTTGTTGTTTATAGTTAATTGCATAAGTGTTTTTTGGATTTTTAAATTAAACTTGTTCTTTGTTTAATTTTTATTCCTTCACGTATAAAATTGTGTTTATCTCATTTATGTGTCATTCTATTGTAGCTATCTTTTTCATTTATTTAATTTTTTTTTTTTTTTGAGACGGAGTCTCTGTCGCCCAGGCTGGAGTTCAGTGGCGCGATCTTGGCTCACTGCAAGCTCCGCCTCCCGGGTTCACGCCATTCTCCTGCCTCAGCCTCCCAAGTAGCTGGGACTACAGACGCCCGCTGCCACGCCCGGCTAATTTTTGTATTATTTAGTACAGACGGGGTTTCACCATGTTGTCCAGGCTGGTCTCAAACTCCTGACTTCGTGATCCGCCCGCCTTGGCCTCCCAAAGTGCTAGGATTACAGGCGTGAGCCGCTGCGCCCGGCGCTATCTTTTTCTAATTGATTTATTAGAACTACTGACATTAAGGAGGTTAGCATTTGTCATTGACGATGATTATAATGATATTTTGGAGTTATTAGCCCTTTTACTTTTTCTTTCATATATACTGAAAACTTTTGTTAAATTTTGTTTGCATTTAACTTTTAATGAGATGTATTTAGAAAATTCATCCATTTTGATCATCATTTTTCTATTACTGTTAATGTTGGCCAGTTCCTATATTTTGGGTCTTATTCATAGAATTTCTACTTGAAATACAGTGGAAGAAATAGTTCTACTTTTTAAAATGATTAACCAAATATATTTTGTTTTTTATAAATGCATGTAATATATATATTTACATTTAAAGTTCTAGATTATCTATAAAGACATATATTATACAAAGCTTTGTCTTACAATTTTGTTTAATTGAATATATGCCATGCGGTAGCAATTTGACAGTGTTTAAACTTCCCGGAAAAGGTTAGAAGTCAAGGTTAATGAGTAGCAAATTAATGTAATATTAAAATGTTAAGAAAGCCCTGTAGAAAGCCATTCTATACATTTGTTATGAACGATCAATTTTTCATTAAATTCTTTAAGTGATTTCAATACGTTTTTGGTACAAAACCAACTGCTTTTCTTAATATTTGCCAGAAGATGGTGCTATATTAATAAAGTATAATCTTTTCAGTGTTCTAGGAAATACAGATAAATATTGTTGAAGTATTAAAATAAAAGCAGCTCCTAAGGCTTGACAAATAACTGTCTAATGATATGCTCATTTTATATGCCTATATCTTAAAAAGAAAAGTTTGTTATGCATTTGGAGGTGAAAGGAATAAAAAGTATCATTTTTTGCTCATATTTTTATTGTTTTTTTCTTTTCAAGTCATAAGACAATTTGGGTATAAAAAAAGCTGCTCATTAGTGGTTTTTAAAACTAGAGCTACCTAACAAATTTGAAATAATTTTAAAGTCATATGCTCACACAAAACATACACATACACACCAATAACTTCTGTGCTGGGTCTGAAAAAAATGGAACAAAAGAAAACAAAACCAAAACTTAAAATTGTGATGATTCCATGTAACTAGCCACAAAATAGCTTGTATATTTATTTTTTTTAATATTTAAAAATAGTCAGTTAACATTCATCCCAGAGGCATGTTTACATTGCATTTTATTTACAGCAAGACACAGTCTTTCATCAGAAGTCCTGCAAGCATCCCTTCAACCACTGATTTAATGTCATTAAATATAGATGTCTTTTAAAAGGCAGTTAATTTAGTATAAGGGGAAATGCCTCAATGCATGCTAATAATGGGACTTTGTTCAGCATAAAAAATGAAACTTAATAAACACCTTTCCTTCTACATTGCCCTGGCTCCAGAATTTTCTAATGAGTAGCAACAGGAGCTCAGCAACCACTAAGGCCTGTTAACCTGACTGTAATTGTGTCTAATAAGTAGACAGACCAGAATATTCATCAAAAGTTCAATTGAGGTATTCAGTATTACCTTACCAATTCTTACTAATGACTGGGAAACAAATTATGTGTTTTGAACTTGTTCATGAAGCAATGGTTTAGATTCTGTGGGGAAGAAAGAACCATGGACATAGTATAAAACTTTACTAATGAGCAGAAATAGCATTGGTACATATGTTACTTTGTTTTATTTTTGATGTGATCCTTTCAGTGCCTTCCAAATCTATACAAATACATAGTTGAGCAACAGTTCACTCTTTTTTTTTCTTTTACTTTAAGTTCTGAGATACATGTGCAGAATGTGCAGGTTTGTTACATAGGTATACATGTGCCACAGTGGTTTGCTGCACCCGTCAACCCGTCATCTAGGTTTTAAGCCCCGCATACATTAGGTATTTGTCCTAATGCTCTCCCTCCCCTTGCCCTCCACCTCCCTGGCAGGCCCTGGTGTGTGATGTTCCCCTCCTTTTGTCCATATGTTCTCATTGTGCAGCTCCCACTTATGAGTGAGAACATGTGGTGTTTGGTTTTCTGTTCCTGTGTTAGTTTGCTGATAACGATGGTTTCCAGCTTCATCCATGTCCCTGCAAAGGACACGAACTCATACTTTTTTATGGCTGCACAGTCTTTTCTTTATAGTACATAGCTGGATCGTTACTCATTATGTTTATTGAGTTCCTTCTATGGGCAGAATATCTGTAAAGTATTCAGAACTAAAGGAGGCTTTTAAAAGTAAATAGAAAGCAATGCTTTTGAGAAATAGCCACTTAATTAGTGAGATTGAATCAACATATTCAGGCAAGCAGTAGCAAAAAAAAAAAAACCCCACATTTTATAGAACTAAGTAATATAATGTAAAATAATTGTGGGATGGATTAGTGCCTGTTTGATTTCTGATCAATGCTTTTGTTAGAATGTTTTTTTAAGAAAAGCCTAAATATGCTGTTTAAGACTGATAAAAATCTTACCATGTAGATACTATTATCCTTACTTTTTGATAAATGAAGAAACTAAATCCTGCAGAGGTTGACTAATCTACCCACTCACACAGCTAATAGGCCATGGGACAGGATTTGGATTTAGATCCATTCTGTCTCCAGAGCCTGAGCACTCTCCACTATGCCAAACAGAACTCCAAAACCCTTTCAAGACACACCTGGCTCCAAGCTTGAGCTCACACTCATTTTGTTTGTCTCCTAAAGTGAAATTTTAGGTTGCCTGTCTTGACTCTCTTCAGATAAAAATCCCTCAGAAAATTTTTTAGAGTCAGAGTTGAGATTGATTTCTGTGATTCATTTGTCACTGTGAAAAGAGATTAGGGCTGAAAGAAAGTGACTCATATGATGGCTCATGTTCACTGCAGCATGACTGGCAGCTTCTAGAACAGAAAAACAGACTTCTCCTTTTCTTTGGGGAGTAAGCAGCACGGGGAAATTTTATTCAGTAAAGCTGATGACAATTTTCCTTTAAATTGGACACGAATTCTCCTAGGAACACTGCATAGTAATATTCCTATGCCCATAAAATTTCAAGATAATCTTTTCGAAAAAGAAGTACATTCGTTTTTTTGACAACTGTTTACATTATTTTTTATCTCATCGAATAATTTCTACAAAATTATATTACACTAGGCTTTTAGAAAAGAGAATTTGCTCTCTAAAGACTCTGAAAACAGAACAATGAAATATCCCTTCCCTTAATTCGACCCATTCCTTCTAGTATTACTAATTAAATAAGTTAGTTCTCAATTGTCCTCAGATTGTATATGTGATTTGAAATTTCTTTAGAATTTACTAGTTTGTTAATTATTTCTAAATGGATATATTATTATTAGAAAGTGTCTTATTTATTTTATCTAGACTAGTTTTGATTCCTAGTTTCTAACAGATGAAGCCAAAACCAGTTTGGGGTAATAATTCATGATTACTCTAGAAACTATATCTAAGTCATTGACCAAACTATCTGTTAATCAAGTTATAGTTAAGAAATGCAGAGGCTTTTCAAGTTATGAATAAATCTGTATTGAAAGACAGTAACTCTGAGGAGTTGAAACAAAACTTTGGAGTCAGATAAAACTGAGCACAAATCACAGTGATAAGTTAGATGTTACTTAAATTCCCTCAGCTTTGTTTTCTTCTGATCAGTTTCTCTAAAGATTTTTTTAAAAAATTAAATGGGATTACATATGTGTGTGGGGGGGTATTGTATCTACATTATTTAGCTTACTATTTGGTACTTAGTAAGTGCTCAAATGGTAACTTGTTGTTTTATTTTTTTTTCTTTTGATGTTTTTCAAGTCTTCATCCTCAGTCCTTTCATTAAAGATGTGCTCAGTTTCTTATATTACGTAGAGAATGGCCAATTATCTATTGTCAGGATAATGCTGTCTAACAAACAACTAAAACATTCAGTGACATACAGCAATAGATGTTTTTGCTTACCAGTCCTTGATTTGGTGACCTAGTCTTGGCAGAACGCATTTCTATTGCTGGGAACAGGATTCTTTAGGACTATTTCATTTGGGTCATCTTGTCTCTGATTCGCATGTTCTCTCAACCTTCAGCTAATCCATCCTGGACTGGTTCTCTTCCAAGAAAGAGTATGAGGAAGTGGGCAAGGTTATTGAGGCTGAGGTTTGGATGGCCAAATTCTCTACCTCATGAAGGAAGAAGCTGAAAAGTCACAGGACGAAAGATGTGGACAGAGAAAAAGGTAGAGAATTGGGGCTATTTTTACAATTAAACTTCCATAAATATAAGAAGATGAGGTGGGACTTCTTGAAGAAGATGTTTTATTAGGGTTCTTCAGAGAGACAGAACTAATAATATATATTGTGACCTTATATATTGTTTATATCTTATATATTATTGGTTCTGTCTCTCTGGAGAACCCTGTTTAATAGAACATTTCTTTGAAGAAGTCCCTTTTTCTTAGCCACCTCATTTTACAGATAGACAGGTAGAGATAGAGATGTAGGAGAGGGGATTTATTAGGGGAATTTACTTAGGTGATTATGGAGGCTGAGAAGTCCCATAATAAATAAACTGGAGATCTAGGGAAGATGGTGGCTTGGGCAAGTCCAAGTTCAGAAGCCTCAAAATCAGGAAAGCAAAAGGTGTAGCTCTCAGGCTGAAGCTGAAGGCCTGAGAACCTGGGAGACCATTGGTGCCAGTTCCAGAGTTCAACGGATGGAGAACCTGGAGTTCTGAGGTCCAAAGGCAGGAAAAAAAGAGTGTCCCAGCTCCAGGAGAGAGAACGAGAGAGAGAGAGAGAGAGAGAGAGAGAGAGAGAGAGGAGAGAGAGAGAGAGAGAGAGGAGAGAGAGAGAGAGAGAAGAGAGAGAGAGAAGAGACAGAGAGAGAGGAGACAGAGAGAAGAGAGAGAATTTGCTTTTTCTTTGCCCTTTTTGTTCTATTCCAGCCCTCAGCCAAGTGGAATGGATGGTGCTTGCTCATGTTGGGTGAGGGTGGATCTTCCTTACTCAGTCCACTGATTTAAAAATGAATCTCTTCCGGAAACATCTTCAGAGACATTCCGAGAAATAATGATTTTACAGCTATCTCAGTATGTCTTTATCTAGTCAATCTGACACCTGAAATTAACCATTAAAGATGCAAATCAGTTTTTTGAAATTTTTTACATCTGTTACTTTAGAGTTCTCAAGACTTTTAGCTCCAGAATTATTAGAGGGAATTGCTTTTTATATAAATAATAATAATAATGGCTAATCATTATTGACTATATAATGTGTGTTAGATATGTTGGTGTTTCACATGCCTTTTCTTATTTAAATTTCACAGTGGCTTTTCAGAGTAGATATTGTTATTGCCTCTATTTTAGAGGATAGTGAGTCTTAGAGAAATAAATTGTGTATTCATGGTCAGATGGCTAATAAGCAGCAGAATCAAGATTTGAAGCCACGATAGTTAGACTATAGAAATCGCTCTGCAAAGGAGCTTGCGGTGAGCCGAGATCGCCCCACTGCCCTCCAGCCTGGGCAACAGAGCGAGACTCCATCTCAAAAAAAAAAAGAAAGAAAAAAAAAAGAAAAGAAAAAGAAATTGCTCTGCAAATACCCTTCTTTATTAATTTTATTTATTGGCTCTTGCATCTGTCAGCCGAAAGAAAGAAAGAAGCAAACACTGCCTAGTTAGGTAATTTTTACTTTGTATTAAATACAAATAAATTAGTTCATGTCAGAAGCAATAATTTTGAGACATAATTATTTTATGTCTAATTACCACACAAGGTAAGCTGGAAAATACCTTGGAGGGCTCTTTCCTACCTTCTGCCTTCAGTGCCTGTATTCTAATTGGTAGCCCTGCTCCCATGACAGAATGAACCAATTAGCTAAATTTCCATCCAGCTTCTTGCTAAAATGTCAGAAGTAAAACAGGATTCATTTAAAGGCACACAATAATAAATGTTGTCTATTTAAAATAAGGCACCATAGCCTATATTTTAATTTAGAAGACTGAAATGATTATTATCCTTGAAATTTTAACAGGTTCTCAGTATTTTCCTCATTTTATTTAATGTTGTGATGTGTAATATCACCTGAGTCATGGAGGCATTTTTGGAGAGTTTCTGAGCACATGAAATCACCTTCACACAGAATAAATATAATTGGCTTGGATGCGTATGCACAATATATAAATGGACAGGGTAACTGTTAATCTAAATACCCTTCAAATCATCCTTGGTTTCTCTTTTTGTTTGATTTCCATTGCCTCTCCCCCTCCTGGTGCCATTTTCTTAGTATTTGGTTGTAAATGTATACATACATTCTCTTTAATTTTTCCTCTTTTTTTTTTTCCCATTGTCCCTGCCCCTGTCTTGGTTCTGATTTTCATGATCTTTCCTTTATGGTGATGCAATAATGTTCTATAAGATTTTCTTGTCTTTAGTGGCTCTTGTCTTTTCTTGTCTTTACTGCCTCACCAACGGTGACACTAATTAAAATGTCAAGAAAAATATCCCCAATTTTCCTATTTTAACATGGCTTTAAGTACTCTTATTACTGGTTACCCTCATTTTTCTAGAATTGTCCCTCAGATTATTAGGTATCTTGTAGAGGTATGTCTGATGGAAAAATCCCTTTTCCAGTACAATCAACTTTCGGTGACAATAGGACAGGACGAGGGAAGTAGAGCTAGGAAAGGAAAGAATGACTTGACATATAATTCTAATTAGGTATACAAGGTAATGATTGTCACTTGCCATACCATAATGGAGGGAACAGGCAAATATAAGTAGTCAATGTTAAGAACAGATGGATGTGTGTATTATCTGTAATTTTCAAAGAGAATTCTTGATTATCCATTTGAGGTTTTGTGAAGCTCAACTTTAGTACTGTCTTTTATACTGTTGGTGATTTTAGTACAAAATGTCAAAATTTGGTTTGGTGATATTTATTTATTTATTTACTTATTCATTCATTTATTTATTTATTTTTATTTTTTTGAGACAGAGTCTTGCTCTGTCACCCAGACTGGAGTGCAGTGGCGTGATCTTGGCTCACTGCAACCTCCGCCTCCCGGGTTCAAGCAATTCTCCTGCCTCAGCATCCTGAGTTGCTGGGACTACAGGTGCCCACCACCATGCCCGGCTAATTTTTATATTTTTAGTGGAGACAGGGTTTCACCATGCTGGCCAGACTGGTCTCGAACTCCTGACCTCATGATCTGCCTGCCTCGGCCTCCCAAAATGCTGGGATTACAGGAGTCAGCCACCGTGCCTGGCAAGGTGGTATATATTTAAAGCTTAAAAATATCCATGAACTTTGACCCCAAACTCTACTTCTAATGATTTATCCTATGAAAATAATTGAAGATGTTTACAAATATGTACAAATAAGACATTTATCACAGAATTATGAACTAAATAAATTTTTGAGAAATTTAATTTAATTAAGATTTTGGGAAATAGCTTAAATATACAACAGTATGGAATTGGTTAAGTGAATGTTGGTACACCTAATGCAGTGGACAAGCATTAAAATTTATATTATAGGATATTTAACTTTAGAGGGGGAAATAATCATAAAGCTTTGTTATGAACATAAAAGAGCAGATTAAACAACTGTATTTTTGTGAGAATTTAAATATATATGTATATACATGAAGAATCCTGAAAGTCTATATACAAAAATGTTCTTAGTGATTATCATTGTGAGCGAGATTATCCAAAATATTAATTTTCTTCTTGGTGTTTTTCTATATTTGAAAATATTCTTCAAGGTTTACATTTGCAACCAAAAGAAAACCTATATGTTTTGTGTTTTAAATTATTGATTGTTTTATGTTGTCTTCCTAATGAATACCATTTTTTTCTTTGCTTGTGCTTATCTATTGATTTTGATGAAGAATTGTTTTCTTTTAAAACGTACCTATGTGTTGCTACTAATTATTTGAATGACAGTACTACCATTTAATTATTAACACAATACATTTAAGTAGTAATATTAGCATATGGCATTTAAGTAATATCATTAAGATGGAAATTATTCCCAGAAAACACAAAGATGTCAGGGATAGAGAATAGCTGCAGAAGTCATAATAATGCTGCAGAGGGCTTCTTAGCTAGCCTCCCAAGTCTCCCATCAATATCTGAAAAATCAATTTTCTTACTCTCAGATTTCTTCTCAGTCTTAACACTAAGACTGGCTTGAAACTGGATGAGTTCAGAGGTTTTGGAGGATTACCTTATCAGAGTAAGTTTATCCAGTTGGTAATATGTGAATGTTTACAAAAGTGTATTCATAAACTTAAAATCATAAAACTGAACAGAAAAGTTTGATATTTATGAATTTATAGACAAGTTATTAATTAACTCTGTTTATTCAGTTAGAATATTCACATGGGGAAAGTTTCCAGGATAATTCTAGTCGTTCTCAGTGCCACTCCAAACAAAGGAACAACAGCAAGGTAATTTTATCAGGTTATGATTGTGAGACAGGAAAATTCCCTTGACCCCCTCACGGGACTTGTGACTGGGGTGGCTTGCTTACTTGGCAGCCTCACTCAAACCCCTTGCAGGAGGGGGAGCACACAAGTGAGTGGGTGCAGGAGCTGGGACAAGTGCCTTTGGGTGCTGGCAGGAAAAAACCCTGTAGCAACCCGTGGCAGTGTATTGGGGTAGTCCATGACCTCTGGAGTCCCAGAGGGTGTGTGTTACAAACAATGCTGTTTTAGCTTTGCTGTCTGCTGATTGCTTAAGTTTAAACTGCTCAGTGACTAGTCAATGTGATAGCCTTTTTGGGTTCTTGCACCCAGTGCATCCCAAATTCTTGTCCAGCATCTAGGAAGAATCAGGTCACACGAATGCATTGAAGGGTGGCATAAGTGTAGGATTGTATTGAGTGATGGAAATGGTTCTTAGTGGGGTGGGGAGCTGGAAAGGGGATGGAGAGGGAAGATAACCTGCCCCTGGAGTTTGGCCATCCCTAGTCTCCAATGTCCAGCTGTCTCTTCTCCTCTTGCCATTCAGACACTTCCCTTCTCTTCTCTTCTTCTCTGCTGTGCTGCTCTGTTCCTCTGCCAGTGGAGTTTGGGGTGTTTATGAGTACACGTTGAGGGGTGTTGTGAACCAGGATGGTTTTGGAAAAGGCAACATTTAGGCAGGAAAACAGGAGTGCATGTTCTCATTTATGGCCACGGGTCCAGGCTTGACAGTGGAGCCCTTGCCAGGGACCCCACCCTGTTCAGCCTAGTATTTCCCTGCCTCCTTTCTGTATCAATTGTAGTTACATCTAAAGATGTATTAAGCTTGAAACAAGGTTAGTGGCTTATAAGAGGAATCTGGAACTAAGATTGTGAGAATTGCAGGCAGCAAGAAAAAGCATGGCTGCCAAGGATGCTGTTCAGCTTTACTAACTTTTCAGGAGACAGTTAAGAAAATAGCAAGATAACTATTAGATATGCAAAGCCACTGAAGCCACAACTTCTGATAAATCCTTGATATTAAAGTATTTTTGAATAGATTTGAGAGGCAAGTCTATATTTCTTTAGAAATTTGGTTTAAATTACTCATTCGAACAATTATTTTTTAGAAATAGGAGAGTCAAATTAACATAACTGAATTCTTAACTAGGTTAAACCAAGGTGTAATTGTACATTACTATCAACACGTAAGTAAAAATCCTAATTTGTTACATAAGGAAGCTTTATTAATTCTGGTAACATCTCACCATCCATGATTAACTTACCATATTAAAGTGATCAGACATACAATTATGCTAAACACATAAAATTCTGGGTAAGTTTTCTTGTTTTTATTATTCTCAGCTATTAAAATGCAAAAGAAAATAAAATATTTTAAATTTTATTATCTCAAAGCATATAGTCTAATGTTTTTGTAACATTTTTGAACACTTATAATTGAAACTCATATTAAATAGGGAAATAACCACGGGCATTTAAATAAATTTTCACAGTAAAAAGTTTAAAATACAAATGTCTTTATACTGTACTATAAATGACCGTAGTTCTCTAGATATATGACCCATTAATGGTATTGTACCATGATATTCAAGTATTCAAGTAAGTGTTTATGTGTACAGTATTAGAAAACTAATCAAAATAATACAATGTTTATTCTTACGCAGGCACAAGGTAAGATCCAGCAACCCTTCCAAAACTTCTTAAGACCAAACTATTCCATTATTCATTGAAGAGGAAAATTGTGAACTTCCAGTTTGGACTCCATATGGGTGAATAGAGGCTATTAAATGGAATTAAAACTTTCATCAAACTGTAATCAAATGATATAAATTGCTAAAAATTATATAATGAAGGTCAGAAGTCCCATTACACTCATTTTCCTTTTAAAGCTATAATATTAGTCTTTCATATTCAATATCCTGCTAACAAGAAGAAAAAATTCATGAGACTAGTATGCATCTAGTATACTTGGGCTTAAACAAGTTTCTATGGCAAGCAACACTCTCCGTTATTTCAGCATTTTCTCTACCACAACCAGATGGGCAGCTTTGCCCTCCACTGTCCCTGCTGCCCTCCTTGAGCTCTCAGCTAGCTCATGCCACTTTTTAATATCCTCCCATGGGCACCGACACATTCTATCACCCATCGTTCAATTAAAATGTAATCTAATGAGCTACCTTTATCTATAAGACTCTTTATCTATAAGACTCAGTTGCCTATTGTAGATTATATTTCACATTTTTACAGGGAATAAATGGACAATTATTATACCATTTATATAATCATTAATGATTCTATTTTTCAAAGTCCAAATAGTGTCAGACCAAGAGGAAAGATCTTTTCATATATTCATTCATTTAATAGATACACACACACACATGAATTTAGGAATTAAGCACCTCTTGTATATCGGGCCTAGTGCTACTATTGAGAATGCATCGAGGAACAAAGCCACACTATTCCTGCCCTTTGGTAGCTCACTTTCTGGAGTGATGGAGGCATTAATCAAATAATATAAGAATAAACATGTAATTTATAACTGGGTTAAGTGCAATAACAAAGAACTTAGTTGTGCTATGACAGGATATAATTGGAAATTTGACCTAATTAGGGGCATGATGACTGAACTAAGAGAAGAATATGTAGATGTTCACTAGGCAAAGGAGGGGGATGGGGGAATGAAAATACTCTAGGTAGAGGCATCAGAAAGGGCAAAATCCCTTTGAGGAGTGCATGTGTACAAATCACTTCTGCTTCAAGCTCTCTGAGAGCTGGAGCCAGAGGTTATGGTGGCATTCTTTCCCTTTACATCCCACCATTTTCCCACACATGGCACCAACTCACCAGCTTGGTCAATGAATCTATGCCATAAGACTGAGGGGCAAGATGAAAAAAGCAATGCAAAACAAAACAAACAACAAACAGAATAAGCCAAGTTATTCGAGAAGTAACTATGATAAATAAAATGTGCAATTTCGTCGCTTCTTTAGGTAAAGATCTTTAACAATTTAAGCACTTATAATGTGATGCTGATTATTTCTAATGATTTGGCAATAAATCAATTAGATGGTGTACTCTAAAAGATTTTTAAATTTCTGAAGCAAAGATCTATTTAACCTATATGGAATTTAGATATTATTGATAATATGATGATTAGCATAAATATTTTTGGATACTTAATATTGCTTTGACATTTTCACACATCAATTTCTCTGCATAAACAAGTTTTTATATAGATAACATAAAAAATAAAGAAAAAAGGCTAGAAAAGTCTTATGGCCACAGTAGTTAATTTTCTGACAAACTAGTTTTCTTTATCTGTCAAATGCTTTTTTTCTTTTTTGGAGTATTATGCTCCAAATAAATGGTAGAACTTGATAGTGATTATTTCCTCATGCCAGACCTGGAATGCTCTCTATCACAGTTACAGGTGAGACAGTCCAGAGTCCAAGTCAGAAAGCAATGCATTTTAATCTTGAAAAGCAGGTAGTTTCTGGAAAAAGATAATCAGTAGTAATTCTTTAGGCAAGATAAGAAAGATAAGGAAAAGAAAGAAAAAAAAAACGCAAATGCTTTTCCACTGTGGAAATACTCTAGTGGACAGGCAGATGTTTCCATCTGGGATGTGTGTGTGTGTGTGTGTGTGTGTGTGTGTGTGTGTGTGTATCTATCTATCTATCTATCACTATATTTTCTGGTAGTGATACTATATGTAGTATCAATAACCTGCCATGTTATTTCTCACTATAATTATATATATTCCTTCTCCCCAGGAAATAACATGGCAGGTTATTGATACTACATACAACATCACTACCAGATACTATATACTACATACAACATAACTTTTATCTTCTGGGTCTGAAGATAAAAGTGATAACCATAATTATTTTTACCCTAATTAATGTTTTATGTCTTACCAAAAGGTAAAATCACTTTATAGATAATAGCATGAAGTTCAAGGCTGCCTCAGTTCTAATCCTAGGACATTGATAAAATTATGTAATTATTTTAAATATTTTAAATCTTTATCTATAAAATGGAGGTATTACCTCTTAGGGGAGTTGAAAGAATAAAATGATATAGGCTACATATACATACATATACATAAATATATTTTTACATATATGAAGTATTATATTATCATATATAGTATAAATACTTTATAAAATATATACAGGTATGTATACACAAATTTATGTTTCTGTACTTATCAAGTGCAATATAATGATGCATAGAAAAAAGACAAAATCTGACATCATAATCAGATTAATGATAAGAATATTTTTGATTTCCCATAACATAAGCCTTACGTAACCTAAAACATGGTGACACAAATTATCATCTACTACACCAAAAAGATTCCTCACTATTTCTTGTACCATTACTGTTTTTGGCTTGGAAACAGGTCCCTCATAGCCTTCCTCTCTGGGCTGCTCATGTGTTCATGCTTTCTTGGCCCTGCTATTTATTTCCTAATAGATGGCTGTCTCCCTGAACCTAGCAGTCTTTCACAGGGACTCCCACAAGCTTGTATCCCAATATTGGATCCAAACTCTACCATTCTTCCCTGGATTTTAACTGAAACCAGGCAGTCATTCCTAAGGAATCAGTGATAAAGGTTGGGATGTAATTGAAAGGAAGAACAATGTATAGAATGTTTTCCTCAGATTCCCTTGTAAGTTCTGCTCCCTCTTCTAGCTAGGGTTAGGAGGTTTTCTCTTTATCACATAGAAAATGTTGGTTACCTCCTTGCCCAAGAATCCTGGCCAAATCAAACTCCTGCTCCTGAATAGAAAAAGACTTTCTACTTAGTCCTGCCTAAAGCATGCTTCTCGAGTACATCAATCTGATTTTTTCCAAGGTATTTGACTCTGGGAATATCTATTCCCTTCAGGGGAAACCTCATACTGGACTCTGGGTATATGGTCTGGTCATGTGGTTCTAACATGACAGTCACATAAAATCTGGTCAGCCAGTCTTAAAAACACCATGTGTATTAATCATAACCAGGCCAGGTATGGATTGCCAAGCTCAGTTCAGTTCATTTTCATTGTCTTCTCATTAAAGGTTAACCATGTTTTAGGATTATAGCAAATTATTTTGGCATACACCCCACAATGGGTCATAAATTTAGATATGTTTAGGGGTTTGACAAATAATGTAAATGCAGAAGTTGTGTAGGACAATGGTTCTCAAAATGTAGTCCTGGGACCAGCAGCATCAACATCAATCACCTGGGAACTTATAAAAATGCACATTCTCAGGCCCCACTGAATACCCAGCAGATCAAACACTTGGGGAGGGGCCCAGTAATATGTTTTAACAATCCCCACTGGTGATTCTGACTCATGCTTAAGTTTGAGAACCCCTGGTATCAAATAATGGGGAGTAGTGGGTGACAGTAAACTAGAAAGTGCTAATGCATTAGAATCTAAGGTCAACAAACTGAGTTGCCCCAAACAAAATAAAAACACCACATCTGAGAGGAGAATTTATCCCATGGAACATGAGTTTATGCATGCAGATTAACAGGATTTGATACCTTTAATTTCTAGAATGCCTCAGATTTTAGTTGGTTAAGTTTGAACTGTCTAGAAAACACCTTCCCTGTGGTTATCCATCTTGCTGTGTTCAATTATTGCTCTCTAAATAGCACAGTCTTAACCATTCAGATCATTTGGAGTCAATGGGACATTCTCATAAAATAAGAATAGTAGACCATATTTGCACATTCCATGGAATAGAATGACCTGTCTCAATCAATTTTCTTATTGAATTGAAAATCTATAAAACTCATAAAAAGTCTTGCTGAACATGTAGTCCAACATGTTTGCTTTATAGATAAAGAAAATGAGGTTGGGAGAGGCTGGGCAACATGCTGAAGATCAAACGGTGAATTGATATAAAGGAGTTAATGTAGTGGTTATCAGAAGAAATCAAATGCATATATACTACACATTGGAAGAGCTGTATTCTCTTTGAAATTAATATTCAAATTTATAAATTATGAGTATATAGCATATATGAAACAAAAATTCTCAATATAAATGCATATGTGAAATTATAATCAAGGCCAGGGTGAAAATTATTCAATCTTTACCTTATGAAAAAGTGGTATGTATGAGGAATTCTTTAAGTATTCCTATTATAATTAATACATTTGAATATGTGCAGCATACAGCATGACAAAATAACTCAGTTTTATTTTCTCTGCCTTGATTCTTTTATCCATGGATCATAGGTTAGAATGCCATATATATTTGAAGCTCCTTTCACTAAATGACAGATTTATAAGAGAAGGGTTCTTGTTTGCCAGGTTCCTGTAGTATCCCACTTTTCAGAGTTCTTGGCACACTGTCAGTTTTCAATAAACAGTTGTTGAACAAATGAAAGCAAAGACAAGCTATTTATTTTTCTTGCCTACTCACATCCCTTTTTCTGAAATTATGCTCGTTTAGCCTTAGCTGAGTGAGTATATGGCAGAACCTGTATTTCAACCCTTTCCACGATGACTGATGGAATGCATACCTGAGAGAGCCAGGGATAAATATGGCCAATTACTTCCCTGTCTGGAAAATATGCAATTGGGACATGGAGGCTTCATGAGGCTGTGTTCAGCACTTGAACTGGGTGACTATTAGACTGGCTGTTTTCTGTGAATTTTTTATGGTCAAGTGACGATTAATCACTTATAATCTCTCAGGTGATAAGAATACTGCAGTCAATAAAACGTGCCTTTATGCTTGTATTTATAAGAATGTATAGATTATAAAAAATAATTTCATAAATCATGTTAAGAAGAAATTAGTGTTATGAAGAAAAATAAAGCAGGGTAAAATGATAGATATTTCAGTAGGGCAGTTGGGGACTGACTCTTGAGCTGGTAACATTTGATCAGAGACTTGAATGAAATGAGGAGCAAATCATATGGAGAGTTGGAAGGATAATGATCTAGGCAGAAAAACATCAAGCACAAACACTTGAAAGCACAAAGACTTGGTGGAGTGAAGTGAGTGAGACAGACTATAATAGGAGATGAGACTAGAGGCATATTTAGGAGTGGGATTGGAGTACCAAAATAAGGACTTCAGAAATTATTCTAAGAGCATGATTAAATATTTGAAGGTTTTAAAAAGAGGTGTGACTTATGTTGTGAAAAGGTGGTTCTGGTTGTTAAATAAATGGAAACAGAAACAAATTAAGGTGCTAATGCTGGTGAAGAATAAGATAATCGCTTAGATTTAGATGGTAGTGGTTGATATGGTTTGGCTCTGTGTCCCCACCCAAATCTCATGTCAAATTATAATCTCCAGTGTTGAAAAGGGGGCCTGGTGGGAGGAAATTGGATCATGGGGCAGACGTCCCCCTTGCTGTTTCATGATAGTGAGTGAGTTCTCGTGAGATCAAGTTGTTTAAAAGTGTGTGGCACCTCCCCCTTTGCTCTCTCTCTCTTGTGTTCTACCATATGAAGATGGTGCCTGCTTCAGCTTCTCCTTCTGCCAAGAGTTTAAGTTTCCTGGGGCCTTCCCAGAAGCAGAAGCCTGTACAGCTTGTAGAACATGGGGGAAGTCTGCCCCATGATCCAATTTCCTCCCACCAGGCCCTTTTTTCAACACTGGAGATTATAATTTGACAAGAGATTTGGGTGGGGACACAGAGCCAAACCATATCAACCACTATCGTCTAAATCTAAGCCATTATCTTATTCTTCACCATCGTTAGCACCTTAATTTGTTTCTGTTTCCATTTATAAGCCACAGGGGTGGAGTTGCCCAAGTCCTTTGGAGCCCACCCCTTTGCATCAGTGTGGCCTGGATGTGAGGCATGGAGTCAAAGGAGATTATTTCAGAGCCTTAAGACTTAATGACTGCCCTGCTGGGTTTCAGTCTTGCATGGAGTCTGTGGCCCCTTGGTTTTGGCCAATTTTTCTTTTTTGTAATGGGGGCATTTACTCAGTGACTGTACCCTTAATTGTATCTTAGAATTAATTAACTTTTTTTTAATTTTACAGATTCATAGGCAGAAGGGACTTGCCTTGTCTTAGATGAGACTTTGGACTTGGACTGTTGAGTTAATATTGGAATAAGTAAAGACTTTGGGGGATTGTTGGGAAGCCGTGATTGTGTTTTGAAGCGTGAAAAGGACATGAGATCTGAGAAGGGCCAGGCACAGATTAATATGGTTTTGGCTCTGTGCCCCCACACAAATCTCATGTCAAATTGTAATCCTCATTGTTGAAGGGGGGCCTGGTGGTAGGAGATTAGATCATGGGGTGGACCTCCCTTTTGCTTTCATTGTTATATTGAGTGAATTATCACTAGATCTGGTTGTTTAAAACTGTGTAGCACCTCCCTCTTTGCTCTCACTCTCTCTGTCCTTTTCTGACATGTGAAGACGGTCCCTGCTTTTCTTTTGCCTTCTGCCATGATTGTAAGTTTCCTGAGGCTGCCTAGATGCAGAAGTCTGTACAGTCCACAGAATTGTGAGACAATTAAACCTCTTTACTTCATAAATTACCCAGTTCCAGGTATGTCTTTATAGCAGTATGAGTATGGAATAATACAGTGGTGGATGTGCTAATGCCTAGATTCGAGATATATGTGAAAGTAGAGCTGAGAGGATTTACTGATAGTTTAGATGTGAAGTGTTAGCTAAAGAGATTTACTGGGTGAATCTGCTAAGTGAATATGATGTCATTTATGGTAATGAGAACACTTGGGGTAAAACAAGTTAGTAGGAGGTTGAAGTGGGCAACAGAATCAAGAGTTTGGTTTTGGGCGTGCTAAATTTAGGATGCCTATTAGACATGGAAATGAATATATTAAGTAGATACCAGGATATGTGTCTAGAGTTCAGCAGAGTGATTTATCAAGGCAGTTTTACTGGATTAGCAGAGACAAAAGGATGTTTGAGGTGAGTTCAAGAGTGAAGAAGAAGAAAGGAAGTAAAGACAATGGGTATATAGACAACTGGTACAAAGAGTTTTTTTGAAAGGAGATGGAGAGAGGTTACAAGCCATAAGGGGATTGTGGGTCTAAAGAATTTTTAAGATGGAATATTTTAAAACATTATAACTTGAATATATGTACAACTATGGGAATAATTTTGAAGAGTATAGGAAAATGATGACACGAGAGAGGGGATAATTGTTAGACTGATATCCTTGAGAGGATATCCTTGAGATGAAGGGGTTGACTATAGACAGGGAACAATTTATCCACACTAACAAGAATGGAGTCAGTATATATGCGGACAGACACAGGACAGTTGGAGGACAGTTGGTCAGTATGATGGTAGAGGAACATATGCTTTTCTAATTGCTTTTATTTTTTAGTGAAAGATGAGGTAAGTTTATCAGTTGACAGTAAGGTATGAGAAGGTGTTGGAGGTTTCTAGATAGATGAGGTATAACATTGTCTCCTCCAAGTATGTAAGAGCAAATTAACTAGGAAAATATCTTGTGCACAAGAGAAGACTGAAGGAAGAAGAAACCTAAAATCTAGAAAGAAGATCAAGTGTTACAAGAGAGACAGAGAGGGTAACCTTGGTTCTAGCCCCACAAAAGGCTCATTATACCATTTGCCATTGGCAATGTCTCTGTTGCATAAATCCATTTCCCCTCCCTGCATTTTTTTTCTGAAGCTGGTTTGAAAATCGCTTGCAATCATTATTGATTCTTGATGAAGACACTGCATAAAGATAGAAGATATTATCATCATGTACTAATCAAATTGTATTTGGTTCCTGGCAGTTCCTTTGAAGTCTTCAAAGCCTTTCCCTCTCAGTCAGTGAAAATCATCACCTCATAAAGGCAGGAAAAAAAAGTTATTTCCATCTTTAGAATTAAGTCCTGGAAGACACAGACTGAAGTTTATGTCATTAAAAGGTGATTTTGAAGAACATGAGATCAGTCAGTGTCAGTTTGTTTCTTAATCCCCTTTCCTCTCTATACTAGATAAAGATTCTACTGGCCCAGAAAGATGGAGAAAATTGGGTATGTGTAGTTCCAAACTTTTTATAAGCCATGGCATTCCTAAAAATTTAAAATATTTGCAAAGGCAGCAGGCGAAGAGCATTCAACAACAGGCCATAGCCAGCCACTCCAAAGAA
Source organism: Homo sapiens (assembly GCF_000001405.40). Lineage (NCBI taxonomy): Eukaryota > Metazoa > Chordata > Mammalia > Primates > Hominidae > Homo > Homo sapiens. The sequence continues at coordinate 125,077,940 of NC_000007.14, forward strand.
TGAGAGGATCAAAACCTTATTACACTTGCACATTGTATGCTTATATCAAAATATTATGTGTACCCCATAAATACATACAACTATTATGTATCTATAATAATTTAAAATTTTAAAAATTAAAAAATCTAATTACACCTGTAAGCCATTTCCAGCACAGGTGCACTGTGGTACAACTGTAGGGAAGTTCTGGTAGAAGAAAGGGGAGGGCACAGATACTGGTACCAGTCCACTGGGGAGTTCTGAAAAGACTGAGTTCTAATTCTTACATATAAACTTCTGGCCTGAAGATTGTGATTCTTTAAAAACAAAAAAGAGGGGGAGGTCAGGAAGGGGGAAGAGAGAAAAAGAGAGAAAGAAAAAACACTTTATGAACTTATGAAGAGATAAGAGAGTATGGTTTCTTGTTCTTACTTCCTCCTCTCCAGCTGCCTCTATTTCAGGATTAGACAAAAGAGGCTTTCCTTCCTTTCAGGAAGAACATCGATATGTACTATACGTTGCCAGTGAAAGGAGAGAAATGAGAGCTGTAGATAATGTGTGAAATCAACTAGCCCTCAGGTGTGGCATAATATCAGCTTTAGAAATTTGCTGAATAAGTTGAATGGCTGAAACTTTAATGACTAGTGTAACTTAAAAAGTCCTGATTGGGAATGTCCTGTATCTTTGATTTGCTTCTGTTGACATGGATTTGAGCCTCTTCTTGTTGAGTATGACTTTTTATTTTGGGGTGATTTAAATGAATTCATACAGCATTTGAAACCTCCCCAATTTATTAATTATCTTTACAATGGAAATTTTAGTTTCTTTCCTGAGATGGTTTCTCTGGGCTATGAAGTAATTCAGGTAAAAATTGTGAGTATTAAGAGAGATAAGTGCACATGCTGCTGCCAGTGCTGGAAATAAACGTCTTTCAAGGTCCATGATCAGTAAGAGAGAGAAGGGGGCTTTGGGGGAATGAGACTTCCCTAAATAACTTGCACTGGGTGGCCCAAAATAAATCACATCACATGACCGTGTGAAAGTCAAGTAAGAAAGAAAAATAATTGAGTCATTACAATATTGGTCCCAATTTGGAGATGATAACTGTCCTAAGAATTAAATCTACTTAGTACATAGATTCATCAGAGAAAAATCTTGATTGTAGATAAAAGACAACAAATTCAACAAGTAAATAGGAAGAAAAATTTATATGCCTATTAATTTGTATTGATTTCTTATAGTATGTGAATTAGAAACTTGACTAATTTTATATGTAGCAATTTTTTTTTTTTGAGATGGAGTCTTGCTCTGTCGCCCAGGCTAGAGTGCAGTGGCGCGATCTCGGCTCACTGCCAGCTCTGCCTCCCAGGTTCACGCCATTCTCCTGCCTCAGCCTCCCAAGTAGCTGGGACTACAGGCGCCCACCACCACGCCAGGCTAATGTTTTGTATTTTTTTTTTTTAGTAGAGACAGGGTTTCACCGTGTTAGCCAGGATGGTCTCGATCTCCTGACCTCATGATCTGCCTACCTCAGCCTCCCAAAGTGCTGGGATTACAGGCATGAGCCACCACACCCAGCCAAAATTTTTTTAAAAGTGATGGACCTTGGGAGGAATGTAATTGTGATTTCCAGGAGTGTGGGATACAAGACTGAGGTTCAGACATACATGCTGGTGTATAGTGAGGTGATACAGGAAGAAGAAACATGTGTATTTGGATCTTTATCATAAGCAGAAGCTGAAATACGTTTAGAGAAGAATATTCAAGATTCTTTAATCTTGCTGTTCAAAATGTATTCAATTTTTTTGAGAAACTTGAAGTTTTTGTCATATTTTCCCATTACCCATTAATGATTAAAATAAGAAATGAAATTTAGAAATGTTTTTATATGCAGTCTATCTAGATAAACTGCAGTAATTTAACTGTCTATTTTTCTAACCTGTCAATAATCTGTAATAGCATGTCTAGTGTTCTGTTAATTTGGTGTGAGGATGTAGACAGCCTTCTGTTCTTTTGTTTACAGAGTCTCTTAACTTTGTGGCTCCCCTGGCACTAATTTATTTTTTTGCTAAAAGGTAACAGAGTTACAAGTGCAAACATTTATTTAATTTGTTTAGATTTATAAAAACCATGCCCATGCTCTAGGCCTTTGGGGGCATGAACCAGATAAGAACATATGGTGTAATCTATTATTTTCTCAACTCTAGTTATGTGGAAAGGCATTGTTTAAATGTCAATGAGGAAATTTCAGATTGCCCGTCTTAGAACAGTGATTTCTTGGATAATGCTTAGGTAAATTTAATGAAGGTACATTTTATTGTCTTTAAATAATTCACCAAGACCACAATATTCAATCTTTTTAGAGTAGGAGGATTTGTTCAGAATTCCCTTCTACTCCAGGAAATTCAACTAACCTTTTAGTTATTGCTGTTGGGCACATCATTTTAAAAAAATCTTTGCAGTATACTCTGAGTAAATTTACAATATATTCAGATTGCTACCAGTCATGATTTTTTTCCAGCACCAATAGTCTTAATTCCTAAATGAAAAGTAATTTTTTAAAATGTGACAAGTCAGAGAATATATTTTTAAAGAGTACAGTTTTATCTACATTAAGTTTATATTTCCATGATTACTGTTGGCAGAATGGTTATAATTATTTTAGATAGTATAAAAGTGACTTCTGAACAGGGAAAGAAGGGATGAGTCATGACAAGCCAAAGTTTCAGAAAACAAAAAATTATTTATTTATTTACGTATTTATGTATTTATTTATTTATTTATTTTTACCAGAAGCCAAGCCCAGAAAATATGGGTTTAAGGTTTGCCTATATGTCCAATACAAGAGAAAAAAGAACATTCCACTTCTTTAGAAGGTTCTACTTTGATCTCCTGGTAAGTGGTTGAGAACAATTCTGAAATGTTGGTTGATTTTTTTTCAAGTCTTCCAAGTTGCTAATGTTGTTCATGTGTGTGAACACACACACATACACAGAGACAAACACACACACACTCTTCCAGGGTATTCTTCAGTGGCTGGGTGAGTGAATTGTTTTTTTCTCTCAATTTATATCTTAACTTTTTTTTTTTTTTTTTTTGAGACAGAGTTTTGCTCTTGTTGCCCAGGCTGGAGTGCAATGGTGCAATCTCCACTCACTGCAACCTCTCCGCCTCCCAAGTTCAAGCAATTCTCCTGCATCAGCCTCCCAGGTAGCTGGGATTACAAGCATGTGCCACCATGCCTGGCTAATTTTGTTGTATTTGGTAGAGACGGGGTTTCACCATGCTGGTCAGGCTGGTCTCAAACTCCTGACCTCAGGTAATCCACCTGTCTTGGCCTCCCAAAGTGCTGAGATTATGGGCGTGCACCACCACCCCTGGCCTATATCTGAACTTTTATTGCTGTTTTTGTCAGAAAGTCTTTGCTGAACTTTTGGGGTACTCATATTTTAGGGATCTGTACTATTTTAACTAGTAAACACCACCAAGAATCTCATGTGTCAGGATTACATTATCCTTCCTCTGCGTTCTTAGACAGGTCGACATGGCCTACTGGTGATTTTTGAAGAGATCTTCTATTTGGCAAAAAACTACATATGTCCAATACTGTTAAAACAGAGTGTAAAAAAATGTAATCCCTGCACTTTGGGAGGCTGAGGAGGGTGGATCACTAGGTCAGCAGCTCGAGACCAGCCAGACCAACATGGTGAAACCCCGTCTCTACTAAAAATACAAAAAAAAATTAGCTAGGCGTGGTAGCGGGCACCTGTAATCTCAGTAACTTGGGAGGCTGAGGCAGGAAAATAGCTTGAAACCGGAAGGCAGAGATTGCAGTGAGCCGAGATTGTGCCACTGTACTCTAGCCTGGGCAATAAGAGCAAAACTCCATCTCAAAAAAAAAAAAAAGTGATACAGCTTGGAGAACTGGAGGATCAACTCTTTGAAAATTGGCCTACAGACATTTTTCTCATGCAAAAACCAAAACTATTAACATTTAGAAAACAGCATTTAGTTGAATTAAGAAAAGAAAATTATGAAAGAATATGTAGAGATATTTATTTTAAAGAAACTAGAATGGATGTTTACTGTTTCTAGTGGTTCATATGTTTTATATCATTTACTACTAATGCTTTTTTTAGTCTATTAATTTGGATAACAGACTTAAATACCTGAGGTTTAATAATGAATTTCCTATGGGTTCAAAATATTTCATTCTAGGCAGTTACTTGCTCAGTATTTCACAGCGAAAGAAAGACAGCTTTAAGTGCTCATGCGTCCTAAGCAATGTCTCCAGCTTCTATCTCCTCCTGAGGCCCCAGATTTTCAGTGATCACTTCCACTTGGCCATTAGGTGGAGAACAAAAACTCAGTAAATTAATAATGGAGCTAATCATTTTGAATCTACTCTTACAGTTTTGTGTATTTCCCATCTCACAAAATATATACTTTGTTTTTTCCTCCTTCTCACCACCATATTAAACAATAACCTTTTTGATTCTGCCTCCTCATTATCTCTCAGATACAGTCAGTAGCCATACTGCCTCTATTTTTTTTCTTACTCCAAGATTGTAGCAACATATCCCTACTTTCTTTTCCTGCCATTAATTTGCAATCTTCCAGTTTGTCAAAGTAATTTTGTGAAACGTCAATCTGAACCCGATATGATGTGCTTACAACGCTTCAATGGCTCTCTGTTGCCCCCGTTATGACAACAAAACACCTTAGCACAGGACACAAAGCCATTGGTGATCTAGCCTTTGCTTACTCTCTACTCTCACTAATTTCATACATAGCTCAGCAGAAGTCATTAGGAGGATGGTTTATGTTACTGTGATGCTGTCTCCTCGACCTTATATGGAAGATAGCTTTACACTGAGTGTCTAAGGTAGCCAGTGTTCCAGTTATTAAGAAAAAATAGGAGGTACCTAAACATCTCAGTCAAAATTTGAGGGTGAGATACCTTTGCCTAGTGGTATTCCATTGTGTAATAAAGAATTCTTTAGCATTAAAGGACATTTGCAGGCACTCATGGTAGTGAATATTTGAGTTGCTTCATTTAGCAATTATGAAAAAGCTGTTATGAACATTCTGTTGATTTTCAGTAGGTTGAAGTTTTTATTTTTCTCAGGAAATACCTAGGACTGGGAGTGCTGGGTAATAGTATAAACCTAACGTTTAACTTTGTAAGAAATTGACAGTCCTTTCCCAAGGTAGTTTACACCCCTTCCAGGAATTTATGAGTTCTAATGACTGTATCTTTTCCAATTTTTGTTGTTATGTTATTTTAATTTTAGGGCTGTTGGACATTATTTATTAATATCTTATTGTAGTTTTAATTTGTATTTCTCTAAAGACTGATTGAGCACCTTTTCATGGCTTTTTGGCAATCATATTTCCTCTTTAAGTGTCTGTTCCAGCCTTTTTCCTATTTTTTATGGAGTAGATTGCTTTTATATTGCCAAGTGGTAGGATCTATCTATCTATCATCTATCTAAAGTGAATGTGTTTGTCAGTTAGATGTTTTGCACATATTTCTCCCAGTCTGTGGTTTGCCTATCTATTGTCTTCATTGTGTCTTTTTCGATGAACATACATTTTTAATTTTAATGAAGTACAATTTAGCATTTTAAAAAATTTATGCCTTTGCTTTCTGTGTCCAGTCTAAGAAATCAAGATTTAATGGTAAGCCATAAATGTATTCTGTGTTTTCCTCAAGAAGCTTTAGGGCTTTAGCTTTAAAATTTAGGTTTATGATCCATCTCAAGATAATTTTTATATGTGATATAAAATAGTGGTTGAGTCTCACCTTTTTTCCACATGAATATTCAATTATCTCAGAACCGTTTGCTGAAAAGACTTTCCCAATTCAATTACTTTGGGACCTCTATTGAAAATCAATTGAATGAGATTTCTGCTTCTGCCTGGCACGTAGAAAAATGGAAAGAGTGCCCTGTCCATTCTAACAACTATAAGTAGCTAAATAAACCAAAAAATCTTAACTTTTTGAGCCTATCAAAGAGCTGAAGTAGCAGGACAATCAAGTAACATGAAATAAAGGTGGAAATGACCCCTCCAGGGATAATGGCATATACAGAGTGGCTTATGTGTGGCTGAGTGTGGGAGAAAGAATGGCTACCAGGTAAGTGGTAAGAATCAGTTAAAAATTTAACATATTATTTGAGGCCAAGTGTGGGCTGGAATGTCAGATCATAATTTGTCACAGATATCTGTTGCTAGGTCTCATGAAATTTCACCCAGAGCATACACAACTTAGTATATAGTTAAATAGTGAGAGAACCCTATGCAAAATTTCTGCACCTCCTTTTTTCTATTCTGCAGACTCTAGCCAACTTAGTGGCTCAGAACTGTAGTCCTTGTTTCCCCAGCTAAGCAGAATCCTTGTGCTCTGTTTGGGTTTCACCTCTCTGCACTGCAGTCTAGAAAGTGTTTCCAGGAAGAGTGATTGTTAGGCTTACTTACGTATTTTCCTATCTGTACTCCTGTTCCCTGTATGCTGTCCTCTGAAAAGAATTGCCTTATATATTTCATAGTTTTACAGTTGTTTTTGGCCAGAGGACTAGTCTGGCACCAGTTACACTTTCATGGCCAGAGAATGTTCTTTTCAAGATCTTCTGCTTGTTAGTAAAAAAAGAACACAGATGCACAAACATTCAAACACACAATACAAACACAGAGAAAAAGTTTTTTAAAAGTGAGTTGATTAAGTAAATTTCAATATTTTCTTAATAAACCACATCAAAGATGGATTCTGAATTTGAGAACTTTCTCTTTAACAATGGTTTCATTTTTATATATTTAACTTCGCTTTATCTCTTTATACTACATATTCTCTGCCTTATGGCCTTACTTTTCCTTTTCTCTTGATAAAGTATTTTAAAATGCATAGCAATAGCCAATGAGAGAGACGACTAGTCCAGGGTCCATCTCCCAGAGTGTAATGGACCCCAGTTTATATAAGCAATTTGAGTAAAAATCTGTTGCATAATTCACAGGCTTTTTGCGAGGTATAGTGATTTTCTGATGATAATTTATAATTATGGGTGGAGAAATATTTAGATATTTCTTTATTGTTCAATCAGTGAACAAGAAATTTTTTTGAAGTGTCCAGGCACCATCTCTTCCTGTTCAGGTCCAGAAATAATCCTTTTTGGTTTTTATTTTCAAAAGTACTATTCATGCCCAATTTAATTTCTGTTACTATCCCATGATAAGATAGTTAACAATGCTTTTCTATCTCACAATGCTATGGCTCTTTGAAATGTACTTGTATTGAAATAATATAGGCCTTTTTTGCTTCTGTAGTTAGTTTGTTATTTCTATTCATGTAAGGCTGATTACTCAGTAATAATGATGCTCTATTATGTATTGTGCTGCCCATAGACACTGGCTTCCAATGATTCCCTCAAAGACTGTTGCTGTGTTCAATTCATAATGACCACAATTGCCAGTCTTACCCAGAGTATGCAGGGAAATCTGAATAATAATTGATTTTCACATTAAATTATTATTGAAAATTTTCTAGTATAATTGTAGAGCAATGCAACCTTCAAACATGTATTCTTTTGGCTGTAATCATTATGTTCACTACATTTCTAGAAGGTGATCTTTCAATGTGGACTGGACCTCCGCCTTCCACATATGGCATCCAGTGGGTTAGGTAGGCAAGAGGGAGGGAGAAAGAGTAGTACCATTAGTTCAAGGAATATCCATGTGTGTCTGGCATAGTCTAAGACTGACCCAGGAGCTTATAAGCTATGACATTTATCAGGAAAAGAAAGAACCAAAGAAAGATTGATGTTATGTGCATGAGTCTCTAAAGCTTTTGCAGAAGGCAGTGCTTGAAATGTGGCACAAAGCCTGCTACTAAAGGGCTAGCGTGATCTCCTTGAGTGTTAGCAGAAAGCGGATGTATGGTAAAAGTCATCTGCTACCCTCCAGGCACCACTGGACTAGAGGTGACACTATGGTTGGAACAAGGGCGAGAGCTAATGAATGAGTCCACATATGTCACATGCGTGACTTGAGCCCAAGGCTCAATGATGGTCCATCAGCAGCCCAGAGCCTTTAACTCATCTTATCTCCAATGTGAGTGAGAATCACCCAAATTAATGTGCCCACACCATTATGGTAGATCAATTCTATGAGATCCCATGGAATAAATACCTTACCAAACAGCTGGAACAATTTTTTTGCTAGGCTGTCTTTACAGGTCTGAGGCTCAACCATGATATCCAGAAAGACCACATAGGTTGAGTGAGTCCTAGAGCTTCTCGGGGCATCCAGTTGAGTCTATGTACTGAATAGAGGGTCGCAAAATGTCCCAAGTAAAAAATCAGGGGCTAGGATTTATGTCTATGCTCAGTCTGGACTACACTTAGATGGCACTGGTGGCCCCAAACCATGCCAGGCATAGGAGAGGGACTTAGAAAATTTTGAGGAAGGTACTTGGAAGCATGCATTTCTTGAGGTGTGGGGCCTAAGGCAGAGATCTAATGTTCAGATATAAAGGCAGTACTGAGGCAGACCTGAGTTAAAATGCCTAGAACATCCAAACTTTCAAAGTGGTTTAATGAAATAATTTTTTAAGTGGAGATAATCCAAGTTGATCTAATTAAGAATGAATTGTATTCTTTTTAGTTTCAGTGTGACTGTATTTTAAGTACTCATAATAATTTAAGAATTAATAAAGCTCTATATATGCACATATGAACTGATCCTTTTACTTGAAACTTCATAAATTAGTGATGTCTCCTGAATAAACAAAAGAAAGAACACTAAGGAATATTATATGTGAGAAAATGGTTTTCTTCCATGATATTATCCACAAAAGTTGTATAGCATAAAGCAGTGCATTAATTTATTTGTCCTAAATTAATTCTCTTGAGTTTGAAGAAATAGGAAAGAAGGGCTAGTATTCCTGAATTTGTGCAACAGATATGGGATTACACTATCCCTGCGCTCTATATGTTCAGAAGTTTCAAGGAGCCGCAGTTTTCTGGAACTATTCACAACTCTGTACAGCATGTCTGTATATTTCTATATTCTGGCAAAATTGTTTTTTAAAGTTAATAAGATAATTTTACAAAACCCTTGATTTCTAACCTTTCTGAATGTTAGAGATTGCATATTGCTAAGAATAAAAAAATTATCATAATTTTTATCCTTGGCTAGAATATAAAATTTTTCTCTTTCAAGGTCTTTTAATTTTAGAAAGATGGAAAAGCCTGAAATCTTTAGTTAGCTTTGAACTACAAGGATTCTTGGGTTTGTAGCTACCATTTAAATAACGTGAAATCACATAAATCCTGCATCTATGTGGAGGATAAATAAATAAACTGGCAAAGGTAAAAAAAAAATCAGCGAATCTAATTAAATACTATTCACAGAAACCAAACCAAACTAGCAAAAAAACCTACAAGAATATATATAGACACCAGTAGATATTTGAAATAAATTAAACTTCTCCAACCCTGCACGTAAGGAATAAATTGAGTGAAATTGATGGTGTATTTGGCCATAGATTAAGATGAACTGAAATTTTTAAAGTTCAAAATTCCTCAGTCTAAATGAGTTTGATGCTTGTCAGAAGTCATTAAGAAAATCCAACTAATTCTAGTGATCTCTTAAACCTTAAAAACATTACAGCTGTACCCACTGTCCCTGAAATATGAAATATACATTTCTATATAAAGTACAAGCAAATAATTTACAATGATTATGAATTAGAAAATGCAAGAAACTTTTCAAGTAAGAGATCTGACTCATTAAATTATTCCTGAGCTCAAGTGGAGCAAGACTCCTGGATCTATACATATTGGTTATGTACCCCAGAAACCTGAAATGTTTTTTAAAGTTACCTCACACCTTTTAATCTAATTATCTCAATTCCATTTCTCATACATACATTTCTTATGCTTCCATAGGAATTTTAGGAAATATTGAGGATCCGGGAGTCTTATAAACCATGATTTCTCAACCTTAGTGCTACTGATATTCAGTGCTGGATAAGTCTTTGTTGGGGGGCTGTCCTGTGCATTGTAGAATGATTAACAGTGTTCCTAGTTTCTACTCACTAGATGGTAATAGTGCCCTGACCTTCTTCCCCTCATTATGACAACCAAAAATGTCAGGAAACATTGCCAAATATCCCCTAGGAGGCAAAATTCCTCCTGGTTGCGAATAAATGCTATGCATTACAATTATACAGGATTTAGCTTCATTGTTGACAAGGAGCAACTGCAGAATTTTTCTGCTTCCCCAGAAAGTCAAATACTTTAATATATGGGAAGAACAAAGAAAGATATAATTGTACACATTCCACTGATTATATCCATAATGCATAGAAGTAAAAAGCTTAAGACTGACTGCAGCACACAAATATGTATCATTTAATCCAAGTATCATCCTGCACACTGCAGTTGTTTGTTTCTTACTAAGTTTGAATTAGTTGCCAGCATTTACAATTAGACTATTTCACTGAAAAACCAACCAATTACTGAAATAATTATGACTTCTCTTGAAAATTAAGTTCTAGCAAAATTGTGCCCCAATTCTCAAAAGAATAACTCACTAGATGTTGCCTTCTTTAGACAGGACATGTGTTCTCTGTTTTATCACACCTGACCTATTTTTAAAATTTGCATTACATTACCTACATAGTCTTATGATGACTTGAATTTAAAACTTCAATAAGTCAGAAAATTTAATGTTGAATCAAAAGCTCAATTAACTTTAAGGAATACAGTCTAAGCTCTAAAAATAAAGAAGAAAAAGAAGAGTATTAGTGGAGAGGAGCAATTGGTATGAGGAAGAGAAAGAATGATTCATTATTTTCTGCAATCCAGTGGAACTGGGTGTTACATGTTGCTATAGATTTTAGCAATTAATTCACTTGTGATAAAATTCTTCGAACTTTTCAAAAAGAGTTTTGAATTTGAATGAGTACAATAACAGACAATATAAAAATAGTATTATCTGTCTTTCTTCTATCTTGAGTTAATTTTTGTATAAAGAAGGGGTCCAGTTTTAATTTTTGGCATATGGCTAGCCAGTTATCCCAGCACCATTTATTGAATAGGGAATCGTTTCCCCATTGTTTTTGTCAGGTTTGTGGAAGATCAGATAGTTGTAGGTGTGCGGTCCTATTTTGGGGTTCTCTATTCTGTTCCAATGGTTTATGTGTCTGTTCTTATATCAGTACCATGCTATTTTGGTTACTGTAGTGCTTAACAAACTAATGCAAGAACAGAAAACCAAATACCACATGTTCTCACTTATAAGTGGTAGCTAAATGATGAGAACACACACACACAGAGGGAAACAACACACATTAGGGCCTTTCCGAAGGTGGAGGGTGGGAGGAGGGAAAGGATCAGAAAAAAAAATAATGGGTACTAGGCTTAATACCTGAATGATTAAATAATCTGTGCAACAAACCCCCATGACACACGTTTACTCATGTAACAAGCCTGCACATGTACCCCTGAACTTAAAAATTAACAAAAATAAAAATAGCATTATCTGGATTCATTCATAGTATTGAAAAGATCAGATGAATCAAGTTGTGGCCCAGAGACACATTCAAGTAAGTAGAACGATGGGTCAATCTTCATGGCACCTTAGGAATATGCATTATTCTCTGAAAATGTATAGGGATGCTTATATTAGGAATGTATATTCTCTAGCTAGTAATAAATACAGTACAAATTACCATGAACAATAAGTCATCTCCTTTTGTTATTTTATTTTAGATTCCAGTTGTGAAAAAAAATTGTGCCTAAAGAATATAGTCCCTTTATAGAATTGTTTTGAAACCTACCACAGGTATTTCTACACAGGTAGGTATAAAGTTGTACCTTGGGGGCTATGGAGTATAGTTTGGTTTCATTAGTTCCATTTTTTATTAGTACTACCCTGGAAAAATGCCTTCCAAATTACCATAAGCAGAGATCTTTTAGAGACTCAAATTGACACAGGGTGATTGTTCCAAATAAGCATAAATGTAGTATTTAGAGAAAAATTTTAAATATAATTCTTTATGGATACAAGAATTCTGGGAAAATGATTCCATGTCTTTGAGAGGCGATTCTGTTGCAACTTTTCAAATAAATATAAATTCTTATCTATAAAATACATATTAGTCGCTGGATGCGTTTTACTTTTACTTAGCACACGCTGTTTGGAATAATTTTTAAAATACTTTATTTGCATGTAGTTATAAAATGTAAGCAAATAAAATATATATTAAAATATTTCAAAATATTAATATTTAAAAATAATTGAAAGCAGAAGTAGTCCAGTAATAGTTGGTAAATCACCAGTTCATTGTAAGTGAAAAAATATTTAAAGTAAGAACACTGTTTACCATCCATAAGAGTTTTTGCTTTATTTGTCTTAAAAATCAGAGATATTGGGAGTAACCCATAAAACTTTTAGTCAGAAGAAAGAAATATTACAGTTCCTTTTTGGAGTCAAATAAGACACTGCAGTAAGAATCAATGTTTCAATAATTTTTAATGTATGCAGATTTTATAGATAACCCAGAAAAATAATATTATCATTTAGAGTAGTTCTATAATACTTATAATTTATAGTAGAATGAAGGCTCTGTATTTTTTTTATTAGAAGTTTTAGTTATGAGAGACCTCATACATAGAAAAAAGGCATAGTATTCTAATCTGGTACTTTCGTTTTTCCCCTCCAATATGTTAGTATTAGTTGACAGTAGATTCTCCCTAGCTAATGTTAACTTAAATATAAATAAATAAGGGGTTTTTTTTTAATTTAGCAATAACTTGAAGGTAGTCCGCAGGTGGCCTTAGCTTGGTTCATTGGTGTCTGGGCTGTTAATTTCTTTGGATGGTGATTAATCACTCAGGCATTTAAGGCGTAACAAAAAGGAAAATACAGTGCTAGTCACATTTCTTCCTTTTTATTAAGAATGTAAAAGGCTTTTTAGTTTTCCTCTTGTGTCCCATAAGCACCATGTCACATGATGTTCCTGGCCACAAAGGACATTAGAAAGTTGAATATTTGTATTTATCAACTTTTACAGTAATAGGCAAACAGGGAGTTTGGGAAGAAGTATTGACCACAATCTATGCCTAAATAATAATTTAGTTTAATTTGATTATGAAATGATATATCATATAAATGGAATTGAAGATTAAATGTTTTTAAGAACTTAGTTTTCTCTAGTTTACTACAATCACAATTCTAGCAGGGTTTGTCTGGGGGAAATTGACAAGTTATTTCTAATGTTTTCACGGAAAATCAAAGGCCATGAATAACCAAGGCACCCTTGAGCAAGAACAAAGCTGGAAGATTTATATACCAGATATAAGATTTATTATTTGATAATAGTAGTTAAGACTAAAGTATTAACAGAAGGATAGACAAATTGAGCAATGGAGTAGAATAACTGTTTCAGAAATCACATGTATAAGATCGTTCGATTTATAACAAAGTTGACATGGCAGTGCAGAGGGAAAAGAGTGGTCATTTTCATACATGGTGCTGGGTTAGTTAAAGGTCTAGGTAGAAATAAAAATAAGTGGCAATTCCCTACCTATACCATACAAAGCAAATCATTTCAGGGTGGACTGTAGGTTTAACAGGAAATAGAAAACAATAAAGCTTTCAGAAACTATTAGAATCTCTCTCTCTTTCTTGATTTCTCTTCAAATTTCTTTCTATCTCTCTGCCTCTCGTCTTTATGGAGTACCTGAAAATTGTCCCTAACCATTTTGTTAGGAGAAACTAGATTTAGATCCTTGGAAGTTGTATAATTAATTGCTTGTGTTATGAGAGTTGGGTAGGTCTGAGAGGAATGAGAGTATGAAGTGAGTCTCTAAAATCAGCCTATTGATTGCATGTAGGGAAGTTGCCATCCACCTCCCTGCTTTTACTCCCATTCCATGGTTAAGGAATTATACAGAAGGAGATTTTGTAGTACTTGTGCAGCATCAGTTGGTAACAGATGTCTGAAGCAGTCATTTGTTTAAATAATCCAAGCTTTTATGACCGACAGCTTAATTTAAGCAATGTGTTGAAAATAACGTTTATTTCTGGCCACTGCTTTTCGTGGTCAGGATACAAATGTATGGATTTTTCAAGTGCCTGTTTTTCCAGAGATTTTCTTAAGCAAATACCATGAATTTTCCCATAGAATAAATACTTGAAGTTTAAACGGGTAAATAATGAAATCTTCGTCCCTCAAAGAGGGATTCTAGGAAAAAGTGCAAGATGGAAAATGTTGGGTGTTGTTTCAGGTGACAAGGCTAAACTGCTATGATTTTAGGGACAGGGAGAAATTCCTTCTGGGCTGAGGGATCAGAAGTGATTTTGTGGAGAACTGACATTTTAATAGGAATAGGTAGTCAGAATTTAGAACTACAGAGATGTAGTTTGAGGCATTCCTGGGCAGTGAAAAGACCATGAGCCGAGTGATACAGGTATGAAATCAATATATTCCAGTCATCAAATATAATGTAAATAATCAGTAAGCTGATTAAAATGATTATAGGGAAAACCCATAGCTTACAGTAACAAAATTACACAAATAAATGGGAATGAATTTAATAAAGAGGAAGGGTTTAAACTATCTACAACCAAATGCCAACCTGGAATTTCTGTGATTAAACTGCTGAAAAAAAGTACAGGTTTGCACCATTCACGATTGTTAAAACATGATAAACTATTTATAAATCATTCTCTCAACACCATGCCTGTTAAATAGAATCCTCAATACAAAAATTCCATACCTAAAATAAATATCACAATGAAAATTACACATAATCTTGTATAGTACATGTGTTTAAATTAGTGTGACTATGAACTGTAGTTTCTCTGATAAGAAATCATCCAGAAATGCTCAAAGTTAAAGTAGGTTGCTTGGGACAAATAGGCATTTTATATTGTCTGACACTCATCCCTGCAGTAATTTAATTTTATCTTATATGAAGTAGGTCATTTTGTACAGATATAAACTTTCTGTTGTGTACTGTTCTCCCTTGACACCCATGTTATATTGACATTGTAATTTTTTCTGTAGTTCTTAGCAGTTTTTATGCCACCTCAACTTGTAAAATCACGAGGTTTTACCCATATTACAAATAAGTAATAGCAATGATTACCTAGTTACCTAAACTTGTCTATTTTTAATACCCACAGGTATAAAAAGAAATTTTTCTTTCTGTATTTCATTCAGAAGCATGTTATATGGACACATTTATTTATACCTAGCATTATATGAATCTTGTTTTCTGTAAAGCTTTATGAAGTAGGTCAAACAGGAAAGTAAACTTGCTAAGTATGAAGATAATATATATTGGTTTAGCAAAGACTGAATAATATGGAACCTCATCTATCTCATTGCTAACTTATTTTTTTTTACTTTTAGCTTTTCCCATCATTGTTAGATAAACACAACTAGGATAGAAAAATTCTGATGTTGACATCTTATAACCAGGCCAGATAGATGCAGTTTATTAGAACTATGTGGAAAAATAGAATAGGT
This sequence comes from Homo sapiens, assembly GCF_000001405.40. Taxonomy (NCBI): domain Eukaryota; kingdom Metazoa; phylum Chordata; class Mammalia; order Primates; family Hominidae; genus Homo; species Homo sapiens. The sequence continues at coordinate 125,093,457 of NC_000007.14, forward strand.
TGGTCAGAACTTATCTTGGAGGCAGAGTCTGGCATAGACGAAGATGTCATTTGGAGTTTAGGATTTCGCACACTGTCCTCTTGGTCCTTCTATTCTTTTTGAGAAGCCATTAATAGGCCAGAAGATAGATATAATTAGAAAATTAGAATTGGATGAGCACAGCATGTAAAAAGAATTTTGTGTATATAGGAGTAAGACACATCCAAATTCCTGAAACTGTTGTATTCTTGAGTAGCTTTTTGTTTTGCTTTGGTTCAATAATTTTCTTTTTTCTTTGCATATTTTTAGTGTACATTTCACTTACTCATCTTTAAACTCTTTCTGAGAACAATAAATTTATTTCAAATATATTTTAACTTTGAGAATATATCTTTGGAACCCCTCTTTCTCATCATTCTGGGATTTCGTTTGTCTCTCCATGAGGCATCCTTGGTGTTCTGGATCTTTTCTTGATTTACTTCTTTATTTTATTAAAATATATCCTTTAGAAGCTTCCTGTTAAATGATACAAGGGAGATTAATCTTTTGAGAACTTGAGAATTGCATATTTAAAAATGTACATATTCTACCTTCATGTGAGATTGAGAGTACAGTTCAGTATGGAATTCCAAGTTGAAAATTGAGAATATGGTGACTGAAAGCATGCTACGTTGGCTCCATTGTCTTTTTTCTAGTGTGACTGTGGAGGAATCCAATGACATTTCTTCCCTAAACTTTTGTAACAGCATTCCTTGTCATGAATCTTTTCTCATCTCTCTTACTGAACACTTGGTGAGTATTCTAAGGAGAAATCTCATATCCTTCAGATATCCCTCTAGAATGTTTTGAAATTATTTTCTTTATAATATACTCTTCTTATTTTTTTCTGAAACTGTACTTATTCAGCTATGGCACATGCTGAATTGGATCCAATTGCCATTCTACTTGCATTTTTCTTTTTCTCTCATTTATCAAAGATTTTCCTCAACCGTATCTCAGCTGCAACTCTTGAATATTATTTTTCTCCAATCATTATTTTCTCCAATCATTATAAGAAAAGTCAGGAATACTGTACTTTTCTTACCAAACTAAGTAGACAGTGACTTCGAAAATATTTAACAATTTATTAGTTAGAATAGTTTGTCTTAGGTGAGTTTCCCTACAAGCAGAGTTTGAGGAGGGATTTTCATTCAAGGTGCTTATGGAGGGTGCACTCTCTGGAGAAAGAGAATGAAGGAAGTATCCTAGGTCAGGAGGAGCTAAGCAAGGTTGCCCTTTGTTGAAGTCCAGCTTCAGTCTGATCCCCTGAGAAGCTTTCGATAGGAATTATGCATGAACATGGTTTCCATCTTGAGGCAAGTGGGCCTATCAATTAGTCAATAGTTAATGTGGAAGAAGGTCAGAGGGAATGTACAACTAAGGCCATTTCCTGAATAAAGAAAATCTGTAGTTAGCAGCCAACATTCACAGTGGCAGTGGTATGCATAGGCCTGCCTGATCAAGGAGATCTGCATGGGGCAACAACAACATCTATTACATGTCTTTACCATTTGAAAGCATTGAATATATTCATCAGGCACACCTAACAGCAAACTGTTTTATATGGCTTATCAGATAGCTTGATACAAATGAAGGTGTTACATTTCATCTCGAGTTTGATTTTGCAAAAACTTTAGTAAGGAAGATGGTCTTCAGTCTTAATAAAAGCAAAATTAAAATATTTAGTATACTATATGCAGTGTATCTACATAATTCGGCAAACTGTAACTTATACTCTTTTAGATCTTGCTAAGGAGTCTGGATATAGGGAAAATGGCTGAGTCTTCAAAAACTTTTTTTTAAACAAAATTCAATTTATTTGTTGGTTTGCTCAAAAGTGATTTTTTGGTTTGATCATTTTGCTTTGAACTTACTAGTTGTTTATGCTTGACTACCAGGCATATTGCAACTCAGAAGTGGATAATAATCCAAGATCAGAATAAGTGACTCAAACACAGCAGCCAAGATGCTACCCAAAGGGAGTAGCCATTAAGCCTTTCATTTACCCTCAGATATTTATAAAGCATTATGACTGTCCTAAGTACTGGAGATTCAGATGTAAAATACATAGTCCTGATTTCAAGAAGTTTATTAGAGTATATGTGTGTGGAGGGGTGAGGAGATGCCAGTTAACAAGCATAATTGAATAGTGTAAGTGCTGTCATGTGTGCTATAGACCTACAGAGTGTCAGCAGCTCACCCAAAATGTGAGTAGGAAGTTAGAAAACACAGCAATAAAAAATTAACCTCGATTTTGAGTTTTAAAGCATGTGTATAATTTTATCAAGTGAAATTGTAGTCTTGGGCAATGGGTGTTATACTGGACCAACAGGAATCACTAAAGAATTTTGAGCAGGAGAATGTCATGGTAATATTTCTACTTTAGAAATAAAAGGTATTTTCTTAATTTAATCTATGTACATTAAAAGGAAATTCTAGGAACATGGTGTCTGAACTCAGATCTGTGAAGTCCTCTCTTTTAAACCCTTCTTGGAGAAAGACCATAGCCATGATGGAGCGGGAAAATTGATGTTAACTGGTATTAAGTAACTTTACTAGGTACCCTTAGTTGTGGTTTTCTTTATTACTAGCCTGTTTGGGTTCCTAGGGCTTCTCTAATTGGTGTCTTAGTCAGTTTGCACTGGTATAACAGAATACCATAAACTGGGTAGCTTAAACAACAAACACTTATTTCTCACAGTTCTGGAGCTGCAAGTCCAAGATCAGGGTGACAGTATAATTAGGTTCTTGGTGAGGGCCCTCTTCCTGTTTTACAGACAACTCCTTTTTTGCTGTATTCTCAAACTGCAGAGAGAGAGAGAGAGAGAGAGCTCTGGTCTCTTTTCCTCTTCTTATGAGGATGCTAATCCATCATGAGGGCACCATCCTCATGATTTTGTTGAAGTTGATTACCTTCAAAGGCCCCTTCTCCAAATACCAATACATTGGGGGTTAGGGCTTCAACATATGAATTTGTTGGGGGACATAAGTATTCAGTCCAAAATAACTAGTTTTGAAAAGTTCTGTCATCATCTCTTCAAATATTTCTTCTACTCTTTTATATCTCCCTCCTCCTTCTGAATCTCCAGTTATATATATATTAGAACCTCTACCAATTTTCATGCTAATTTCTGTAATGCATTTCAAAAAATTACTTTAGATATTTTCCTTTGACCATTTTTACAACTAATATACTGCAGATTACTAAATTGTGGTGTAGTCACACAATTTAGTACTATCCAAAAATGAAATGAGTAAACAATAGCCATCACAGCCCTTATGTCAAGATTTTGAGATTTAACCCGAACTTACCCCATACAGTTGTTGTATGCACACAAAAATACATATAGTATAATTTCATGTGTATAAAGCTCAAGAATGAACAAAGTTAAAAACAGTAAATTTGTTTGATTATTCATAGGTGGTACAATGAAGAGAAATGAATAGAAATAATATGCATGGGGTGATGGGGGGTGCTGCTAAAGGGATATGATGGAGATGGGCACACAACTGGCTTGAAAGAAAGATCCATTCCTTAACCAGAGGAATATCGGTGTTGCTATGTAGGTGTTCATTATATTATTCTTATTGAAATGAACAGAAATAGTTTAAACATTATTTTGTCTATATGACATATTTTCTCCACACAATTAAAGAAAACAAAGAAACTGCGGGGCCAGTATGTTGGGTTTCTTGTGTGAAAGGTAGATAGAAATGAGTGAGCCCAGCTGTGCTAGAGGACTGTGAAGAGGAGGAAGAGAAGGAAACTTTCAGAAGGAATGAGTTACAAAGTACAGAGGCCTCATGTACAATGGTTTGCACAATGAAATAGAAAGTGAGAACACTGACTCCATCACTTGAGATGGGTAAAGAGGGAATAAATATCCTTTGAAAATGCTATGGAAACAGCCATGTCACTGGGGGTATGTTTTGAAAGCTTAAGTCAGTGGTATGAGCAGGCACAACATAGGAGGGTAATATTTTGGAAAACCATAGATGGGAGGTACAAACTAGTTGTGAAATGAGATAAACACGTTCAGTCCTGAAATCTTTGGCAGGAAAGTGTGCAATTGCCCTGTGTTTAGATTGAGGAAAGGCGTCTATTTCTGCCTATTATAGTCAGATCAAATAATAGAAAAAATGACCACAAAATGAGTGGTTCTGTCTGTGGGGAAGGATGAGTTTCGGGCCAGTTTCTAAACTGATGAGTTTAGCCCTTTGACTTGGGTATTTATTCCTCATGGTCCTAATGGCCTCATGGTGCTAGTGAGGACCTATTTCTGATAGTGGTGTTTTTCTTTGAATTTGTAATCAATGCACATACAATGACCTTAAATAATTTATGTTGGGAAGTTGGGGGCAAAGGGAGAGAGAGCATTAGGACAAATATCTCGGCATGTGGGGCTTAAAACCTAGATGATGGGTTGATAGGTGCAGCAAACAACCATGGCACATGTATACCTGTGTAACAAACCTGCACATTCAGCACATGTATCCCGGAACTTAAAGTAAAATAAAAATAAAAATAAAAAATTAATAATTTATGTTATCTCAGTTCTGATCTAAGCTATGTGGTCCTCTCTAAGCACATAGATGATTTGCATACTCTTTTGCCCTTTCATAGCTCTTTGTTTGAAAAAGGAGGTTGGGGGAGGTAGACCATTGATAAAAGTCTCTCCTACCTCTTTGCTTGGCTAAATCTTGCCCACCCTTCATTCGGGTTCTAGTTTATATGTGACTTCATGAGGGAAGTCAACCTTCATCTCTCATGTCTGATTTAGACACTCCTCTTGTGTCCTCTAGTATTCCGTCCTCTGTCAGAACACTAATCAAACTCAACTGTCATTGCTGGCTTAATGATATTTCAATGTTTAGTGAAAATCCTTTAGATAACTTAAAATATCCTTTTCCAGTAGCCATGAACTTTAGCAGCTCCAGGAAACATTGTTGTCAAATATTTTATTAATGCCCATCTTTGAACAATGCTGTATTAGGACAACTTTCTCATATACCACTTGAGAAGTTTTTCTTTTATGATTGACAGCTGAAGCCTGACAAGGGCCAGCCAACCAGTCAACACTGACTCATTTAGAGAACAACTTCATCTTAAACTGTTGAGAAGCAGAGGTGACAGCAATGTGTTTCCACACTATTAATATGTTAAGAGAAAGCGAGTAGGATTTTTACCCCAGCTAAGACAATAACACTAAAATACTGAAACTGTCAGGCTAAGCTAAGCAGGAATAGCCTGGGTCAGTATTTGGTGATGTCTCTGAGGAATACCTTCTGTAGAATAGCTATTTTAAGAAATAAATCAGTAACATGAGTATCTATGAGTCAGTTCTGCACTAGCTTTCTGGTTCAGAAAATGCCATACCAATGGAAATGGTGCCTTAACAATGATTCTTACTTTTGGTCTGTTATACTTGTGATTATTATTCCTCACAGGAGACTTGCCCATGCAGGGTAAATCATTTTCTGCAGTCCTAGAAGCTGGTGGATTCAAACTGAAACCTTTTAGGAGCAAGTGGTTTACAATTCAGTGAATAAGAGCAAAATTTATAATTCATCCTCTTCCTCCACTCTCCCAACACCTTATCAAGGTGTTCTAAAGTAGGAAGGCTGGGCAGGAAAGGCCACTGTCTCATGCCAGAAAGGTAGGGGTATCATATACAAATTATAAATGCCTAACAAATGCTGAGAAGGAACAAACTTCACTAAGCTGCATTTTTGATATCTTGGGGGAAAATAAAGTGGAAGTGAGCTTTCCTCCAAAAAGAGTGAACAGAGCAGTTTTAAAATAACCAAATACTTATTAAGACATCAAAAATGGTGGTATATGAACAAATGTGTCAAGTAGCAATTATTTTGTGTGAAGGGGGCAAAATATTATATGTAAGTGTTTAAAATTGTCATTCTCCTCATTCAGGAAGATTTCTGTATTTGTCTTCTTAACTCTTGAGTTTTGTTGTTGCTAATATTGGATGAAGAGGAGACAAAATGATTGGATCTAGAGGAGCACCGACAAGCAAATGGCAGGTAATGAAAGAGTCCTTTCAAGGAGGATGGAGAAATGTTGGCACATATTCTAAGCTGAAAAAGACTCCTCTGATGGATGTCAAGCAGAGAAGAGATTCTCTGCATGTTTGGAGCAGTGGGCAGGAGTGGAGGAGGAATACCTGCATAGACAGGGAAGTGTGAGAAAATATGCATGCCAGAAAGTAAGGGATGTAGCAATAGAGAGATTTGACAGCAGCTGCTCGAATGCATAGATAGTTTGAAAGACACACCATTAATAGCGTCACTGTAGACTGCAGTTAAGATGTCTTTTTAATGCATTTTGAATGTCAGATTGATGAGTTTCAGTTTGTGTGCTTGTTCATAAATCAACACTTTGCTGAGACTGGCTTAGAGGAAGTACACTTATATTCAGGGATGATATTCAAAACAACATATATGAACACAGACCAATAAGACAGTTGCCTGACCAATTAGGATGGAGGCCAGCCTTCATGCAAAATGGTGTGTAGCCACTCACAATGAGTCTTAAATTTCAGGTTACCATTGTGAGCTCTTAAAGAACAGTATTGTTCTTAGTTACTTTAAACAGAGTCAAACAAAATAATGAATGTTTTTATTATATATATCACATGATCCATATTATCATTTTTCACAATCATTAAAAATTTGAGGCCACAGAATTAAATGAAACTCCATTAAACCTTAGGGCTATAAAGCTATAGTAGGGTACTTCATATAATTGAGAAAAAAAATTAAAGAAGCTAGAGACACAGAAAGTAAGGCTTAAATATTTTAACCTTGATCTTGATTATTTTTCCAATATTAAAAAAAGCAAAAAAAATTTTAAAGTTATTAGAAATATAATCATTAGGCTAGTTCAATAGCAAATGAAGATTTACCAACTTTTGTTATTTTATATAAGTTCTATAGCCTTTAAATAAGGAGAAATTGCTTTAGATTTTGCTTAATATAAAGATTTAGAAGAAAATAATTTTCTCATTATTAGCCAATAACAAATCTGATAACTCTTAAAAGCTAAATCATTTGGAATAGAAACTTCTCATATGGTATTGCAATGGGTTTTCTAACACCGTAAAATGTAATATTAGTAAAATAAATTTTGAGATATAGTGATGGCCATCATGTTTTTCTGGAACAAATTTGCAAATTAATTTTATGGTAGAATAGGAGTAACTAATAAAGTAGTAAGAATCACTAAGAAATTTATGGTTATTTATAACACAATTTTGTACTATTTTCTTTCTTTCTTTTTTTTTTTTTTTTTTTTTTTTTGAGACATAGTTTTGCTCTGTTGCCCAGGCTGGAGTGCAATGGCACAATGTCGGCTCACTGTAACCTCCGCCTCCCAGGTTCAAACGATTCTCCTGCCTCAGCCTCCTGAATAGCTGGGACTACAGGCATGTGCCACCATGCCCTGTTAATTTTGTATTTTTAGTAGAGACGAGGTTTCCTCATGTTGGTCAGGCTGGTCTCAAACTCCTGACCTCAGATGATCTGCCTGCCTCGGCCTCCCAAAGTGTTGGGATTACAGGCATGAGCCACCATGCCCGGCCTGTACTATTTTCTTCAGAGACACTAGGTTCAGTGGATTGACATAGATGTTTTGGGCTTGTACTGTTTGCCGTGAATCTTACTAAAATTTAATTTATTTTAATAAGGAAATAGTGGTATTACAATTTACAACTTTTTTTGTAGAATGGTAGAAAAATATTTCTAAAAAATACTTTATGGCAAATTACAAATAAGGATGGGCTGTTTTAAAGGTAAAATATAATTGGAGGAAACCAATTTAATATTTTTTTCTAAAAAAAATTTTTTGTTTCTCTGTATTCATGTCTGAGCTCTAAAATTCTGTGGATATATAATTTGGCCCTAAGTTGTAACTAATTGATCATTGTAAAAGAGCGGAAAACAATGACAGGGAAATAACTTTAGACGCTTGCTAACATTTATATAGATTTGGTTATTTTGCCAAATTTCACAATTTGTTGTAATCTCAAGGAACACGTAACTGAAATTTGCACAAGCCACCACTGTATGATGTGTAGGTAAAGTGAACTGTTAGGTGTGGCAGAGAGAGCAATTCTCCACAATGCTGTCTTCAATAGGTTAAGGTAAACAACTCTGAAATCCACAAACACTGTAGCTATAAAAAGAAATTTCCTTATATAGCAAGAATATAAGACAACATTCAGTTCATTTTATGTTTCTACTTACCTTCTCTCATGTATATTTATATAATACTGTTTGGATGTTGTCCCCTCCAAATATGATGAAATGTGATCCCCAAAGTTAGAGGTGGGGCCTGGAGGAACATGTTGGGTCATGGGGGCGGATCCCTCCTGAATGGCTTGCTGCCCTTTTCATACCCACCTCTTGTTTGTTCCCTCTCTCTCCATGTGATGCACCTGCTTCCCCCTTCACCTTCTGTGGTGACTGGAAGATTCCTAGGCCCTCACCAGAGGCTGAGCAGATGTTGGTGCCATGCTTGTACAAGTCTACGGAACCATGAGCTAAAATAAACCTTTTTTCTTTAGAAATTACTCAGTCTCAGGTATTCCTTTACAGTAATGCATATGAACTAACACAATATATAAACAGCAATGAAAGACATTTTTGATTACATTACATTTTGATATTACATTATTGATTCTCTTCTAAGCCACAGTAAAGCTCTCACCCTATTAAATACTGTTAGTTACTTGCTGGCTCCAGACCTCAAGCGATATGTTGAAGTCCGGTCATACTTTTATTCTTATATTTAATTACTAATTTTTTTTTGATCAAGTCCAGGCATTAGGGGTAGCATAATGAAAATAATAGATCATTAACTTTCATTTCCATTGAAGACAGGTAATTTCTAAGAACAACATTGACCTTGACTAAAATTAATGCAGAATACAAGTCTGATGAGTATTACTTGCTCCATAAAGTAAGATTTTCAAGAGTCTTAACATTTCTAAATTCAATTCCCAGATTCTCTTCAATCTCAATATTAAATCAAATTCTAACTATAGACTAGGCATACTGGCTCACATCTGTGATCCTAGCACTTTAGGAGGCTGAGGTGGGAGGATTGTTTGAGTCCAGGAGTTTGAGACCAGCTTGGGAAACAAAGTCAGACCCCATCTCTATAAAACATTTTTTAAAATAAAAATAAATAAAAATAATTCTAATTTTAAACCAAACTCTAATAATTTTATGGTTTTATGAAATTAACAAAGTGGCAAGTCAACTCCTTGATCATCAATTCAAACTGAGATCTCTTGCCAAATTTATTTTATGGCTTGAAAATTTGGACCATTACTTGGATAGTTTTGGTGAGATGGGAACTCCTAGGATAGAGTCTGAACCCCCTAGATGGGTCATATGGAAAACTCAGTCTTCCCTTTCCCTCCTAGAATATTCTTCCTCCCTGTTAAAATTCGGCCTCATTTTCCTACTCAGTAACTTTCAAGGAGATGATTGAGTCCCATATATCTTTGGTTATAGACTTTGGTTATAGCTTTTGGTCCCAAATGAGGGGAAATGGCTCTAGTGCCTATGACTGTTTCCTGCCCCTATAAATAGGAAACAGCTATTAAAGAGAAGAAGACTTTGTTCTTCCTCTATCTTTTACATCTTTTTCTTTTTTATAAATACATTCTATAACTAAGAAATTCATTCTCCCCTTAATGCTTATATGCTGCCACAGGGAAGAGAAGATCATTGCAGGTAGTTAATCACTGGCATTTCTTTTATAATATAGCTCTCAGATAGAGTTTTCTGACTGGAAAATGAAATAAATTTATTTCTTATTGATAAAAGGATTTTCACTTATTTCATATAACTGACACAAATATGAACAATCTCTATTTTACAATAAGTTGTAATCTTGCTATGCATAGTTAGCAATTTTGCCAGCATGCATAAAAACAATATAGGAGGCATATGTATACATTCAATGTACTCTAAAAATGTGAAGGAATAGATATCACTAAAAGTGAAAATTATATGCTAGCATAATGCCAGCAATATCCTAAGTCCTACACTATGCTTCTGGAAAGCTTGGTCTGGAAATACCACAGTTCAGTATGGTCGTAGGAGGCAGGGGTAGTTAGAAGAGTCAGAGTCAAAAGCAAAAAGACAAACACAAAACCACAATGAGATACCATCTCATGCCGGTTAGAATGGCAATCATTAAAAAGTCAGGAAACAACAGATTCTGGCAAGGATGTGGAGAAATAAGAACGCTTTTACACTGTTGATGAGAGTGCAAATTAGTTCAACCATGTGGAAGACAGTGTGGTGATTCCTCAAGGATCTGGAACCAGAAATACCATTTGACCCAGCAATCCCAGTACTGGGTATATACCCAAAGGATTATAAATCATTCTACTATAAAGACACATGCACACATATGTTTATTGCAGCACTATTTACAATAGCAAAGGCTTGGAACCAACCCAAATGCCCATCAATGATAGACTGGATAAAGAAAATGTGGCCCATATACACCATGGAATACTATGCAGCCATAAAAAAGAATGAGTTCATGTCCTTTGCAGGGACATGGATGAAGCTGGAAACCATCATTCTCAGCAAACTAACATAGGAACAGAAAACCAAACACCACATGTTCTCACTCATAAGTGGGAGTTGAGGAATGAGAACACATGGACTCAGGGAGGGGAACCTCACAGACTGGGGCCTGTCATGGGGTGGGGATCAAGATGAGGAAGAGCATTAGGACAAACACCTAATGCATGCGGGGCTTAAAACCTAGATGATGGGTTGATGGGTGCAGCAAACCACCAGGGCACGTGTATACATATGTAACAAACCAGCACATTCTACATATGTATCCCAGAACTTAGAGTAAAAAAAAAAAAAAGCGAAAAAGCAGAAAGCAGTGGGTTGTTGAAAAAGTTTGGAAAGAGAATCTGCTGAGACTACTTGGGTTTGGGCAAGGCAGACTGTAGGCCTTCAAATACTTAAAGATGCTCTATTTCTAGATATCCTTGGAGCAGTCTTCAAGTAGTTGCCACTGTTGAGATACTTTACATATAAACTTTTTGCTAGGTCAGCTCTCTTTAGTAATGTTTTCATTTAGATACACTCATTCAATACATTTATTTAAATACATTTGAAGATGATAATTCCACCTTGACCAAGTATGTGTGCAGCCACCAAAAACAGTGTCATTGAAATATCACTCACACCTAAGTTTTGCTTGATTTACATAGAATTCACCTGTAAGCATGGTTGAATTAATCTGAGAGGTTACTATCTCAACAATTTGTTAGGTAGATTGTTACTAACTAAAATGAACAATATATTTTGAAGAGCTTAATATTTAAACCATTTTAGACATGAACAAAAGTGGCTTTTTTTTCTGAAGTACTTAAGGCAATGCTAGGAGTGAAGAGTTAGAATAGCAATACATATATCCAGGTGTATGGAGAACCTGGAAGCCAGAGTTTGCATTAAATAACTCTCTTTGAAGCAAGGAAGCTTGTGAAACTGGATGTATTGTTTAAATAAATGGGTTTTAAAAATCTTATGCAAACAGGCACCTAGCAAATGGAAGGTCTTGCCATGGAGGGGGCTTTCTGGGTCCAACAGGATCCAAACCCATAGTGTTGCCTATGAGATGCCACAGCTGTGAACAGGTGAGCAAGAAAAAGTTAACCTGGGGTGAAAGAATTAGAAATAGGAGGTAACTGAAAAAACTTAGAAAGGACTAAGGAAACATGAATGCTAAAAGCAGGTAAAATGACAAGGCCAGGGGATGAGTGTAAGTGGCCACAATCAGTATCTATACTGTGCAAACAGAATTCTGCATGAGTACCGGTCACTGAAGCCCTTTCCTCTTTCTCCTCATTCATGAGCATCACTAACTCTGTACCTACAGCCATAGTATCCTGTCTTGGCGATGAATAACAGTTGTATTGATTCTCACAGCCTCGTTTTTTGCATAGCAACATATTTGGCCACATCTAGATCTAATATAATGCAAAGTCAACCAATTAAATATTTTAGTCAAATCAACCTTTTAACATTGGATAAATCAGGGATTTTGAAGCTCTTCAGGTCTATAACACATGTAGCTATTTCTTGGGATTTTTTTCTGCTAATTCTAGAATAGGCAAAGGACATGCAATTACAAAAAGGTCTTTTAAGGATACACAGACATTCTGCAGAAATATTGTAGGTTTGGTTCCAGACCACTGCATTAAGGAAATATCTCCATCAGATGAGACATGACATTTTTTAGTTTCCTTGACATATAAAAGTTATGTTTACATAATACTGCAGTCTGTTAAGTGTGTAATAGCATTATGTCTAAAGACAAAATGTACATACTTTAATTTAAAAATGCTCCATTGCCAAAAATGCTAACAAGCATCTGAGCCTTTAGTGAGTCCTAATGTTTTTGCTGGTGGAAGGTCTTGCCTGAATGCTGATGGCTGCTGACTGATCAGGTGATGGTTACTGAAGGTTTGGGTGGCTGTGGCAATTTCTTAAAATAAGACAACAGTGAAGTTTGCTGCATCAATTAACTGTTATTTTAATGAATGGTTTCTCTGCAATGCGTGATATTGTTTGTTAACATTTTACCCCCACAGTAGAAGTTTCAAAATAGGAGTCAAACCTTTCAACCCTGTCTGTATTTAGTAACTAAGTTTATGTAATATTCTAAAACTTTAATTGAAATTTCAACAATGTTCATAGCGTCTTCACCAGGAGTAGTTTCCATCTTAATAAACCACTTTCGTATGTTTATTGCGGCACTATTCACTATAGCAAAGACTTGGAACCAACCCAAATGTCCAACAATGATAGACTGGATTAAGAAAATGTGGCACATATACACCATGGAATACTATGCAGCCATAAAAAAGGATAAGTCCATGTCCTTTGTAGGGACATGGATGAAGCTGGAAACCATCATTCTCAGCAAACTATTGCAAAGACAAAAAACCAAACACCGCATATTCTCACTCATAGGTGGGAATTGAACAATGAGAACACTTGGACACAGGAAGGGGAACATGACACACCGGGGCCTGTTGTGGGGTGGGGCGAGGGGGGAGGGATAGCATTAGGAGATATACCTAATGTAAATGACGAGTTAATGGGTGCAGCACACCAACATGGCACATGTATACATATGCTACAAACCTGCACATTGTGCACATATAAAATTAAAAAAAAAAACTCTTTGCCCATCTATAAGAAGCAACTCCTAATTTGTTAAAGTTTTATCCTGAGATTACAGCAATTAAGTCACATCTTCAGGCTCTGCTTTTAACTTCAGTTTTCTTGCCATTTCTACAACATCTGTAGTTACTTCTTCCACCAAAATCTTAAACTCCTCAAAATCTTTTATAGGATTTGGGACCAACTTTTTCCAGATGCCTGTTAATGTTAATATTTTGACCTTCTCCAATGAATCACAAATGTTCTTAATGGCAGCTAGAATGGTGGATACTTTCTAGAAGATTTTAAATTTACTTTGCTCAGACCCATCATAGGAAGCACTGTTTATGGTAGCTATAGCCTTACAAAATGTATTTGTTAAATAAGACTTGAAAGTTGAAAATATCCTTTGATCCATGGGCTGCAGAATGGATGTCAAATTAGCAGGCATGAAAACAACATTAACTTCCTTGTACATCTCCATCAGAGCTCTTGTTTGACTAGACACATTGTCAATGAGCAGTAGTATCTTGAAATAAATTTTTCTTTCTGAGCAGTAGGTCTCAACAGGGCTTAAAAAATTCAGTAAGCCATGGCTTTGTTGTTCCATTTACAGAGCACAGGCAGAGTTGATTTAGTATAATTCTGAAGGACCCTAGGATTTTCAGAATGATAAATTAGCATTGGCTTCAACTTAAAGTCACCATTTGCATTGGTCCCTAACAAGAGGGGCATCATGTCCTTTGAAGCTTTGAAGCCAGGCATTGAGTTCTCTTCTCTAGCTATCAAAGTCCTAGATGGCATCTTATTTTAAGAGAAGATTGTTTTGTCTGTATTGAAAAATCTGCTGTTATGTGTAGCCACCTTCATCAATTGTCTTAGCTACATCTTGTGGATAAGTTGTGATTTATATTCTACATTAGCACTTACTGCTTCACTTTGCACTTCTATGTTATAGAGACAGCTTCTTTTTCTAAACTTCACAAATCAAGGTATGGTAGTTTCAGACATTTCTTTTGCAGCTTCCTCATCTCTGTTAGACATCATAGAATTGATGAAAGTTAGGGTCTGGGTCTGGATTAGGCTTTGGCTTAACAAAATGTTGTGGCTAATTTTATTTTCTATCCAGACCACTAAAACTGTCCCCATACCAGCAGTAATACTGTATTACTTTTGTGTTAGTCCATTGTCATACTACTATGAAGAAATACCCAAGACAGGTAATTTATAAAGAAAAAGTGGTGTAATGGACTCACAGTTCCACATGGCTAGGGAGGCCTCACAATCATGGCAGAAGACAAAGGAGGAGCAAAGGCACATCTTAAATGGCAGCAGGAAATAAAACATATGCAGGGGAACTGCCCTTTATAAAACCATCAGATCTTGTGAGACTTATTCACTATCATGAGAACAGCATGGGAAAATCAATCCCCATCATTCAATTACCTTCCACTGGGTCTCTCCTATGACATGTGATGATTATGGGAGCTACAGTTCAAGATGAGATTTGGGTAGGGACACAGCCAAACCATATCATTCCACCTCTGCCTCTCCCAAATCTCATGTCCTCACATTTCAAACAAATCATGCCTTCCCAACAGTCCACCAAAGTCTTAACTCATTTTAGCAGTAACTCAAAAGTCCACAATCCAAAGTCTCATCTGAGACAAGGCAAGTCCCTTCTGCCTACGAGCCTGCAAAATCAAAAGCAATTTAGTTACTTCCCAGATACAATGGAGGTATAGGCATTGGGTAAATATGCTTATTCCAGATGGGAGAAATTGGCCAAAGCAAAGGGGCTACAAGTCCCATGCAAGTCTAAAAGCCAGCAGGGCAGTCAAACTTAAAGCTCCAAAATTATCTCTTTGACTCCATGTCTCACATACATGTCACACTTATGCAAGAGGTAAGTTCCCATGCCCACAGTGGTGGGCAGCTCCAACCCTGTGGCTTTGCAGCATATAGCCCCCCTCCTCGTTGCTTTCATGGGCTGGCATTGAGTGCCTCTGGCTTTTCTATGTGCATGGTGCAAGCTGTTGTTTGATCTACCATTCTGGGGTCTGGAGGATGGTGGCCCTCTTCTCACAGCTCTACTAGGCAGTGCCCTAGTGAGGACTCTGTGTGAGGGCCCGTACCCTACATTTCCTTTCCACACTGTCCTAACAGAGGTTCTCTATGAGGGCTCCACCCCTGCAGCACATCTCTGTCTGGACATCCAGGTGTTTCCATACATTCTCTGAAATCTAGGCAGAGGTTCCCAAACCTCAATTCTTGACTTCTGCATACCTGCAGGCTCAACACCATGTGGAAGTTGCCAAGTCTTGGGTCTTGCACCCTCTAAAGCTATGGCTTGAGTTGTATCTTGGTCCCTTTTAACCACCGGCTGGAGCAGCGGTACACAGGGCCACAAGTCCCTGGGCTGCACAGAGCAGTGGGACCCTGGGATGGGCCCACAAAACCATTTTTCTCTCCAAGGCCTCTGGTTCCATGATAGTAGGGGCTTCCAGGAAGGTCTCTAATATGCCCTGGAGACATTTTCCCCATTGTTTTGGTGATTAACATTTGACTCTTTCTTACTTATGCAGATTTCTGCAGCAGGCTTCAATTTCTTCTCAGAAAATGTTTTTTTTCTATCTCATCATCAAGCTGTAAATTTTCCAAACTCTTATGCTCTGCTTCCCTTTAAATGTAAGTTCCATTTCAAACCATGTCTTTGTAAATGAGTAAAACTGAATGCTTTTAAGAGCACCCAAGTCACATCTTGAATGCTTTGCTGCTTACAAATTTCTTCTGCGTCATACCCTAAATCATCTCTCTCAAGTTCAAAGTTCCACAGATCTCTAGGGCAGTGGCAAAATGCCAGTCTCTTTGCTAAAGCATAAGAAGAGTCACCTTTGCTCTAGTTCCCAACAAGTTCCTCATCTCCATCTCAGGCCACCTCGGCCTGTACTTTATTGTCCATATCACTATTAACATATTGGTCAAAGCCATTCAGAACTCTAGGAAGTTCCAAACTTTCCCATGTCTTCCTGTCTTCTGAGCCCTCCAAGTCTCTAGGAAGTTCCAAATTTCCCCACATTTTCTTGTTTTCTTCTGAGTCCTTCAAACTGTTTCAACCTCTGCCTGTTACCCAGTTCTAAGGATGCTTCCATATTTTCCGGTATCCTTATAGCAGCACCCCACTCTACCAGTACCAATTTACTGTATTAGTCAATTTTCATACTATTATGAAGAAATACCTGAAACTGGGTAATTTATAAAGAAAAAAAAGGTTTAATGGACTCACAGCTGCACACGGCTGGGGAGGCCTCACAATCATGGTGGAAGGCGATGGAGGAGCAAAGGCACGTCTTACATGGTGGCAGGCAAGAGAGCATGTACAGGGGAACTGCCCTTAATAAAACCATCAGATCTCATGAGACTTATTCATTATCATAAGAATAGCATGGGAAAACCTGATCCCATGATTCAATTACCTCCCACTAGGTCCCTCCCATGACATGCGGGGATTATGGAAGCTACAATTTAAGATGAGATTTGCATGGGGACACAGTCAAACTATATCAAATTTCTTATCATTCATGCATTCAGTGGAGTAGCACTTTCAATTTCCTTCAAAAACTTTTCCTTTGCATTCATAACTTGGCTAAATGTTCGGCACAACAGGCTTATCTTTTAGCCTGTCTCAGCTTTCAACAAGCATTAATCACTTAGTTTGATTATTTATCACTAAGCTTTTGATATAAAAATGAGAGACATGCCACTCTTTTTTTCACTTGAACACTTGGAGGCCATTGTATGATTATTAATTTTCCTTATTTCAATATTGTTGTGTCTCAGGGAATAGGGAGGCCCATGGATACGGATCTACATGGGGTAATAGCCAGTAGGTGAAGCAGTCATAACACACACAACATTTATCAATTAAATTTGCCACTGTATATGGGTATGGTTCCTGGTACCCTAAAACAATTATAATAGTAACCTAAAAGATCACTGATCACAGATCACCATGACAGATATAATAACAATAAAAAAAATTGAAATAATTTGAGATTTACCAAAATGTGACACAGAGACATGAAGTGAGTACGTGCTGCTGGAAAAGTGGAGCTGATAGACTTGCTTGATGCAGGGTAGCCACAAACCTTCAACGTTTAAAAAGTGCAATATCTGCCAAGTGTAATAAAGTGAAGTGCAATAAAATGAGGTATGCCTGTACATGAAATATACTCCAGCCATTATCCCTTTTTTTGCACACTAGGTGATGGTATTATTATTTTATTTCCAGCCTTTTCTCTATTTTCCCAGCAAAACTGACAAATAGTGGTGTAAAATTTCAGGGGCATGGTGACTGTGTTTTGTTAAGAACATCTTTGTAGGAAACCAGCCTTCTGTTCTCGGGAAATATTGAACATAGAATTGCTAGAGCTCAGAGCTAGAGTGATTCAAAGATTACCTAGCCTAGTTCTTATATTACTGGTGCTCATTCTTCTCCCTGGCACTTTTTATCAATTTTGTATTTATTTGATTCCACCAGCAGACACTTACAGCACTATAAAGAGTACAATCATAGGTTGCCTAACAAAGGAGCTAGTTTCTGAGAAATGTGTTATCAGGTGATTTTGTCATTGTTTGGAAACCATTGACTGTACTTGCACAAATCTAAATGGTATAGCCTACTACCTACATAGGCTATATGGCATAGCCTACTGCTCCTGGATACAAACCTGTACAGCATGTTACTGTACTGAATACTGTAGGCAATTATAATACAGTGATGAGTATTTGCATATCTAAACATATCTAAGCATAAAAAAGGTACAGTAAAAATATAGTGTAAAAGATTAAAAAAAAGTAGACTTGTGTAGGGGACTTACCAGGACTGGAAGTTGTTCTGGGTGTGTCAGTGAGTGGATGGTAAGTGAATGTGAAGGCATAGAACATGACTGTTTACTACTATAGACATTTTAAATAATGTACACCTAGGCTATGCTAAATTCATAATTTTTTCCCTTCCTCAATAATAAATTAACTTTAGCCTACTGTAACTTTTTACTTTATAAACTTTTAACTTTTTCAACGTTTTTACTCTGTGGTTATAACACAGCTTAAAACACAAAACATATTGTACAGTTGTACAAAATTTTTTTTATAATCTTACTCTATAAGCATTTTTATTTTTTAAATTTATTTTTTTTTTTACTTTTTAAACTGTTTAAAAAAACCAAGACACAATAGCTGGCACAGTGGCATGTGCCTGTAGTCCCAGCTACTCCAAAGGCTGAGGCGGGAGGATTGCTTGAGGTCAGGAGTTCAGTCTGGACAACATAGCAAGACTCCATCTTTATTATAATAAGAAACCTCACCCAGCTACTTGAAAGGCTGAGGCAGTGGGAGTATCACTTGAGCTCAAGAATTTGAGCCTGTAATGAGCTATGATTATGACAGACTGCATTCTATCCTAGGCAACAGAGGGAGACTCTGTCTGTGAAACAAACACAGTAGCCTAGGCCTACACCGGGTCAGAATCATCAGTATCACTGTCTTTCACCTCCTTATCTTGTCTCACTGGAAGGTCTTCAGGGGCAATAACATGCATGGAGCTGTCATCTCCTATGCTAACAATGCCTTCTTCTGGAATATCCCTGAATGACCTGCCTGAGACTGTTTTAAGATTAACTTAAAAAAATAAGTAGAAGGTGTCTACTCTAAAATAATGATGAGATGTGTAGTATAGTAAATACATAAACCAGTAACATAGTCATTTAGTATCATCAAATGATATGGCTTGGCTGTGACCCACCCAAAATCTCATCTTGAATTGTAATAATCACCACATGTCAAGGGTGGGACCAGGTGGAGATAATTGAATCATGGGTCAGTTTCCCCCATTCTGTTCTCGTGATAGTGAGTGAGTTCTTAGAAGATCTGATGGTTTTATAAGGGGCTTCCCCCTTGGCTTGGCTGTTATTCTCTGATTCTTTCTCCTGCCACCCTGTGAAGAGGCGCCTTCTGCCATGATTGTAAGTTTCCTGAGGCCTCCCCCAGCCATGAGGAACTGTGAGTCAATTAAATCTCTTTTCTTTATAAATTATCCAGTTTTGGATATGTTTTTATTAGAAGCATTAGAACAGACTAATACACCTAGTATTATGTACTGTACATAATTATATGTGCTATGCTTTTATACAACTAGTAGTGCAGTAGGTTTGTTTACACAAGCATCCCCACAAACATGTGAGTAATGTGTTGTGCTATGACATTGCGACAGCTACTGCATCACTAGGAGATAGGAACTTTTCAGCTCCATTTTAATCTTATAGGACCACAGTTGTATATATGGTCTGTCATTGATTGAAACATTGCTATGTGGTACATAACTGTACGTTTATTGCCCAAAAAGTAATGTCCCTTCAAACCACTCCCAAATTAGTTTCATTAAGCTTATGTAAGTCTGAGTCATAATACCTCCAAAGATCACAAGTGAATATGATATACTCTGTGTGGTTGTATCCTTTTCTTCCTTTCCTTATATTTATACCCACAATTTACTTATTCCAATATTTAAATGTATGTCATGAAACCATCAATATAGGGTTGTGGAATGGGGAATGGCTACATTCTTTAAGTGGCACCCAGTTCACTGTAATTTTAAATGATTAAATGATCATAATAACAAGTTAAGTGTATGTGTTTAAGAGTATAAAAAAGTTAAGTTGTGGATAATCTGCATTCAGTGTTATTAAAGGTAGAAGACAGGGTTGTGAAATTTTAAAAAGCAGGATAAAAGTATTCAAGAGAAATGAAGTGTAATAAGGAGTAATCTAAAATGATTACAGATAAATCAGTGCTTAAAGATTGAAAATCATCTCAATGAGATGACTCAAGAATCAGAAAATTACTTTGGATGTTGGTAGAGTTGGCAAAATGACATATCTATATCTGCTTGGTCAGGTTTCACTATCTAATGTCTATTAGTAAATTAATTATTTTTACAACTAGAAATTCAACTAAGTATTTAAAAGCTAAGGATATAGGAAGAATTACAGACTGATAGAGAAGATGGGAGAAAAGAAAGAACAGAATAAAGAGGGGAAAAGAGAGAAAAGAGAGGGAAGAGGTAGGGCTGGGGGCAGTGGCTCACGCCTGTAATCCCAGCACTTTGGGAAGCTGAGGTGGGCGGATCACCTGAGGTCAGGAGTTCGAGACCAGCCTGACCAACATGGAGAAACCCTTTCTCTATTAAAAACACAAAATCAGTCAGGCGTGGTGGCACATGCCTGTAATCCCAGCTACTCGGGAGGCTGAGGCAGGAGAATTGCTTGAACCCAGGAGGCGGAGGTTGCGGTGAGCCAAGATAGTGCCATTGCACTCCAGCCTGGGCAACAAGAGCGAAGCTCCATCTCAAAAAAAAAAAAAAAAAAAAAAAATGAGAGGGAAGAGGCAGAAAAGAAGAGAGGAGGGAGAGAGAGAAAGAAAGAAAGATTGTGGGTACAGGATGCCGAATAACTTGATTTATAGTCACTCAAATCTTTTTGAAGATCAAATGGACCAAACAAAATAAATACAACAACAAAAGTCTGATGAGTGTTTAAGGTTTGTACTTTTAAAATGTTTATTCTTGAGTTTTGCATTCACATCTAGAGGAAAAGTCACAAGGCCCAGAACTAGCTATCAATTCCTAAAATAATTAAAAAGCCTGTAAGTATACATCACCCGGTAAACTCTCAGGGAATTGATCTCTCTAATTTTTCTCAGCTAATTTTGGTGCTGAATTAACATTTTCCTGAGCTTCTATGTGGAAATGCCATCACTATATAAATGTAAAGCATGTAGAAATGCTCTTCAGTCATTCCCAATGAGCCCCTACCTCATTATATATATTTATTATATATACACATATATATTTATTATACATATACACATTATATTTATTATATATACACATATATGTGTGTATATATATTTATATACACATATATGTGTGTATATATATTTATATACACATATGTGTGTGTATATATATTTATATACACATGTGTGTGTGTGTGTATATATATATATTTATTTATTTATTTATTTTTGAGACGGGATCTCAATCTGTCACACAGGCTGGAGTGCAGTGTTGCTACCTCAGCTCACTGCAACCTCTGCCTCCTGGGCTTAAGCCATCCTCTGAAGTCAGCCTCCTGAATAGCTGGGACTTCAGGCATGCACCACCACACCCAGCTAATTTTTTTAATTTTTGTAGAGTCAGGGTCTCACTTTGTTTCCTGGGCTGGTCTCTTGGGCTCAAGTGATCCTCCTGCCTCCACCTCCCACCTCCACCTCCCAAAGTGCTGGGATTACAGGCATGAGCCACTGTGCTCGGCCCCTACCTCATTAATGAATCATTAAAGAAAATTATTTATTTTTTCTCTATTAGGAAAGGGGCATTATAAAGAGGGAAAAAATAATAAAAATAACATTTCAGAAATGCAGCTATTGATTTACTTACTATACTATGATAACCTTTGAGTTAAAGATAAACAAATAATGTAACTAACTGGGGAGCATTTTCTTTGGGTTAAGACTTTTACTATCATTTAGAAATCAAAGTTTGTTGGACCGTGGACAAAAATTAGTGGACTGAGGCTGTCCTTCATAACTTCTTAGTTTCTGCTGTCTCTTCTTCATTAAATGAGGTCTCCTTTCCCTCCTGCCAGACACTGGCTACTCTAATGCTTCCAAGGCAATTCTACACCACTTTTGTAGGACTTATGTGACTGTAGTATATTATCTGCCTTTGTGTCCAGTTGCACTAGGCTGACAGCTCCTTGAGGACAGTACCTGCTTGTTTACGATTATATATTTAATAACTTTAACCACTGTCCAGTGAAGGCAAAGTCCCCACTTCTGGGATGCAGGTTACACCACATAATAGCAGAGTGTCAGTGAATTTTTCATAGAATAACTTGCCCCAACCCAACTTACACCAATCATGCCATAATTTATTAACTATTTATTGGGCACCTGCTTGAGTCAAGCACTCTTCCTGGGACTGAGGACAGATTTGTGAATGAAACTGACCATGTCCCTGACCTCATGCAACGTGAATTCTGGTAGGAAGACATATGAATAAATAAAGATACAGTTATACCAGTATAAGAATAAATAGAAGGCAGAATAAAAATGTAAATTGTAATGAGGGTAATATTTCAGTTAGATGGTCAGTTTAAATTGAATGATCATATTTTTCTGGATTTCTGAATTTACCTTCTCACTTAAGCCTTTGGCTTGCCTGTCTTATTAGGTGCCAAGTTCCACATATTTGGTCTAGAATTTTCTATTGTTTCCTTTTGACTCTCCTTTGGCTAGGGCCACCTTTAGCTATAAGACAAACCCCCATCACATCTATTTTGAGCTGTCTTCAGAACACCATATATCTAAATGGAAGGGGAAGGGGCTCCAATGATGAAGTATATAGTGGCAACCCGTTTGTGGATTTACCCAGTACCTCTTCTCTTTTTCTGAGACCTCCACTTCTCTTGTAGGGACAATCTTTACATTGCATTTAAGTATGGCTTCTCTTAAGAATTGACACCATTCTATCTAATCCCTGTGCCAGTCACAGAGTGGGGCAATTATACAAGCTAAGATAATCACAGTAATCTATCTTTCTGATTACAGTGATTATATGAAGATGGGCATTTAGCTCAAACTAGGCCAGAATTCTTGTTCAGGATTTTAAAAGTAGAACAAGTAGATAAGAATGTCTTTTTTCTCTGATCACAGAGTCCTAGGGTGTTATGTTATTAAAGTTATTCAGAAAACAGAATCCATTCTAGGTATTCCTGTTGTTATGGGGTTTTAATATGGAGAGCTAGGAGTTTACACTTATTGGAAGAGCTGAGGAGTTAAGGTTGGAGAAACCAGCACTGTCTTTTTCCACTGTGGAACTGCAGCTCTTCCAGAATTAGGGATAGTCTCTAGGAATTTCCCACCAATTGCTGCAGTCTGCTGCAGTTAAGTGGCAAATCAGGGTGCTGATGTGAGTCTTACTATGTTCATCTGTGCTCTTTCTCTCCCACCTTCCAAATTTTGAGTGCTTCTCATTCCAAAGTTAACGCCCATACTATACAACAAAGGAGATTCTTGGAAATGTATTTCCTAGTTTTTCTTCTGTGTTACAGAGTCCTCAGAAGGGAAGATAGTGTTAATGTAGAATTGATAACACAGAATGCACCACTGCTGTGATCCTTATATCTTGGCTGGCCATTACCCCTCCACTTGGAAATGAAAAAGATAAACTAATTGAAGCAGTGAGAAGAGAAAAAGGGAGAGGAAGGTAAGACAGAGACGGGGAGGGAGAAACCCAAGTGTATATATTTAATCAGGAAATAGTTTCTATTATTTTAGGAGGGATGGCTAAGTCTTTAGAGTTTATTTTAATGTATAGATTACCCCCACTTTTAATTTTTTATTATACTTTATTTATTGAATAAATCCAGTTGATTTTGACCTTTGGGCTTTCCCAGATTCTTGGGTCTATTGCATTCCCATGAGATAGTTTAACATGCTTCCCTGTCCTTTGTGTTAGAAATTGGATCTAGAGGTTGGATTCCAGTTATGTTGAATTTGTTTGGCAAAACTACTTCATAGCTTTTAATTGTGTTCTTTCAGGAGACAAAATCTTTGTTTGTCTTTTTGTTATGGTAGTATAGATGTTCAATGTCTATCACATTGACTCCTTTAAGAATATGTATGACTGGGCATGGTGGCTCTTGCCTGTTATCCCAGCACTTTGGGAGGCTGAGGCAGGTGGATTACCTGAGGTCAGGAGTTTGAGACCAGCCTGACCAGCATGGCAAAGCCCTATTTCTACTAAAAAAAAAATAAAAATACAAAAATTAGCCCAGCATGGTGGCTCATGCCTGTAATCCCAGCTACTCGGGAGGCTGAGGCAGGACACTTGCCTGAACCCAGGGGGCAGAGGTTGCCGTGAGCTAAGATTGCACCATTGCACTCCAGCCTGGGCAACAGAGCAAGACTCAATCTCAAAAAGAAAAAAAAAGAATATTTATTTGTTCATATGGTAATTTCTTAAAGGAAAACTTCTCATATGGGAAAGGAAAATATGTAATAACAAAAATTAATTTCCTGCAATCTTCCAAAGGAGAATAATATATTTTAAAAGTTTAAATTTTAAAGTTCTATTTTTAAAACACCTCAGCAAGAGAAATATTGTATATAGTCATACACACATGTATAATTAAGACCATATCAGAAAACCTATACATAAGATGCTCTCATTAATCCTTCATTATTATTTATTTGACCTTAATTTTCACATTCTAAATTTTAGTTCCTTAATAACTAGTAGCGAATCTATGATAGAAAATTGTCTGGAAGATCTAATGACCTAATGGCAATGATAGCCTAGAGAGAGAAATTTTTTCTTTCACTATAAGTATTTATTGCATTCAATACACCCAAAGGTGAATATGTTTGAACACACAGAACATTTTTGTATTCAATAAATATGTATTTCAACAAACAGCCCAATAAAACAGTTTTCCAAAAGCTTTCTACACAAAGTCTTAATTTCATTAAAGGAACATCTTTGTGTTTAAACCACTCAAGGCAATGTTACCAATATAGAGGATTTTGACTTTTTAAGTTGATATAAAACTTAATTTGGCGGCAAGTTTTTTTAATATAATTTGGATATTCGTCCCTGCCCAAATCTCATGTTGAAATGTAATCCCTAGCCAGTGTTGGAGGTGAGGCTTGGTGGGAGGTGTTTGAATTATGGGGGTGGATCCCTCATGCATGGCTTGGGCCTTCCCCTTGGTGCTAAGTGAAATCTAGCTCATTTAAAAGTGTGTGGCACCTCCCCCACCACTCTCTCTCTCTCTTGCTCCTGCTTTTGCTATGTGATGTGCCAGGTTCCTCTTTGCCTTCAACCATGAGTAACAGCTCCCTGAGGCCTCCCCAGAAGCTGAGTAATGCTGGTGCCATTCTTACACAGCCTGCAGAACCGTGAGCCAATTAAACCTCTTTTCTTTATAAATTGCCCAGTATCAAGTATTTCTTTACAACAATGCAAGAACAGCCTAACTACAGTGCACATGGAGAATTTATTGCAAACTATGTGGTATACAGACTATTTTTGTTTTTGTCACTCAGTGACATTCAATCATCTCTTAAATCATCCACAGACAAGAAATTGTGGCGGTAGTCAATGATCGTAATTAAAAGCAAGGATCCTACTTTCAGGACAGTGGCATCAAGTATACCACTTTGAAAGTGATTTTTTTTGGTTTGAGATTTTTGTAATGATTGCATGTTTACATCCTAAAATTATTCCATATGGCTTGTAGGAAACAAACATGCCATTTAGGTCTGCTGTAGCCTTATTTAAAGGTTTCCCTCTCAACACTACAGTATATAGCAAAGAAAAAAACCAGACCACTAACAGAACATCTCACTATCTGTTGATATTCAGAGGAGCAAAGCTTGAAAAGGGTTTTGAAAAGGATGTTAGAAAGCAAGAATTTCTAGAACATATGATGACTAACCTATATAGTTGAGTGCTTATAAATCACCTAAATGTATACTGAAGTGTTTAGAGAGATTGACTTCTATTTAACTTCTTGTTAAGAATTATCTAAATCAAAGATCAAGCTGTAAGATGATGACAAATTTATCTACTAGTGAATCTTATTTATATAGCAGAGCAATAGCACATTTAAGAACTTGTAAATTTAGATTCTCCTCAGATGTGAAGACGTTAACACTACGCTATGATTCAACAATTAGCACATTACAAATATGTTACTTTTCAGATATTTGGATGCAATAATATTTTTGACATTTGAACACTAGTAAATTTTTGTCATAAAGTACTTATTTCAGAATAATTTAAATTTTAAAAATGTGGTACTCTCACTTCTGCTTTTTTTTTCTCCTTTTGTGGACAAAAACACAAAATATGAATTGATTTATGTTTAAAAGTTGAAAATAAATAACACCTACGTAGGTGCTAATCAGCAGGTTTTGCTTTCTACTTCTTGTGAATAAGAAAAGAGAGCTTTAACTCAGTACTCGCACGTCTTCAGGTTTTTGAATTATTCACTGGGCTAGAGCTTCATGCTCTGGCTGAGCTGACATTTCAGGTAAGCTTCTCAAGGGAAGTGTGCTTCCTAGAGACAAGGAGATTTATATAAGCACACGACAATAAAGCATGAGTAAGTACAACCTAGGCAACTCATGTGTGGGTGCCATTCATTTGAGTTAAACAGTTACTAAAAGTATTTACTGCCTTGTGAATAGAAAACAAGACACTTGAGTTGGATGAAAATATCATCTGTCTGAATATCATAAACAGAATTTGAAGCTACATGGGCTAACAAGTCTGTCCTGAACTGAGTTTCTGGGTGGAAGAGTCTAATTGAAACAATTGTTGACTTTTTATTAGGTAATGAATATATTTGTTTTTAAGCTTAGATTTCAATTTGTTATATGGTTTGCTTAATAAAGTCCCAAATATTTTTATAATATAAACTACCTCTTTCAAAAAAGAAATAGATTTAAAAAATTAAAAAACCAAAGGGATTTAACTTGTAGTGCTAAGCTGAGAAATTATTTTTCTATTATGTTTAAGATAATATAATTTATTAAAATTTGATTTGGATATATTTTTTCAGGAATAAAACTCATATATGAAGCAAGATACTGAAAGAATATAATGTAGACATCAATCTAAATAAATGGAAAAAGTTTAAAAATTATTTCTTTGTATTAACATATGATCAAAATTGACAGTTTGACATAGCCAAAGAATTAACCAACTCAATTACTAATCAGTGAAATAGACAAATTGTTCTCAGATACAGTCTGAAATCTATTAATAAATTCTGTGGTCATAAGTTATCACATACTTTCCATATGAATTTTCAAGCTCCAAATCAATGAGTAAGATTATCACACCATGTTTGTGACAATTAACAATTTAAAATGGAGAATAAGATAACAATATAGGCTTGATTAAAAGGGCTTAGCCATAGATATTATGAAAACAGGCAATGTGTGACTGCTTTAAAGCAACATACATATGTCTGAGGATTCTCAGCAGGGATTACGCCTGGGTTTAGCACCATTTTCAAGTATTTCAGCAAAATAACATTGGAGTGAATGGAATAATAACTTGTGTTTTAGGAATAAAATAGTTACCTTATTGCATAATATTGCTTCCCTTCAGTGCTTGTTATCATAGGGGAAAAAAACAAAAACAAAAACAAAATTTGGGCTTTGGCCCAATTCCAAATCCATTTTTTGCTGAAACAAAGATACTTTGTTATGGAATGGATTTTAGTATGTTGACAAAACAAGCAAACAAAAATCTAGAACAGTATCATCTCTGGTCACATAGCAAGTCTCAACAAATCACAGACATGAGCAATATCACTAAATAATGCAAATTTTCTTTAACACAAGTTATCATGGAAAGGGGCAGCTCAGGAACAGAGTGAAAAGATAAAAATTAAATCCTAGAAAAATGTACATGTGCTGCTCTGAGATGCAGAGTAAAGAGCTGAAATTATTTCCCAATATTTTGACTTCACCTGACAAAACCATCTAGCCAAAAAAAGAGAATTAGAGGGTGAAAGAGAGAGACAATTCATTGTAATATTCTGTTCACTACTAAGAGTCAAAAGTGAAAACAGCAATTTTAGTCTCCTGTAACTTTGAGGAGTAGTATACTAGTATACTTTATTTTTCTCTATATAATAGATTCTCTGCATGCACTGAACAATTCCATTAGAAAAATGTTAAAAATAAATGGTATAAATTGCATATTATTATTATTCCTGTATTTATGCTAACAGAGTTGTTATTGAGTATGGATTTTTTTGGTCTGTGACTGTAATCCTCTATGATTTCTTTCTTTTTGACAAGAGGCCAAGGACAATTTGATGCCACCATTTCTTCTGGATCAGTTACCATTAGTGACCTATAAATATGGTGAAATAAGTTACTATTACCCTGAGGCAGCAAGGATTTTAGGACTCAGACTCCGTCTTTCTGCCCTTCGTCCTATCTCACCTTAATGGAACGGAATGCCTCAGTACATTTTGTGACAACCTATATAGCTTGATGGGTTAGTTTGCTCACTGGGTAATACAGTTACAATAATTTATACCTCATATTGTCCTACAAATGCCCTGGCTCTGGGCTCCACTCTACTTAATACTTCTTCACAGAAACTTTCAAGGCCAAAATGTATCTTAAGATATTCATAAGCAACCCTTACCAAAAATGATTGTACAAATATTCATTTGGGGTGAGGGATTATCTAGGTTTCTTTTTTTTTTTTTTTACCTTTTCAAAAAAAATTGTCTCATTGTGATTGCAGTGAAGTTAAAAGTTGTTATCCAGTTGGTGCTAGCTATCACAATGAAAAGATTTTATTTTGGATCTGGATCATTTCCATTCCAATAAATAAATCAACAAGCACATTTTCGTGTCTCTGTCTTTTTAAGTGTGCAAGCCACAATTTTGCTAGGGTTGCTTAGCAACCACAAAGTAGTGAGCTAGCAGGATTGAAGAGTGCAATAAAATAAGCAGTTATATTTATGTACTTACATTGAGAGGGATCATGTTGGTATGGTCAGCCTACAGGCCTATGAAATTTACAGCATTCATTGTTAAAATTGTGGGCCAGTTTTACAATAGTTATCTTTAGTCATCAAGTCCAATTGCATTACAGTGCTGAGGAATACCATCTGCTGGTTTCTTACGTAGTTATTCACTATATTACCACTCAGGCTTTGTAAAGATTTCAATGAGCAGTTTACTCTTAAAATAGATGGTATATAAGAAAGATTTAAGTAGAGTTCCCAAGCATCCTTTTTCAACATTTTAAAACTTACGGCAGGATTTGGTTTGTTTTTCTTCCTTCTGTTTGTTTCATGAATTCTATCTTAATGGTTTAAGTGGAAAACACTTAGTGAATGTAATATGTTTTAAGAGACACAACTGAAATTTTTGTCTATATAAAGTCAAAGGAATAAAATATCCAGCTCACTTACAGTAGCAAGTATGCTACAAATATATGCTAATTGAATAGCTATAAGTTTAATTACTTTTGATCAGAAAATTCTCCCTTATTTACATTAAGGAATACACATTGAAAGCTTTAGAAGAACATGGTCTAAATGCTATAAATGGGTCTGCTTTCTGGGCCACTAAGAAAGCCATTTATTCAATCATCTTTCTTTTTAAATTATACTTTAAGGTCTGGGATACACGTGCAGGACATGCAGGTTTTATTACATAGGTATACATGTGCCATGGTGGTTGCTGAACCTATCAACCCATCATCTACATTAGGTATTTCTCCTAATGCTATTCCTCCCCTTCCCCCTAACCCCCGACAGGCCCCAGTGGGTGATGTTCCCCTCCCTGTGCCCATATGTTCTCATTGTTCAACTCCCACTTATGAGTGATAACATACGGTGTTTGGTTCTCTGTTCCTGTGTTAGTTTGGTGAGAATGATGGTTTCCAGCTCCATCCGTGTCCCTACAAAGGACATGAACTCATTCTTTTTTATGGCTGCATAGTATTCCATGGTGTATATGTGCCACATTTTCTTTATCCAGTCTATGATTGCTGGGCATCTGGGTTGGTTCCAAGTCTTTGCCATTGTGAATAGTGCTGCAATAGACATATCTGTGCATGTGTCTTTATAGTAGAATGATTTATAATCCTTTGGGTATATACCCAATAATGGGATTGCTGGGGCAAATGATATTTCTGGTTCTAGATCCTTGAGGAATCACCACACTGTCTTCCACCATGGTTGAACTAATTTACACTCCCACCAAGAGTATAAAAGCGTTCTTATTTCTCCACATCCTCTCCAGCATCTGTTGTTTCCTGACTTTTTAATGATTACCATTCTAACTGGCGTAAGATGGTATCTCATTGTGGTTTTGATTTACATTTCTCTAATGACCAGTAATGATGAGCTTTTTTTCATATGTTTGTTGGCCACAGAAATGTCTTCTTTGAGAAGTGTCTGTTCATATCCTTCACCCACTTTCTGATGGGGTTGTTTTTTTACTTGTAAATTTGTTTAAGTTCCTTGTAGATTCTGGATATTAGCCCTTTGTCAGATGTAGATAGATTGTAAAAATTTTCTCCCATTCTATAGGTTGCCTGTTCACTCTGAGGATAGTTTCTTTTACTGTGCAGAAGCTTTTTAGTTTAATTAGATCCCAGTTGTTAATTTTGACTTTTGTTGCCATTGCTTTTGTTGTTTTAGTCATGAAGTCTTTGCCCATGCCTATGTCCTGAATGGTATTGCCTAGGTTTTCTTCTAGGGTTTTTATGGCTTTAGGTCTTACGTTTAAGTCTTTAATCCATCTTGACTTAATTTTTGTATAAGGTGTAAGGAAGGGTCCAGTTTCAGTTTTATGCATTTGACTAACCAGTTTTCCAAACATCATTTATTAAATAGGGAATCCTTTCCCCATTGCTTGTCTTTGTCAGGTTTGTCAAAGATCAGATGGTTGTAGATGTGTGGTGTTATTTCTGAGGCCTCTGTTCTGTTCCATTGGTCTATATATCTGTTTTGGTACCAGTACTATGCTGTTTTGGTTACTATAGCCTTGTAGTATAGTTTGAAGTTAGGTAGTGTGATGCCTCCAGCTTTGTTCTTTTTGCTTAGGATGGTCTTGGCTATACGGGCTCTTTTTTGGTTCCATATGAAATTTAAAGTAGTTTTTTCTAATTCTTTGAAGAACGTCAGTGGTAGCTTGGGGAATAGCACTGAATCTATAAATTACTTTAGGCAGTATGGGCCTTTCACGATATTGATTTTTCCCATCCATGAGCATGGAATGTTTTTCCATTTGTTTGTGTCCTCTCTTATTTCCTTGAGCAGTAGGTTTGTAGTTCTCCTTGAAGAGGTCCTTCACATCCCTTGTAAGGTGTATTCCAAGGTATTTTACTCACTTTGTAGCAATTGTGAATGGGCGTTCATGCATGATTTAGCTCTCTGTTTGTCTATTATTGGTGTATAGGAATGCTTGTGATTTTTGCACATTGATTTTGTATCCTGAGATTTTGCTGAAGTTGCTTCTCAGCTTAAGGAGTTTTTGGGCTGAGACGATCGGGTTTTCTAAATATACAATCATGTCATCTGCAAACCGAGATAATTTGACTTCCTTGTTTCCTATTTGAATACCCTTTATATCTTTTTCTTGCCTGATTGCCCTGGGCAGAACTTCCAATACTATGTTGAATAGTCGTGGTGACAGAAGGCATCCTTGTCTTATATTGATTTTCAAAGGGAATGCTTCCAGCATTTCGCCCCTCCCCCCACAAAGCTTTTGCGTCCCAGGTCAATTTCAGACTGCTGTGCTGGCAGCAAGAATTTCAAGCCAGTGGATCTTAGCTTGCTGGGCTCCGTGAGAGTGGGATCCGCTGAGCTAGACACTTGGCTCCCTGGCTTCAGCCCTTTTTCCAGGGGAGTGAACGGTTCTGTCTCGCTGCCGTTCCAGGTGTCACTGGGGTATGAAAAAAAAAACTCCTGCATCCAGTTTGGTGTCTACCCAAACGGCCACCCAGTTTTGTGCTTGAAATCAAGGGCCCTTGTGGTATAGGCACCCGAGGGAATCTCCCGGTCTGTGGGTGGTGAAGACCATGCGAAAAGTGTAGTATCCGGGCCGGAATGCTCCGTTCCTCATGGCACAGTCCCTCATGGCTTCCCTTGGCTAGGGGAGGTAGTTCCCCGACCGCTTTCGCTTCCCAGGTGAGGTGACACCCCAGCCTGCTTCTGCTCGCCCTCCATGGGATGCACCCACTGTATAACCAGTCCCAGTGAGATGAACCGGTACCTCAGTTGGAGATGCAGAAATCACCGGCCTTCTGCGTTGGTCTCGCTGGGTGCTGTACACTGGAGCTGTTCCTATTTGGCCATCTTGCCCAGGAGCCTCTCAATCATCGTTTAGAAGCTTATTATTTGTTATTATACACTGACCTGATCATTAAGGGAAGAAAAAAAGTGTTTTTTTTTTTTGCCATCCGGAAAGTCACAATATAGTGAAAGTGCTAATATTGATACATTTTAAACAGGTGCTATTGTGGAGGTGCATACCCAACAGTTTGATAATGTAGAGGAAGTGATAGCTTTGTCTCGTGGAATCTGGGTCGACCTCACAGAGGAGCTGTTATTTGTTCTGGATATTGAACAGTGACAAGGATTCAGTGGGAGAGAAAGAGGCGAGGGTAAGTAACTCAATGACACTGAGTGCATTTTCCTGTGGATGGGTAATGGGGAGCTGGGCTCAGAAGCAGGCACATTCAGGGGACAACCACTCTGCCCCAGCTGTCTGGAAGTGATACTGGGTCATGTGGAATTGGAAGACATACCACCATAGAGGTAAATTTAGTCCAGCTGGTTTTGCAAAGAAATTTATTCTGGAAAATTTAGAGTGTTTTAGGCCATTTATGCATTTCTATTAAAAAAAACCTGAGATTGGGTAACTTATAAAGAAAAGAGGTTTAATTGGCTCATGGTTCTGCAGGCTGTATAAGCATGTCACTGACATCTTTCAGCTTCTGGGGAGGCCTCAGGGATCTTTTGACTTATGGCGGAAGATGAAGCAGGAACAGGCACATCACATGGCAAAAGCAGGAGCAAGAGACAGAGAGTGGTGGGAGGGAAGTGCCATTTACCTTTAAATGACCAGATCTCAGGAGAACTCACTCACCATCTGGAGGACAGCACCAAACCATGAAGGATCCACCCCCATGATCTAATTGCCTCCCACCAGGCCCCACAGGGCATTACATTTCAACATAAGATTTAAGTGGGAACAAATATCCCAGCTATTTCACAGAAACAGTCAACATAAATAATAGGTCTAAAGGGCCTAAGTTTTCTCTAGGCTTCTATCCAACTTGTGGGCTTTCCTGCAAGCCTTATTTGTGTATCACCAACTACACAAATAGGCTGAATACTTACACAAAAGGATTTGTACTTCATACAATTTCTGAAATTCGATTTGCAAAGAATTTCCCATATTGGGTGCCAGACTTATTATTGCCACAGCTGTCATCAACTCCAGCAAGGAATCTTTCTAAAATCTATCAACTTCCACATCTCACATTTCCCCCTCCACAAGCTCCCCATGGCGTCTAGTTAAAAAAATATGTAGCTAATAGCATATTAGAAACTTAGTAAGATGTGAAAATCTTTTTTTTTCTTATTACAAATTTCTTGAACTGTTGTCAGAAAACAACATATTTGGGTTTTCTGGGGGGTGTCAGTCATCTGATATCCCCCAAACAACGTGTTGTTTGGATATGTGTGTGTGTGTGTGTGTGTGTGTGTGTGTGTGTACACATATATATACACACACATACATACATATATACACACACACACACACATATATATATATGTATCAGCCAACTTGGAAAGTCAGATTTAATTCTTCTGTGGTTATTTGACTTTCCAGGTTTACTATTTCTCATGTCCCAGTAAAGCTTGGAAACAACATCACTATCACTGGGCACTGAGGATATATTCAGAGTAACATAGCTCTACCAAACTGGATATGTGAACAATCAAATAGAAAAGATCCATGTAAGACAGAGAGTCATCTGAAAGCTATTGATATGGCAAAATGAAGCCAGGCAACTGCAAGCAATTGAGCAGAATAAAATCCATGACAAGAATACCGTGAAATATTTCACTACTTGACTCTGAGTGACACTACCATTTATTCCTGGGAAGTGACAGAAACAGGTGAATCACCAAAAGATTCCTTTAAACAAATGTAACATGAAGCCGGAGTCAAGAAACAGAGCCATTAGCAGTACGACTGCAGCCACATGTGTTATTTTAGCCTCACTCCTGTACCACGGAAGCCCTTTTACCATCAATGGTAATTTTGTCAATTTGCTAGCAAAGGTCAAAAATAGAATATTGGCATAGCCTCATGAGTTCTAAAAGAGGAGCTTTAGGAAGAAAGCAGGTGGCTTTATACACTACTCTGAGTAATTCATGTTTCCCAGTTTGAATCCTACATCTGAGAAGGAAATGGATATGGCATCTGTTCTCTCACGTGTTTAATTTTTTATTAAACTTTTTTGGTTTGAGATAATTGTAGACTTACACTAATAAGAAATAATACAGAAATCTTACCTATTTTTTACCCAGTTTCCCCCAAAGGTAACATCAAGCAATTCTGTAGTACAATATAACACTCAGGACACTGACATGGACACTATCAACAAAGAGCATTTCTATCACCATAGGAGTCCTCCTGTTAACTTTTGATAGCCAAACCACCTTTCCCTCTGCCCCAGCCCCATTTTAACCCTTGACAATCACTAATATGTTTTCTAGTTTTATATTTTTGTCACTTCATGAATATTACATAAATGGAATCATACAGCATGTGTGGTTTTTCACTGATCATAATTATCTGAAGATTCATCCAGGTTGTTGAATGTATCAATAGTTCTATTCCATAGTATGAATGTACCATTGTTTGTGTAAGCATTGAAAGACATCTTAGTTTCTTCCAAGTTTTAGTAATTATAAGTAAATCTGCTATAAACACTTGTGTACAGGGTATTGTGTGGACATACGTTTTCAACTCATTAGGGTAAGTGCCAAGGAGTGTGAATGTTAGATTGTATGGTGTGAGTATGCTTGTTTTGTAAACTGTTTTTCAAATTGGCTGTGCCATTTTGCATTCCGACCAATGATGAACAGGAGCTCCTGTTGTTCTACATCCTTACCAGCATTTGATGTTGCCGGTGTTTTATCTTAGCCATTCTAATAGATGTGTAGTGGTATCTCATTGTTTTAATTTGCAATTCTCTAATTACATATAATGTTGTGTGTCTTTTCATATGCTTATTTTCTATCTATATGCCTTCTTTGGTGAGATGTCTGTCCGGATGTTTTACTAATTTTTAACTGCGTTGTTTGTTTTCTTATAGCTGAGTTTTAAGAGTTCTTTGTATATTTTGGTTATCAGTCCTTTATCAGATATGGGTTTTGCCAAGATTTTCTCACAATTTGTCATTTGACTTTTCATTCTAATACTGTCTTTCACAGAGCCATTTTTAATTTTAATGAAGTCCAACTTGAGAGTTTTATCTTTCATGATTATGCTTTCAGTGTTTTATCTAAAAAATCATCGCCAAACCCAAGGTCACCTACTGTTTTTCCTACGTTATTTTCTAGGAGTTTTATACTTTTCTGTCTTGCATGTAAGTCTCTGACCCATTTTGACCTAATTTTTTGAAAGGTGTAAGGCTGTGTCTCGATTCAGTTTTTTTGCATGTGAATATACAGTTTTTCCAGCACTATTTGTTAAAATGACTATCCTTTATCCACTGAATTTCATTTGCTCCTTTGTCAATAATCAGTTGTCTCATTAATCATGGAATAGATATCTCTATTCTTTCATGAACACCTCACTTACTTGAACTGTAGCTTTATAGTAAGTCTTAGAGTCGTGTAGTGTCAGTACTATGATTTTGTTCATCTCCTTCAATATTGCATTGGCTATTCTTGCTTTTCCATATAAACTTCTGCTTTTCTCTATAAACTTTTGAATCAATTTATCAGTCTCTACAAACTCTCTTTTTAAACTGATTTCTTGGATACCTTTCTGCCACCCCATTACTGGCTGGTGAATGTAGAAGTCCAGTATCACCACTAGGCCTTTGTTAACATCTGAGTTATACTTGGACTCCTCATTATTGTTATGTAAAGGTGAAAGTTTTGTTCCCCATTCGGTCTTTACTGGCATCATTATGGTGTGTTATTGTTAATGCTGGGTGTTGGTGAAGGTCCTGGTTTTTTTGTTTTTGTTTTTGTTTTTTGATGGAGTCTTGCCTTGTTGCCCAGGCTGGAGTGCAATGGCGCAATCTTGGCCCACTGCAAGCTCCATCTCTCAGGTTCATGCCATTCTCCTCCCTCAGCCTCCTGAGTAGCTGGGACTACAGGCACCCACCACCACGCCTGGCTAATTTTTTGTATTTTTAGTAGAGACAGGGTTTCACCTTGTTAGCCAGGATGGTCTCGATCTCCTGACCTCATGATCTGCCCGTCTCGGCCTCCCAAAGTGCTGGGATTACAGGTGTGAGCCACCATGCCCGGTCCCAAGGTCCTGGCTTTTAACTGAGTCTTCTCTGATACCATTCTGGGATATGTGTTGAGGTGCTCATTACAGTCTCATGAATGTGGATGTTTAAAATCTGTACTCAGTCTTTCACGTGGAAAAAGGGGACACAGTTTTGTTCTGTGGTATTTGGCTGGAATTGAGTGACTGTTGTCTGCATGCTTTCTGCCTTTGCTAGGTTGACCCTTTCAGTCATACTTTTTGGGGGCTTTTCTTTCTGTGGCTGTAGGTATTTCTGAATTTCTTGTTTCTCCATTCTAACTCTAGGCTACATGAGGTTAAAAGAAAACACAGGGATCTTTCCACCATGTTGTTCCTCGGGTTTTGAGGTCCCTAGGCATTCTTCTTTCTTCTTTTTACCTTTCAGAATCTTCTTATGTTGTTTTATATGTATGTTTTTATGTCCAGAGTTTAAGATGTACTTATCAGGAGGAATAGGGAAATGAATGTCCACTCTATCATATCCTGGAAGAGGAAGTCTCTCTCTATCTCTGTGTGTGTTGAAAATGCTACATATTTATCAGTTGAGAGACAAAGAAGGACTAGATTAGGGAGGGCATTGTGTGCCAGGGAATTCCAACTAAATAATCAAAAGAAACCATTGGAGAATTTTGGAAAAGATAACTGATGTGACCAAGTAGTATTTTATTAATTTTTTTTTGGATACAGTTTTAGTCTGTAGGAGCAATTAGAAGGAGAAGTAACAGGAGGCCAATTAGAAAACTGTTACAGTAACTACATTAGAGTATTTGGGATGGTGAAAAAAGAAAAGAAAGATTGAGTTCACATTATATTTTATTATTAACAGCAACAACAAACATGTGCTGTGGAGATGCTATGAGCAAGGTGATGGCAGAGATAATGGACATAAAAGATGAAGAAGACGTGGGGTCCTTTTTCAATGAGTTGAAGTCTAGCAGAGAAGAGATGCATATAAGAATAATGGAAAACTTGTAACAGGTCAAGAGATTGAATTGTGAGCTGACAGAGAAAGTGATGACATAGTCCAAAAATGAAAAAGTGTGGGAAAAGAGTAGTTTTTAAGAGGAAGATCAAGTTTTAGATGTGTTGATTTTAATGTGAAGTGAAATATCCTAATGCAGATTCTCTGAAAGCAGTTGATTGATGAAAGACTGGAATTTAAGTAGAAGTAATGATCAGAATTAATGTACAGCTTTAATAGAAAATTTTTCCTCAAAGGCAATTTTGTAGAAGCTCTTGATATGATAATTTTAAAACAGAATAGCCCTACACCACGATTTATTGGAACTTTGAATAGAACCCATCATAGGGTGGAAAGAGCATGGATTTTGGAATCAGGATTAGCTAAGTTTAAACTCCAAACATTGCTTACTAGTATTTGATCTTAGAGCTTCAATTTCATCTGTCAGATGGGATTCTATTACTAAGTAATTAATGTTATTCTGTGGTTTATATAACATGTGAGTTAAAATGCCTGACACATAGAAAGAACTTACAGGTATTAATCCTCTTCCTTTTTATTGACCTTAGGTTTGTTTTGGAAGCAAATACCACATTGAAAATTCATTTTAAGTTCTTTGAGAAATCTCCAAACTTCTTTCCACAGTGTCTGAACTAATTTACAATCCCCCAATAGTGTATAACCCATGTAACAAACCTGCACATGTACCCCCTACATCTAAAATAAAAGTTGAAGAAAAAACCCAAAAAACAAAACACTCCACAAAATTTGTACTATGTGTTTTATACTGTCTTTGATGCAGTTCCTGTTTTTTTTTTTTTTTCACCATTGATTATAGTTTCAAACCTAAACATAAGAGTGAAAATTTTATTCACTGTTTTTGGCCATTAATTGCTCATTATATGACAATGTCAAGCTACACAATTTAGCAATACCAATGTCAAATACATTACTTACAATTATTTGAAAGTAATCTGCATATAACACAGCAAAATTTTTGTCAAGGCTGAGAGTTGATAACTCAAAGAACTTTGCGCCAAGGAGATGTCAGATGAGCTAATAGCTTGAGCAGGAGGTACTCAAGGAAGGCTTTTATGAGATGGAGGATATTTATATTGTCTTTATTTTCTCTGTCTCGTCACCTCTCA
The DNA here is from genome assembly GCF_000001405.40 of Homo sapiens. NCBI lineage: Eukaryota > Metazoa > Chordata > Mammalia > Primates > Hominidae > Homo > Homo sapiens. The sequence continues at coordinate 125,131,989 of NC_000007.14, forward strand.
CCCTCCCTTCAATCCAGTAAATCAGGCTTTTATCCTGTTACTGATTGACACTGTTTGAGATCATCAAACACTCACATTCTCTTCTACATTTCCCAACTTCCAATACCATGTCATTGGATTTTGGTCAATGGGCACGGAAATGATGTAAACAATTTTCAGACAAGGTCTTTAACAATATGCCATTCTCTCTCTCACTCTCTTCCTTTACAGTAACAAACTTGGAGGCCATTTGTTTAAAATGGCATTATACAAGATGAGTGAGGGCTGCCAAACCGGATAAGAGTTCAATGATTGACCCCTGGACATGGCATGTTTAACAAATAAACCTTTATTGGGTTAAGCCACTGATATTTGGGGGTGTATTTGTTACAACACCGTATCTTGACCACCATTCCCTAATACATGTTCTCACAATCCCACCAATTCAGCTCTTATTAAAATCATCAGTGCCTTCCATCTTCTGTCCTCATCTTATTGACTTCTTGGTGTTCAGCAGTTACTCGCTGTCTCCTTTAACCACCTTTCTTTTGACCTTCACAACAGCACTCCTTCTCAGCTTCCTTTGCTCTGCTCCTTTTATGGTCACCCTGTAAGTGCTAGAGTATCCCTAGTCTTGGTCCTTTATTACCTCTTCTTACATTAATATCCAGTCCCATAGCTTTAAATAACAGCTCTATGTCTATGACTTTCACATTTGTTTCTCTAAGTAATACCTTCATATCAGTTCTAAACCGGTAAAACCAACTTCTTACTTGAAATCTCTGCTTGCATGTCAAATATGCAAGTCAAAGTTAATATTGACATAGGAAGTCTTTAGTTTTGTCCAACAAAATCTTTTTCTTCCTAGTTCTTCCTGTCTCATACAATGGCTCCACCACCCACTCATTTACACAAACCAAAAACCTAGAGGTCATTCATTGATTGAGCTCTTCGTCCACATCACCACTCAGTCTATGTCCCATCCTTTATGAATGGCCATGCTCATGACCATATTCACTGCTGTCACCCCATTAGAGACTACTGTCTTTCTTACCTATCTTGCCATGGTTTCTCTCAACTGTTCTCATTGCTTCTCTTAGTTGGCTATAGTCCATTTTTCATTCTCTAGCCAGGCTACTCTTTTTAATGTATAAGTAAATTCATGCCATTCTCTTTATTAAGATTCTACAGTTATAAACTACCAGACTTAAAACTGCATTTCCTTATGATCTTCAGGTATCTGACCATTTTAATTCTATCTACCTCTCCAACTTCACCTCCCCCTTAATCCTGTTTACCCCCATACTCCAGCCATACTACATCTTTCTTTTTCCCAAACACACTTAGCTCCTTTTTTTTCTTCCTAGATTTTTCCCAATCACCTTCTTTCTGTGTCAGGCTCCTTGAGGTTATTCACATTTCAGACACCAGTTTCACTTGCTCAGAAAGTGCCCCAGATGCTTTTATGTTTACTTTCTTTTCCTAATGTTTTCATAGTCTGCACAACACTAATAATTATGTAAATTTATCTTGTTCATTTAGATATTAATATATCTATATTACTTCTTTCTTGTTTCCCTCCACTATGGTCTGAATGTGTCCCACTCCCTCCCGAAATTTATTTTTGAGACTTAGTCCTCAATATGGTATTAAGAGGTGGCCTTTGAGAAATGATTAGGTCATGAGGGGATTAATGGGATTAATGTCCTCACAAATGGGATTAATGTCCTTATAAAAGAGGTCTGAAAGAGCTTGTTTATTGCTTCCCCTTTGACCATGTGAGGATGAAGCAAGAAAGCAAGATCTATAAAGCAGCCCTCACCAGACACCAAATCTGCTGGCACCATGATCTTGGACTTTCAAGCCTCCAGAACTGAGAGAACTACATATCTCTTGTTTGTAAATTACCCAGTCTAAAGTATTTTGTTATAGCAGCCCAAATGGACTAAGAAACTGGTACTGAGAAGTGAGGGTGTTGATAAATATATGCATATATATACCTAAAAATGTGGAGGTGGCTTTGGAACTGGGTAATTGATAAAGGTTGGAAGAGTTTTGGAGTGCATGCTAGAGAAAGCCTATATTGATGTGAACAGGCTGTAAAGGGCAAATCTGGTGGGGGCTCAGAACCAAAAGAAAGTTGTAGAGAAACCCTCAGTATTCTAGACATTACCTAAGAGGTAGTGAACAGAATACTGGTAAAAATATGAACAGTAAAGGCTATTCTGATAAGGTTTCAGATGGAAATGTGGAACAAATTATTGGAAACTGAAGGAAAGGCAATTATTGTTTTAAAGTTGCAAATAATTTGGCTGATTGTGTTTGTGTCCTGGTGTTTTGTGGAAGGAGAAACTTGAGTGATGAAATAGGATATTTGGCAGAAGAAAGATCTAAGCAAAATGTTGAGGGAGCAGCTTGGCTTCTCTTAACTGCTTATAGTAAAATGCTAGAAGAGAGAGGTAATTTAAGGACATAACTTATAAGCGAAAGGAAAGCAGAACTTAAAGATTTGGAAAATTCTCAGCCTTCTCAGACTGTCTTGTAAGAAATGAGAAAGAATGTTTGGAAGAGTACACCAACGGTGTGGATAAAGAAATCAGTATTGATCATCCCGGTGCTATTCATTAAGACAATTGAAAAGTTATCCTGAAGGCATTTTGGAGATCTTTAGGGCTGCCATTCTCATCACAGAGTCAAAGTTCCAAAACGTTGAGAACAGAATGGTTTCAAAGGAGGGACACAGAGTGCCTGTGGGACCTCAGGGCTCACTGCCAAGCATTGACTAAAGTCTCTGCTCCCTGAATTCAGGTGCAGTGCTCCCTGCCCAACCACCCCAGGTGTGGCTCCAGTGGGCCCAAGGTGTGGCATGAGCCAGAGTAGCTGTCCCTTTGGAGGAAGAGGTGATAAAACTTGGCCACATCCACATGGTGCCAACTCTTCCAGTGTACATAGTGCAAGAGCTGTGGGGGTATATTTGCCTCCACCTAGATTTCAAAGAATGCCCTAGAGAGCCTCAGGACCCAGACAGAGACTATCTACAGGGGTAGACTTACTGCAGAGCTCCCCTACTAGGACAGTGTCTAATGGTGCTGTAGGAGCAAGGTCACCACAGAGAACCCCTACTTTGACAATATCTAGTGGAGCAGTGGGAAGTGGAGCTGCCTCCAAAACTCCAAAATAGTAGTGCATGCAACTTAGCCTGGAAGAGCCACATGCACCTGACAGCAACCTGGCAAACCAAGGAATGGGACTGCCTGGAGTCTTAGGGACCAAACCCTGCTCCAATTTATCTGGAAAGCAAGACATAAAGAGAAGATATATTCTCAAGTTTTAAGATTTAATGTTATTTGCTTTGCTGGATTTTGGACCTACTTGAGATCTATTACTCTTTTCTTCTCTTCTATTTCTCCCTTTTGGGAGTATCTATCCTACTCCTATGTATTCCATGTATCTAATCTCATGTATTCCATACATGGGAATGTCTATCCTAGGCCTGTCCATTGTCTCACAATTATATTTTGGAAGCACATAACTTATTTGATTTCATGGGTTCCCGCTGGAGAACAAATTGTGTCAGGATGGATCATACCTTAAGTCCCACACAAATCTGATTTAGATGATATTTAGATAAAACTCTGGACTTTAGACTTTGGATTTAATGTTGAAATGAGTTAAGATGTTGGGGTGATGGGATGGAATAAATGTATTTTGCATGTGAGAAGGACATGAACTTGGGATGTTCAATTATGGAATTGCTGTAGTCTGAATGTGTCCTCTCAAATTCATATGTTAAAACCTAATCCCCAATGTGGTAGTAAGAGATAAGGCCTTTGGGAGATGATTAGGTCATGAGGACTCTGCCATCATTAATAGGATTAGTGCCCTTATAAAAGATGCCTGACAGAGTTTGTTCAACCTTTCTTCTTCTACCACGTGAGGATGCAGCAAGAAGGCACTATCTCTGAAACAGTGTTTACCAGATACTGAATCTGCTGGTGCTTTGATCTTGGACTTCCCAGCCTCCAGACCTGGGAGCAATCAATTTCTATCATTGATAAATTACCTAGTCTAAGGTACTTTATGTTAGCAGCATGAATGAACCAAGACACCGCTTGCCTGCCTTTTCCACTGATGTATCCCAGTTCCTGAAACAGTGCTTAACACATAAGTAGTACTCAATAAATTGATATGTAAATTAATGAAAGATTGAATGAATGAGTAAATGTCATTATCTTTGGCAGAAGGGGTTTAGCATATTAACCTATCCATGGCCTATATTTTGAGGCTTCAGTTTTCTCTTTAAGATAATTGTTTCTTATTCATGTCAAGTAATATTAATTGTTGTGGTGGGAACACTTAATCACATTATCAGTAGCCTTCTCTCCTATGGGCAAAAATAAGTACTTTCCTTCTTTGTGTCTTCTCATGTTTTCAGGCTGTACTATCATGGGTTTTCTGACATTAGAAATCTCAGGGAATCTTACCACATAGCTGCTTACTGGCAGGGAAAATTTGTCAATACACCCCAACAGGGGATACTCTGTAAGAACCATAAGCACCTAGCATTCTTGTCCTCAGGTGACTAATTCCTGAATTGTGCATGAAAGAGTGTTAAATCACTCCAAACAAAGGAACTCTGTTTAGCTAGGAATCTTGTGTGTTCCATAATTAAAGCTTCTTTCGTAAGTCTTTTTTTCTATGTGATTTCTATCCAATATTTACTACAAAAGAAAAAATGCTTAGAAAATGAATACAACAAATCTGAATGGTCTTCCCCTTGTTGTAAAAATAGATCTTTATTATTTTGCCATTTCCTTTCAGGAATTTTTTTTTTACACTGAAAATGAAATAGTAAGAGATGAATAAGCCTAATAGATATTGGGAAAAGGAGGTAAAACATTTTCTGGGATGAGTGACTTTATTGCTTTACTATATATTGTTTAGAAGAATGTATACATTCTACTCCTCTGGACAGGGAGAGAACAATGCTGTGACTCATGCATATTTTTCCTAATATCTCTCTCTAACAAATGCTTGTTTGTTTGTTTGATGAACTTTGCGGAGAGCTTTTGATAATAAGGTTAAGAATTAAGACATCATCATACAGTGGTGCACAGATGGGCTTCAGCTGATACTTCAGAAAAATAATATCTTCATCCTCCAGCTATTTTTCCATAAATCCAGGCCACCTTTCTGTTTTACAAATAACTTACTTTTAATGCTACTGCTACTTTTTGCCATGATTACAAATTGTCCTACTATTCCTGTCCTCTGAGTAATTGTATAAATAAAAAGTACAAGGTGAAGCAACTGAAATCTCATAAGGGCAATAGTTTTCCCAGATCAAACATGCTGAGTTTTTTAAGGGTCACTTTAAGTTTCTGGCAAGCTTCTTTACATTGCACCATCACGAGTCTGAAAATGAATTAGCTGCTGCATTGAGTCACCTCAGGAAATTAAGTTTCTGTGTTTGTGCTATCTCTGGGACTTGAGCAGTAGGTTTCATTTTAGTTAGAAGGAAACTATACTACCAGAAATAAGGTTCTCCCTACCATTTTTTTACCCCAGAGCTATTTCAGGTGAACAAAAATAATAAACCAGGAAAGAAAATAAAACTACCAATATCAACCAAGGCTATAAAGAAATTAGAGGAAATTATCAAATTGGTCAGCAAGACTGAAAACAAAATGTTTGAACGTTGTCCAGTCTCAATTTTGTGTATGTATGAATGTGTGTGTGTATGTGTATGTGTGTGTACTGAATATCTCTATCATACATGCAAATTTGATTTTTGAAAGTGGCAGAATCACCAAAAATCTTTATAATTTGTGTTTAGAAATTCCACTTTAGACTGTCCTACTCTTTTCCAAATCTCTATCAACCCACACCCTTAGCTGTGTGGCATCTTTTTAACATGTGGAAAAACTTTTAATTCTGCTCTTGTACTTCAGGATTAAAATGCAAAAACATATTGATTTAGGCCAAAATAATAATATAAAGTAGTGTATATTAACATTAAAAACACATAAGGATAAAGGATTTCACATGTGTTTGATGGCAATTATATGATGAATATATTAACAGTAGTGTTTTCTTATTTTGTCCTGATGATATTAAGATGAGAGGTTAAGTAACTTTTCTAAGATTGCGGAGTCAGAATTGTTGGAATAGGAAATCAAAGCTAGATCTATTGCACTACAATGGCCCTGGGCCTTATATTATTACTTTGTTTCGCATGGATAGAAAATATGGATTAGCTGTTGGAGGAAGAAGAGAGAAGATTACTGAACTAAAGTTAAGCTTTTGATGCTTTACAATTTTAAATAAATGTTGTTATTCACTGAAGCTATAATTACATATTGTAGGCAAATTTTGGATATTTTAAGAAGTCTTAGGAACTCTTTAAAATATTGTATATATATAATTGATTATGGATATGTTGATATATATGATATATATCAACATATAAAATATGATATATATCATCACATAAAATCTGATATATATCATATATCATCAATGATATAGATATCATTTATTTAAAATAACTGTGGGTATGTGATCCATTGAGAGATAAAGTTTTTAAACTGTAATTTGTCTTTCAGATTTTAATGCAACTTGTTACACAAGATGAACCCAAACATATTTGACTTTTTATTTTCAGAAAAGCTTAATACATAGTTTTGAATATGGTAAGTGCTCAATAGTTCGCTCTTTTTTTCACCAACTATTGCCCTTGCACACACATACATTTTCATATATTATTTTAATAATTTATTTAGTAGGGTGTTTATATACATATATGCATTTTTCTACCCTGTTGTAATATTTTTCTCCACTAGTGTGTCTATACCTGATCTCAGAGATCAGGTTGTATCCTTTTCATTGATGCTTCCTTACTCATTTTATTTTCCTTTTGAATCCTCATCATACTTGTCATTACTGGTTTAACATCCATCTTTTTTGCAAAAAGTCATTTCCTTGAAAGCAAGGCCATGACTATCTTGTTCACTGATATATCATCAGCCTCTAACAAAATGAGGATAGATAGTAGGAATTTAAGAAGTATTTAATGAATTGAATTTGTATTGAAATTCAGTATTTCCCTTGTAGAATGTAACTGTCCCTGGGATGAGTGACATTAAGTTATGTTCAATTAAAACTATACATTTTCTCTCTCTTTTTTTTTTTTTTTTTTTTTTGAGACGGAGTCTCGCTCTGTCGCCCAGGTCGGACTGCGGACTGCAGTGGCGCAATCTCGGCTCACTGCAAGCTCCGCTTCCCGGGTTCACGCCATTCTCCTGCCTCAGCCTCCCGAGTAGCTGGGACTACAGGCGCCCGCCACCGCGCCCGGCTAATTTTTTGTATTTTTAGTAGAGACGGGGTTTCACCATGTTGGCCAGTCTGGTTTCAAACTCTTGACCTCAGGTGATCCGCCCACCTCGGCCTCCCAAAGTGCTGGGATTACAGGTGTGAGCCACCGCACCCGGCCCATATTTTCAAACAATATCCTAGAAGCCAGTGGTGAACGAGTAAGTGATCTATAAATGATATAAAGATGTTTCAGAAAGTAAGTTGCTGAAATTTCAGTTGTGCTTAGGACTAACTTGTGCTTATAATGCTATTTATTATCTTGGAAAATATTTTTGAGCACCACATATCTTCCAAGCATTCTGTTAATGGTAAGGATTGAGAGAAAAATAAGATAGACTAATTAATGGATTGAACTCTTCAGGAAGATTGGAAAACCTCTGTGAAGATGCATATTACTTAGACCAGAGGTTTCCACATTTTGGATTATGTATATTCACGGAATATTTAGAAAAAGTCTGGGTCTCTTTACGTATTTAAAAATTGCCATTAAGATTTTGTCATATGTTTTAAAAAATAAATAATGTGATTTAAGGCATATTTTAAATGTTATCTCTTAAAAAAATTACCTAGAACCTTTACCTTTTAAATTTCAGTAGAATCGAAATACCACAGCACTTAAATTTTTTTATTTTATTTTATTTTATTTTATTTTATTTTATTTTAAGTTCCGGGATACATGTGCAGGACATGTACCATGGTGGTTTGCTGCACCTATCAACTTATCCCCTAAGTATTAAGCCCCGCATGTGTTAGCTATTTATCCTGATGCTCTTCCTCCACCTCCCCGCTATGACAGGCCCCAGTGTGTGTTATTTCCCTCCTTGTGTTCATGTGTTCTCATTGTTCAGCTCCCACTTATAAGAGAGGACAGGCAGTGTTTGGTTTTCTGTTCCTGCATTCATTTGCTGAGGGTAATGGCTTCCAGCTCCATCCATGTCCCTGCAAAGGACATGATCTGATTTATTCTTATGGCTGCATAATATTCCATGGTGTATATGTATCACATTTTCTTTATCCAGTCTGTCATTGATGGGCATTTGGGTTGATTCCATGTCTTTGCTATTGTGAATAATGCTGCAATAAAAATATGCATGCATGTATCTTTGTAATAGAATGATTTATATTCCTTTGGGTATATACCCAGTAATGGGATTACCACAGCACTTTTATATGCACAACTAGCCATTTAAAAATTCTTTAGCAAACTCTTCTTTCAATACAAATGTTAAATAATGTCTTTCATTTCTTAAATTTTATTGACATTTCATTTGCCTTAGATAATTTTATAAGAAAGTAATATACATTTATATATTTTTTGAGTTAAGATCTCACTATGTTGCACAGGCTAGAGTGCGGTGGCATGATCATGGCTCACTGCAGCCTCAACCTCCCAGGCTCAAGCAGTCCTCCCATCTCAGCCTCCCAAGTAGCTGAGACCACAGGCACACACCACCACAACCAGCTAATTTTTAAATTTTTTATAGAGATGGGTTCTTACTGTATTTCCAGGATGGTCTAGAACTCCTGGGATAAAGCAATGCTTTCATCTCAGCCTCATTAAGTGCTAGGATTACATTATGTTCTATGAACCCAAGATTCTGAGTGCTAAAATGTTTCTCCTAGACTGAGTTATATTTGTAATTATAATTAATACACAATTGATCAAAGTAACATATATAAAACATGATAAGTATAAATGTATAAAATAAAAATTTTTAAATTTATGTGTATAATATAAAGTACAATTTTTGTTATAAATGCAACTATTAATTTTTAAAAGGGACTATATTTTTCACGTAGTTCATTCATATGCTCAAAAATAATTTTTTCTTGGCCATAATTAAAAAATAAAAAACATAATAAATGTTAGCATGAATGTGATAAAAAAGGAACACTTTTACACTGCTGGTGGAAATGTAAATTAGTACATCCACTGTGCAAAACAGTAGGGAGATCCCTCAAAGAACTAAAAGTAGAGCTACCATTCCCCAAAGTAGAACTACTGGCAATCCCATTACTGGGTATCTACCCAAAGGAAAAGAAGTCATTATATGAAGAAGACAAATGTACATGCATGTTTATGGCAGCACAATTTACAATAGCAAAAATATGGACCCAGTCTGAATGCCCATCAATCAAAGAGTGGATAAAGAAAATGGGGTATATATACACCATAGAATACTACTCAGCCGTAAAACAGAATGGTAATAGTGGCTTTTGCAGTAACTTGGATGGAGTTGGGGGTCATTATTTTAAGTGAAGTAACTCAGGAATTGAAAACCAAATATTGTATGTTTTCACTTATAAGTGGGAACTAAGCTATGAGGATGCAAAAGCATAAAAATAATATAATGGACTTTGGGGATTTGTGGGGAAGGGAAGGAGGGGAATGAGAGATAAAAGACTATATATGGGGTCTGTATATTGGGTACAGTGTATACTGCTTGTGTGATGGGTGCACCAAAATCTCAGAAATCACCACTAAAGAACTTATCCATGTAACCTAAAACCACCTGTTCCCCAAAAGCTATTGAAATAAAAAAATTTTTAAAAGATTATTTTTTAATGTTATAATAAGACAGGATTGAAAATCAAATCTATTCCTATTTTTCATCTTTTAAAATAGATGAATACATTGAGAAATGTTTTCTACATAAATTAGGAAATTTATTATACATACATCACACATTTTTCTGAATTACTTTTAAGTTGTTATTATTTTTGATGCTGTATTAGCTGATGATTCAATTATGTCTTGCATATTCGATGTAAGCAAAGAGTAGAATACAATATGACTTATAAATGACACCCTGAAAGTAGACTCAACCTCTTCCTTAATTTCTGGAAAGAATATAAAAATAATTCACCAAAAATTATTCACCATTAATTGTCATTTTACTTTTACTTTGTCATTTACAATTGTACCTTGTTTAACCTGATTTTCTCAGGAAAGGTTAGAAAAATCCAAGTATTGTTAATTTCAACATAACTTTCCTAATAAAATAGCTTTGGTAAGACTCTTTTATTTTAATGTTTTGAATGAATTATTATCAAACCTTTGGAGTTGCTGATTTTGTTTATTTAATTTATGGGAAATATTCGCCATAAATCCTCATTGGAAAAGCCACTTATCTTTGTCAAACTCATCAATCAAATCAAAATTACTTCTTCTTATAAAAATTCCAACTTCATTTCTCATTTTAAATAAACATGTTAATATATTTCCTTGTGACAATCATCTTGAGTCTGAATTCTAAGATGAATAGATGGATAAGGTCTAAACTTTGTCTTGAGTAGGTCGTACCCTAGATGAAATAAGGTTCCATTGCTTTTAACATGTCTTACCAATGTTCCTTCTGTTTTTTATTCACAGGATTGTCCCACAGGATAAATGCATGAAAAAAGTTGGAAAAGAGAAATTGAATTACATCCTAATTGTAGTGTTTTCTCAGGCAGATCAATTTTAGAAAGAGAACATTGACTTGGAAAACTGAAGAGTAATTATTCTAAAACGGTTGTAACAGTTTACTCCTTTTATGTTTGCAAACTTCCAGGATTAGTGAGTTGCATAAAGTCACATAATTTATTGCGTTGGTGCAAAAGTAATTGTGGTTTTTGCCATTAACAAAACCGCAATTACTTTTGCATCAGCCTAATATAAGTGAATAAATTAATATTAGAACACAGGTCTAATTAAAAGGTTCTGCTGTGTTGTGTCCTGTGATAACACAGAAAACAAACAAATGGATAATTACAGAAAAATTTTGGATATAAAATTAGCAGGTAATTTTCTCCCTCCTTTCCTTCCATCTTTCCATCCTTCTTTGCTTCCTTTGCTTTCTTCTTTTCCTTTGTTTTTTGTTTCTCTCTCTCTCTTTTTTTTTTTTTTTTTTTTTTTTTGCAATTTGGAGAAGGAAGTACTTTAAAAGAAAAGTTAAAAGGCAGACATAGATAGCATGAAGCCTAATTGCAAGATCTTTTTCAAACATATTAGTTTTAGGAAATAGCACCTGAATTTAAGTCCCTTAAAATTGTCTATGTCTTCACGTCCAAGTCTCTATATTTGCAGGGCTGTGTACAATCTAGACTGAACATGCTTGACCTAAAAACAGAAGTAATACCTGGGGCAAAGCACGATGTGCACCACAGTCTTCTCTCTTTAGTGTGTTAAGATAAAGTTGATTCCCAGAGTAGCCTGCCATCACTAACTCTGAGGGATGGTGGGCTAATTTTGATAGAAGGAGCAGAGGTGGTAGTTAGGAGGAAGGTGACTCATCATCATTGTATCAGCAGGCATTGATGACTGGAAATATCAGGGGGCACAGCCTGAAAGAGAATGGCTTAATTGGAATTGATAGTGGGAACTTGGAAATCAATACATATGCACTGAACAGAAAATGGTATGCTATAATCTACTATACACTGTATGTGAAACCCAAGCTCCAAATTTTTCGGCCCATGCAATGTCCAGTAAAATTTCTCTTAGTTACATTATAATTGCAATGTACATGTATTTGAGGAAAAAAAAAGTGAAAGAAAAAGTAACTAAAGAAAAGTGGAAATGCAAAACTTTGTTTTTATTAATGTTAAAATTTATTTTGATCAACTTGCTATTCTTAAAATTGACCAATCTTCTTCCCTTCCTTGCCTCTTCCATGGTTTATAGGATTATTTTTCAGGGCTGATCAGTTGGTGTTACATGTGACTACTATGCTTAATGCTATCTGGCTTCTAACTTTAAGCACTGAAAAAAAGTCCTTCGTATTTCTCAGTGTGTGATTGAACTGAGATGACCATCCTAAGCCTCCTCATTACATAAATCCTTACCTTCTCCAGAAGCAACGAATGGTGTTGAGAATAGCATATGTTACTACTCAGCCATATTCCATAGCCTTTTCTCCAAGATATTTTTCCAAAGTTGCCCCTTTTCTGAATCCCTTGCAAGCAAACAAACAACAAAACAATGGGTAATAAAATAATTGTTTAACTTTCATTTATATGCTCTGAGATTGATGTGATTTTGATAAATAACTATATTAAAAGACAAATGGGAGTGGTGATTTTGTGAAAAGCCCATGCCTCTGCCCATGGAATATGTGGCTTGGCCTGGAGCTCTTATTTTACTTATATATTTCTAAGCAGAATTATTCAAGAATGTCTCTTATTACAGGTCTTGAAACTTGGACAGCCAACAGAAAGGAAGCTAATAAATAAATTTGTCAGAACACGATTCTCAGTTTCACTTATTTTGAATTAAAGGTAACCTGGAAAATGGATTAGGAAAACAGCCTATAATCAGAGGAGTGACCCCAGTGAGACCCTGTCATTAAAACTTTAGTGTTGAGCCTGCAAACCTCTGTTCCTCTGATTAGGCAATTTACTCCATTTCCACCTTTCTGTCTGCCAAAACATTTAGTGGCAAAACATTTTCTAATTCTCTAGACTCATAAAATGTTGTTTTGAAAAAAAGTAAAACAGAATGGATTACCTTTTTAAGCTGTCTATCATAATGTAATCAGAAAACATGAGGGATTAATAGATAATATTGTAAAGAGGCAAAGGCAGCAGATGTTATTTAGATGAGCAGAAGGTCACAGACCTCTGTTGAGGATTGAAAGCTTGAGGTACGTGCCTTTGTTCCTCAGTGTGTGTGGATCAGAGTGATTACTGATATCAGTTAGCAACATGGTGGAGGGGACAAACTGGGGCTGCATTTTCACTATGTTTATTATTGCTCAAGGTCAAAAAGTGACTGTGTAGTGCCTCAGTTTTTACATCTTTGTGTTATCAATATTTTTTTCTATTACCTTACAAGTTTATTTTGATGCTGTAATGATGAGACAGTGTTTTGAAAAGTTCTAAATAAATAAAAGGGTATTCTCTAACTTTTAAATTCTGACTTTGATATTTTAAAACTATAACAGAGTTTCAAAACATATGGAGAAAAAACCCAAATAGAACTCAAAAGAGAAATGGACAAATCCGTAATTTCCATCATTATTAGGGATTTCAACATTCCTCTTCCAGTAATTAATAAAACAAGCAGACAGAAGTTTAGAAAAACTATGCAAGACTTGAACATACTGTTAACCAAATTGGCCCAGTCCTCCAATAGTGGAAATAAAATGAAATACTAAAATAGTCAAACAAAAGGAAGACAGGACAAGAGTTGAACAAGGATAAAGAATAGGTGTGACAAATGATACAAATAACAATCTGGTAAAGTGAAAACCAGCCATATCAATAATATAGTAAAGGAAAATAGTCTAAATAGAACGGAAATGTTTAAGATTTGAAGACTGGATATAAACCAAGCTTCAATGTGATGATATATACAAGACAGATATTATAAACATAAAGATATAAAAAATTAAAAATAAAAGTGTGAAAATCTATATGATACAAACACTAACCATAAGAATGCTGGAGTGGCATATTATATCAGACAAAGAGAGTATTAAAGTAGATATAGAAGAACATTACATATTGATAAAAGAAAATGCCAGTTAGGTCAAGTTATTGATGGTATTTATCAGACTTTCAATATTCTTCCAAATATATGTGTGCATATATATATATATATGCACACATATATATATACATACACATATATATATTATATATACACACACACACACACGTATTCATTTGTATCGGGTACATATACTCCTTGACTTATGATGGGATTACATCCTGACAAACCAGTAAGTCAAAAATATCATAATTTAAAATGTATTTGATATTCTGATAAATAAATTAAGTGAAAAAATCTAAGTCAAATCATCATAAGTAGGAGACCACCTATATAAATAATTTGCAATTCAATAAAGAGATAAACACCCAAATAAAATGGTGCAAGATTAGAATATGCATTTTACAAAAAAGTTACAGGAATGTCTAAAAATTACATTAAATAATGCTCAATATCATTAGTTATCAAAGAAATGTAAATTAAAATCACAACGAGTTAACGTTTCATATTCTCTGGAATAGATATAACTAAAAAAATTGACAGTGCATGTGCAGGTGAGGAGCCAGAGGAACTGAAATACCTTATATATTGCTGTTGGTGGTATAAAAACACTTTAGAAAAAAGTTTAGTAACACTTGTCAAGTTAAAAATACTGTTATCATGTGACCTAGCAATTCCTAGTTATTTGCTCAAGAGAAATGAACATATATGTTCCTAGAAGCAGGATTATTTATAACACAGTGTAGTCTCAAACTGGAACCATCAAAGTGACCATTAACAAGTGATTGAATGTATTAATTGCTTTACATTCATACAGTAGGGTACATCTCTACAATAATAACTACTGATATACTCAACAAATAGGAGGGATTTCACAGACATTGTGGTGAGTGGAAACATTCAGACACAAAAGATTGCATACTTTGTGATTTCATTTAAATGAAGTCCTTAAACTGCTGAAACTAAACTGCAGCATGTCATGTTACAAGAACTTTAGTGCCAACATGTAGAGGCTTTCCATTAGCTAAAAATGGGCATCTATCTGGGATAATATCTGCAATAGATTGCAAACATATCAAATATGTTTACATATAAGACTTTAAAATGGCAACAAAAATAATTTGTTCATAATTTGGAGAAGGCTAAGGAGCAAACTTGTGAATGCTTGTAAACAAATGAGAAAGTATCAAGCACTTATTCTGCCTTTCCTATATCATCTGTACTATATAATTACTAAGAGGCAGTTCCTTTTCACAGAAGTATTATAGCTAATACATAAAGAAAACGTGATGGAATTTGACAGTGACCACTTTGAAACCAGTACAGAAATAATACATCTTGACACTGAGCATCGGTGAGTGGTAATATCAAACACAGGCAAACAGAAGACAGCCAGATGTTATATTACTCATGGTAGATCTGTGCCCTGACATGTATGAAGTATCCTTGACACAAAAAATAATAAATCTGAATCAGTGCCACCTCTCTATCTATCAATTTACAGAAAAGATAGGTAACAGAGGACATGTTAGATGACACCAGAGGAGTGCTGTCAGAAAAATTTAAACTGTGGGAAACTACAAGAAAAATACTGTTTCTTCCATTTGTAGATTGCAAGAATAAAAGAATGGTAGAGAAAATTTATAGATTAATAGAGACTTAAGAGATATTTCTGTTATTTGCCATGTATGGCATTTAGTTGGATTATGATTTGAACAAATGCTATGTTAAAATTCTATGAGGCAATCAGAACAATCAGGAAATACGAATGCTGGGTGAATTAAAAAATGTTTGTGAATTTTTAAATTTTTCCAAGTATATTATGGTTATATTTTTAAAATGTTCTTAGTTTCTAGAAAAAATACTAAAATACTTATAGATATTATGTTATTTTATATTATGTTAGGGATTTGCTTCAGAATAATTTGGTAAGTGGTGTTCTTGTGGTGCTGGTTATAGATGAAACAAGATTGTCTATCAGCTGCCAATTATTAAATCTTGGTTAATAGGTACTTTGGGGCCTTTTATACAATTTTCTTTACTATTGTATATAATTGAAATTTTTCACAGTAAAGGGATTTAAAAAAAAGAAGTGTCACTCTATTCCTCAAGTTAGGCATGGATTTTGGTTGGCGGATCACTGAGCACCATCAAACCAAAGTGGTAGCTGGTAATAGCTTATACAACGATCTAATGCTAAGGGAATGTCCAACAGATACTTGCAGGTTTTATTCACTGCTTTCCCTTGACTTTTAAGCAACAACACATTTTGCATTACATAGTTCTTATATCCAGTTTATCATTCATAGAGATCGATCTTAATTTTTTAAAATGTGTTTTGCAGTTGTTGCTATTTCAAAGATCGCAGATGACATAAATGCCCAACTTACTTCTTCTTAGTAATCAGTCTAGTCATGAACATGGTTTCTTGAAATAAAATTTTACCCATTTTAGTAAGACATTGTGTTCATTCTGACTTAATAGCATTTTTGTCTTTATATGATCTTGAAATGTAAATGTCATCTAAGAGTTTACCCAGGCAATCTCGTTGACTACACCCTGTAAGACAACATAAGCCAAGTGAAGAAATCATTTCAGGAACATTCAAAAAGGTTAACTGTAAAGATTCAAGATGACTGAAATGCTGTATTTGGTTATTTACTTTTGGGCAGGGAGGAGGATGATGGTAGTCATGCAGGAGGTTTCAAAACTGAGACCCAGCAATGATCAGATATTTGATAAATAATTGTAGAGTGGAGGAGTTAAAATACAGGATATCTAACAGTGCAATATATTAAGGAGACAGTGAATATAAACATAAATATCTGTTGGGGTTTTATTTAGATGCTCCTCAATTGTTTCAATAAATATATTGAAATGAATGAAATTAGCATGATCATTGTGAATACTATGGTGGAGTGAAAAGTTGATTACATTTGCTTGAGGAATGGTCAGGAGTTAAGAAGGTATATTCTGAATAGACTAAAATAACCTAATGGGTCAATTTCTCAACCAAGAATATATATTTTCTATAGATATTTATTAAGTTTATTTATAAATACCTACTCCTAAATCTATTATCATTGTGAAACTTTTAAAAATTACCTCAGGCAGAACGAGTGTTTTTCCTTTGATCGCTCAAACATAATTGCTAATTGCTATTTAGCCTTATTCTATTTTGTCTTACATGCTATTTACTATCTTACCAAGCAAAGATGAATTCCTTGTATGTGTAATAGATTTCTTCAATACTGTACTAAGTGTCTGAGGAAATAAATTTAATCAAAGAAATTTCATACATGTGAAAATAACTTAAAATTTTAAGGTCTCCAGAAAGGAGATTCTACAGATTCTCTTAAAGTAAATGAAATAGCTAATGTCTGTTTATCTAGCTATCTTGTTTACACTGATGATCAATAACAGTTGGCAACTATTTAGTTTAAGAGCCTGTGAGGGAGGCTGCTAGTTGCCTACAGCCATCTATCTCTTCTTTTTCAGTAACTGAACTCCTGTGTTATTTTGGATGGCAATGTGCCCAGTAGTTAACAAGTACAGCTATAGTTTTCTCTTGCATAAATAGGGTTTGCATGGAATTTAAGTAAAATTCTGATACAGCATCTGAGAAAACTCACTTCATTCTTCCTCCTTCGTGGACTGTAGATGTGATGGTTGGAGCTCCAAATATACCTGTAAGGTAAACTTGAGGACAGAAGCCAGATGCTAAGGATGGAGGAGCAAAAAGATAGGAGACTGGATTGCAGCTTATATTGCAGAGTTACCATACCTGATCTTGACCACCTACTGCTAAATTTTGTGTATATGAGAGAAAAATGGACAGTAAGTTTAAGGCATTGTGTTGGCAGGGAGGAAGGGTTTGACTACCAGCTGAATGCAATTCCTGTATAATACTCCTCACATGTATTTTAAGATATAGTAAATCAATTATATTTTTCTTATAATGATTACTTCCAGCTCTTTAAACCTTAACTTGATGATTAATTCACTGGCGATTAGCATTTCTAGGACTATTGCAGAATCTATCCAAATTTTCCATTTTGAAGATGGCTCTATAAAAGACATAAAAATACCACGAGGCCTTCATGTAGAGGGAAGAAATGTGTAAAATTATATGATGAGAATTTCTTTCATTATTATAATATGGATATATAGTTATGTTATTTGCCATTCAGGAATACAAGAAACATTGTGTAACTCTTAAAGACTGAAAGAAAAACTAATGCAACAGTTTTGAAGATAATAACATCAAAAGTAACTATGCAATTTCTCTAAATATGCATTAAGCTTTAAAGACTGAAAATGAACGAAATGAATTTGGCTCCTGGTTGCAAATCTCATATATATATATATATATATATATATATATATATATTTTTTTTTTTTTTTTTTTTTTTTTTTTTTCCAAATTGGAGTCAGATGTTTCTAAATATCTCATGGAATATTCCCAAAGATTTTACATGTGTAGTTTTTTGTTGTAATTTGAAGTTAGTTAGATTTTTTTCTAATATTGGATGCAATTAAACTACATTCTGGGCATACATAATTCAGATTTTAAGAAAATTAATTCTGTTTAGCCAGTCTATAGATTAGTTGGCATTTAATACATTTTATAAAATAATCTGTTACAGTTTATGCAAAGCATAAAAGAGTAAATACAATGCAGATAAGGGAGTTAGGGAAAGAAACATTTCTATGCACTTGAGATGATAAAAAATAAATTTAGAAAAGAATCAGCTTCATCAGTAATGCCTGTTTAAAATGATTTGCTTTTTAAGGTCCGAAGTTCACTATAAAGGGTCTTTGAAGAGGCAATAAAATCTGTTATTGATTTTCATATTTTTAACAAAGATGACATGGTTCTATTAGTGGTCATGCTTTTCGATTTGTGTGTTTAAACATACTTTAACCCCCTATTTAATGTAAGTCTCTTAGGCTTCATTTTTTCCACTTGCAAAGTAGTTCTCAGAACAATCCTTCTGAACCTGCCTCAGCAACGATTCTGAGAGTATTTGGTTTTTCTCTGGTAGGTAGTTTTGGTGATTTTGCTACTTAAATGAAAATATCTTTTATTTTCCTAAAAATATTGGTCTAAAGTCTTTGGACTGGAAGGAGTGGATAAAATGAGAATTGAAGTTGACAGCTGTTGACCTAAGGGGATTCATGACTGTCTGCAAACTACAGGAAGGAGTCCTCCTACAGAACAAATATAGATGAACTTAATGTTTTCTTGCAGTTTGTGTTTTGTTTCCAGTCTTCAAAGTTGGAAAAGTTTTGTGTTTTCCAATAGCAAAGAATTGGCCTACAAAATCTATGAATCATAAGTTAAAGTACATAGTTGTAGTGTTTCATTTTATTTTGAGTGTTGTGCATTTTATAACACAGGTTATTTACTCCAAACTTATCTGCTCAAGTTCCTCAAGTATTGTGCCATGACTTACACATTTACCAGGGTAAAATAGGACAAATTTGAATATCAACATTTATTTTAAGGCACCAACATTTATTTCCTCAATTATTGTGCCGTGACTTGCACATTTACCACAAGGAAGGGCATGTAGTAGCTGAAGCAAACTTCCTCAGCTTTCAGGTAGTAATCTTCCAACTACTGTTGGCAGCAATGCAGATTGTCAAATGCACACCTAAACTTAAAATTTGGGGATAATTCAGAAAGAATTCCGAGATGTTTATCCTAAAGATTATGTGTTAGTTACACTTAAATAGAGGCAAATTAAGCTTGAAAGTAATCATTAAACATAAAATAGTTCCTGGGATCTGCTACACTTAATTAAATCAAATTTATTTTTCTCCAGTTCTGTATCAGGTAGCGGGGGGAAAGTGAGGAATTCTGGATTTGGAGCTTGAGGTCCGGGATTCAAGTTCCAACTTTGCAGCTTATTACCTCCACCACTTTTTGAGGTACTGCTATGTCTCAGCATAATTCTTATCTGAAAGAGAACAATTGAGTAATTGTATAAATGGCACACTTTCTATGTTCTCATTGTTCAAAAGACCACAGTATTTTGCTTGTATATTGCTATGGACATTACTATGGATCAATATTAAGTTTGATGTAACATTAACCTTAACATTTCAAATCGCTTTCTGAGTTACACTTTAAGCCTTGGCTCTAGATGCATTATTGTGAAGTAATATCTATGTGCTAATTTTCTCATTAATTAGTATGCCCTTGGCATATGGCACCGTATGCTGCAAACTTCCAAAAAAATTACCATAGCATAACTTTATTACTGCAAATCATAACATTGGCAATAAATGATTTAGTAAGCATAGTGATATTTAACAGAACCTTCAAACAATTATTATAGCATATTTAGTATGCACTTCATCAAAGCCTTGTGTGTAGTCTCAACGACAGTAACCAATATAGTTATATAAAAAAAATACTAACGCCATGACAAATATGGTCAATAATTGCTGTACATATGTACTCTCCATGTGGTATTTAAGAACTGTTTGTATTACTGTTTTTATGTAGTCTGGTTAAAATGATGCCCTCTAAAATATAATATCACCCTCAATCATAGAAAGAAATAAAATACACATTTCTGAAAAGGTTTAATTACAATTTTATGCATATCCTAGAATTAATATCTATGTAAACATATTTTATTAAAAACACATTTGGATATTAATTTCTTTCTTGAAATACTCATTAGACTTTTTCTACAAATATATGCTTCCATACTCCTGTAGGGGACTGCCACTTTTTATTGTTGTTTTTTAGACATAGGTGTATTCTGTTAAAATTAATTGGATATGGTTTCTAATTAGCAAATTGAAAAGTGTGAAGAGAGAAGAGTAAATGATGGCATTATATCACTAACCACCTGATATGGTTGGGATGTTTGTCTTCTCCAAATCTCATGTTTAAATGTGATTCCTAATGTTGGAGGTGGGGCCTGGTGGGAGGTGATTGGATTAAAGGAGCAGATCTCTCATGAATGAAAGCAGATCTCTCATGAATGAAAGCAGATCTCTCATGAATAAGAACAGATTTCTCATGAATGCACCATCTCTTTGGTGATAAGTGAATTCTTGCACACTTAGTTGATATGAGATCTGTTTAAAAGAGTCTGGGACCTCCCCTGTGTTTCTTGTCCTCTCTTTGGTCATGTGATGGCACCTACTTTCTTTCACCTTCCACCAAGAGTAAAAGTTCCCCAAGGGCTCACCAGAAGCCAAGCAGAAGCTGGTGCCATGCTTCCTGTATAGCCTGCAGAATGTGAGCCAGTTAAACCTCTTTTATTTATAAATTATCCAGTCTCAGATATTTATAGCAACTCTAAAAATGACCTAATACTCTACCATCCACCATCTTTTCAACTGGTAAGTTCTTTCAGTTTATCGCTTCAGCGACATGAGCCTGTTCCCCAGGTGTAGTCACTTACATGCCTCCTGTGTGTCTATATATTATAATTTATCCATCTTTTAATATTTTGTTAGGGTAAACCATTCTTCCCTTGTGTGTTTCTATATCCTGGGGGGAGGGGAACTCTCTGTCCATCAACTTTTAAATGAAAAAATTTTAAAATAAAGCCAAGGATGCTTTTAAAAGAATATAACTTTTTTAAAAAACAGAAGGAAACGATCTTAGGAATAATAAAATGTACCTGGTTAATTTTACTCTTGACAGAAATAAAATCCAGTGAGATTCAACAAATTGTCAAGTTACACACTTCTGAATGACAGATTTGGGACCAGAAGCTAGACCTCAGGTATCTGATGGTGTTCTTTGAATTGTGTCCAAGTATTCTTGTTCCCTAAGGAGAGGTATGGAACAAATCAAGGTGATAGGCATGAATATTTATTATTACCAGAGAGTAAGGGATCCAAAGGTTCTGAGGTGTTATCTCTTTTTGAAACTTACTGCCTATTATTGAAACTCATCTTTTGAATAAGGTATGAGAATGACAATATATTCTCCCTTAATTTTGGGCCCCTTTTCAATAAATTAAGTGTTTAGTGTTCTCTGCTACAGACTGATTTGGTAGAAAACATAAAGGTTGTGTGTAATATCAACCAACATCCTATCAGTTATGTTTATGTAAATTTATATGACTAAATTTATATTAAAAATTTAAAAGCTAAAAATAGGATCACCTTAAAATAGGACAAATTTGAATACCAACATTTATTTTTACTAAATGATAATTGGCACAATGACAGACAAATAATCTAATGACAGACAAATAGTCTAATAGACTACAGGAATAGGTGTACACATGTACAATGACTGTTAATTTATAATAAAGATGTAGCTGCAAATAGTAAGACAAGAGTGGTTTTTCTCAGTGAATAATGCTGGGTCTAATGTACATACAAAAACAGAGGAAAATCATCAATCAGTACTTGACACCCTAGATAAATTTCAATTCCAGGTTAATTCTGTGTCTAAATATAAATGATAAATAATAAGGCTTCTTAAAGGTAATAACATAATTTTTAATGAAAGATTATAATATAGGACATAAACAGTACTAACAAAAATATTAGTAATGCTTTCATTAAAATTAAGAATTCTAATTTATCAAAAGACACTATTATTAAGAGAGGGAAAAGTCAAATCTTTGAGTAGGTGAATATATTTGTAATATATATAATGTTTAAAAGTTTCATGTTCAATATACATAAAGATCTCCTCCAAACGAATAAAAATGAGACAGATGGTCCAATAGAAAAATATATGAGAGAACTGAGCAAGCTCTTCACACAAGAGGATCTCCAAATGGCCAATAAATATATTAGAAGGTGCTCAGCCTCATTCCACAACAAATAAATGAAATCTTATTACAACAGCCTGCAATCAACCATAATGACTGAAATTAAAAATACGAATAATACCAAGTGCTCGCAGTGATGTAGAACAATCCTATTTCTGATGAGACAATAAATTGTTAACTCTTTTTTGAAAACTACTACACAGTGTCTTCTAAAGCTTAACACACATACACTCTATAACCTAAGGATTCCATTCCAAAGTATATTCCCAACAAACGTGTACATATGTGCACCAAAGGACATGCACAAAAATGTCAGAGAAGCATTATTTTTTCTACATTTTTATTGTGGTGAAATAACATAGCATTAAATTTACCATGATAACCATTTTTAAATGTATAATTAAAAGTAGGAGCTATATTTACATTGTTGAACAACTGATCTCTAGAAATTTTTCATCTGAAACTCTATACGTAACACTAACTTCCTCTCTTCCATATGTCCCTCCCCCAGCCTTGGCAACTACCTTTCTGCTTTCTATTTCTATGCTTTTGACTAATTCAAATACTTTGTAGGAGTAGAACCATATAGTATTTGTCATTTTGTGACTAGCTTAATTTGCTTAGCATAATGTGCTTAAGTTTGGTCCTGTTGTGGCATGTGATAGGATTTCTTTTCTTTAGAAGGCCAAATAATCTATTGTGTGAATATATCACATTTTCTTTGTCTATTCATCTGTTGATGGACATTTGATTTCCTTCCACCTCTTGCCCATTGTAAATAATGACTCTATGAATATGGGTGTGCAATTATATCTTGGAGATCCTGCTTTGAATTCTTTTGGTAAATACCCAGAAGTGGTATTGCCAGATCGCATGGAATTTCTATACTATTTTTTATAGTGACAAAACCATTTTCCATTCCCACCAATAGTGCACAAGGGTTTCAACTTCTCCACATGCTTGCCAACACTTATTTTCTTTTTTGTTGTTGTTGATAGCGGCCATCCTGATAGATGTGACATTATAATCTCATTGTTGTTTTGATTTGTGTTTCTCCCACCATTAGTAATGTTAAACATCTTTATGTTTATTAACTATTTGTATATCTTTTGGATATTGCCTATTCACATTCTTTGCTCATTTTTAATCAACTTTACTTCTGTTGTTCCTGAGTTGCAGAAGTTCCTTATAAATTCTGGATACTAATCTGTTATCAGATATGATTAGCAAATATTTTTTCTTTGCAGGTTGCCTTTTTACTCTGTTGACTGTTTATTTTGATGTACAGAAGTTTTTGAGTTTGATATGTTCTTGTTTGTCTATGTTTGCTAAGAGCAGCATTATTTTCACTAGCCCCAAAGTGAAAACCTCCAAAATAACAAGAAATATGAAATAACTGCTGGTAAATCAGTAGCATAAATCAATTCTGCAAACATATATTGAGTGAAAGAAACCAGACAAAAATGTATATTTATGCTTCATTGATTTAAAGTTCCAAAGTAGGAAAAATTAATCATGGCTATTATAATTCACAGAGAAAATACCTTTGGTGATAAAGGAAGGGTCGCTATTATAAAAGAGCATGAGAGAGGCTTCTGGTGTGGTTGCAATACTAGCTATTTTTCTTGAATTTGGTGCTAATCATCTTTGTATACTTATTTTGTGATAACTATTTGAACTCTGCACATATGAATTGAACATATTCTGTGTATATGATACTGTTCACTGAAAAATATGAAAAATAAAGCTTATCAAGGAATGAAAAGTTGAGTAATATAGCCCATAGCCTGCTCATAAACTCTGAAGCTCTAGTCCTTTCCTTGTTTTATACAATTTTCAATTCAGACAAACTTTGATTTCTCTGTATCTATTTTTACAACCACACCTTAAAAAAATTAATCCTATTGCTGATATCTACTACCATCAGCCAAGTCATGGTATCACAGATATTTGTAGCACATTGAAGAAAGAAAAATTTTAAGCATTCCTGGAAAACGTTTTGTTTAGCTGCATTTACGTCACTTGGAGAATATAATAATTTCTTTACTCAATTACCTACACAGATAATTTAAGGCTTAGAATGCAATTAAATCAGCTTGCTAGACATTTAACCACAGGAATACAATATACCTGGAGATTTAAAAGTGAGTTGAGAGCCTTCTTTGCAGCCTTATTTCTAAAAGCTTCATTAATTTTAAGCCTCATTCTGGTGAGTTTGGCTATCTAGTTTATATTGGGAAAGTAGATGAAGGAAATAACTTTTATTTACTCTGATCCATCTATATCTGAAATGGAATTATGATAATATTATTTAGTATTTTTTATATTAAGCACCTGGAAATGATTTCTCTGAAGCAGTACCCAGGCAAAAATCAAGCAGATGATATTTTTTAGAAATGTTCTATCTCAAATAACCCAAATGAACATAAGTTTATTTAAGGAGCCTAAAGACAACATTTAGGTCATCACAAATATATGAATAAACTATGAACACCTAAAGCAACTATTTCTAAGTAAAATAAGTTATATATGGGTATAAATACTAATGATATGAATGGAGATTTTAAATTTTACTTTGATGAGTTCAAAGTAAATGGTACTATTCAACTTCTTTCAATTGTTCATGTTTGCTTCTATAGGTGATATTTATATTTGCTATTTTTGTGGCAAGTATTAGAAATAATTATGAACTTAATATAGTTTGTACAGTCCCATATTGTGTTGCCTCATATTTCACTCGAGCTCATTTCACCTGCTAATACATGCTTTATATTTTTCTACATTTCTATGTTTTTTACTGCAAAAATAACATTTTTGAACAGATAAATATAATGACATACAATCAAGGTAGTGTTTAACAACCCATATGTTGATGCTGTATTAGAAACATCTTTTTTTAGAAGTGAGAAGCAATATAATTTTCTTAATAAAAAGTTACAACTGGCTGGATAGGTATCATTGTAAATGTCTGAGGATATGGTATTTAACAAATTCTTGAATATAGCATTTAAGAATTTTATTAAATAACATGTATGTTGGTATTGGTATGTGATACACTTTTAAATAAAATATACCTAGATTATTGTGTAAAATCATTTTTTATGAGGTCTTAGGACTGTAAATGCATTTAATGATGCTACACTCTATTATTTTACTGAAATAACAGATTTTTAAAACTCATTCATCTATCATATTGCCAACTGTAAAGTACTTGAAAGACAATGACTAAGACAAAGTAAGATATATATCAAAGGCAAATTCAATCAGTCTCCTCCGACTGCAATGCTAATAATATAGCTTTAGATCAGTGTTTGATTATCTTAGTAAGATTATGGATAGGCTCTGTGACTTTAACGTACTCCTCATATTACCTGGAGGGATTTTAATTATTGCATAGGTTAAAATATAATTTTCAAAAGCAGCAAAATCAAGTCCTTCAGGCAAATATAAAATAAACGTGTCAAATATTTTATTTAACTCATTTATTAGTAAAGAAACCTGTAAGATGTTACGACTGGTTCAAAGAACACTTAAGAAGTTAGGTTATTTGTAGTCAATTTATCAAAGAAAATTTAGTATAAGATTGCTGAGTTGGATATAAAACTCTTTAATTTTCAGTAGTTTATGAATTTTGGGGGTTATCTGTCCTAGCAGACAAATTGTTTCCACGTTTATTGGACAAATTCTGCAAATTAACAAGTAAATAAATCTGTGACCTTTAACAGTAAAATGAACCAGGTACATTCTCCTGGACAATCCTTGTGTAGCTTTTACCTCTATATAAAACTGAAAGGATGCGTGATCCATATTATTTTCCTTATTATTAAGTTTTGGACGTTTTTTTCTTTTATAAAATAGATATGCAACTTATCTTCATACAATATAGAATTTAAAATTGACAAATAGAGTTTTCCTCACTTAAGACTATTTGGGCAGAAGGGGTAAAATTATTCCCTAATTCAAGGGCCAGGCTACCGGTTATTAAATACCAAGAAGGAAGAGATGTAGTTTTAAGAGGTGCAGAGAACTGTGGGCATTTATACTTCAAGTGATGCGATGAAATTGACTGTAACTAATAGAGTGTGAAATAGTCTCCCAAAGAACATAATGAAGTCCTAAAGAAAACAGTTGAAAGCAGGAGTGGATGGAGGCCTTGAAAATACAAGCAAAGAAAATCGCTGCATTCGAAGTTGATTTTTAAGTTGTTAGAAAGTGTTGCTGCATCTAATTTTGTTATTTTTATTCATGACTGGCCATGTGTCATCTTAGTGCTGATTTTCCTAATTTATATGTACTCCAGAAAACAAAATGGAATCAAAGAATCCATTGCTTATTGGATTCTGTAAATACCAAAAAATTACAGCAAATATTTGCTACTTAGATAGAGTGTTGTCTGGAGACATGCATTATGGGGAAAGTTGCTAAGCTGATTTCTTTAACTGATCTCAGCACTGATTTGGGGCATAATTGATATTTTAGTCATGTGTCTTGTTAAACATGCTAGATGGCATAATAGTCTTGTGCTGCAGACAATTACTCCTGAGGGTCTTTACTAAGAACCTAAACTACTTCAGAAACCAACAGAATTAGATATAAATGAGTTTCTGTTATAAACAATATATCTTATGTTAATGGAAATAAACTCAGCACATTTTAATAAATATAGTGATAATAAATAGCAAGACATTCCTAGGAGCTTAAATAAAAAACAGTAAATTTTATATTAGAGGTAGACTTATTTATATTTATGATTAGCATTTCAGCAATATTTCCCTAAAAATGATTTCTGTCATACATCAGTGTTTTTTAAAAAATAAATTTCATCATCAAGCTATTTTTTCATCTTAAAATCTATTTTTTTGTATTATACTTGTTTATCTCCCAAGCATGCATTTAATGTATATTAGCTACAATTTTTTAGAACTATTTAAAACATGAATAGTTGAAGGTGAATAAATCATTAATTGTATTAATGTTTCTGTGGTCAGTAAATTTCCCCAGTTTATATTTAATTCTATTGGACCAGTGATGTTGCAATTCTGTAGTAACTTCAAGAACGTTGGTCTTGTTTCCATGTTTGATTTAGCAATTAAGCTTAACTTGATTAATATGACTATATATGTGTAGTCTTTTAAATTTATGTGGGATTGAAGTGCATTTTTTGGAAGTTGAGTTTTGTATTTACTTCTTATTTTATATAACTATTACTCTTTATAATAATGGTGATAGTCTTGCTCATAAAATTTTAATCCTTGGCATCTGAAAGCAAACATACTTTGTAATTATTTTAAAAGGCCCTTCTAACATTATAACACAAAGGCCTGTGCCTATAAGCAGTGCTCCACTGTGCAGTATAACATTAAGGCTAATTTTGAATACAAAGCGTTATGAGTGGAGTCATGAACCACTGGATTTAATACACATCATTTTATAATTTTTTTGGCAACTTTTTTGTTTTGAGAATCCTCTGTTTCCTCGGGGTGCTCAGCAGCTTGGAGTCCTGCAACAGATTCTTCTTTTCCTGAATAAGTCATTTTCAGAGTCATCTGGATTTTTAGAATCAGATGAATCCTCACATTATCATAATCATCATCTTCATCATCATCATCATCTTCATCATGGTCAGCAGCAGCAGCCTCTCCAGCTACATCACCTTCTTCATCATGATGTACTTCACTAAAGCCAAGTTCACAGTGTCATCTGTCCCTTCCTGAAAATTGACTATTGACACCTGGCTGATATTGAAACTCCAGTTCCTCATCAATTTTCTTGTCTTCTTCCCCTTTTCAGAAGTAAGATATTGATTTTTGATCTCCTGTAACAAGACGGCCAGTTTGTTCTTTCTTTTCTACACCCATGTCTAAAGAATGTTTACTTTCTTTCTTCATTACCTAAGTTTGCTAATTACAAATTGCTAGGTCCAAGATTGTTGTCTGTGAAGACTGAACACTTCACCCTGTGAGGATAGGACTCCCATGGTGGTGCTCATCATTTTGGGATCTGGAAGGAAAACGCTAAACCTACTTGTGGTTCTTAGCAGTGTTGCCAGCAGCCTGCCATCTGCCAGGGCTGAAGTAGCCCACTCGAGAATGCTCTTCACAATTCATTCATTTTTAAGGGGTTATAAAAAAAAATCATGTAAAGGAAAAGGAAACACTTCTGTTAGGGGCAAACTCTCTAATTTAATAATAATATTAATTAGTCAAGGCATATGAAAGCATTGTTTAGAAATATTTTACCATATAAGAAGGATCAACCATAAAAAATATTTCTTCTCTTATAAAAAGGATGTTATTTAAATATATAGCTATAATTTCATAATTTTGCATTCAATTGTGATGCAGATATTTATATTTCATTAGTCTACACTAACAGACATTTTATACATGTTCATTTTTTATTAAAGTATGAAATACAATGTTAAACGTATGAAACACATAGGTGTTTTATTCACATTTAAATGTTTTTCTATTTTAGCATACTTTTAACTTACTACAGGTAATTAATCATAAAATATAGCTAAGCAGTTTCCAAAATTTGTAATTATCACTAGAGGACATATGACTAATTTGAGATGACTCACCAGAGAGATGAATAAATTAAGTCTGTCATAATGTTATATATCTATTAAAATGTTTTTAAAAATTCACTGCATACACATTTTAACTAATTTTCAATTATTAATAATAGCCATTAAAATGTTAAAAAGTTTATAAATATCTAAGGGACCTCATTTAAGTTATAAATTAATTGTGAAAGATTGTCTTAAAAAAATGAATGTAATGAAAGTAGCCTCTGAATTGTAATACTTAAAATAAGACATTGGAATAGCCAATTATTTTTATATCTATTTGCAAATTAAAAGTTATAATGCAAAAACAAATCTGGGTTGGGTACAGTGGCTCACGCCTGTAATTCTAGCACTTTGGGAGGCTGAGGTGGGCAGATCACGAGGTCAGGAATTTGAGACCAGCCTGGCCAATATGGTGAAACTCCATCTCTACTAAAAATATAAAAAATCAGCCAGGTGTGGTGGTGCACATCTGTAGTCCCAGCTACTCGGGAGGCTGAAGCAGGAGAATTGCTTGAACCCAGGAGGCAAATGTTGCAGGAGTTGAGATCATGCCACTGCACTCCAGCCTGGGCGACAGAGCAAGACTCTGTTTCAAAAATAATAATAATAATAATAATAATAATAATAATAATCTGTCAAATAATTATCAAGCAGATTCTAATGGTTGGGGATGATGTTAAAATCAGAGCTTCACTAGAAAATTATATAAAGCAGACACTCCTTTCTAGGAACAATTGTATTAGTTATAGGTCTGTACTTCATGGGTGGCCATCATTAATTAATAACTGAAGACATGCTATTTGAAAATTGATTTTACTATAACAGAGAATGAGAATGGTTTTTTTTAATTAATATTTTTTCTGTAATGAGAACATTCTATGTGTTTCAACATTGGTGAAATAGTCCAGTGTGATTAAGGATACAACTATTGTCTATGATTGATTTTGTATGTAGGGTTTCAAAATGGAATTCAGAAAACACAGTCATTTTATAAACATTTACCTAGCATCTAACATGTGCACTGTATAGCGCTCTGTACCACAAGAACTAAAAATAAATACAAGGTTTTATCTTTATATAAAATGTATTCAGCACATGTATAAATGAAACAGCTAGAAGTTCTATACAAACGATAAAATAAGTAGATTCATAATGTATTATTAGAATAAAATTGTGAATGTGTAGTTTGAGAATAAAGTTATATTTAATCATATTCTCTGATTATCCATGTTTTTAAAAGATTTAACAATCTTCTGAATATCTTGGTATTATAGGATGTATCAATCTACGGCACACAGATATTTACATTTAAAAGGGTGAAGCTGTTATAATTTTTATCGGCCTAGATGTCATCTTGGTGCATTAAGCCTCAGCATGCTAAAGTTTTAATTCTGAGGATTAGTACCACCAATGAATGTGCCTGAAAGCATTTGTATTTCCTTAACCTGAAGAAAATAAAGTTTCTTTTAACTTCCAAGAAATTTCAGACTCTTCAAAGAAGCAGGATTCACGATTAAAAAAAGGAGGGGAGGGGGGAATTATTTTAAAAAGGGGGGAGGGGGAGGGGGGAAGTTCTGTAATGAAAGGAGATCAACTTAAAATTGCACAAGACCTTTTTAATTAATTAATTTATTTATTTATTCATGATGAAGTCTCACTCTGTCTCCCAGGCTGGAGTGCAGTGGCGCGATCTCGGCTCACTGCAACATCCATCTCCCAGGTTCAAGTGATTCTCCTGCCTCAGCCTCCCTAGTAGCTGGGACTACCGGCGCACGCCACCACACCTGGTTAATTTTTGTATTTTTAGTAGAGACGCTGTTTCACCATGTTGTCCAGGCTGGTCTCAAACTCCTGACCTCAAGTGATCTGCCTGCCTCGTCCTCCCAAAGTGCTGGGATAACAGGCATGAACATATTATGTAACTGCATGTTCTGTATTCACTGGTATAATATTGAGGTGCTCTCACTTTTTTTAAAGACCACCATTGTTCTCTGATCACTTTAATAACTTTCTTACTCATTTTCCTTCTTCTTAAGTTCAGCTTCTATTGTCCATACAGCAGCCAGAATGATCTTTCTGAAACAATGCATGCCATGTAGACTTCTCTCATTAGAGTCTTTTAATAGCTTCACATTGCACCAAGAATAAAACCAGAAATAGTTGTCCTGGCCTCCCAAACTCTGCATAATCTCTTCACATTCAGCTTTCCATAGCAGTCTCCCTCATGCTCACTGTGCTCCAGACACAATGGCCATCTACTGTCTGTGAGATGCATAAGCCCTTTCCCATCTCAGCGTCTTGTTTCCACCTCCAGTTCTGTTTCCCTTTCAGAGTGGCTTCTCCTTATCATTCGGACTCCTTGCAAATATCATCTATTCAAAGAGATCTTCTCTGATCCTCTAGCCAAAATTGAGTTCTATCAGTTACTCTCTGTCATCTCACTTCGCCTTATTTCTTTATTACAACTTTTTACAACCTATAGTTATATTGTTGATATCTACCGTCTATTTTCTTGCTTATTGTCCATATCCCACAGCAGGATGTAAGTTTCATGAGTTCAGACATGCTCTCTCTCTTTTGCTATAATCCCATTCCACTAACTGTGGAAGGGAAGGTGCAAAATGTTTGTCCTTAGAGATAAAGAAAAGAAAGGAAGGGAAGAAGGAAAGAAATACTCGGCAGGAGAAAAAATAGCTCTTACTTCTGTTAGCTTTACTACTTTTCTTACAGATCAAGTTCAATAAATCAGATCTTTTGTTGAGTCAGGCTGAGCACTGTAAAATATTTTTTATTTAGTGGTACTTTTGGAGCCAAATTATTTCTTCATTCTGAATTTTTAATATTAATATTCTGAACATTAATAAATAATTTGCCTTTAGCAGCAACAAGTTAGCTCTAGAGGAAAAAAATCAGAACAGTGGCTGAATCTGCTTCATTTTTAAATGTGAATCAACAAATTTAAATATTCACAAATAAAGCTTTTAGAAATAACTTTTACAGACAAACACAGTGTGTGACTATTAAAGTAAATGCTATAGGACTGACAGAAGTGGAGGTCAACAGACTCAGAAAGAGTTAGGGTATGCCTTCAGAATGAGGTGGGACCAGGAATCTTTGGTTATGTTAACTAGTAATGAATCTCAGAAATTTTGTGACCCTCATTCTCCATAAAACAGATCAAACCAGCTAAATTATTTTTTTCATTCTCTAATCTGCTAATATAGCGTACTTATTTTTAAAATAGATAATATTAGCAGCACATCCCGATAAAGAGAAATATATGTTAGTTTTTTTTCCCTACTTGTGCTTCTCCTACCAGGACCTTTTTCTCTACATATGGATTTATGCCCTGAGATGAATGCAGATGTATGCAACATTGGGCACTTGTTTTTATCCTGGGTTCCTACGCACAGGCAACAAAGTTCCTTCAATTTCATTGTGAATATTAATTTAAAGATGGAGGATCTAGTGTCCTGGATCACCTCTTCTTTCCATACCAAATAACTTGCACATGCGAGGGAGATCATGGCAGGCATCACCTTTCCTAAGACATTTAAGGTTTACTTCAGACTCGTACATAGAAAATCACACACGTCTATTACATGGTTGATAATTCACTTTTGAAAAAAATTTCATTTAAAAATCATTTGAACACTGGATTTGTGTAGTCTAGTTTTGAAACAATACATAAATTTGCCATCTCTTCTTGTGCCCCTATCTAGGTCTTTATGCTACTCTGTTTAAAAAGTGACTCAGTTGAAATCAAACATAATTTTCATCTTTAGTATATTAAGTATTAAAACGCTCAATACATCTCCTCCAAAAACAGCAAACTTCTTAGAAAAGCATTAAACATGTTTGGAACTGATAGAAAATACAGAAGAACAGTAGTTCTCTGCTGTTTTTGAACTTTTCTGCTCTTTAAGAACTTTTGCCTGGGGTGAAGCTATTTGGTGGTATTTGAAGAAATTTACCAGTAATACATAACTTCTAAACTTCTAAAGCAAAGACATCAGTGGGAAGAATAGTAGAAGCAATGCAATTTTATAATTGGAGGATTTTAAAAAATATATCTGAGTTCTAGAGTTAAGTTCTAATTGTAAGAAACAGTGAATTATTTGGAAAAACTTGGCTAGCAGGTTGCCTATGAATTTATCATTAAGAGGACAGCATCATGGCACCATATTTTAAGCACAGTAGCAAGTGTCAGCTTGTTGATATCCAAAAGTGTAGTTGATATTTTTTTCAATCAGTTATGCCATCATAACTAGGTGAAATTATCAGAGCACTGGCTCAGGAATAAAAATATTTAACTCTGGCACAAACTGGCTGTGCATCTTTAGTCTAACCAAATCAACTTTCTGTGCCTCAGTTTTTAATCTGCAAAATAAAAGGGTTGGAGTTTATGACCTCTGAAGAATTCTCTTTCAGCTTTAAAAATGGGATATTTCATTAATCTATTGCTACTCTTATGGAATAGCCTTTAACTCAAGAGATAAATATTGATGCATTTAGGATGATTCAGGCAAATTATGTCTATATCTGTTTATCTGTCTATCTATCTATCTATCTATCTATCTATCATCTATCTATCTGTCTATTTAAAGCAGAGACTACCTCCTTACTGTATAGAGTCAGGATGAGTAAATTATCTATATGTTATATTAGTGCCATAGCAAGTACAGCAGTCTGATGAATATGCAGTGTATGTGAATATTACTAGAACAGTTGCTTAACTTAAAAACTTCCGTAACACTCTGCTTTCTACTCCGCCAGTGTATTAGTTTATTCTTTTAGTACAAAGTCAACTTTTTGTTTATATTTTCAACTCAAGCTACTCTGGCAAGTTCAATTCCCATATTAGGTGCCCCTTTGTCTTTTATACTCACCTCTAGCTTCTTAATATTTCCAATTATAATTTATTTCTAAAATATATCTCTCAGAAGTTCTAAAGATTTCTGGTTTTTGCCTTTGTGAGGTTTTAGGAAAAGACTGTTTTTCCCTCTGGCTTAATTCTACTTGGAAAAAACATCCTTAGAGACACTTTTAACTGCATATTTTTATGAAGTCTCTTTGAAAGTTTGTTGTTGGTGAGATTGATAGTTATAGATTATAAATGTTTGATTGCAAAAGTTCTGTATTTTTAAAATGGAACAATTCACAATTATCAAGTATGCAATTATAACTACCTAAAACAAACTTTCAGAGGCAGTTTCTGGTATCTTATTATAATAAAATTATTAGCATTTTGACTTCTTGAAGGAATTTTATATACTCAAGAAGAACCTGGGTTGGTTCTAGAGACAGAGAGCTATCTTACAACACAGGAAAACATAACATGCTCTGAGTATGGCTAGCTAAGGAGTACTACTTAACATGTCGACTTTTCTGCAGTGAGGTTTTGTATTTAAGTAGAAACTGGTAAGTCAAGAATATTTCAAAAACTGAAGGAGATTAAATAAATTATAACCAATACCAGGTTACATATTGGCTCAAAAATCCTAATTTTCTGTATTTAGCATTTTGAGAGGATTATTGTCAGCCAAGGTCTAAACAGATCATTGGAGTAAAGATGATGATATAGATGATGATTCTTTTAAAGAACTGGAGCAAAATTTCAACACTGGAGTATTCCACATTGGAGAAAGAAGAATAATAAAATATATACCATCTAAAAGTATATGTTAAAAATAATCTATGTTGGAGGTACAATTGCAGAATCAGAGGACTAAGTTGTTATGAGCATAGGTTGGTAATGTTGGGAATGACCTACATAGGTGCAAAATTTTATGAGCATAAGGAGATTTCTGAAGTTGCCTAAAGCCTCCTCGGAGGTAATAGAGATAAAGAGGCACTGGAGCTGGTGCCCTCCCTTAGTCATAGACTAAGGACCAATCTGGCATGGTTTCTGAAATCTCTGAATTGTGTGAGGTCATAAAGACCAAGGTAGGTGGTCCAGGGGACAATATCTTCTAACACATTATCTTGTTTGACTTTATATTCAACAGTGACATTTGCAGGCAAGTTTTATTAGTTGAGTTTTACCTATAAAGCTATCCAGACCCAAGAGAGTCTCAATATTTTTATATACTATTGTCCAAGGTTGTACAATAACAAGGGGACAGGATTAACATTCAGACCTACAGATTCTAAATCCAAGTTCAATGCTCTTTCTATTACATCAGGAGAAAAAATTACCACCCCCCAGGTATTTCACATCATTTATGTTTCAGCTTTCAATTAGCCTGAAAACTAAATTATTCAGAAGGCTTCTTTCCTTAATAATGCTCTTTAATAATTACATATTTTTATAATGATTTAACTCCTTTTTGGAGAAAATTTTAGTAAGATATAAACTTTGCCTACACTGAATGTTTACGAGTGATATATAAATGTTCTTCAAGGCCACATGGGACACGTCTACTCTGTGTGAAAGAAAAAACTGAATATTTGGTGGCAAAATAATTAAGTTGTATTTAGAAAGTAGTCCAGTAACTTCTCCTTCTCCCTTTTCTTTCCATTTCTATTCCTAGTATTTTAATTCTGGTTTAGTTTAAAATTTAAACCAATCTATGAGGAGCTCTTGTGTACCACTCCAAATTATCTTGACTGAACCTCATACTACAACCATTGATGTGGTTCCCTGTTTCTTTAAGATGTCCCTCAACCTCACAGGTGCAATCTGACAGTGTCTCATCTTGTGCAAGGGCTTTTTCTTGCTTTCGGCCCTTTTTTTTTGTCATTTTTGAAGACACAGCTTAGTATTCCTAGAGGGGTCTGATGGACACTCACGGATAGACAGCTAGGAGTGGGGCTTCAATGCCGATGGTGCTATCTTTGATGAGTAGGGGACAGAAGTTACAGGAAAAAATTTCTTCCCTGTTGTCCTCTGGGTTGCAAGTTCTGACATGCATTTCATAAACTTCACAATATCTGGCAAGATCAAATACCACGTCTCAGCCTAATGGGTAATGAAACAAGGCAACTTTTCATTTGCTTTTTCTATTTTCCTGCTAACCTCTTCTCACCCTCAACCTCTTGGGATTACATTTCTTGCCTTGCAAGCCTTTGTCTATGGCTCTGCCTTTGAGGAAACTCAAGTTAGAAGCAAAAATATAGAGAAGAAGTTCAATTTTCTCCAAATTTAGTGTACTATTTCAATGGTACTGAATAGAGACCCAAGAAACCAAGAGAGAGTGCTTAGTAGGGAACCTTTAATGAGCACTGGCATTCATCAGACAAGGGGCCTTAAGGAGAACTGGCTACTAAAGTTTCTGCCCATCAGGATCACAAGTTGGCAGGTTTCCTAGTCCAGCATTAAGAATCTAGAGAGGAGCAGATTGTGGATGAGAATTCTGTATTCTCTCCTGCCCCACAGGCACCTGCTGGCTGTCTTGTCCCAAGCCTACTAAGGTTGAATTGTCCGACTGAATTTAATGGGAAGCCCTGACCTTGAAACTGTAAATCTCAGAGCCAAAAGCAAAGCTAGTAATGAGCCCCAAGTGGTACGCCCATTTGCTTCTTTGCTTCATAAGTTAACCGTGGCCGAAGAATTTTATCTTGGGCTCTCATGATGCATTTTTCAAACCTGAATTTGCAACTAAATTCTAAATGTATTTTTCTTCTGTATATTTTTTCCTATGATGTACTTACTTGGGTGTGACATTACTTATTTTTCCTATAAGGAATCCAAATGCAGCTCCAAACTTCCACTCTAATGACCAAAATAATGTCCAATTTCATTATGAGCAGCAATTATAGTATGTGCAGCAAGGGATTATGTTCAATTTATTTTGCAGATTCACTTCAATTTTTGCCTTAAAAAGTATAGTTCTCTTTATCAGAGACAATGATTGTTATCAGTGTTAAGATTGCTAGTAAAATGCTAAATAGCACATGGTTAAAACTACTTTTTAAAAGTCTCATTTGATTTTTTATAAGATCTGTACTGGTAATGAGAATGAAGTTTGGCTCATTAAGGAAAAAATATTTTATACAATTAGCAGCAAAATAGGGAAGTACATTATTAAACTAGTGTTATTTTAAAATGGACAAGATGACATGGCCTAAACAACTTTTAGTATTATTTTCCTTCCGGTAGGTGGACCTATGTTGTGTTGGTAAGGCTTATTGCAAGGTAAAATTGCTGATTAGTCTATTTTTCTTTTCTTTTTATTTTTTGAACACTAAAGCACCCTGAAGGTAGACTCTTTAATGTATAAGCCATGTCAAGTTGAGAACTATATTTTACACACTGGACTCCACAGCAGAGACAAGAAATTTGCTAATTAATTTATTGGTAGCTTAGTTGCATTTTCAATGTCATAAGCCTTAAAAATTTAAGTATTTCTCTGAAGATATACCCAAATTTAAATTACATATAGATTTATTGATTTTCAGTAAGAAAATACAGTAAATTGAAATATATTAATATCAAAGGTTATATTGAATTTTTTTTCTGCACACTGTATTTTTGCATTGTCCTTAGGCTAAGTCAACACATTATTATCCTGTCACTTGTTGATTCACAGAGTCTTACTAAACCTAAATATTTTTTACTTTCAAAACAGAGATTGTCTTCGAATTTTATTCATGGATTTTTTATAGTGCTTCTTCAGTGTGCATGTTAGCTATCCTTTGATCATTTTCTCTTAAGATTCATACACATAAAATAGATTTTAAGCTTGAGGGTTGCTTAATATTAGATTATACAATATTTAAATTCTTATGGAAATTCTTCTCAAGTTCTTTATCTCAGTTGTACTGAACATAACACCACTAGCCTTAGATTCCATACTCATTTCCCTAATGTGATTTCAATGGCAGTAAAGCATGGTGCTTATGAAAGTAAAGTCACACATTCAGTTCTGGAGAGGTCTCTTAACTTTGCACAGAAAAAAGATCTAATTGGCAACTACCAACTTCGTCATCAGCTCTGAAGGTACAAAAATGTACCATAGTTTTTATAGAATAATGCTAAGAGGACAAACATGGCATTATGTAATCTATTTAATTTATTGAGAAATTGAGAATGTAATACTGTCAGAAGCAGTCTGTTCACCATCTGTTTCATTTGTTTGGTTACATTTTCGAGCCCCTGGAATTAGTCAGGATACTGTTACTAGTAATGACCAAGGGGTTATGAACATAAGTGAACAGAGTAATACATAATTTCAGATAGTGCAACTCACATGGTGGAACTTCTGCTAGCCTGAGTGGACTTCTGGAGGACAATTTTGCTGTAGAGTTTTCTGCAGACACACCAAATTTTGTGTGATAGGGAAATAAACTTTTGTTACAAGCCACTGAAATTGAAGGTTGTTAGTGCAGAATAATCACGCCTGCTCTGACAAATACTGACAGTGAAACCAGAACTAGAAAGCTTTCCTAACAAAAACCTAAAATACGAGCAGAAGGAAACTGATATCAAAGCCTTAAAAAGATGGTAATCTGTATTATACAGTAGTAAAATGTTCGGCAAAATGCATAAACCCTTGCATTTTGCAAACCCCTGCAGGGTTTGGGGAGACAGATTGTACACCTAAAACAAAACGAAACAAAATTTAAAAGTAAAAACACCACTAATAACAACAAAAATGTGTGGCTTTAGGAAAAGAGAGTTTGAAAATTTTATAATTTTGTGTAATTGTAAATGAGTGTGTTTGGCAAGATATTATAAGGCAATGGGTTCAGGTGGTAGTTTGCTGGTTGGAAAGCAAATAGATATAGTCCACAAAATCTAGGTTGTTCAGTATTGAGAAAGTCATTGTTTCCTGATCGCCAGCAATAAAAGATAAGATTGAGAAAACTTTGAAAGATCCAGTAAGATCTTTAAACTGACTCAGGAGAAAAAATCAGATGAAAAGTATAGAGCCAGTAAATACTTTCGACTGAATAAAATGACTTAGGGTAAAAATCTGATTGGAACGCAGAAAAGCCCACAGCCTCAAAATATCCTCATTTAGATTAAAGAAGATGACGGGAGCGAGAAAGCAAACAGAGTAAATCTGAAATTTACCTTGGAAAGGCTGTTGTGCATATGAACTGATTGGAATCAAGTATAATAAGAAGACTAGTTTTTGAGAGTATTATATCATAAGGCAAACATCTTAAGACTAAGATTCAAATCATTCTCAGGCCCAGAATACTTTAGATTAAGGAAATTAGCTGAGATACCTCCTCCACCACCAAAGGCCCACTTCAGACATGGGCAAGGAGGATAAACACAGGCTCAAGGTCCAAAGAGAACATTGGATAGTTGCTCCTCCCATAGAACATGGTTGGGGATACATTCTGGTAATTTTTCACTCTCATGGCATGAGGACCTTTATAATGCCTGTCCAGTGGGTGCGCAGCATGGATATAGGGCTGACATCACAGTATATACGGAGATGTAAAGGAACAAATAAAATAGTTACTGAGCACTCCCACCTCTTACAGTATCATGTTTTCAGTTTCTCATTAAATTAAATAGACTGCATCACTTTCTGTCTCCCATTCTTTTTTTTTTGAGACAGCATCTCACTCCGTTGCCCCAGCTAGAGTACAGTGGCGTGATCTTGGCTCACTGCAATCTCCGCCTCCCGGGTTCAAGTAATTCTCCTGCTTCAGCCTCCTGAGTAGCTGGGACTACAGGCACGTGCCACCACACCTGGCTAATTTTTGTATTTATAGTAGAGATGGGGTTTCACCATATTGGCCAGGCTGGTCTCGAACTCCTGACCTCGTGATCCACCCACCTCAGCCTCCCAAAGTGCTGGGATTACAGGCATGAGCCACCATGCCCAGCTGTCTCCCATTCTTTCTTCTTCCAAATGGTAGTGATTTAGTAGAAGCTTTATTATTACACTTGATTGTGAACTTGCATTTTTAGTTCATAAGTCTACACATCCAGCACAGTCATGCCTTGAGTTTATGTAGACACCCCTGAACGTCATGCAGCGATAAGTCTTTGAACTGGATGTATTGATAGGAATCTCAATCTTATCTCTAAGAATTTCATATCTTATATCTTTCTTAGAATGCTTCCTCAAGTTACATTTCTCTAATTTTTCTTAGGTACATGTGCAAGGAATATATGAAAAAGAAGTAAGTGCAACCTATAAATATAAATAAGTATATGATTAATATGATGAATTAAATCATGTCTTCAACTGGCAATTTTTTTTTTTTTTTGAGATGGAGTTTCACCCTTGTTGCCCAGGCTGGAGTGCAATGGCACGATCTTGGTTCACTGCAACCTCCGCCTCTCGGGTTCAAGTGATTCTCCTGCCTCAGCCTCCCGAGTAGCTGGGATTACAGGCATGCACCACAATGCCTGGCTAATTTTGTATTTTTAGTAGAGACAGGATTTTTTCATGTTGGTCAGGGTGGTCTCGAACTCCCGACCTCAGGTGATCTGCCGGCCTCAGCCTCCCAAAGTGGTGGGATTACAGGTGTGAGCCGTCACACCCGGCCTCAACATGCAATTTTTAAATGCAAGTGTTG
This sequence comes from Homo sapiens, assembly GCF_000001405.40. NCBI lineage: Eukaryota > Metazoa > Chordata > Mammalia > Primates > Hominidae > Homo > Homo sapiens. The sequence goes on from NC_000007.14 coordinate 125,172,634, forward strand.
ATCACAAAAAGCAGTTGAATAATCTACGTATTAAAATGAAAAGCAATTCAGTCGTTACAAATAAATTATTCTTGCACCAAGTTGCATTTCTATTCTTGGCATAATAAAAAGAGAGATAAGAAGATATCCAATGATATTACTTTCCATCCTTGCCCCTATTGATCATAGTTCATTGATTCCCAATGCAAATGGTACCTCTATGTTCCCCCACAGGTGTGTAGGAGGACCTGGCTTTCCAAACTTAGGAATGGATTGTCTGTCATTTAAATCACATTTGAAATGGTGCAGGAGAGTCTTTCTCTTTAAAAATTTTCTTTGTGATGTTACAAATCCCCACTTAGTTTGTTGGTTAAATTACATTTCTAATAATTGATTTTTAAAGTGGCACTAACCTGTATATAAATAATTTAAGGGCTTTATCAACCTACTTTGATTGGCTGAGCCTCAATGTTGATTTCAAGCAATAATAGTACATAGTGGTCAAAATAGGGATATGGACTATGACTGGCAGAGTTAATGTCCCAATTCCATCATTCACTACCTGGATGAGCTTGAACTAGTTACTGAAATAGTCTGCATATTAGATTTTTCACCTACAAAATGTGCAGACTCTTATTAACTACTTATATGGTTTTGAAGATTAAATAAGTTATTGTATATAAAATTGCTTAGAAAATGTCTGTGATGCACTAAATGCTACACAAGTGTTTGCAGTTTTTATTACTTAGGAACATTTTTGTTCAATGTAAAAGAATTCTTTTCCACACAATAATCTTAGTTTGCATGTGGACAATTAAAATGCTTACATGAATTAGATTATCTAGAACACATTAAATGTAGTAATGAATGTCTCTACAAAAGGCATTCTAAAATGTACTTTCAAAAATCTTGTATTTGTTTAAAAATTCTTGTAAAGAAGCTTAAACTAAAATGTAATAAATGCATTTCTTACTGCCATTCTTATATTGGTTAGGGGTGACTAACCAATTGTTCATGTTTCAGTCAGGAAAGGCCTTGTAATGCTGCAATAAGAAAGAGCCTTCTTTTATTTCTTGTTTCCAGTGTTCTCTGTGGATCTGGGCAATCACCTTCTATATGGCTACTCAGTAATGCTGACTCACGGAGAAACTGAATGTTCAGCCTCTTTGGTCAGTGGAAGAGAAAATAGAGTATCACACTTGCGTCAGCTTTTCAGTGACACAAATCACTTGTGCTCTCACCTCATTATTGAAACATGATTCATATGGACCTGCCTAATGAATTAACATTTTTCATATGGCTCTTCCTGTGCATTACTTGCAAGGAAGATGGGTAATGAGAGAAGGACAGGGTTTATTTGCTGACCATTGTATCTCTGACTTAGTCTGACTTTCCATCTTCCAAATATATCTTTGCTCCCTTCTTTCACAACATGGGATCTTTCCTCAAGGGAGACAACCAACAAAGTTAAATAGGAAAAAAGGACTTTATTTGAAGCTATAGAAGAAGGAATATATGGACACTGGCTTGATGATTGTATTTTTTAAACAGATTTTTGTGGGGGAAAAGAACAGTGATAATGAAAAACATCACAGAGAAGGTGTGAATGGGGAGAAAGAAAAGTAAGAATATTTATAGCAGATTCAGATATATATTCCCGTGGAAAATGAGAATAATGCAAAGTCTAAACCAGCATATCTTTTTTGATACTCCTATTGTGCACCCTCTTTAAAAGAATATTTGCATTACACTCAAGCAAACTCTTCTATAAGAGATTTTCATTAGGGAAGACAGAGAATGATGAAGTTGAATATAGCTTGGTGGCTCTTGTGTGATAGAACTTTTGAGAAATGGATATTCAAACACTTCTTTCTACTCACTGAATAGTAATGGCAAACATGACTAAAACCTTAAAATTTTTAGACTGTTAAATGCCTTACAATGAAAAATGCATGTAAAAATCCTACCTTCTCCCTTGGAAGGCATTTTATTTGGTTAAAAAAAATCCCAACTGATTATGTGCCTGGGCAATGATTTTTATAGATTAGCTTTAACAGAGTATCTGCAATATTAGATGTTATTACCACCATGCCAAAGTATTTAATAGCTTCTTTGCCTAGCTATGGAATCTGTCCTATAATGTGGGGAGATAGAGTGGGTGCTTTCCTCCTAAGATCCTCCTAAGATCTTAGGAGGTGCTTTCCTCCTAAGATCAGAGTGGGTGCTTTCCTCCTTTAGATCCCTAAAGACAGGAATATCCACTTTGGCCGCTTCTAATCAACACTGTAATAAAAATTCTATCCAGAGCAATTAGAAAAAAAAGAAAACAGAAAAAGAACTTAAAAGTATCCATAATGGAAAGGAAAAAGTAAAACTACCTCTATTGACAGATAACATGACTTTGTGTATAGACCTTGTGTATTGATGGGTAACATGACTTTGTGTATTGAACTGGTGTATTGACAGATAAAATGACTTTGTGTATAGACCTTGTGTATTGACGGATAACATGACCTTGGAACCCACATCCCCCAAAATACTATTAAAATAGTAAGTGAGTTAAGCAACTTTGCAAGATACAAGATCAATATAAAGTCCATTTTATTTCTATATACTAGCAATTAACAATCAGAAAATAAAATTAAGAAAACGATTCTGTTTACAAAAACATAAAAATACTTAGGAATAAATTTAACAAAGTCATGAAAATTTTTACACTGAAAACTAGAAAACTGAAAAATTTAAGAAGTTCTAAGGAAATGGAATGGCATAGATCCTTGATACCATAGATCCTCAGTATTATTAAGATGGGTATTTTCTCTAAATCAATCTGCTAATTGAATATGATCACTAACAGCATTCTGGCTGGCTCCATGCAGAAACTGCTGATCTAATAATCACATATGTATGAAAATGCAAGTAATACAGAATCAGCCATATTTCAGCTCAATATCATTTGTCATTAGGAAACTGCAAATCAAAACTACAATAAAATGCCACTTTATACCTATAAAGATCATCATCATAATAATAAAATAGACAACATGTGTTAGCAAGGATGTGGAGTCAAGGGAATCCTTATACATTGATGGTGGGAATGCAAAATGATTCAACTGCTTTGGAATAGAGTTTGGTAGTTTCTCAAAATATTAAATATAGAGGTATTATATGCTCCAGCAATTCTATTTCTAGGTATATAGCCATGAAAAGTGAAAACATGTTCATACAATAACTTACATGCAACTGTTCAGAGCAGCACTATTCATAATAGCCTAAAGTTAAAAACAATACTAAATGTCCATCGAATGGTGAATGGATAAACAAAAGATAGCATATCCAAACATTGCTGTACTTACTATTCAGCCATGCAAAGGAATAGAGTGCTGAAACATGCTACAGTGTGGATGAACCTTGAAAACATTATGCTAACATGCTAAGTGAAATAATCCATCTATAAAAGATCACATATTTTGTGGTTTTATTTATATAAAAGGCTATATCAGGCAGGACAGGGAGTGGCCGCTGATTGATACACAATTTTCATTTTTGGAGTGATGAAAATGTTCTAAAATTAGTTTGTTGTAATGGTTGCAAAACTGTGAATATACTGAAACCACTTAAGTACATATTTTAATGGGTAAACCATATAGTATGTTAAGTATGTCTCAATAAGGCTATTAAAGAAAGAAAAGTAGCTAGTTTTTGTTACCCATTCATTAGGCATTTTGATGCTTAGTACTTTTTTATTCTATGTTAATTAATTTTAAGTTCCAGGGTACATGTGCAGGATGTGCAGGTTTGTTACATAGGTAAACGTGCTACCGTGATTTGTGACACCTATCAATCCATCACCTTGGTATTAAGCCCAGCATGCATTAGGTGTTTTTCCTGATGTTCTTCCTCCCAGAGCCCTGACAGGCCCAAGTGTGTGTTGCTCCCCACGGTGTCTCCATGTGTTCTCATTGTCCAGCTCCCACTTATAAGTGAGAACATGTGGTGTTTGGTTTTCTGTTCCTGTATTAGTTTGCTGAGGATAATGGCTTTCAGCTCCACCTGTGTCCCAGCAAAGAATAAAATCTTATTCTTTATTATGGCTGCATAGTATTCCATGTATATATGTACTATATTTTCTTTATCCAGTCTATCATTGATGGGCATTTGGGTTGATTCCATGTCTTTGCTATTGTGAATAGTGCTGCAGTGAACATACATGTGCATGTAACTTTGTAATAGAATGATTTTTATTTCTTTGGGTATATAACCAGTAATGGAATTGCTAGGTCAAATAGTATTTCTCTCTTTAGGTCTCTGAGGAATTTCCATGCTGTCTTCCACAATGGTTAAACTAATTTGCATTCCCTGTAACAGTGTAAAAGCGTTCCTGTTTCTCTGAAGCCTTGCCAGCATCTGTCGTTTCTTGACTTTTTAATAATCACCCTTCTGACTGGCGTGAGATGATATCACATTGTGATTTTGATTTGCATTTCTCTACTGATCGGTGATGTTGAGCTTTCTTCCATATGTTTGTTGGCTGAAGGTATGTCTTCTTTTTAAAAGTGTCTGTTCATGTGCTTTGCCCACGTTTTAATGGGGTTGTTTTTTTCTTGTAGATTTGTTTAAGTTCCTGGTAGATTCTGAATATTAGACCTTTGTCAGATGGATAGACTGAAAAAATTTTCTCCCATTCTGTAGGCTGTGTCTTCATTCTGATGATAGTTTCTTTCACTGTGCAGAAGCTCTTTAGTTTAATTAGATCCCATTTGTCAGTTTTTGCTTTTGTTGCAACGGCTTTTGATGTTTTCACTATGAAATCGTTGCCCATGCCTATGTCCTGAATGGTATTGCCTAGATTTTCTTCTAGGGTTTTTATGGTTTGGGGTTTTACATTTCAGTCTTTAATTCATCTTGAGTTAATTTTTATATAAGTTGTAAGGAAGGAGTCCAGTTTCAATTTTTCACAAATGCTTAGTCAGTTCTCCAAGCACCATTTATTAAATACGGAATCCTTTCCCCATTGCTTGTTTTTTTCAGGTTGTCTTTGCAAATGACACAATCCTGTATCTAGAAAACTCCATTGTATCAGCCCAAAAGCTTCTTAAGCAACTTCAGCAAAGTCTCAGGATACAAAATCAATGTGGAAAATCGCAGGCATTGCTGTACACCAACAACAGACAAGCAGAGAGCCAAATCATGAATGAACTCCCATTCACAATTACTGCAAAGAGAGTAAGATACCTAGGAATACAGCTAGCAAGGGAAGTGAAGGACCTCTTCAAGGAGAACTACAAACTACTGCTTAGGAAAATCAGAGAGGACACAAACAAATGGAAAAAAATTCCATGCTCATGGATAGGAAGAATCAATATCATAAAAATGGCCATACTGACCAAAGTAATTTATAGATTCAATGCTATTCCCATAAAATTACTGATGCTTAGCACTTTTGAGTGACTAGACCAACTAGCTTCATTAAACATGATGTTTTTTGAAAACATATTAAGTGTGAGCATTACTAGCAACATAGTGGTAGAAAAGAAAATTGAACCAATGAATGGCTAATACTGACATATTCAGTAGTAACAATAAAACAATAAAAGTGACTCTATTTTAGCCCTTTGTTTTGCAGTGGAAAACACTGAAGTTGTGGCATATGAAAAAGGTGCTTTTCAATTGCGACAAAAGCAAAAATTGACAAATGGGATCTAATTAAACTAAATAGCTTCTGCACAGCAAAAGAAACTATCAACTGAGTAAACAGACAACTTACAGAATGGGAGATAATTTTTGCAAACTATATGTGTGACAAAGGTCTAATATCCAGCAGCTATAAGGAACTTAAACAAATTTACAAGAAAAAAGCAACCCCTAAAAATGTGGGCAAAGGACATGAACAGATACTTTTCAAAATAGACATACATGTGGCCAAAAATCATATGAAAAAGAGCTCAATATCACTGATCATTAGAGAAATGTAAATTAAAACTGCAATGAGACATCATCTCACACCAGTCAGAATGGCTATTATTAAAAAGTTAAAAAATAATAGGTGCTGGCAAGTTGTTGAGAAAGAGGAATGCTTATTCATCATTGGTGGGAGTGTAAATTAGTTTAGTCATTGTGGAAGACAGTGTGGCAATTCCTCAAAGACCTAAAGACAGAAATACCATTTGACCCAGCAGTCTTATTACTGGGTATATACCTAAAGGAATACAATCATTCTATTATAAAGACACATGCCACATATATGTTCCTTGCAGCACTATACACAATAGCAAAGTTATGGAATCAACCTAAATGTCCATCAATGACAGACTAGATAAAGAAAATGTGGTACATATACACCATGGAATACTATGCAGCCATTAAGAACAAGATTATGTCCTGTGCCAAGATATGGATGGAACTGGGGGACATTAATCTTAGAAAACTAACACAGAAAAAGAAAACCAAATACTGCATGTTCTCATAAGTGGGAGCTAAATCATGAGAACACATGGACACATAGAGGGGAGTAACACACATTAGGTCCTTTTGGAGGGTGGAAGTTAGGAGCAGGGAGAGGGTCAGGAAAAATAACTAATGGGTACTAGCTTAATACCTCAGTGATTAAATAATCTGTACAACAAAACCCCGTGACACGAGTTAACCTATGTAACAAACCTGCATTTGTACCCCTAAACTTAAAATAAAAGTTAAAAAAGGTGCTTTCTTTATTAAATATTTTTCTTCTTGCAAGTAAATTATGTCTTTTACAGTGACAATGTTTGTAAGCTAGCATCGTTAAATATATTCTTCCAATTTTTAATTGTTCATTTTGTTCCTTATGCCCAGAGATGCACAAAGCCAGAAAATTTTGTAGAAATTAGTTGAAAATGTAAAGTTATCTGAAAATTATAGCCTATTTTAGTAGTTGAAAGTAAAACAAAAATATGTTTTTTTCCCATTAATATGGAATCAGTTAATGTGTGGGAGTCTAAGTCTCTTTGTAGGTCACTCAGGACTTGCTTTATGAATCTGGGTGCTCCTGTATTGGGTGCATATATATTTAGGATAGTTCGCTCTTCTTGTTGAATTGATCCCTTTACCATTATGTAATGGCCTTCTTTGTCTCTTTTGATCTTTGTTGGTTTAAAGTCTGTTTTATCAGAGACTAGGATTGCAACCCCTGCCTTTTTTTGTTTTCCATTTGCTTGGTAGATCTTCCTCCATCCTTTTATTTTGAGCCTATGTGTGTCTCTGCACATGAGATGGGTTTCCTGAATACAGCACACTGATGGGTCTTGACTCTTTATCCAATTTGCCAGTCTGTGTCTTTTAATTGGAGCATTTAGTCCATTTACATTTAAAGTTAATATTGTTATGTGTGAATTTGATCCTGTCATTATGATGTTAGCTGGTGATTTTGCTCGTTAGTTGATGCCGTTTCTTCCTAGTCTCGATGGTCTTTACATTTTGGCATGATTTTGCAGCGGCTGGTACCGGTTGTTCCTTTCCATGTTTAGTGCTTCCTTCAGGAGCTCTTTTAGGGCAGGCCTGGTGGTGACAAAATCTCTCAGCATTTGCTTGTCTGTGAAGTATTTTATTTCTCCTTCACTTATGAAGCTTAGTTTGGCTGGATATGAAATTCTGGGTTGCAAATTCTTTTCTTTAAGAATGTTGAATATTGGCCCCCACTCTCTTCTGGCTTGTAGGGTTTCTGCCGAGAGATCCGCTGTTAGTCTGATGGGCTTCCCTTTGAGGGTAACCCGACCTTTCTCTCTGGCTGCCCTTAACATTTTTTCCTTCATTTCAACTTTGGTGAATCTGATAATTATGTGTCTTGGAGTTGCTCTTCTCGAGGAGTATCTTTGTGGCGTTCTCTGTATTTCCTGAATCTGAACATTGGCCTGCCTTGCTAGACTGGGGAAGTTCTCCTGGATAATATCCTGCAGAGTGTTTTCCAACTTGGTTCCATTCTCCCCGTCACTTTCAGGTACACCAATCAGACGTAGATTTGATCTTTTCACATAGTCCCATATTTCTTGGAGGCTTTGCTCATTTCTTTTTTTCTTTTTTCTCTAAACTTCCCTTCTCGCTTCATTTCATTCATTTCATCTTCCATTGCTGACACCCTTTCTTCCAGTTGATCGCATCGGCTCCTGAGGCTTCTGCATTCTTCACGTAGCTCTCGAGCCTTGGTTTTCAGCTCCATCAGCTCCTTTAAGCACTTCTCTGTATCGGTTATTCTAGTTATACATTATTCTAAATTTTTTTCAAAGTTTTCAACTTCTTTGCCTTTGGTTTGAATGTCCTCCTGTAGCTCAGAGTAATTTGATCGTCTGAAGCCTTCTTCTCTCAGCTCGTCAAAGTCATTCTCCATCCAGCTTTGTTCCGTTGCTGGTGAGGAACTGTGTTCCTTTGGAGGAGGAGAGGCGCTCTGCGTTTTAGAGTTTCCAGTTTTTCTGTTCTGTTTTTCCCCCATCTTTGTGATTTTATCTACTTTTGGTCTTTGATGATGGTGATGTACAGATGGGTTTTCGGTGTGGATGTCCTTTCTGTTTGTTAGTTTTCCTTCTAACAGACAGGACCCTCAGCTGCAGGTCTGTTGGAATACCCTGCCGTGTGAGGTGTCAGTGTGCCCCTGCTGGGGGGTGCCTCCCAGTTAGGCTGCTCGGGGGTCAGGGGTCAGGGACTCACTTGAGGAGGCAGTCTGCCCGTTCTCAGATCTCCAGCTGCGTGCTGGGAGAACTACTGCTCTCTTCAAAGCTGTCAGACAGGGACACTTAAGTCTGCAGAGGTTACTGCTGTCTTTTTGTTTGTCTGTGCCCTGCCCCCAGAGGTGGAGCCCACAGAGGCAGGCAGGCCTCCTTGAGCTGTGGTGGGCTCCACCCAGTTCGAGCTTCCCGGCTGCTTTGTTTACCTAAGCAAGCCTGAGCAATGGCGGGCGCCCCTCCCCCAGCCTCGCTGCCGCCTTGCAGTTTGATCTCAGACTGCTGTGCTAGCAATCAGCAAGACTCCGTGGGCGTAGGACCCTCCAAGCCAGGTGTGGGACATAACCTTGTGGTGCGCCGTTTTTTAAGCCGGTCTGAAACGTGCAATATTCGGGTGGGAGTGACCCGATTTTCCAGGTGCGTCCATCACCCCTTTCTTTGACTCGGAAAGGGAACTCCCTGACCCCTTGCGCTTCCCAGGTGAGGCAATGCCTCGCCCTGCTTCGGCTCGCGCACGGTGCTTGCACCCACTGGCCTGCGCCCACTGTCTGGCACTCCCTAGTGAGATGAACCCGGTACCTCAGATGGAAATGCAGAAATCACCCGTCTTCTGTGTCGCTCACGCTGGGAGCTGTAGACCGGAGCTGTTCCTATTCGGCCATCTTGGCTCCTCCCCGGCATAGTCTTGAAGCTCCCTGCCTAGAGGCTGTCTTTTCCAGGAGCTATACCTCTGCTTCACACAGGTAACTGAAATTCTGAAGTGACATAAGCACACCAGGGCAGGAAATGAAGGGGAGGGCTGTGTATCAGACTATGGGTGGGGCAAATCTCAGCCTTCTGGATCATCTGGAGGTACTCATTGGGAGACAACTACAGCAGGTGGCAGAGGATGCGCTAAGTAAGTATACAATTTTACTGCACGTCATAAAAAAAGACTGAACTAAAGAGACAGATATTACATGTCTCTTGATGAGAATAAGACATTGTAAAAGTATAAATTAATTGCCCCACAAATATATGTGTGTAAGTCAATTGCAAATAAAATCTTTATTTTTTTCAATTAAAATTTAAAATTTCTATGGAAAAAAATGAGTGAAAGTAACCAGAAACATTTTTAAAAAAGAAAAAAAAGAGGTTCTTGCCTATCAGACATTAAAATGTACATTAAAATTATAACAGTCAAATTAATGTAATGCTGATCCCAACATAAGAATATCCCACAGCATAGTGTTTGAATAAAATAATAATTAAAAATTTATCTTTGTTAATTTCTGGGTAGTGAAGCTGCAGGTTGTTTTTTTCCCTTGCTTCTTTATACTTTTCTGTAATCTAAGAAGTTTTACAATAAACAAGCATTATCTTTACAATAAAACATGAATATATTTTTATTCAATTGATAAAGAATTAATAGAGAATTAAAGATATTAAGTGTATATAAGTTTACATAAAGAAAATTATAGATATATTCAAATAAGTAAAAATATAATAGATATGACTATAGTATTTAAAAATTTTATCAGAAAACAAAAGGTAAATCACAAGTTGGAAAACAGTGTTAATATTAACTCCCAGAGAGTACTAACACATAATTTAAAATCAGCAATACCAATGAAAACAGGTAGATAATATGTACAGGAATTTCAAAGAAAGAAGAAATAGAAATGGGCAATAAAGATATAAAAGATGTACTTAGTTTACTGAATTAAAAAAATTGCAAAGTAGAGCAACACTGAAGCACTATATTTTTGTTTATCATACCCATTAGATTAAAAGAAATAGTGATATCTAATAAAAAAGGAAATGGATACTCTACTTCATGGCCTGTGTGAGTTTAATTAATGTAAACTCTGGGTTAGCATTTAAAAATGAATCTCAAAACCTAAAAATGTGCTTATCCTTTGATCAAGTAAATTCACTTTTAATATTATATTTAAAAAATTGGATCAGTAAGCAAAAATATATGTACAAACATGTATATGACAGTTATATTTAACACTCTTGGAATTTAGTATCAACCTAATGTATAACTATACAGGATTATCTCATAATGTTATACTTCATTCAAAGAATATTATGCAGCAAGTTAAAATGATGCTATAAACAGAGAGGTTCATTCTAGTTTCCCTACAAGTCAATCCCATTCATGCCAGGCACATTAATTGTCTCTGGCTGAGGAGAAAAGCACTGAACTAGGTTTAATGTAAAAATGAGGTAAATGATGAATTGAGGACTAGTGAAAGCCAAATGGTATCACACTGACCTATCAGTGAAAGTTTAGTAATAGTTCAAGTAAAGAAAAATTCTCAGGGCATGGTGGAGGGTAGTTGATCACAACAACGTAAGCAAAAGAAACTCAAGAGAACATGAGATGAATAGTTAGCTGTGACCAGCCATCACATGTATGTTCATTTTGATGGTATTACACTATTTTTTGTGCTTAATTTATAAGCCAGTTTAAATTCATTTTTGTTTGAGTGCTGTAAGCAATTTTATATTGGACTTATATGCATTCATATATTTAAAATACAATAATAAAATAATTTTCTTCAACTATTGGTGAATCCTTTATATTTTATTTTATCTTACTGGGGCCGGTATATTACTAAAGTTTGAAAGGCATTAAATTCTCTTATAAATAGCACTATTTTATCCTAATTTTGGAACTGGATGTCTCATCTTCCCACAGTCTGAAGCATGAATTCCAAGTTCTCTGTAAATTCCAAAACTAAAATGAAGAGCTTGAGTAGGGCCCAAAACAAAGGTGGTGAAAAGATTGCATTTAGGCTAATCTGAGGGGGTTATGTCTGTGCTTGAGAAACATTTTGACAATCACTGTATTTTACAAGAATGGCTTTCTAAATATTTTGAGTAGATTTTCCATTAATTTACAAATATGTATGTGTGTATGTATATAATTATATAACCTGGGAAAATTACTAGGATAAATCCATACATCTATACTACTTTAAAGTTGGAAGTTGGAAATACCACTGAATTATTTTTGTGGATAAGTCAAGGTAAAGAGCCAACGTGAATTATGTCAGGGCCTCAGGATATTCTAGAAGTAAGCAAGGCCATTATGTACAGTTGTGCAGAGTGTATCCTACACAATGCTAGTGATCATCCTTCATCTCGCTTATGCTAGAAGTATGTCTCTTGTGGTTAAAAAAATGCATAGACACCTTGATTAGACATATCATTTTTATCACAGGATAGACTGTTTTCATTTTAAATTTTTCATAAATAATGTAATGTTTTTTTTACAGTGTTATACTGGAGGACTTTCTCTTTGGAATTGCTGTGCAAATAAGGTGAACTTTTAGCTCCAAAAATCAAACCCATTCAGATTAGTTTTAATTTATAGTCACTTTATACCTATACTGGTGTGAGTAGTACAACAGAGGTGAATTTCAATTGTAATATGAGCTGATAACAAAGTCAGGGCATCAGGGTGACAAATTCTACTGGTACTTTTCACAAATTATCTCATTTAATTTGAATCCTCACAAAAATTGTGATTGTCAGAGAAATTGGGTGACTTGTCAAAGTTAGTTTAAATAACAGGTCAGTCTAGCCATAAAGCATGTGATTTTGCCACTTTGACACACTGTCAAAAAAAGACCGTCTTCATGCTAGTAAAAAGCTCAGGACATTTTAGTTTAAGAATGAATAACAAATATTCATGATTAACCTGCAATGACTCATGAACCCTCAGAGCCTGTGTTAGCATAATGAAATTAATCTTTCAAAATTGTTTTTTTTCTTCTTTGTAGACCCATACAGTCATCTTGTGGAAAAAAAATTCTGGCAAAGTTTGGATCTTCACAATGCACATTCTATTTCACCCCAAAATTATTAATGATGTTTCTCAATGCTACCCTACTAATTATGCTTCAGAGCATTTAGAGATTATTATAAAGTATACCATATTTGGTCTGTTAATGTCTGTGGTGTGATTAAAGCACTGTAAATTCATGTATCTGAAACTCAGTGGCTATTATCCTCCCTAACCTTTGGGGAATTTCTAAACTTTGCTGATTTCACTCTGTTAAAGGCAAAGTAGTCATTTGTATCTGAATGTAGAAAGTTTGAGTACTAAGAAGAATTATTCTAGATGACATCATAAAAGTGAATTATATTAAAAGTAAATTATATAAGCTTGCTAATTTTATTTATATTATATTTATAAATATAAGTATGTTTATAAAATATGTATTTTATTTATATTATATTAAAGGTAAAGGCAAATTATATTATGTAAGCTTGCTAATAATTATGTTTATATTTATAAATATAATAAATATATTTATAAAACATGTATTTTATTTATATTATATTAAAGGTAAATTATATAAGCTTGCTAATAATTTTATTTATAAACAGATGGACTAGAATAAAAGTTATAAGCATACCATTACTACAAACAACAGAAGTCAAGAAGGCTAATCACAGATGCAGTATATCTATTATTCTTAGAATATAGGGCTCTTGCTAATTCTGATACAATTGAATTAAGAATATTTAGTTTATAGATATTAAAGATGGCAAGATATTTACTGCACATTTTAAGTCCAGAGCAACATTATTTTATTAAGTTACATTTTAAAATATTAACTGAGGCATTTAACAAAAGGATCAGGCTCTTTAATGGTTTTACAAGTGATATTCTTAGGTTAACAGACCTTGTTCATTTTTCAGTTATTCCACTTATTGAACAAAAATTTATTGTACATTTGTACAGGTCACTGGGTAATAGGATGTAAAGAGGAGTTCTCAAAACAACCTCACAGACCCAGAATAATCAAAACAATTGAAGACTTAACTTCAATTTCAAAACTTACCACAGAGCAAGAGTAATCAAGACAGTATGGTACTTCCCTAAGGACAAACATATATGAATGAAAGAGAAACCAGATTTTGGAAATTTTAAAGAGTGTCAAGACCATTCAGCAAGGAATGAATAGTCTTTTCAACAAATTGTGAGACAATAGATATTCACATGCAAAAAATGTACCTGGACTCCTACCTCACGCCATATAAAAATATTAACTCAAAATGGATTATAGGGAGGAAGTGGAGGAAGATGACCAGAAAAAACCTTCCAGTGATTATCCCTAACTTGCCCTGCAGGAAGACCAAATTGAACAACTATCCACAAAGGAAAGCACCATCATATGAGGCAAAAATCAGGTAAGTAATCACAGTACTGAGTTTTAATATTATAGCAAGAAAAGAGGCACTGAAGAAGGGAGGAAAGACAGTCTTGATTTGCTGACACCACCACTCCCCCATCTACCGGCAGAGGCCATGTGGCACAGAGAGAGAATCTCTGTGCTTGGGGGAGAGAGAGCACAGTGATTGTGGGAGATTGTGTCAGAACTCAGTGCTGACTGTCACAGTGGAAAGCAACACGGGGCACCCACAAAGGGAGCATTTAGACCAGCTTTAGCCAGAGGGAAATTGTCCATTCCAGCAGTCAGAACCTGATTTCTAGATAGACCAGCCACCACAGGTTAAGGCTCTCTGGGCTTACTAAATAAACCTGAAAGACAGTCTAGGCCATGAGGACTGTAATTCCTAGGCAAGTCCTAGTCCTGTGTTGAGCTTGGAGCCTGTGGACTTGGGGTGCATGACACCTAGTGAGACACCAGCTGGGATGGCCAAGGGAGTGCTTGCAACACCTTTCCCCCAATGCTAGGCAGCACAGCTTGCAACTCTGGGAGAGTCCCTTTCCTTCTGCTTGAGGAAAGGAGAGAATAAAAAGGACTTTGTCTTGCAATTTGGAAACCAGCTTAGACACAATAGAATAGGGCACCAGGCAGATTCCTGAGGCCTCCATTCCAGGACAATTCCCAGGCAACATTTCTAGTCATACCATGGACCATAAGGTAATCTGCTACCTTGAAGGGAAGGACCTCTTGTCCTAAGAGAACTCATCACCTGCTGACTAAAGAGTGCTTGGGTCTTGGATAAACACCAGTAGTAGCAAGGCAGTATTTGTCATGGGCCTTGGGTGAGGCCCAGAGCCATGCAAGCATCACATGTGACCCAGGACATTTCTGGCTGTGGTAACCACAGAGAGAGACTCTTTCCGCAGGAGGAAAGTAGGGGGAAGAGCAAAGGAGACTTTGTCTTGCAGCTTGGGTACCATCTCAGCCACAGTGTGGAAGAGTACCAAGTTGGCTCTTGGGGTCCCTGATTCCAGGCCTGGTCTCCTAGACAGCATTTCTGAACCTACCCTGAGCCAGAGGGGAGCCAGAGGGGAGCCCTCTTCAGTGTCCTGAAGAGGGAGACCCAGATCTGAAAACGTTTACCACTAGCTGATGGACAAGCCCTTGGGCCTTCTGGGAACATTGGTGGTAGTCAGGCAGTATTCACCATGGGCCTGGTGGGTGGAAGTGGGGGGATGGTTACCTATGGGAAGAGACTTCTTCTGCTTGAGGAAAGGGGAGGGAAAAGTGGGAAACACTTTGTCTTGTGGCTTGGGTGCCAGCTCAATTGCAGTAGAATAGAGCACAAAGCACATCCTTAAGCTTCCCAACTCCAGGCACTGGCTCCCAGATGGCATTTTTGGACCCATGTGGACTGAGTGGGGGTTGAAATTACCACCCTGAAGGGAAGAGGGTAAGCCTGGCTAGATTCTCCCCATTCTGACTAAAGAGCCCTTGGGCTTTAAGTAAACATCAAGGATAAGAAAAAAGTGGTCACCATGTACATTGGGTGAGACCCAGTGCTGTGCTGGCTTCAGGTCTGATCCAGCACAGTCCTAGTGGTGATAGCCACAGAGGTACTTGTGTCACCTCTGTCCCAGCTCTGGACAACCAGCAGGAGTGTTAGATTTCATTTGCTGGGGAAAGTAAGGAAAGAGAATCAGAGTGTCTGCCTGATAATCGAGGGAATTCTCTCAGATCTTACCTAAGACCTCCAAGGTAGTACCTCTAAGAGTCTACAAGACTCATGGTGTTACTGGGCTTGGGATGTCCCCTAATGCAAATATACCTTCGGTGAGCACTTAGATCACAACACCCAATACCCTTTGAATACTTGGAAAGCATTCCCAAGAAAGATGGAAACAAAGAAGCCCAGACTCTGAAGACTACAATAAATACATAATTCTTCAATGCCCAGACATTGATTGATATCTACAAGCATCAAGACCATCCAGGTAAACATGATCTCAACAAATGAACTAAATACAGCACAAGTGGTCAACCCCAGAGTGACAGAGATATGTGACCTTTCAGACAAAGAATTCAAAAAAGCTATTTTGAAGAAGCTCAACAAAATTCAAACTAACACAGAGAAGGGATTCAGAATCCTATCAGATTATTTCAACAGAGGGATTGAAATAATTAGAAATATTAAAAAGAAATTATGGAGCTGAAAAATTCAATTGAGATGCTGAAAGATGCATCAGAGTCTCTCAATAGCAGAATTGATCAAGTACAATTGATCAAGTAGAATAAAGAATTAGTGAGTTTGAAAAAAGGCTATTTGAAAATACACAATCAGAGAAAATAAAAGAAAAAAGTATGAAAAAGAATAAGCATGACTATAAGATCTAGAAAATAGCCTCAAAAGAACAAATCTAAAAGTTATTGGCCTTAAAGAGAATGTAGATAGAGACAGTGGGGCAGCAAGTATATTCAAAGTCGTAACAGAGAGCTTTCCAAATCTAGAGAATAATGCCAATATTCAAGTTAAAGAAGGTTGTAAAACACCAAGCAGATTTAGCCCAAATAAGTCTACCTCCAGACAATTAATAATTAAACTCTCAAAGATGAAAGACAAAGAAAGGATTATAAAAGTGGTAAGAGGAAAGAAAAAACATGCAAAGAAGGTCCAATATGTCTGTCAGCCAATTTTTCACTGGAAACCGTACAGGCTAGGAGTAAGTGGTGTGATATATTTAAAGTGCTGAAGGAAAAAACTCTTATCCTTGAATAGCATATCCACTGAAAATATCCTCCAAACATTTTTCCCAAGCAAACAAAGCTGAGAAATTTCATCAATACTAGACCTGTCCTACAAGAAATGCTACAGGGAGTTCTTCAATCTAAAAGATGAGAATGTTAATGAGCAATAAGAAATCATCTGAAGGTACAAAATTCTCTGGTAATAGTAAGTACACAGACAAACACAGAATATTATAACAATGTACTTGTGGTGTATAAACTACTCATACCTGGAGTAGAAAGACTAAAATATGAATCTATCAAAAATAATAACTACATAATTTTTAAGACACAGGCAGGATACTGAGATAGAAATAGCAAAAAGTTAAAAAGCGGGAGAGGGATGAAGTTAAAGTGCAGATTTTTAAAAATTCGTTTTTCCTTGCCTGTTTGTTTTTGCAATCAGTGTTAAGCTGCCATTGGTATAAAATAATGGGTTGTTATTTGCAAGCCTCATGGTAACCTCAAATAAAAAAACCTACAATAGAAACACAAAAAATAAAAAGATATTAAAACATACACCAGAGAAAATTACCTTCAAAAAAGAAGACAGGAAGGAAAGACGGGAGGAAGAGAAGGCCACACAACATTCATAAAACAAATAACAATATGGCAAGAGTTAGTCTTTACTTATCAATAACTTTGAATGTAACTAAACTAAACTCTCCAATAAAAAGCCATAGTGTAACTGAATGGATAAAAAAAACAACAACACACAATCTGTTGGCTACAGGAAACACACTTCACTTATGAAGACACACATAGATAGAAAATAAAGGGATGGAAAAGATATCCCATGCAAATGGAAGCCAAAAAAAGAAGAAATAGTTATACCAGATAAAATAGATTTCAAGATAATAGCTATAAAAAGAGAAAAAGAAGGTCATGATATAATGATAAAGGGGTCAATTCAACAAGTGGATGAAATGTAGATATATATGCACCCATCACTGAAAAACCTAGATATATAAGGCAAATATTATTGGAGGTAAAGAGAGAGATAGACCCTAATACAATAATAACTGGAGACTTCACCACTGTTCTTTCAGCATTGAACAGATCTCCCAGACAGAAAATCAACAAAGAAACATTGGATTTAATCTACACTCTAGACCAAATGGGCTTAATAGATATTTGCAGAACATTTTAGCCAATGGTTGCAGAATACATGTTCTTCTTCTCAGCATATGCATTATTATTAAGGATAGATCATATATTAAGTCACAAAACAAATCTGAAAAACTTTAAAAAAAATCAAATTATATCAAATATTTTCTCCAACCACAGTGGAAAAAAACTAGGATTCAATAACAAGAGGAACTTTGGAAACTATACAAACACACGGAAATTAAACAATGTACACCTGAGTAGCCAGTGGGTTAATAAAAAAATTACGAAGGAAATTTAAAAATTTATTGAAACAAAAGGAAATGGAAACATAATATACAAAATCTGTGGAACAGAGTAAAAGCAATAGTAAAAGTGTATAGCTACAAAAGCCTACATCAAAACATTAAAAAACTTAAACAATCTAACAATGCATCTTAAAGAATTAGAAAAGCAAGAGGAAAGCAAACCCACAATTAGAAGAAAATAAATAATGAAAATTGCAACAGAAATAAATGACAAAAAATAAAAAACCCAAAAGATCAACAAAATGGAAAAGTCGTTTTTTTGAAAACACAAACAAAATCAACAAATTTCTAACCAGCTACTAAGATTACAACATGAAGAAATCTAAAACCTGAAGAGATCTATAGAAAGTAATGAGAAGAAAGCTGCACTATAAAGTCTCCTAGCAAAGAAAAGTCTAGAATCCAATGGCTTCACTTTAGAATTTTACCAAACACTTAAAGAAAAACTACCAACCATACTCAAGTTAATCTAAAAAATAGAAAAGGGGAGACTATTTCCAAACTCATTCTACAATGCCAGTATTACTCTGATATCAAAACCAAAGGCACAACAAAAAAAGAAAACTACTAGCCAATATATCTGATAAACACTGATGGAAAAAAACTCAACAAAATGTTAGAAAATTGAGTTCAACAACACACATTAAAAATATTATTCATCAAGACCAAGTGGGATTTTTCCCAGGGATGCAAGAATGGTTCAACAAACACAAATCAATCAACATGATACATCGTATCAACAGAACGAGGCCTAAAACTATGTGACCATTAAAATAGATGCTGAAAAAGCATCTAATAAAATTCAACACCCCTTCATGATAAAAACCCTCAAAAAACTGTGCATACAAGAAACTTACCTTAACACAATAAAAGCCATATATGACAGACTCACAGCTAATGTCATACTGAATGGGAAAAAAATGAAAGACTTTCCTCTACAATCTAGAACAAGACAAGGATGCCCACTTTCACCCTGTTGTTTAACACAATACTGAAAGTACTATTGCTAGCTGGAGCAATCAGACAAGAGAAAAAAATAAAGGATATTCAAATTGGAAAAGAAGAAGTCAAATTATCCTGGTTTGCAGATGGTATAATCTTATATTTGAAAGAAACATAGAGAATCCACAAAAATTGATAGAATTGATAAACAAATTCAGTAAAATTTCAGGAAAAAATATCAACATACAAAAATCAGTAGCATTTCTGCATACCAACAGTGAACACTCTGAAAAAGAGATCAAGAAAGTAATCCTATTTACAATAGCTACAAATAAAATAAAATACTTACAAATCAAACAAAAAGTGAAAGATCTCTAGGATGAAAACTATAAAATATTTATGTAATAAATTGAAGATAACACAAAAAAAGTTGAAAGATACTCTTTGTTCATGGACTGAAAAAAATTAGTATTGTTAAAATTTTCATACTACCCAAAGCAAGCTACAGGTTCAATACAATCTCTATCAAAATACTAAGGACATTCATCACAGAAATAAAAAATAAATGATCCTAGAATTTACATGGAACCACAAAAGACCCAGAAATAACAAAGCCATCCTGTGCAAAATGAACAAAACTGAAGGAATCACATTCCTGACTTTGAATTACACTATAGAACTATAGTAACCAAAATCACATGGTATTGGCATAGATCAATGAAATAGAATTGGAGATCCCAGAAATAAATCCATACAGAAAAGTGAAACTACACCTCTATCTTTCACCATGTACAAAAATCAAATAAAAATGGATTAAAGACTTAAGTCTAAGACATGAAACTATGAAACTACTAAAAGAAAATAAGTTTTGCTTTTCTGCCACAGAGTCTCAGCCAGCATCATTATCTGGAGGCTTATGACATGCGTAATTCATAGACATGAATTCCAACTGATATGGTTTGTCTGTGTCCTCGCCCAAATCTCATCTTGAATTATAGTTCCCATAATCCCCATGCGTCATGGGAGGGACCTGGTGTGAGGTAATGGAATCATGGGTCCAGTTACACCATGCTGATCTCATGATAGTGAATAAGTTCTCATGACATCTAATGGTTGTATAAGGGGCTTTTCCCACTTTGCTCGGTACATCTCTCTCCTGCTGCCATGTGAAGAAGGACATGTTTGCTTTCCCTTCTTTGATGATTTTAAGTTTCCTGAGCTCTCCCCAACCATCCAGAACTGTGAGTCAATTAAACCTCTTTCTTTTATAAATTACCCAGACTCAGATGTGTCTTTATTAGCAGCATGAGAATGAACAAATAGAATAAATTGGTACTGAGGAAGTGGGGCACAGCTATAAGGATACCTGAAAATGTGGAAGTGACTTTGGAACTAAGTAACCAGCAGAGGCTGGAACAGTTTGGAGGGCTCAGAAGAAGATAGGAAAATGTGGGAAAGTTGGGAACTTCCTAGAGACTTGGTGAATGGCTATAACCAAAATGCTAACAGTGACATGGACAATGAAGTCCAGGCTGACATGGTCTCAGAGGGACACGAAGAACTTGTTGAAAACTGGAGTAAAGGTGACTCTTGCTATGCTTTAGCAAAGAGACTGTTGGCATTTTGTCCTGCCCTAGAAATCTGTGGAACTTTGAACTTGAGAGAGATAATTTAGAATGTCTGGCAGAAGAAATTTATAAGCAGCAAAGCATTTAAGAGGAAGCAGAGCATAAAAGTTTGGAAGATTTGCAGCTTGATGATGTGATAGAAAAGAAAAACCCATTTTCTGGGGAGAAATTCAAGCCAGCTGCATAAATTTGCATAAGTAATGAGGATCCCAATGTTAATTGCCAAGACAACGGGGAAAATGCTTCTAGGCATGTCAGAGACCTTCATGACAGCCCCTCCCACCACAGACTCGGAGACCTAGGAGGGAAAAATTGTTTCTTGGGCTGTGTCCAGAGTCCCCCTGATCTGTGCAGCCTCAGGACATGGTGCCCTGTGTCCCAACTGCTCCAGCCATGGCTAAAATGGGCCAAGGTACAGCTCAGGCCATTGCCTCAGAGGGTGCAAGCCCCAAGCCTTGGCATCTTCCATGTGGTGTTAGGCCTGTTGGTACACAGAAGACAAGAATTGAGGTTAGGGAACCTCCACCTAGATTTCAGAGGATGTATGGGAATGCCTGAATGTCCAGGCAAAAGTCTGTTGCAGGGGCAGAGCCCTCAGGGTAAACCTCTGCTAGGGCAGTGTGGAAGGGAAATGTGGGGTTGGAGCCCTCAGAGTCCCCACTGGGGCACTGCTTACTGGAGTTGTGAGAAAGGGCCACCATTCTCCAGACCCCAGAATTATAGACCGACTGACAGCTTGCACTGTGAGTTTGGAAAAGCCATGGACACTCAACACCAAACATAAAAGCAGCCAGGATGGGGACTGCACCTTGCAAAGCCACAGGTGTGGAGCTTCCCAAGGCTGTGGGAGCCCACTACTTGCATCAGTGTGACCTGGATGCGAGACATGGAGACAAAGGAGATTTTGGAACCGTAAGTTTTAATGACTGCCTTATTGGATTTTGGACTTGTATGGGACCTGTAGCCCATCAGTTTGGGCCAATTTCTCCCATTTGGAATGAGTGTATTTACCCAATGCCTGTATCCCCATTGTATCTAGGAAGTAACTAACTTGCTTTCAATTTTACAGGTGCATAGGTGGAACGGACTTGCCTTTGTCACAGATGAGACTTTGGACTGGGACTTTTGGGTTAATGCTAGAATGAGCTAAGACTTTGGGGAACTGTTGGAAAGACATGATTGTGTTTTGAAATGTGAGGACATGAAATTTGGGAGGGGCCAGGGGCAGAATGATACTGTTTGGCTGTGTCCCCACCAAAATTTTGTCTTGAATTCTAGTTGCCATAATCTCCACATGTTGTGGGAGGGACCTGATGGGAGGTAATTGAATCACGGGGGTGGGGAGTTATCCCCATGCTATTTTGAGTGAGTTCTCACAAGATCTGATGGCTTTATAAGGGGCTTTCCCCCCTTTTCCCAGCACTACTCTCTCCTGCCTCCATGTGAAGAAGGAAGTGTTTGCTTCTCCTTCCACCACGATTGTACATTTCCTGAGTCCTCCCCAGCCATGTGGAACTGTGAGTCAATTGAACCTCTTTATAAATTAATCAGTCTCAGTTATTTCTTCATAGCATCACAAGCATAGTGTCTGAAAGGACAACCAGTTTGCAGCACAAGAGGTACAAAAATGAGCCTAAAACTGAATACTTATTTCAAATATTCAAAACGACTATTTCCAGTAGAAATTTCTCTCTTTATCTTTCAGATATGTCCTGAGAGTTTCTGAAGTTATTTAACTGGTTCAATGAGAATTTAATCAAGGTCTGCTTTATATCAAAATTTATGATTTTTATTCAATGCCATACATAGAATTTGTTCACAGTTATCATCAAACACACTCATGTAAGTAAATTCTATTAGAAAAACATGTTCTTCGGTGGTCAGAATATTCTGGGACTTTAGGTTAAAATGTATAAATGTCAAAGTTGCAACTCAGGTTGCTATTTTTTATTTTTAACAGGCATATGCATAGTCCTACTTCTTTTCATTGAGTCATTTTTGTTGGTTTAACTTTTAAATAGTATATACATTTTTCCTCTGGAACAGTTCTTGGCTAGTTTGACAGCCTTGGCAGTGTTTTCTGGGTGAGAAGTAGTTTATAGCACTGCCTTTTAATAGTGAGAACCAAATGAACAGCATATCTAGGCAGTGAATAATCTTAGCACATAGCACTCAAATGACACGCAGTCTGAGGAAAATGTGTAGGAGAAACTAAGTCTTACAGGGCTCCACAGCTCAGAGATAAAAACATAGAACATTTGAGATTGTACAAAACTTTCTAGTGTATGGTGATTATTGAGTGTTTGTGAATGGTTATGTAGCAGATGTGTAAATAAATGTATCTTGTTGAGTAGAAGATGTCACAGAAGAGAATTCATGAAAATGAAAGCCACAGGCATTGCAAAAAATGAAATGATTTAACTCTTATATTTGTCTATGGATAGTATTATCATAATTATACACAATTAGATCTGATGTTCTGAAATACTCTTCAAGAACAATTTAAAACATCACACTAGATGTCCAGAGGTTATCAACTAGAAGCCTGTTGACAGGTTATTAGAAACACATTGTTTGACAATTTCTATTTGATTGGCTATAGTCAGGATACATATTCTCCCACCTGCTGTAGTTCTCACCAATTGCTATTGTATTAAATAAAACATGTTTTATTCATTTATTAATATCTTCTGCCTGGTCTGTGAATACAGCTGAGTATGTTTGGTTCAGTAACCTTGGCATTTCAATGTAATGCCATTTTATTTGATTTTTTAATTCGTTTTTCCTCTATAGAAACAAATGTATGTAATTAGACTGACACATAATATGAGCAGAGCTCCTTTGTCTCTTAATTAGTAGTCTTTTCAGTTAATATATCTTTGAACAAGGTAAGCCAATTGCATTAACTGTTTAGTATTCTCCCAGCCTGGCTATGAAAACTTTGGTATATATGATATACTTTTGAAATGCATGCATATTCAAAAATTTATTTTAAAAGTTTATAGAAAATAATGTTAAGCAGAACATAAAACAGGTTTTAAGATTATAGATAAAATTATTTTCTTTTCATAATATATGATGTCAAAATTATTAGTAGGAACTATTTTAAAATGTCAGCAATGGTTATATGATGATTATCTCTATATTTCGCTACTTTCTTGATTATCTTTGGAGACCAGGTTGAGTAAAAAAGAAAGATCATTTTGCATAAACAAATAGAAAAATATTTATTCCATAAAAATGTAGAATGAAGGCGGTATTAAGAGAATTTTTTAAATTGTAAAGATAGCTCAAAAGGCTATGAAAGCTAGGCTTCTGGCTAAATAAGGTAGAGATAAGCCATAATTTCTATGTTTTTATCTATGTATATTCTACTTGCAAATAGTAAAGAATTGGCTATGCCTCTTCTGGAGAGTAGATCAACTATTGAGCTGTGAGGGCTTCTCACCTGCATAGTACACGGACTTGGGGAAAATTCACTCTTCAGTGGCACTGTTACTTACAGCTGTGCTCTCTGTCTCATCAGGGACTAGAATGTAAACAAATAGCTTTTCCATGATGTCATTCTAAAATTATTGACATAGAAAATACTCTGCAATATTTTAATACACTTTGTAAGGGGCATATCATAAATTAGAAGGGTCAAAAATTAATCATAGAGTCAAAGAGAAATTAGAGTATTATGATATTTCAGAAATGATACAATTGTCAACATTTCCATTGAGTATGTTAGGATACGTTAAAAAGCAAGTAGGACCCTTATTTTTTCAGTCCTTGAAATTTTTGTATTTTTTCCTATTCTAAAATACAAATAAAATCATTATCTGATGACTGAAATTAATTACATCTTTTACTTTTTTTTTTTTTTTTTTTGAGACCGAGTCTCGCTTCATCACCTAGGCAGGAGTGCAGTGGTTTGATCTCTGCTCACTGCAACCTCCACCTTCTGGGTTCAAGCGATTCTCATGTCTCAGCCTCCTGAGTAGCTGGGACTACAGACATTTGCCACCATGCCCTCCCAATATTTTTTATTAGTTTTATTTATTTTTTCATTTTTGGTAGAGACGGGGTTTCCCCATGTTGGCCACGCTGGTCTAGTACTCCTGGCCTCAAGCTATCCCACCTGCCTTGGCCTCTCAAAGTGCTGGGATTACAGGTGTGAGCCACTGCCGCCAGCCACATCTTTTACTCTTTAATGTATGAATGCAAATGAAACATGTAAATATATTTTGATGACACAATATGGAAGAGAAATTATATACTTCATTAAAAAAGTACTAATATAAAAAAAATTCCTAATGAAATGATTTTGCTTTCTCAGTCATTAGTGAAAATAATTAGTGAGCAGAGAAATATAACACCCTCTTCTTTGGGTTGATTTTCATACCCCCATGAAAAGATTGAAGTCTCTCCAGTGTGATCAGCCTCACAGTTTGAGAAACACTGTCCCAGTTAGACAGAAAATCAGATAATTGCAAGAACAATTTGCAATCCCCAGGTGATTTCGAAAACAGAAGTAGACTGGAAGATATATTATTATGTAAAGTGACATAATATAATTACTGCATGAGAGGGCTTTGTTTTGTGAAGCTGCAGTCTTTAAAAATATAAGGGTGAAGTGAATCACTCTCAGCTTGCTTTCTATCTCTGAACCTGTATCTGTGTTTAGCCTCTGTGATCAGACTGAAGTCGAGAAATAATGTTCCTTTTATAATTTATGTCGAAATCACAGTAATGGAACTACACATGTGGCCGTTAATCTTTCTGAGATCTGTATTCCACACTAGTAGGAGCACTTTGCATATTGCTGATAATTTTGGTGAAAACATATTAAGTCATAAATGTAAAGTGATCACAAGGAATTTTTTTCTTAAATACTTATTGGCTATTGGACAACAAATCTATCAATTACGTTGAGTATTTTCACTTGACATTTCACTTCTAGTTAGGAATTAAGCTATTTTAAGACTGAGGTCTTCTAATTCAGCCTGTCCAATCGTGGGTTTATTCCTGTCATCTTTCCTGGCATGTAGCTTTGACTTTGGTATTTATGCATGGATTAAGTTTGTATTTTCTAAGGAATTGAGCAGTAATTTCCCAGGGAATCAGAGGGAGACTCCACTGGTGTTTTACATCTGATATTTCCTATTTCAGTTAATTAATATTTTCTAATTTTGATTTGAAGCTACATCACTGAAGATTATTTGTAATGGTTCAAAGTGACACATATGATTTACAGGCACAGTCTTTAGGGTTTGACATGGTGAAATTTTATTCTTATTTAATTTCTATAAACTCTTACCTTCTCTAATAGTCATAGTGTATTAACAAAAGCAAGTTCATTATTTAAGGCTTTAATAATTTAACTGGAAAATCAAATGCATTGTTTTAGAGGCAACTTACAAAATACTTAGGGTAAAATATTATTTTTAATGGAATAAATGATGGCTCCTCAGTTCCATGTCTGTCTTTAGTGTAACTATTTATTAGCAAATTTAACAAACATGCTTTTCAAAGAAACATAGACCCTCATCTTCAGATTGAACAAACTGACAAAATTTGGTGGTAGGTAGAATGAGATAGCATTGTAGAATTGTAGAATTAACTAACTCGAATAACGTATTATTATAAATAAAGTATTAAGAGATAGATTGAGTTACATAAGAAAAAATTACTCGCATTATTTTATTTTTTAATTTTCTGTTATTCATGTACAGAATTTAAAGAGTTAAAATGCCCCCAAAGTCTTAGAACCTCAAGACTGCATTCACCCTTTTCCATTTCTCTTCACCCCAGAATCTGCAGAACCTGACATTTTCAACTCTTTGCATCTTCTCGTATTTACTTCTGTATCATACATAAAATACTTGCTACTTCTTGATTTTTAAAAATGCAGACAAAATACAATTTTAGTTTGAAGACAAGGATTTCTCTCTTGTATCCCTTGCTCCTCACACTCTCCTCCCTCTCTTTCCCAGTATAGTTATATTACAATTATTTGTCAAACCAATGTTTATATTACAGTGACTTTGTAGATATCACATCAATCTTGTAATATGCTCTGATTGCATTTTCTTTCCTGTATAATTTTTTGGCTTTTCTTGATGGTGTTAATGGCCCCTTGTTTTGCCCTTTGCCTGGTTTTCTATATACTTATTAATAGTCTTTTAGAGGCTTTGGAGACTTTCCGCAAATATTCAGTCATGCTAGCTATTCATTCATACTTGAGAGTGGGGCATTAAAATGAAAATGGAAAACTTTGTATAGAACTCAGCTTAACAACTGCTCAGCTTCACCGTGAGGTGATCAGATGCATACCCATTTATTTGTTTGAGAGTTGGTATTGGATAAAGCAAGGCCAGCTTTCATAAACAAATAGATCCTAAATGTGTAAAAGCTTAAATGCAACAGAAATGTTTTACTATTCACTTCTGTGGTTAATGGATTAATGTTCTCTCTTTAGAGATTCAAAAACAGACTTTCTTCATCTTGCAATCCTACTGGCCACAGGGTGTTGTAATACCTGTATGGCAAAAAGGGAAAGAGCACTTAGAAGAGGGCGTACTACTTTTTCCATCCTGGGCCTGGAACTGACACACATCTGTTCAAACTACAATGGCCAGAATAGTTCAAGGTTATACATTTAGTACAAATTGAGATAGGAAATGCAGTCTCAGCCTAGGCAACTGGTTTCCAATGACAACTCTATGTGGTGGAAGAGTATTAATTTTGTTGGCAGCTAGCTATCTATGGCACAGACATTTTCTCAAAGTGTCAGCACCTGTAGGTCCTTGCTCAGGGCAAGCCTTGCTCAGTGCTGGCTGACGTTGCACATTTAGTAAATGAATAGTCAGTGCTTCTTAAACAATGCACATACAAATATATGGTAAAATACAGATTCTGATTCCAGATACCTAGTGTAGAATTTGAGTTTCTGAATTTCTAACAAGGTCTCAGGAATCATTAATTCTGCTAGTCCATGGAACATAATTTGAGTAGCAAAGACCTAGGTTGCAACACTCTGCCTCCATCTATTCCTTTCTTTTCTTAGTACAGAGCTTTCTATTACATTCCTCCAGAGAATACACATCATCTTTAATGCCAGAGTGTATGAAGGTACTCTCCCAGTTGAGGGTAGTGAGGGAGGACCCCTAGTAATCTGCTGGCTTCCTTTGCAGCTTTTCTTTCTTTCTTTTTCCCTTCCCTTCCCTTCCCTTCCCTTCCCTTCCCTTCCCTTCCCTCCCCTCCCCTCCCCTCCCCTCCCCTCCCCTCCCCTCCCCTTCCTTTTCTTTGATAAGGAGACTCACTCTGTAGCCAGGCTGCAGTGCAGAGGCACCATCTCGGCTCACTGCAACCTCCAACTCCCTGGTTCAAGCGATTCTCCTGCCTCAGCCTCCTGAATAGCTGGAATTACAGGCACGCGCCACCTAGCCCAGCTAATTTTTGTATTTTTAGTAGGGATGGGGTTTCACCAGGTTGGCCAGGATGGTCTCGATTTTCTAACCTTGTAATCTGCCTGCCTCGGCCTCCCAAAGTGCTAGGATTACAGGCGTGAGCCACCTATGCAGCTTTTCAAATAGACTTCCCAACATCAGCTCCCCTGCTCGCCTGCCTTCAGAGAAGGCTTCTACTTCTTGAGGTTTGTAGAATTCTGCAGTGCGCATCAACTTGTTTCTTTTAGACATGTAAGGGGAAGAAAGTAATATATTTTCCTCACCCATCACAAGGTTTAAGTCTGACACCCCTATAACAAAAGAAAGATTAACAAGAGAAAAGCATATCACTTTACTTAATATACGTTTTTATGAGACAAAGAGGCTTCAAAAATGAAGACTCAAAGACTCAGGGGAAATTGTGTTTTGTTACAGACAATCATGCAGGAGTGTGATTGGAGACAAATAATGATAAATAAAAATAATGATAAATTTAACATAAATTTAAATAAAACAATAATAAATAATAAAAACAAATAAACAGAAATAATAAATTGAGAGAACTTTGTAAGGCCTGTTTTTTCAGATTCTTCTTGGCTTCTGGGTATAGAGCAGATTACCTCTGGAATGAGGATCTTAGGACCTATTTTCAAGGCGAGTAGTTAAGAGAGACTTGTATGACGATGTGTCAGAGGAAAAAACGTGGGAGAAGGTCAGAGAGGGACCTTTCTGCTCCTGTGTTTTTCTCAATTTGTTTTCAGTTTTCAATACTCAGTATGTCAATATGCCATATTTTGGGGGCATCATGTTCTGAGTCCTGAGCTACTTAAATTTCTATTATATCTGCTCTCATAATTACTACTAACCTAATCAATTTATAACTTCCAAAAATCTGTTGACATCTCTTGTTCTAATCTCTCTAGTTGAATACTTTAAAAAATAGATATCTTACTGTCATTTTAGTGGAATTGCAAAAGGGAATAGAGTTAAAGTCTTTCTATTATATAATTAATTATGAAAAACTAAAAATATTAATTGCTTGGAATATAACAATACCAGAAAAAAACTACTTGATAAAAGAAAAACAAAACTAGAACAGCTGATTGCTTATTTTGGCTACATAATTTTTCACAAATGGCTTCAATGAATTTTCTTGCATTTGTACTACATTACCCTGAGTACTTGTCTGTTATGAATGTGGGATCACTATCACTCTTTTCTGTTAGTGAGATTCCTTTGTCTTTGTAGTTCCAGGTTAGAATTTGCCAGTAAGAGAAGTTGCATGAGGTACAGCAGTCAGAAGTAAAGAGGAAGCTATTATTGTTTGGGGGTAGCCTCTGCAGTCAGATGAGCAGGCTGGCAAAAGCTTTACACTGCCTTCCCAGCAAGCTCTTCAGAACCAACCACTTTATTGCTGCAGGCTGAGCAGGCTGGGAAAGCTTCTTAGAAAAAAAAAAAAAAATTGCAAACCTTCCAAGCAAGCTTTTTCTTTTTTTAATTGAGATAAAATTTAATTACTGTGAAATGTATAATTTGATACATGTATCAAATACATGTATCAAATACACCCATGTAATAACAACTCGATCACAACCTAGAATAATTCCATCACTCTACAAAGTCCTCTGGTGTCTCCTCCCAGTCAATTTCTACTCCACAGGCATCCAAACTTTGAATTACCATATAGATTGGATTTTTTTAACTTCATATAAATAGAATAATACAGGATATACGTCTAAGTCTAACGTCTTTCTCTCACCTCGATGTTTTTGAAATTCTTGATGTTGTTACATGTACAACATTTTCCTTTTATTATTAAAGTATTATCTATTTATTAATGTCCCATAATTTACGTTATAACACTCCTTTAATACACAGATATTAATATTCTTGTACAATTTCTCTGGACATATTTTCACTTATTTTGGGTAAATAGTTAAGAGAGTAATTGTTTAGATAGAGGACAAATATATTATCTTTATAAGAAGCAGCCAAATAATATTTTATCTCTACCAGCAGTGTCTGAGAGTTCCAGTCGCTCCACATTTTCAACCAATTTAGTGTTGTCCATTTTTAACTTTTACCTAATCAAGAGTGTATAAAGTTTTTCAGTGTGGTTTTAATTTACATAATTTGAAGACTAATGATGTTCAATCAGTTGTCATATGCTTATTTGCTATTTGCATAGCTTCCTTTTAACAATTTGATATCCTTCATGTACAGTAGAACTCACTGTTTTTAGCATACAGTTCTGTGATCTCTGAGAAATGCATAAAATCATGTAACCATCATCAAAATCAATATATAGAACTGTAGTGTCACCCCCTCAAAATTTCCCTATGCACTAGTCAATTTGCTCCTCAATCTTCATGCCCTAGCATCAGTGATTTGTATCGTGCCCCTATAGTTTTTCCTATTCCAGAATATAATATAAATTAATCATACAATATACAGCTTTTGGGGACTGCCTTCTCTCACTTGACATAATGCATTTGAGATCTATACATGTTGTTTCACAAATCACTAAACTGCTCTTTTCATAGCTGGGTAGAATTCTGTTGTACAGATATACCATAGTTTGCTTATTGATTCCCTAGTTGAGGGACAAGTTTATTGTTTTTACCTTTGGAATTACACATAAAGGTGTTAGAAATATTTATGTATAGTTTTTAATATAAATATGTTTTTATTTCAACTTGGGTGGAATCTTACAGGTGGAATAAATTACTGGGCACATATTAAGTATGTTTTATTTTATAAGAAACTCCAAACTGTTCTCTATAGTCATTGTATCATTTTTTATTACCACCAGTAAAGTACAGCAGTTCCAATTGCCCTACACACTCACTATTGTTTGCTATTGCCAGTTTGTTTAAATTTAGATGTTTTAATAGGTCAATAATGGCAGATCATTGTGCTTTTAGCTTGCATTTCCCTAGTGACTGAAGATGTCAAACATTTTTTCATATAATTAACTTTTTGTCTGTGAGAGATGTCTATTGAATTCTTTGCACACATTAAAAAATTAGGTTGTTGGTTTTCTTAATAATAAATTTTGAGAGTTCTTCGGAACTCTTAAAATTTTTTTAGAGCAAAATTTACTAATTTTGATAAAGTCCAACTTACCAATGTTTGAGTGAATTGTGATTTTGTTATCTTATCCAAGAAATCTTTGCTTAATCAAAGATCACAAAGATTTTTCTCCTATGTTTTCTTCTGGAATCTTTTAGTTTTACTACATCTATTGTCTATTTTGAGTTAACTTTTGTATATGGTGAAAAGTGTAGTTTGAAGCTTTTATTTCGTTTTTCTAGGCCCTCCTCCGTTTCTCTTTACCTCCCTCTTTCTTCTATCCTTCTCTCCTTTTTTTCAGTCTTTCTTTTGTTTTGTTTGTTGATATCCAATTTTTGTAGTGCCATTTGTTAAAAAACAATATTTTCTGCATTGAATTAACTTTTTCCAAAAGGTAATTTGCCATATATGTGTGATTCTATTTCTGGAATCCCTATCTATTCTGTTGGTCTGTGTCTGTGCTATGCCACAGTAGTCATGTGGGACTGGAATTTTCCTTACTGAGAGGGTTTTAACTATAATTGTAACTTCTTTCATTGACGTAGGATAGTTCAGATTAACTATTTCTTTTTGAATACCTATGGGTAATTTGTGTCATTCAAGAGATTGAGCTATTTCATCTAGTTATTTGAATTTGTGATCAGAGGGTTTTTTCAGAATATTCCATTGTTATTGTATTAATGCCTCTAAAGCCTGTGGCGGTATCCCCTCTTTCATTCCTGATATTTGAAACCTTTGTCTTCTCTTTTCATTTTTCTTGTCTGCTTTTCTAGAAGCTAATCAATGTTATTTGTATTTTTATGTAACTACCTTCTGTTTTCACTGATTTTCTTTTCTTTTTTTTTTTTTGCTCTTATTTTTGTTGGTTTCTGTTCTTGATTATGCACTTCCCTCGTACTTCTTTGGACTTGAATTGTTCTTCTTTTTCTAGTTTATTAAGGTGGAAGATTAGTCATTGATTTGAGACACTTTTACAATATAAACATTTAGATTTCTCTCTATGCTCTCTTTTTTTTTGAGACGGAGTCTCGCTCTGTTGCCCAGGCTGGAGTGCAGTGACACGATCTCGGCTCACTGCAAGTTCTGCCTCCTGGGTTCACACCATTCTCCTGCCTCAGCCTCCTGAGTAGCTGGGACTACAGGCGCCCGCCACCACGCCTGGCTAATTTGTTGTATTTTTAGTAGAGACGGGGTTTAACCATGTTAGCCAGGATGGTCTTGATCTCCTGACCTCGTGATCTGCCTGCCTCGGCCTCCCAAAGTGCTGGGATTACAGGCGTGAGCCACCGCGCCAGGCCTCTCTATGCTCTCTTTTAGCTGCATCTCCTAAACTTCAGTATGTTGTTTTCTTTATGCAATTAAAAATATTTTAATCTCCCGTGTGACTTCCTCTTATATTCATGGATTACTTGGAAATATGTTATTTGATTTTCAAATACTGAAGGGTTTTACAGATATCTTTCTGTTGTTTATTTCTAGTTGAATTCCACTACTACCTGAGAACATATTTCAATTCTTTCAAATTTCTTAAGATTTGTTTTATGAGCCAGAGTATGGTTTATCTTGGTGACTGTTCAGTGTAAACTTGAAATGAATGAATATTTGCTTTTCTTGGGGGAAGTGTCCTATAAATGTCAATTAGGTTAAGTTGTCCAATAGTGTTGTTCAGGTCTTCTATATCCTTACTGATTTTCTGTCATCTTGTTCTATTGATTACTGAGAGGGGAGTGTTGAACTCTGGTGATGATATTAGATACAGTAGGGCCTTGTAGACTAGGTTACTCTGAGGAAAATTGAAAACTATTAGAGAATTTTGGGCAGTGCAGAGATATAACATGCCACATATTTTAAAAGAAAAACTCTGGCTGCTGGAAAAATAGATTCAAGGGAATTGAGGATTGAATCAAAGACACTTGTTAGAAAGTTATTTCAATTGCCCATGTGAGAAAAGAAAGATGACATATACCATGGTGGAAGTGGTAAAAAGAGTTAGATTTTTGATATTCTACAAAAATAAAGTCAGCATAATTTAGAAATAAATTGGATGTAGGATGTGAGTGAAAAGAAAATCAAAGATGAGACCAAAGTTTTTGTTTTGAATAACTGTAAAGGCATTGCTATTAATAGATCTGGGGAATGATTTGGACAAAATAGGACTTACAGGAATTTTGTAGATATTCAGTGTTGGAAGCTAATTTGAAATTCAAGAAATCATTAGGCTACATGAGTCTGAAGTGGCAGGCAAAGGCAGGGGCTGAGATGCAAATTTGAGGGTTATCAATATATATTAATAGATGTGTGTTGAGACTAGTTGATGTGAGCAGATATTTTAAAATGAGAAGTACAAGAACAGAGCTCTGAGGCTCTGCATGATGAAGAAATTAAAGAAATATTTTTAATAAAGAAGTGATTTATTGCATCTCATATTCCTTCAAAGGTTAAACATAATGATAATTGAATAAAAATGACCCTTGGATTTAGCAACATGGGGTCATTGGTGACTTCAGTAAG
Source organism: Homo sapiens (assembly GCF_000001405.40). Lineage (NCBI taxonomy): Eukaryota > Metazoa > Chordata > Mammalia > Primates > Hominidae > Homo > Homo sapiens. The sequence continues at coordinate 125,206,259 of NC_000007.14, forward strand.
AGTAGATTACTTTCATTATATTTGTGAGGGCAGGGATCCAGTTTGTAATGGCTTTAGGGGAGAATTAAAAAATAGAAAGTTGAGGGAGCCAATAAATTAAATGTAATACAAAATAGAGAAATAGGTTGGAGAAAGGAATCAAAGAACTTTTAAAATGAGAGAAATATTGCATATTAATATGGTAAAGGAGAGGATATGATAGAAAGACAAGGACAAATTATAATTCAGGAGAGAATGAGGATATTTGAGGAAGCAAATCTTGAGCAGGCAAGAGGTAGTGGATTATGGTTCACCACTGGGAAGCAGGTTTTTTCCAAGGACAAAGTTTAGTCACAGCAACAGAAGAGAAAAGAGGTGCAGGTAAGTCGGTAAATATAGTAATAGGAATTTGTGAAAATTATCTTTTGATTGCTTCTATTTTCCCAGTGAAATGAGAATCAATAATTTCCATTGAGTGAATGTGTGGTGGCACTATGTTCTGAATGTTTGTGTCCCCCCTCGAATTCATGTGTTGGAATCCTAATTCCCAAGGTGATGGTCTCAGGAGGTGGGGCTTTTGGCTGGTGATTAGGCAGGAAGATGGCAAAATGGCACTCTCATGTATGGGATTAGAGGCTTTATAAAAGAGGCCCAAGGGAACTTGGTGGCCCTTTCCTCCAATGAAAAAGCATCAAGGAGGCACCTTCTAGGAACTGAAAAGTTGGCCCTTATCAAAAACCAAATCGGTCAGTGCCTTGATCATGAACTTCTCAGTCTTCAGAATTGTGAACAATAAATTTCTGTTGTTTATAAGCCACCCAGCATATAGTATTTTATTACAGCAGTCCAAATGGACCAAGACAAGTCTTTTGAGATTTAAAAAGAAAAGGGAATAAATGAAATACTTATCTGGAAGGGTAAGAGATTAAATGGCCTAGAGAATTGTCCTGTGTGTTCAGAAAGCATTGCAGACCATTTTAAGGGAAGCTCTTAAATATCAACAAATGTGACCAGTTTGCATGACCACTGCTTTTCTCCATCCATGGATAAAGAGAAGAAATAGGTTGAGAATTGAGTTTTATTAAGGACCAGGGGGTTATTAAAAGGGGAAGAATGGGAAAGTGGCAAGACAGTTGAGAGGATAGGCAAGTGAGGGATTTTAAATTTGATTATAAATTTCAAGCTATAGAAACGGGATAATGACATGAATAGTGTGAGTGCTTGTGAAAATTCAGTAAGATAAATGGATTGTAATTCTGGATGGGGCGGAAGAAATGGGGAGGAGGACTAGAGAGCTTGAGCTGCAAAGATAGAAAGTGATGACTGGAGAGTGGTAGGTTTGAAACAGAGACTATGGGGTTGGGTTACTTTGATTAGTAAAGACAATGTTTACAATATGAATATGGTAGTGAGTGACTGTGGTGGAGTTAGAAAAAATTATCTTGGAAATTAAGGGGCCAATATATGAAGAAAATTATCTTCGTGATTTGATATCAACAGAAAAAAGTAGAGGAGTAGTTTTAAAGACAGTAATTGTGAGTCAGGTGTCAAATCTTCAAGGGATGAGGAGCAAATGACTTGTGTCATTTGAACTTAGGGTCTTTAGAGAGAAAGAGAAGATAATATATTAGAATTGACAATTAGAATAAGATGAATATCTACTACATCTCCAGGCCCAGTAGTTAGAGGTGGTAAGAAAGGAGACAAACAGCAGGTACGTGAGCTGTGTGAGAAGCCAGAGGGCAGTAGAGCAGGAAAATGGCAGGAATATTCAGAAAAGTTTGAGAATATAGTGAGGTCTAGAGACCAAAAAATAGAAAGGCTTCAAGAGTTGGGAAAGGGAGAAAAAATAGATAGAAAAGAGGAATTAGAATCTGGGGTATGAGGAATAACCTGGAGACCTGAGATTGCTGGTGATTAATATAAAAAGAGACAAAGTTTAATTATTCTCATATGGCAATCCAATTTTCTCAGCATCATTTGTTGATAAGGTGTCCTTTCCTAGTGTACGGTTTTTTGATTTTGTCAAAAATCAGTTGGCTGCAAGTATGCAACTTATTTCTGGGTTCTCTATTTTATTATGTTGATCTATGTATCCATTTTTATATCAGTACCATGGCGTTTTGGTTACTATAGGCTTGCAGTTGAAGTCAGGTAGGTGGGTATGTAAACTAGTATAACCTCTATGGAAAGAAGTATGAAGAGTTCTCAGAGAACTAAAAATTAAACTACTATTTGATCCAGTAATCCCACTGCTGGGTATTTACCCAAAGGAAAATAAGTCATTATATCAAAAAGTTATCTGCACTTATATTTTTATCACAGCCCTATTTACAATAGCAAAGATATGGGCTCAGCCTAAGGTCCGTCAATGGATGACTGGATAAAGAAAATGTGGTATACAATGGAATACTGTTCAGCCATAAAAAAGAATGAAATAATGTCTTTTGCAGCGACATGGATGTACCTGGAGACCATTATCTAAAGAAAAAAGTCAGACACAGCAAGACAAATACTGCATGTTCTCACTTATAGGCAGATGCCAAGTAACACATGGACATAAAGTATGAAATGATACCGTATATTCAGAAGGTTGGGGGTCTGTGAGGGAGCAGATTATGAGAAATTACTTAGTGGATACGATGTACATCATCCCAGTTTGAATATGCTAGGAGCCCAGACGTCACCCATGATCTGGTTTGGCTGTGTCCCCACCCAAATTTCATCTTGAATTCCCATGTGTTATTGGAGAGACCTGGTGGGAGGTAATTGAATCATGAAAGCAGGTCTTTCCCATGCTGTTCTCGTGATAGTAAATAAGTATCACAAGATCTGATGGTTTTACAAAGGGGAGTTTCCCTGCACAAGCTCTCCTCTCTTGTCTGCTGCCATGTGAGATGTGATTTCCACCTCCCACCATGATTGTGAGGCTTCCCCAGCCACATGGAACTGTAAGTCCATTAAACCTCTTTTCTTTTGTAAATTTCCCAGTCTCAGGTATGTCTTTATCAGCAGCACGAAAATGGACTAATACAACCCCTTAACAAAATTGGACTTATTACCCTTAAATTTATACAGATAGAAAACAGTGATAAAGGTTATAATTAGTTTGGGCCCAATGATTCCAAATAGATAGCGATGAAATTCAGAGAAAGAGGAAATGGCCTCACACCTGTAATCCCAGCACTCTGGGAGGCCGAGGCAGGTGGATCGCAAGGTCAGGAGATCGAGACCATCCTGGCCAACAAGGTGAAACCCCGTCTCTACTAAAAATACAAAAAATTAACCGGGCATGGTGGCAGGAGCCTGTAATCCCAGCTACTCGGGAGGCTGAGGCAGGAGAATGGCGTGAACCCGGGAGGTGGAGCTTGCAGTGAGTCAAGATTGTGCCACTTGCACTCCAGCCTGGGCGACAGAGCGAGACTCTGTCTCAAAAAAAAAAAAAAAAAGAAAGAAAGAAAGAGGAAATGGCATTAGAGGTTGGGTCATATAAGAGGAAGTTCTGGACTGGTCCTCTCTAGTGGAGGTCTACAGAGGGTAAGTCTAACTTTGAGTGTGTCCAGGAAATTCATGAAGGAAATGAAATAATGTACCTGGCATGAGAAAGAGAATTTAAGTAATGCACAATTCAGAAACCCCTTATATTGTACTCACACTATATAAATTACACATCTTTCAGTTTATATTTAATATATTTTCTTTACATAGGTGAATATTATATTTCATTAAGTAATTATATTTTCTAAATGTGGCTAATTTATAACACGTATAATTTAATTTATAACATTTTATAAATTATTTCATTTTATAACATTTGTGGATGATTTTGAAAATGATATGACGTTTCTAAAGATATGTAATCTTGTGTAAAATATAGGCTGAAACTCTTCCAAAACCTAAATCATAGCTGATCCATCAGTGTCTGCTGTGTAAGTTGGTTATTAAAAAATAAATAAATCATAAATTCTATGAGCAAAGTTAATAACAAATATAAGGGCTGTGGCAGGAGCCAGACCAGCCTCTCTTCTTCTGATTAAATGAGAGAGATTGATTTAAAATTTATACTATCAAGCAAAAGGCAATTTCTGTATTATCCCCAGGCAGTTAGTTACACATTGGTGAGAACACAGCCATGTTCCAAGTCTCTCCATTATATACACTTACTTTGAAATTGTTAGTTCATTTCATCATCAATCACCTACACTTTCATTCAGGAAACATAAACTAGCAATGCAGTTCATTTGTGGAACACTTTTCATACTTTGCAAAATGTGAAACTGAATTCTTCACATTGTTAAATTCAGCTTTATTTTTCACAAGGGAATTGTAAACACGTGTTAAGGAGAATCACCAAAGCGCTGAGGCAGAGGGTGAACATAGAAATTATTTTCTTGATTCTTCTCTAAGCACAGTACTCTGAAATGATGATATTTAGTTGTAAACTGTCTTTTTCTTTTCTCCTAATGTAAATGAGAAACTGTGGTTAAAACCAGATTTTCTAAGCATTTAAGACAATGAAGTTAATATATTGCAAAAAAAAAAAAAAAAGCAATCTCTCATTTCCTCTTTATCATTTGTAACTGCTTCTTTATTCAGTTTTTTTTTGTTTGTTTTTTGTTTTTTTTTGTTTTTGTTTTTACAGAGTGTTGCTCTGCCACTAGGCTGGGGTGCAGTGGTGCGATCTTGGCTCACTGCAACCTTCACTTCCTGGGTTCAAGCGATTCCCCTGCCTCAGCCTCCCGAGTAGCTGGGACTACAGGCGTGTGCCACCATGCCCAGCTATTTTTTCTGTATTTTAGCAGAGACAAGGTTTCACCATGTTGGCCAGGATGGTCTCCATCTCCTGATCTCATGATCCAGCCCCCTCAGCCTCCCAAAGTGCTAGGATTACAGGCGTGAGCCACAGCACCCGGCCTATTCAGTTTTTTAACAAGGATTTCCGAAGCACACAGCACATAGCACACAGACAAAATGAAAGCTTATGTAAATTCTAGAACACTCAAATAAAAGGTAGAATATTTTAATTATGTAAAACACTTTCTATCATTTAGAGGCTTGACTTTTCCCATTATTAATTTAGATTAGTTTTAAAAATATTCCAAATAATTTATATACTTATAAGTTTAATAATCAGTTTGACAAAATTTGAAAAATAATACATTCAAGTCATACTTGGGTATGTAGGGGGAAATGTTTCCAAAGAATCAACTGAGGAGATTTTTTCTCTTTAACAATTGCTTTATATTGAAATTTTTTCCTCTATTGCATTTTTTTTTCTTTGCACTGCTGATCTAACTGTTTGCTGGCATATCCATTATCTTTTATAGTCACTTCAAATAGCAAAAGCATTAGTTGCATATAATTTTCATCACTTCTTCTCCTGGACTTGAAACCAGTTCCCCCTGATTGCTTCATTTTAATAGCCTACACATTACACTAGAACGCTCCAACATCACATTGGTGCAAGGTGACTGTGACCAATGCAGAAGGCAAATTAAAGACCTTGAAAATGACACTGTGTACATAAGAGAAAACTACTTCCTTTGGTGGAGAAGCATGAACAAACAAAGTCACAAACATCTGGAAAATAGAAAGGTATTATAGGGAGAAAAAAAGAACAGAAATGTTTTTATTGAGACCCATGCCTTTATTGCAAACTTCCAAAGTTAGTTTGTCAGCCACATTTGTGAGATTACAAAACATATTTTCAAGGGCAGAAAAATGATTTTATTGGCATATCTTTCTATTTGAATAGAATATATATCAGCAGTCACATCTTCCATTATTCTAAATTATAGTCTAGTGACACTTTTGAGGATAATAATCACATTAACATAATCCTAAATTCATTTTAAAAATACACCACCCTCAATGAAATATGTCTTTGTGAAAGCAACACAAATGTTTTATTTTTATTTTTTTTAAGACTGAATAAATAAGGCTGTTTGATCCTGTGCAGACATGAGCAAAATGCTGTTGTTGGGTTATTTTTCTCCTTTTTTTCTTTTTCTTTCTTACTTTTATTTTTCAAAAATGTCATATATTCTTTCCTTAAGTGACTTGGATGGTTCTATGGCTCGAAAGAATACATCAGCTTTATTTGCAAGCAAAATGCCTAAACTCTGGCTATGTCCGCTGGAAGTCAAAGGGTATATCAAATATTCAAAGTTAAATTGTTTTGCTTCTCAACAATTCCATGAAAACCTTAAAATTTCTATTTGATTATTCAAAACAGGAGGCAGAGCATTTAATGGTGGGATCTATTGTTAAAGCAAGATCAGTAACTTTTCAGCCCTGACTGCCAGAAGAAAACCAAAAGTATAGTTGGAGGAGGAAGAGAAAAAAGAATGAAAACAAAATCAGAAAAAGGAAAGTAAGACAGTAAGAGAAGTAGAAAAAGTAAATGACTTTTTCAGTATGTTAATAAGTGAATGACACAAAGGTATCATGAAGGAACATGAAAGAGTGCCACTGAGATCACTTCAATCATTTGTACGTGATACCAGCTCATTCACCCACAAACTTTTATGGTGGGACCAGTATTAGCAGACTGCTGCATCAATAGAAGGAGCTTGGTTTCTAGGCTTTTAAGCTTCTACTTGATAAACAACCACACAAACAAACAAAATGTCCTAAGGTAGGCAAGAACAGAGCTTAATACAAGTAAAAATGCAATTGACATCAATGACTGAAAATCTAATTAGAGTAAAAGTTAAAAAAGACACAACTGGGAGCTGGAAAAGTTAAAATCTGGAATGCAACTAGCAAAAATGACAGAAGATTGAGTTTGAAAAGCATAGTGAAACAAATAAGCACTCTTTAAGATGGAATGACTACTTTGAACAAAGCATGGGTTAGCATAGAAAGTCAGTTGTCAAAGCTGAAATTTATCACTCATATTTCATCAGCAACTAATTCTCACAAGGAACTAGAGAACTTTAAATAAATTTAAAAAAAAACACACACTTAATGTGAGGGAAGTGCAGAATTCATTGGTCTCTCTGAAGTCATAATATCCAATGGCTTAGGTGATCAGGAAAAGGAACATGTCAGTTTAAAAATTTGCAAAACAATGAATTACTTGATATATTTGGGGGAAAAGTGACAAATCTTTTCTAATTCAATTTTTAAAAGTTTTTTTTTTTCAATTCAAGCAAGGATCACTTTTAGGTTACCATTAAGAATTATTTGATATGGCATAATAGTACAATTTACTGGAAAACAAAAAATAAGCTAATTCAATTTTTCAATTAAGTATGTACTAAATATCTACTGTATAATTGACTTTTTCCTTAGAAGTATAAAATAAACTATATTCCTAAACTCAAAGAAAGAGTAATAGGAGATACATAATTAGGTTTACTGTAAAAGTGAGTCAAATATTTTGAAAACAAGTTAAAATCTCTTTTGGTTAGATTTTTAAAACTCAAGGAGAAGATTTTGAAAATCAATAAAAATCTATAAACATTAAAAATCATTATGTTCAATTATTTCAGATAAATTAATCATAATTGAGGCCTTTACTATATTTGCAATTTTTTTATGTGACATAAAGTTTTAAAGAATTAAGAAATGGCATGAGTAAGATATAAAATCTCCATACTTATCCTTTCAAATGGACAATAGACAATGTGCAAAGCTATTGTTGAATGATAATATTAACTTTAGAGGGCATGCATTAAGGCAGTTGTCATACTTGGAAGAGTTTGAAAATTATTTTATCCCACCTACACATAAAATATCTCCCATGTACAATTCCAAGCACTCCAAAGCTTACCAGGCAAAAGAGCATGGTGTTTAAGTATGGTAGATATGCTATACTCATGTTAGGTGGATTCCCTGTTTTGCTTATTTTTCTTTTCTCATTTGTCTCGTTTATGGAGTTTGAATCACAAAAGAGCTCTCCTCATAGACTTATTGTAATGACTAAATGAATAAATCTATAGCTCAAATCATGAGCAAAGAAAGTTCATTACAAACATTTAGATATTATGTGAAGTATTATAGCTACACTATGAAGATAAAGGGAATTTTGCAAAATTTGCACTGCTTTACTATATTGCCACTTATAAGTTCTCCATCACATGATATATAAGAGTTTTTTATTTTTCTTTATCTGTCTTGGAATACAGACAATTCTGGTGTAAATTTATTTTAATTTAGTCTTGAGAGTCACCCCTGTGGCTGCAAATTTCCTTTCCCATTTGCATCAAATGTATGGAGATTTAGGTTGTCATTTCCTACTTTTCTTCCTTGTGCATTTTGTAATACCCAGTCAGCAGCGTGGTCACTTATGGGTAGTTTTCACTTCAAGTCATTCAATCCCATGAGAACAAATATTTTTATAATCTTTAGCTCCTACTGTTAACAAATGTTCATGGGAATACACTATAGCAGATTAGAATGATTTGCATATGTTGAGAAGATGCTAAGTTAAAACCATTAAATTATTATTTTAAGCAAAAAATAGCCAGCATGGGACTTAGTCCTGTCCTTTATGTAAACGTATAATTAAATTGTTAAATTTTTTTAGTGACTGTGTTCATGACTATGTTCAAATGTGACAATTTCTCAAACCGCTTTTATACTTCCACTCACAAACCTTAACTTTAGTAACATATTTAGAAAGACTAGAATTAATCCACATTCCCTCATAAGTCAACCAGGATCCTTATCTCTCACATAAATGTTGATGTGAACTATTTATCTGATATCCGTAACTTTGATTTTTTTAAAGGCACAAGGAAGATAAGAAGATTCATAAATAAACACAGCAAACTTAAAAGAGAAGTTTATAAAGAAAAAAATGTACTCAATAGACATAGTTTGATCATGTGTTGGTTAATAGTTTTGATAAGGATCACTTACGGTGAGAAATTTCTACATAGTCTGAAATATATTTGCTATTAGATTACAGTTGTATTAATTCCCTCAAAATGCCTATAATGCATTCTAAAAGGGTGTCACTGAAAATTCTTGGATTTTAGAAGTATTAAGCAAACTTAGATTGGTGGTGAGTTGTTTGGCACAGAAACTGACCCTGGAAATCTATTTTTGAATTCACACATAATTAATTTGGACCTTAATGATGTGTAACATAGCATGACATCTGCTGTTTTCAGCAGTGTTGCTGGCTTAGTGTCAGGACTATCATTAAATATTTAATAATATTATATATCTATGAATACAAAATCTAATCCTGATTCTTAACTCATTTTACAAAATGCCTGCTCAGAATGCTGCTCACTTTAACTCTACGTGAATCAACTATCTAAAATATTCAAAGGTCCTTGTGCAAGATGGCTGACTAGAAGCAGCTGGTGAGCACCTCTCTCACAGAAAGAAATCAAGATAGCAAGTAAATATTAACACTTCAAGTAGATCACCTAAGAGAGCACATGGAATTCAACAGAGAAGTGATGGGAATCATGGAAAGCAGAGGAGAGCAAAGCCAGGCAGCCTGCAGACATGGGACCAGCCTGAAGCTGGGAGAGGCTCCCTGATGCAGGGAAGGGATGAATGGTGTATTGGGCTGAGTGAAGAGGTTCCACCCTGAAGTCACTCCCACGGAGAACCATGGGACAGGTGTTTTCCGCGGGTCTCAGATACATTGTGGCCATGAGATAGATGACAGTGTATGTCTGAATTGACAGTCATGAGCCTTGGGACAGGGATGTAATAGAGAAACAGATCACATTCATGCCTGTCTAAGAAGTGAAGCTACTGCGGCCATCTCACCTCCTGCAGAGACCTTGGCACATTTCAGCAGGAGATCCCCAGCCACTCCCATCAGGAATTGTGCCCATGCTCAATATTAGAGTATTTGTGGGGAAGCCAGGTGGTCCAACTCTGCCTAGCTTCCCCACGGCTAAAACTGAACAGGAAGCTCAAGCACTGGGCATTCCAATGTCCAGCCCATCACCTGAAACAACAGAGAGCACACAGTAAATAATGATCAAGTACGTACCCATCTGCATTTGTCACAGCCACCTTTTACCCATAAGAACCACCTTACTGGCATGGAGGCTGAACTGCACGACTCAATATAACACCTGCTGACAGAAGTTCATAGGGCTATAGAAGCAAAGCCAAAAGACTGTACTCAACACTGCAATCATCTCTAAGGAAGGAAAAAATTCCATTGAAATGAAAATTAATTCAAAAACAAGGATGTCAGCTTCTCCAGATGAGAAGGAAACAGCATAAAAACTCTGGCACCTTGAAAAAACTGAATGTTATGACACTATCAAAGTATTATACTTGCTCTCTAGCAATAGACCTTAACCAAAATGGAAATTCTGAAATGAAAGATATGCAGCCAACACAGGAACATGTAGATGCAAAATACAAATACTGTTAGACCTAAAAAACAGACAGCAACATAATAATAGTAGGGGACTTCTATTCTTCTCAACCCATTGAGAGCACTAGACAGATCATTGAGGTAGAAAAGCAACAAAGCAACTTTGGACTTAAACTGAACTCTAGAGCAAATAGACCTAATAGACATTAACAGAACATTTCATCCACAAATCACATAATATACATTTTCCTCATCTGCACATAGAACAATCTCCAAAATTAACCAGATGCTTGGCCATAAAGCAAGTCTCAATGAATTAAAAAAATAAAAATAATATCAAGTATCTCCTTGGATCACAGCAGAATAAGATTAGAAATCAATACCAAAAGGAACCATCAAAACCACCTAAATACATGAAAACTAAATAATTTGCTTCTGAATAATATTTGAGTAAACAATAAAATTAAAAAAGAATTAATTTTTTAAATGAATAAAAATACAGACACAGCTTATCTAAACCTTCGGGATTTAGCAAAACCAGTACTAAGAGGAAAGTTTACAGCATTAAATGCCTACATCAAAAACATAGGAAGATCTCAAATTAACAACCTAACATTGCACCTAAAAAAAACCAGAGAAACAAAACCAAACCAAACCCAAAGCTAGCAGAATAAAAGAAATAACAAAGATCCCAGCAGAGCAAAAGGAAATTGAGACCAAAAATGTTATCCAAAGGATCAACAAAATAAAAAGTTGTTTCTTTGAAAAGATAAACAGAATTGATAGACCAATCACTAGATTAACCAAGAAAAAGAGAGAGGCATCAAATAAGCACAATCGGAAACGGTAAAGGTGATTTTACAATGAATATCACAGAAATACAAAAGGTCATCAGAGACTACTATGAACATCTCTTTGTGTACAAACTAGAAAACCTAGAGAAAATGGATACATTCCAGGAAACATACAAGCTCCCAAAAGTGAGCCAGGAAGAAATAAAAATCCTGAAGTTCCCAAAAATGAGTAACAAAATGGAAGCAGTAATTAAATTCTCCTTCCTTCCCCCAAAAAATAAGCACAGGAAAAAATAGATTCACAGTTGAATTTTATCAAATGTACAATGAAGAGCTGATACCAATCTTTCTGAAATAATTTCAAAAAATTGAGGAGGAATGATTCCTCTCTAACTTATCCTGTGAAACCAGTATCACCCAGACACCAAAATCAGGGAAGGCCACAATAAAAGGGATAACTACTGTCCAATATCCTTAATGTACATAGATGCAAAAATTCTCAAAAAAATACTAGCAAACTGAATCCAACAGCACATCAAAACATAATACATCATGATCAAGTGGGTTTTATTTCAGGGATACAAGGATGATTCAACATATGCAAATCAATAAATGTGATTCACCACATAAAGGGAATTAAAAACAAAACCCATATAATCATTTTAATAGATGCAGAAAAGTATTCAATAAAATCCAATATCCCTTTATGATGACAACCCTCAACAAATTAGGCATCAAAGGAACATATGACAAAATAATAAACACCATCTATGGCAAGTCCACAGCCAACATTACAGTAAATGAGGAAAAGTTGAGAGCATTTCCCCTAAGAAAGGAAGACGACAAAGATGCCCAATCCCACCACTTCTATTCAACAAAGTACTGGAAGTCCTAGCCAGAGAAATCAGGAAAGAGAAAGAAATAAAAGGCATCCAAATTGGAAAAGAGGAAGTCGAATTATGTCTGTTCATGGATGACATAATCTTATAACTAAAAATCCCCACCTCCTCTCAAAGACTCCTAGACTTGATAAATGACTTCAGTAAAGTTTCAGGATACAAGACCAACATATAAATTTCAGTAGCATTTCTATACACTCATAATATTCAAACTGAGAACCAAATCAAGATTTCAATTTTATTTATAATAACCACAAATACACACAAAGAATCTAGGAATACATTTAACCAAGGAGGTAAAAGATATCTACAAGGGCAACTACAAAACACAGATGAAAGGCATTATAGATGACACAAACAAATAGAAAAACATTCTATGCTCATAGATTGGAGGCATTAGTATCATTAGCCAGAAGTGAACCATCTGTAAAAGAAATTTTAAAAATCCCATTTACAATAGCCACAAAAAATTAAATACCTAGGAATTAACTTAATCAAAAACATGAAAGATCTCTACAATAAAAACTATAAAATACTGATAAAAGAAATTGAAGAGGATCCAAAAAATAAAAAAGATATTCCATTTTCATAGATTGGAAGAATCAATATTGTTAAAATGTTTATACTGCCCAAAGCATCTACAGAGTCAATACAATTTTTATCAAAATACCAATGACATTCCTCACAGAAATAGAAAAACAATCCTAAAATTTATATGGAAGCAGCACAAAAGACCCATAATAGCCAAAGCAATTCTAAGTAATAAGAACAAAACTGGACAAACCACATTACCTGATTTCTAATTATACCACAGAGCTATAATAATCAGAACAGCATGGTACTGCCATAAAAATAGACACATAGACGAATGAAACAGTATAGGAGAACCTAGGAACAAATCCACAAACCTACAGTGAACTCATTTTTGACAAAGGTGCTATGCACATTCACTGGGGAAAAGACAATCTCTTTGATGATTGGTGCTGGGAAAACTAAATATTCATGTGAAGAAGAATGAAAGTAATTCCCTATCTTTTGCCAGATACAAAAATCAAATCAACGTCAATTAAAGATTTAAATCTAAAACCTCAAACTATGAAACTGCTACAATAAAACTTTGGGGAAAATCTCTAGGACATTGGTCTGGGCAAAAAATTATTGAGCAATACCCCACAAGCACAGGCAACCAAAGCAAAAATGGACAAATGGAATCCCATCAAGTTAAAAAGACTCTGCACAGCAAAGGAAATAATCAACACGGTGAAGAGACAACATACAGAACAGGAGAAAAATATTTGCAAACTACCCATCTGACAAGGGATTAATATCAGAATACAGAAGGAGCTTAAACAGCTCTTAAGAAAAAGATAACAGTCTGATCAAAAAATGGGCAAAAGATTTGAATAGACATTTCTCAAAAGAAGATATATAAACAGAAAACAGAAATATGAAAAATTGATTAACATAATCATCAGAGCAATGCAAATCAAAATTACAATGAGATATTATCTCACCCTACTTAAAATGACCTCTATCAAAAAGACAGGCAATAGCAAATGCTGGCAAGGATGTGGAGAAAAGGGAACCCTCATACACTGCTGGTGGGAATATAAATTAGTAGCACTAATTAGTAAATTAGTAACACTATGGAAAAGAGTTTAGAGGTTCTTCAAAAAACTAAAAATTGAGCTACCACATGATCCAGCAAGCCCACTATTGAATATATACTAAAAAGAAAGAATATTAGTATATCATAGGGACATCTGCACTCTCATGTTTGTTGCAGCACTGTTTACCATAGCTTAGATGTGGAAGCAATCTAAGTGTCCATCAATAGATGAATTGATAAGGAAAATGTAGTACATATACACAATGGAGTACTATTCAACCATAAAAAGATTTGAAACTAAAAATTCTAGAAGAAAATCTAGGATGTTCTTTTTTCAATATTAACCTAGGCAAATAATTTGTACTAAGACCTCAAGTGCAAATCCAATAAAAACAAAAATATATAAATGATACTTCATTAAACTAAAAAGCTTCTGCACAGTAAAAGAATCAACATAATAAATAAACACTTTACACAATGGGAGAAAATTTTGTAAACAATGCGTTGGACAAAGGGCTAATGTCCAGAATTTACAAGGAATTAACTAGAAAAAAACAAATAATTCCATTTAAAAAATGGGCAAAGGACATGAACAGACATGTCTCAAAGGAAGGCATACAAGTAGCCAACATATATATGTACGAAAAAATGCTCAACATCACTTGTCTTCAGATAAATGCAAATTAAAACCACAATGAGATACTATATTACACCAATCAGAAAGGCTATTATTAAAAGGACTAAAAATTAATAGAGATTTGCAGATAAAATGGAATGCTTATACACCATTGGTGGGAATGTGAATTACTACAACCTCTTTGGAAAATAGTATGGCGATTTCTTAAAGAACTAGAAACAGAACTACCATTTGACCCAGCAATACCAGTACTATCTACCAAGGGAAAGGACATCATTATGTCAAAAGGATACCTGCACTCATAATTCTCACAACACTATTCACAATAGCAAAGACATTAAATCAAAGTGTCCATCGATGGAAGATTGAATAAAGAAAATGTTTTGTATATACACCATGGAATACTATGCAGGCATAAAAAGAATGAAAATAATGTCTTTAGTATCACAGCATCAAGGAAGAAGTGAGCCTTTCCCTGAACTGCTGTAATGTATGAGCCTTGTCAGCTCTCAGGGCATCATGAGCTCCTTTCTAGCTCTTGCTAGTGCCATGTTTCATGTAGTGGGTCTTGGCCCAGTTCCAGCTCACTGGCAAATACAATATCACCTGTGATACAGGGTACTTGATAATCACAGCTGAGCAAGTTAAAATAGCATGTCCTCTAAAAATACATGGCTTCCATATTCTTTATGTAGGGGTGGGTTGCCCCTACACACCTGTGGGTGTTTCTCGTAAGGTGGGACGAGAGATTTGGAAAAGAAAAAGACACAGAGACAAAGTATAGAGAAAGAAATAAGGGGAACCGGGGAACCAGCGTTCAGCATATGGAGGATCCCGCCAGCCTCTGAGTTCCCTTAGTATTTATTGATCATCTGTGGGTGTTTCTCAAAGAGGGGGATGTGTCAGGGTCACAAGACAATTGTGGGGAGAGGGTCAGCAGACAAACACGTGAACAAACGTCTTTGCATCATAGACAATGTAAAGGATTAAGTGCTGTGCTTTTAGATATGCATACACATAAACATCTCAATGCTTTACAAAGCAGTATTGCTGCCCGCAGGTCCCACCTCCAGCCCTAAGGCGGTTTTTCCCTATCTCAGTAGATGGAGCATACAATCGGGTTTTATACCGAGACATTCCATTGCCCAGGGACGGGCAGGAGACAGATGCCTTCCTCTTGTCTCAACTGCAAGAGGCATTCCTTCCTCTTTTACTAATCCTCCTCAGCACAGACCCTTTACGGGTGTCGGGCTGGGGGACGGTCAGGTCTTTCCCTTCCCACGAGGCCATATTTCAGACTATCACATGGGGAGAAACCTTGGACAATACCTGGCTTTCCTAGGCAGAGGTCCCTGCGGCCTTCCGCAGTTTTTGTGTCCCTGGGTACTTGAGATTAGGGAGTGGTGATGACTCTTAAGGAGCATGCTGCCTTCAAGCATCTGTTTAACAAAGCACATCTTGCACCGCCCTTAATCCATTTAACTCTGAGTTGACACAGCACACGTTTCAGAGAGCACGGGGTTGGGGGTAAGGTTATAGATTAACAGAATCTCAAGGCAGAAGAATTTTTCTTAGTACATAACAAAATGGAGTCTCCTATGTCTACTTCTTTCTACACAGACACAGTAACAATCTGATCTCTCTTGCTTTTCCCCACACTTTAGACTAATCTTGTACAACAATCTCTGAAAGAATAGTTGCCAAATGAATTCCTTTCCTCTAAGTTCTTATAAAGGGTCCCATTTTGATATCCAAATACAATGAAATCTTGTTTTAAAACTCATCCTAGAATGGAATTCAGAATAAGTCAGATCCATCTAAAGCTTCACAGAAATAATTTTAAATATAAAAATATTAAAATAATCTCATTGTGTTTCTTCTATATCGATGTAATTCAGAACAGATTACTCAGGGCATTACATTATAGAAGGTCCATTATTTTGTTGTGGCACAAGTTTGCTGATAGTCTTGACTATGCTTGCTGAGAGAGCCCCAAATTATCTGAATCTGTGATTTATGTGAATTTATTTGAATCCAGAATACAAGCAAAGTGAAACTCAAAGCTGTAATGAGGTTGACGAAAAATAATAATAAAAGCAATTGTTCTCAGTTTGAATTGTACTTGATTAGTTTGTTAACTTAAAAGAATACTTGGGTCACATTTTGAAGCATTAGCAGTGAAAATCCATAACTGAACTACATAAATTACAAATTGATTTAGATGAACCAGGTCTGGCTCTAATGTCTAGCATACATGATGTGCTAAAGGTGTTTAATGATCCATGCACAGATGCAGCAGTGAGAGAATTTAACAAAATTGGCATTGGCTTTTATTAGATCTCACATGGTCAAATAGCATTTATCTGATGTGAAGAATGGAGTCAGTGAATTATCAAGTCAACGGATGCTTTTTTTTTTTGATGTGGTAAACCTCTTTGAATTTATAATAGAATAGCTCATTGGAGAACATTGCAACCTCTAAAATTTTGCTGCAAGGTGAGAAAATACCAGGCAGAGACAAGTTATTAAAAAGAGAAAATACATCACTTTAAACTCTAAACACTTGTTCTTAACACATGATGCCTCTTACAGATGACAGATGTGCATGATTTATAAAACATTTTCTTGTTTAGGAAAACAAAGTGATAAAATTGAGTTGATGGATGTGGTAGCTGGGAGACAAAATCATTCTGTGTCTATGTTAGCCATATGCAATAAAAACTCTAAAATAATGTCCTCTATTTTTTAAACTCAGTAGCAGGTGCTATTTATATTATTCAGTCATTTGGCAAGTAAATCTTCTGTCAATACTCAAAATCTAAATCATCACTGTTGATATTCAGGAAATTGAGAATTATGATTGCTAACTCATAGAAAGGTTTGAATTGTGTTTTTTTTAAATGTAAACAAAAGTATTGTCATGGTAGGTAGAAAAATGGCCTTCCCAAGATGTCCATGTCCTAATCCCTAAAAACCATTAATATGTTACCTTACATTGCTGAAAGCATTTAGCAGATGTGATTAAATTAAGGGTCTTGAAATGGGGAGATTATCTCGGATTATCTGGGTGAACCTAATGTAATCATAAAGGTTCTGATGAGTGAAAAAGAGATCCAGGAGAGGCAGAGTCAAAGAAAAGATATACGACAACAGAAGCAGAGGTTTGAGTGATTTAATTGCTGCCTTTTATTGAAGATGGAAGGGGCCCATGAGTCCAGGAATAAAGGTAGCCTCTAGAAACTGGAAAAGGCAGAGAAGCTATTTCTCCCCTAGAGCTTCCAGCATGAATGCAACCCTGCTGACACCTTGATTTTGGCCTCATAAGACCCATTTTGAACTTCCAAACTGCAAAATATTTTTTTGCATTGCTTTAAGCCATTATACCACTAGATTTGTGGTAATTTGTTACAATAGAAAAGGGAAACAAATGTAGTCATTTGCCTTATGGCTATTGTGGATTTTGCATAAAGAAGGACAATATTTGTCATCATTGTCCTGCAGTACACTGGAATATGTGGGGAATCACACATATGTACACTTACATGTTTGGAATATCAAGTTTCACATATTAAGTCTAAGGTTAGGCAATGCTTGTATGTGCCATAATATTCTGCTCAGAAAATGCTCAACACTTTGTCTGAACATGCTGTGCAATGCTACCAGGAGGTTCCCTTGTTCTTGCTTCTTGTTTATTTTTTTACATCAATAAATGAAAGACATTCTTTGTGGTCAACAACTGAACTTAAGTTATATACCAACAACATTCTCCAAATTGGCACTACAACAACAAATAACACCTCTTTCCAATGGATTCATGTTCTTTGAAAAACAAACAAGTATTCTTTCTGCCCTTTAAAAAAATCAATTCAAAAGTAACTTTAAAACCACCAAAGGTGTAAGTGTAAATAAATACTTTCTGCGGTTTAAAGATTAGATTGTAATTAATGAGTGAAAATAAAATGTTCTTTTTAAAAATGATTGTATAAGTTTCAAACCACTTGGCAATAAAGATGAAATTCTTTAAAAAAAAATAAGATGAGTGCTCCCCAAAGTTTGCTAAGAGAAATTAGCCCCAGGAAATTCACAAAAAAAAATAAAATGGACTTTATGTATTTGGCAATCAATGCATGCTGGCTTTTCTGTCTTCAACTTTCACAATGGCATAAGAATTCCCTGAAAAGGCCAGAAGTAAAGAATCTTGTTCAAATGTAACTAAGCTTTTCTTTAAGATATTTAAATATGAGACACTTTTATTATTATTATTAACTCTAAAAAAGTATTGAGGTAAATGATCATCAAACTATTCTCTGAAACTCATGGTAAATAATATAATGTAGTCATCAACTTGGAATTCAGGCAGACATCCTTAAAATTATTGTGATAGGCATAATAATTTATATCAGTTCTACCTTGAGATTGTCTTCTTATTTCCATTTTAGAATTGTAAAAACTGAAACACAGGTAGGTTACATACCTCTTCATGATTATCTTATATTTGAATGGTGAAGATGGAATCAATGGGAATAAAACCAGTCTATGCCCTTGTGTGCTCTGATACCTTGTTTTTTTGTCATTTCTAAGTCTCTACTGTCTGTCATCCAATTTTTTTTTTACTTACATGAATGAAAGGCTTTAATTTTATTTTAAAGCAAACAAAATTCCAGGGAAAAGTGAAAAGAAGCGTATTGTGTTTCAAGTGGTTTATGTGTCCCCTGCAATTGTCGAAATTCGTCCTTTTCATACCATAAATTAGGGAATGTGATTAATCTGTGGTGGTTTTGCATAGAAAATTTACATAAAAGCAGGCGTTATAATTCATACACTCTAACATAATCGACAATCTGATGGTAAAATTTTCTCTATGTGTATTGCAGAGCTGAATTTTCAGTCATACAATTTCAGTGATTTCTAATTCAGCTTTTTGGAATCCTAATCAGTTATTTAGTTAGCATTTTTGACTTCATTCAATTTAATACTTAATTGGTCGATATATATATATATATATAACTTAATAGCTAGTTAGACTCCAAACACTATATGTTCCTGATGTAAAAACCAGCAACTTTTTATATAATTACTTTGCAGATTTTCTGTGGTTCAAGGCAGTGACAGCCATATCCTGCTTGCATGAGGCAAGTATAGACTGCAGCCTTGAATCCGTTTTCATTCAGGTCCATCATCTTGAAGTACCAAAGTATAGTAATGGTTATGACAGTTAAGATTGTTTGGCACCAGGTGACCTTATTATTCTTGCAAATATGAAGCTTAAAATTGTACCATATATAGAAAGTTCAGGTAAATTTGCAATGGTATGATGTAGTACTTGTTAGTCTTAAATTACCATTGGTGTAAGATAATATTATGGTAATGGTTATAACTAAATAATAAAGATACTTTTCATATGAGTTTTTATAAGACTTGTGCTGCCACAAGAATTGCTGAAAGTGACCTCACATGCTCACCTTGTGTTGCCTGTATATTAGCAAATTGAAGGTAGGGATTCCCTTACCAAATCATCTTCCCATAGGCCTGAGGCTTCCTCCCCCAACAGAAGGATTTCTTGAGATCCAAGATCTCTAGGTTTTGAAATGCTAGTATTTCCAGAACACCTTTGGAAATAGATGGACCCTAAATCCATCCATTCGTTTATTCCTTCAGTGATGATACTGTTTCCCTATACTTGTTATATGAAAAAGGAAACTCATATTAGAGGGGACTCAATGATTTAACAGGCTCAGAGATTGAGCACATTTCTCTGTGGAATGAATGATAAGAGGATAAGGGGTTCCTAAAACTTTGCTTGCTGACCTTGGGCATACACAGATTTTCTCAATAAAGTGTATTCCTTAACTCATGTTATACATTCTGAAATTTATCCAGACTTCTGCTGCACTACAGGTAAAGACGAAGAAACGATATAATTTGTATGGCAATACTCTTTGTGATTGTTCAAACTTAAATTATAGTTTCTGTGTTGAAAAATGGCTATACATTGACTTTTAAAAATAAATTTTATTGTGCATATTTAAGGTATAAACACGTTGTGGTATAAATAAAGATAGTAAAGAAATTACTATAATGAAGCAAATTAGCACATCTATCATCTCAAATATTTACCCACAGTTTTGCTTTTGTGGCAAGAACCACTTAAATCTACTCATTTAACATCAATCTCTTACATGGTACAATTTTATTACCTATGGCCCTCATGCTATACATTAGCTCTCTAGACTTATTTTGTTTTCCTTGTATATTTAATTTTTTTTGGATTCTACATCTAAGTGAGACCATGCACCATTTTTCTTACTGCATCTTGCTTATTTCACTTAGCATAATATTCTCCAGACTTATCCAGTTGTGGCAAATGGCAAGATCTCATTCTTTATTAGGTGTGAATAATATTACATTGCATATATGTACCATGGTTTCTTTATCCATTCATCCACTGATGAAAACTTAGGTTGTTTACATATCTTCACTACTGCAAATAATGTTGCAATGAACATGGAAGTGAAGGTATATTTATGAGGTAGTTATTTCATTTCTTTTGGGCATATGCCCAAAGGGAGATTGCTGGGGCATATGGTAGTTCTCTTTTTAATTCCTTTAGAAATCTCCATACTGTTTTCCATAATGGCTATGCCAATCTATATTCCTACCAATAGTGTGTAAGAGTTCCCTTTTCTTTACACTCTTGCCAACATTTGTTGTCTTTAGGATTTTTCTAATGGGTGTGAGATAGTATCTGACAGTGGTTTTGACTTGCATATTCTTGATGGTTAATAATGATGAGTACCTTTTCGTATAATGGTTGGCTATTTTATGTCTTCCTTAGAGAAATGTCTATTCATGTCTTTTGCCCATTTTTAATCAGGCTATTTGTTTCTTCACTATTTAGTTATATAAATTTTTATAAATTTTGAATATGAACCACATATGAGATATATGGTTTGCAAATATTTTTCCCAATCTGTAGGTAATTCATTCATCTTGTTGATTGTTTCCTTTGCCATACAGAAGTGTTTGGTTTGATGTAGTCTCCTATGTTTATTTTTGCTTTTGTGGTCTGAGTTTTTGGTGTAATAGCCAAAAAACTGTTGCCAAAGCCAATACCCAGGAGCTTTTCCCCTATGCTATTTTCCAGGAGTTTCATAGTTTCTTATCTTAAATATTTGGGTCTTTCATCCATTTTGAGTTGATATTTGTTTATGATTTAAGATAAAGATTTAATTTCATTCTTTTGCATGTGGACCTCCAGTTTTCCCAGCACCTTTGTTTGAAGAACTCTCCTCTCCCCGTTGTGTCCTCTTGGTGTCCCTGTCAAAAATGAGTTGACCTTATATGTTTCTATTTCTGGAGTTTGAATCTGTTTCTGGAGTTTGAATCTATTCTGTTCCACTTGTCTATGTGTCTGTTTTTATGCCAGTACAATACTCTTTTGATTCCTTTAGCTTTGGAATACACAGTAATTTTAAACCAGGGAGTCTGATGCCTCCAATTGTGTTTTTCTTTCTCAAAATTGTTTTGGCTATTCAGGCCTTTCATGGTTCCACACAAATATTAAGTGTTAAGTGTTTTTTTTTTTTTTTTTGGAAAGCCTTTTGTTCTGTCCTCCAGGTTGGAGCACAGTGGCACGATCTCAGCAGCTCACTGCAAGCTCCGCCTCCTGGGTTCACGCCATTCTCCTGCCTCAGCCTCCCGAGTAGCTGGGACTACAGGCGCCCACCACCACACCTGGCTAATTTTTAGTATTTTTAGTAGAGACAGGTTTCACCGTGTTAACCAGGATGGTCTCGATCTCCTGACCTCGTGATCTGCCTGCCTCGGCCTCCCAAAATGCTGGGATTACAGGTGTGAGCCAGTGTGCCTGGCCAAATTTTAAGGTTTTTGAAACTTTCTGTGAAGAATACCATTTGATGGGAATTACACTGAATCTGTATATGGCAATATACATGCCTTTGGTAGCATGAATACATGAAGAAAATCAACTCCTCTGATCCACGATCATGGGATAGCTTTCTATTTATTTGTGTCTTCTTCAATTTCTTTAATCAATATTATATGGTTTTCAGTGTACAGATCTTTAATCTCCTTAGTTAAATATATTCCTTCATATCTTATTTTTTGACACTATCATAAATGGGATAATTGTCTTGAATTCTTTTTCAGTTAGGTCATTATTTGTGTATAAAAATGCTACTGATTTGGTATGTTGATTTCATACCCTACAACTTTATTGGATTCACCTACCAGTTCTAACAGTTTTTTATATAAAAATAAATCAATAAAAAAGATAGTTCCTCATTTTTTAGCAGTGGGGAAAATGAAGCAGTTGGCCTTAAGTGAAGACCAACATTTAACAATAGCACTTTGTCATATTATTCATGAAAAAAAATAAAATGTCATGACAACCGTAGATTCAAACAATTTTATAACATGCTTCCTTTTATTGAATAAAAGCATTCAATATTTTTAAGTAAGTTTTTAAGCCTTGTAAAATCCTCTTCAATGCCTTATATACATTACTCTAAACCTTATAGATTAAGTCCATAATGCTGGCTATACAAAATTGAAGTCAGATTTTTAAAGCACATTATCCAAAATGCCACTATACTATATGTAAATGACCAAGTGTAATGTGCTGTTTGTTACGGGCAACTGCACATTTTGGTTTGCTTGGGACAGGTCTGGTTTCTGTCTATTGTCCTGGCATCCATCTAGTTTAGCATTTGTCCCAGATTTTCATTTATTAATCAAGATTTTTTTAAAGTAAATAGTTGCTTTAGAATAAATCAGGATAGGTGTGGGAAAACTCAAAGCATCTTATTTCTAGCTTTTGTCATGGTCTCATTGTCTACTTCTAAATTTTGGTTATTTAAGAAGATTGGACACAAAGCTGCAAGGGCTCCATTTATGCATTTATGTATTGTATTATTCCATTTTCACATGCTATAAAGATACTACCTGAGACTGGGTAATTTATAAACAAAACAGGTTTAATTGACTCATAGTTCAGCATAGCTGGAAAGACCTTAGGAAACTTACAATTATGGCAGAATGCGAAAGGGAAGCAAGCACCTTCTTCACAAGGTGGTAGGAAAGAGAGAGAGCACAGGGGAAACTTTCACTTTTAAACCATCGGATCGCATGAGAACTCCCCACTGTCATGAGAACAGCATGGGGAAAACCACCCCCATGATCCAATCACCTCTCACCTGGTCCCTCCCACATCACATGGGGATTACAATTTGAAGTGAGATTTGGGTGGGGGCACAGAGCCAAATCATATCATTCCACCCCTGGCACATCCCAAATCTCATGTCTTGACATTTCAAAACCAGTCATTGCCTTCCCAAAAGCCCCCAAAGTTTTATCTCATCCAGCATTAACTCAAAAGTCCAAGTCCAAAGTTTCACCTGAGAAAAGACAAGTCCCTTCCACCTATGAGCCTGTAAAATCAATAAGCAGGTGTTAGTTACTTCCAAGACACAGTGAGGGTAGAATCATTGGGTAAATGTTCCGATTCAAAATGGAAGAAACTGGCCAAAACAAAGGGGCCACAGGCCCCATGCAAGTCTGAAACCCTGCTGGGCAGTCATTAAATTTTAAAGGTCCAAAATCTCCTTTGACTCCATGTCTCACATCCAGGGCATGCCGATGCAAGGAGTGGGCTCCCACAGTTGTGGAAAGCTCCATCCTGTGGCTCTGCCGCGTACAGTCCCCCTCCTGGCTGCTTTTATGGGCTGGTGTTGAGTGTCTGTGGCTTTTCCAGGTGCATGGGGCAAGCTGTAGGTGGATCTACCATTCTGGGGTCTGGAGGATATCGGATCTCTTCTCACAGCTCCATTAGGCAGTGCCCCAGTGGGGACTCTCTGTGGGGTATCCAACCCACACATTTCCCTTCCACACTGCCTTAGCAAAGGTTCTCCATGAGGGCTCTGCCCCTGCAGCACACTTCTGCCTAGACATCCAGGTATTTCCATATATCCTCTGAAATCTAGGTGGAGGTACTCAAACCTCAACTCTTGTCTTCTGTGCATTCGCAGGCTCAACACCACATGGAAGCTGTCAACGTTTAGGGCTTCCACCCTTTGAAGCAATGGGCTGAGCTGTACCTTGGCCCTTGTATCCGTGGCTGGAGCTGGAGTGACTGGGATGCAGGATGCCACATCCCAAGGTTAACCCAAGAAACCACTTTTTCCCTCTTAGGCCTCCAGGCCTGTGATGGGAAAAGCTGCCTCTAGGATCTCTGAAATGCCCTGGAGACATTTTCCCCATTGTCTTGGTGATTAACATTTGGTTCCCCATTACTTATGCAAATTTCTTCAGCTAGCTTGAATTTCTCCCCAGGATTTTTTTTCCCTATTAAATATAATGGCAAAAACCACAATTACTTTTGCATCAACCTAAACCAAATGGTCAGACTGCAAAGTTTCCAAACTTTTATGCTCTGCTTTACTTTAAAACATAATTTCTAATTCCAAACCATCTCCTTGTGAACACATATGACTATGCTTTCAGGAAAAGCCAGATCACCTCTTGAATGCTTTGCTCCTTGGATATTTCTTCTTCCACATACCCTAAATCATCTCTCTCAAGTTGAAAGTTCCACAGATCTCTAGGGCAGGGGCAAAATACCTCCAGCTAAAGCATAGCAAGAGTGACCTTTGCTTTAGTTCTCAATAAGTTTCTCATCTCCATCTGAGACCACCTCAGCCTTGTCTATATCATCATCAGCATTTTGGTCAAAACCACTCAACAAGCCTCCAGGAAGTTCCAAACTTTCCCACATATTGCTGTCTTCTGAGCCTTCCAAACTGTTCCAACCTCTGCCTGTTACCCATTTCCAAAGTTGCTTATACATTTTCAGGCTATCTTTATAGCAGTGCCCCTCTCCTTGTACCAATTTCTTATATTAGTCCATTTTCATGAAGAATGATGTGATAGATGTGAAATGTCTTGGCTCCATTGGTGCAAGAGAAACTTCAAAAATAAATTATTCTAGTTTTTTTTTAATAGTGTTTTCAAATGCTTCTTTTTCCTATATATTCATTGACTGAAAATATGGATGTAGAAGTTCAATTTGTTAAAAGTGAAACAGTTACCATGCTATTGGAATATCAGTAAAAACTGACTGGGAATGATACAAATATTTTAGCCAATTGGCAAGGCAAAGCTTTGTAGTAAAAGGAATATTTTAAATTCCTTTGTAGTAAAAGGAATAAATAAATTAAACCTATGGAGCAGAAGTGTAGCTGGAATTGGTTTTTGGACACACATAAGTTATAATTATACTCAAATAAGATGAATGTTCTACTAATGGACATAGAAGCATGAAGTTGTAAACATTTACAATTTTTCTAGTGGTATATAGATACCACTAGAGTAAATAAACTAAAAAACTTATAGCAAAACTGATGTTGAATGAACCCATATACGAAAGCTCAGTATGGTGATACGTGCAGCCTTTCTTTTTACTTTCTATAATACTTCACGTTTCAGAAGTAGTTACAACTTGTTTTATGAGTTTTATTTTGTGAAAATATTTATTGAAGGAATATACTCTGATTGGAGATGAAAAGACAATAACTGAAATGTCTTATGCTTAGTAGAAATTTTTTTTTTCTCAGCTCCCAGGGACTTCAGCATGTAGAGAGATTTTCATAATTTAAAAATATGTGAAGACTCTTCAATATAATTTGTTAGCATTTTCCTATTTGTTAACTATAAAATACTATTTTCAGAACAAATATAGGCAGTTTTATAAAAAATATTAAAAATATTAAGAACATATTTAAAATGTATTTATATTAGCATCATTGGCATTGTACTAGAAACAGATACGACTAAGAAACTGAATAAAGTATGTAAATTTATGCCCAGGTGAATTTGTAGTATTTTTAAAGGCTTAGAAAATTAAACACTTTCAAAAATTTTCTTTAATGTAAATAAATATGTGGATATATTTAAACATTTTTAAGAAATATATTAATTTCAAAAATATTTTAAAACATAATTCTGTTAAGGTCTACCAATATAATGAAACCAATGGCTAGTCAATAAAATTTTTTATAAAATTATATTTTATAATTATTTTAGTAACCCCATTCACTGCAAAACTTTCCCAATTTGGATCAGTAAGCTATCTGGTCAACTAATATTGAATTGAATATTCTTTCTTTTCTTTGCAATTGTTCTCAACCAGGATCTGGTAACTTGGTTACAGATTATATTACTGCTTCTTGCATTTTACTTCTCTCCTCTAATTCAATTTCTTTCTTATCCAGGTATGTTATTTGTAATTCTTTTAGCAAGTATGTGTTAGGGCTAAACTGTTCCAGTATTTGAAAGAAAATGTGTTTATATCATCTATGCTCCTGAATGATAATTGAACTGAGTATAGAATTCTTAGGTGATATTCATTTTCTCTTAGCACTTTTAAGATACCGTTCTGCTGTCTTTGAGCCTCTTGTTGCTGTCAACAACTGTCAGTCTAATTGTTATTCTTTATAAGTAATTCATCTTTATGGTTATTTTCAACATCTTTTCTTTCTTTCCTTTTTTTTTTTTTTTTGAGACAGGTCTTACTTTGTCACCCACCATGGAGTGTGGTGGTGCAAATGCGGCTCACTGCAGCCTCACCCTCCCAGGCTCAAGCAGCCTCAACCCTTCAAGTAGCTGGGACTACAGGCACATATCATCACGCCTGGCTCATTTTTGTATCATCATGTTGCCCAGGCTGGTCTTGAACTTCTGGACTAAAGTGACCTGCTTGCCTCAGCCTCCAAAAGTGTTGGGATTACAGGTGTGAGCCACTGTGACCGGCTTCAATACTTTTTATTTGCTTTTGTGAGGGTTATTTTAACTATTAATTATATATGGACTCTTTTTATTCGTTTTGCTTGGGAATAAATGGCATATTTTAATGTGATAATTCATATCTTTACTAAGTGCTGAATGATTTCAGTCATTATTTTTACAAGAATCGGTTCTGTGACATTCCTTCTATACTATGCTGTTGGAGCTCCTACTAATGAATGTGGTGGATTCTACCACTGGCCAGTATACTCCCAGACCTCTTCTTCCTTACACCCTTTCATTAAAAAGACCAGCGCTGCTAAATATTTACTTTTCTAGCCTCTTTTAAAGGCAAGACTTGCCAAGTACAGTTTTAAAGATGAAATGTTAACTGGAATTGTGTTGTTGGAACTTGTGGGAAGTTCTTTCTTTCATGATGAAAAGAGAAACCCAATTGGTGGTGTTTCCATTCCTCTTCTTCCTGCTACAAACTTAAATACAATGAGAAGAGCTTTAGCCTTCATTTGGATTTTAGTAAAAGGTCAAGATAACATCAGGGATGCATCTGTGACATCTCCGAGACAGAGATCTGGTGATTGTTAGCTGCCTCCCTCCAAATTTTTAATTATGTGATAGTGTAACCTCGGTTTCTTTCAACTGAGTCCATGGAAACACCTAAGCGCTAATACTTTACTTAAGAGAAACACACATAGAGTATGTGGGTGATGAAAACACGGCAGCAAAGGAAAGGAAGATGCCAAGTAAAATAATGCAATGTATCTCTCTCTGCGTATCTGCTCACCAGGAGGCATAGTAACACAAGAGACAGTACAGTTTTTCACTTGCCACGTAACAATTTTTGAAAACATGGAATGGAGAAATTTTACATCAGAGTAGTTCACTAGAGAGGAAACGGAGGGAGGCTATTTGCCTAGTGCTTTCCTGCCTCCTGCTTCCCATGAGATCACATGATGCAGAACATTTGGAAATAATCACCTCTTTCACTTCTGTGTGATGATGTCCAGCCTCTGGGTGACTGGTCAGTAAGCCATATCCTATAACCTGTAGTATGATATTTCATCCATGTCTAAAAATGGGATTGAAATGAAGTTCTGAGAGGTGGGATATGGACCAGGAGAAAGAGGAAAGGAACTAGTTGGAAGAATATTCCTAACATAGAACCTTTTCATTTAAAATTCCAAACCCTTTTCTGAGACTTCTCATATTTCTTCCCATTTTTTTTTACTTTATATGATAGGACTTAATTCTAGATAATACCATGATACTATATTTATATGATTTATTTATTTGTAATCTTTTACTCTCTAATAGTTTGTAAGCTAATTCATGAAGGCAGTGAATTTTTTCATAGGATATTAATGAATTGCAGCCTTAGTGCTTTGCCCTACCTTCTTGGATATTAATACGTATTTGAACCAGATTCATCTTTCGGAGATTTGGTCAGCTTGGACTTATTTGTATTGGAGATAATTACAGGTGACAGGGGTGATTTTTATTTAGTATTCTGGTGGTCAGGAGCATTAAATTTAGAGTCTGTCTGAATTCACATTCTCACTCTGACACTTATAGTTGTGTGACATGGTGAAAATTATTGAATAACTTTAAAGTTTTCTCATCTACCAAATGATTCTACTAATATTATCTATATTTATGGTTGTTGTAAGCAATATATGCAGCATCATATATAAATCATTTTTATGGTGCCTAGCACCCAGTAAAACTTGCTAGTCATTTTAATCAGTTCAAGGTGCTATAAGAAACTACCATAGATGAGGTGGCTTAAACAACATAAATTTATTTCTTATGGTTTTGGAGACTGAGAAGTCCGAGAGAAGATGCCAACAGACATGGTGTCTGATTAGGAAGTATTTCTGATATGTATAACACCTTCTTCTCTTTGTGTCCTCATATGGTGGAGAGGAGAGAAAGAGAGAGAGAGAGAGAGAGAGAGAGAGAGAGAGAGAGAGAGCTTTCTTGTCTGTTCTTATAAGGGCGCTAATCCCATTCATAAGGGCTCCACCCTCATGAACTCATTAACTCCCACATACCATCACATTGGGGATTAAGATTTCAACATGTGAATTTTAGGGGAACACAAATATTTGGTTCATAACTATGGTGTTTATATCCTCAGTGTCTAATGAGAAAGACAGTAAACCCTCTGTTTTGATGTATACAGCTTTTTACACAAGTGGTGGAAAAGCTGAAAAAAACTGTGGTGAGGCAATCCATAAATGAGCAACAGCAGGATGCCGCTACCACCTCTAGGCATTCTGGACAAAGAGATCAGGCAACATGAGAGCTCAGGGGCAAAGTCACATGATTGGAAGCTGCTGCCTTGAAGGAGATGGAGGCACTGCCTGATGTTGATGACAAGATGGACCACAAATACCCTGCTTTCTCTCATCTTTTCACCTTCTATCCTCCCCTTCAAGGAACCTAACTAGAAGTCAAGTGATAAGAGAACCTTAAAAATCCAGCTCATGAAATCAGCTTGCCAGTTGTACAGAGTGTTCAGAGAGAAGGGCAAAGAATGGATCTGAAGGCAAATAGGTCCAAACTCTGGTCCATATTCATTATTATTGTTAGAATTATTATTGCCAAGATTTCAGCCTTTCTCCATTCTATTACTCAATGTAATGCAAAGGCTTTTTCTTATTTCCTTGGGATCACCTACAAATTACTTTTTATACTATTTCATATTAAAGCAGAAACCATACTTACTAGTTTTAGTATAACCCATGTTGCAAAGTGCCTCTCTCATGGAAAATACTTCTGTTACAGGAATAAATTAGATTGAATCTATAAATCCATATTAGTACTTTATAATTAAACCTTGATCAGTTCAGCCACTTAGCAGTTCACCTACATACCTCTAATTTCATTTTATACTTCCCTGTTTTAGAATAAATTACTATTTTTATGCAAAGCAAATGAGTGTTTCATTTCCATTACTGACTCTTCATATCAGAGAAATTGTATGATGAAGGGTTATTGTCATGATAAAAAGTTTCTAACATTTTTTCCCTTTATGCTCTTTAGCAGTTATTATAAATAAATGATTCCTTATATCTAGATACTATTTGTGTGTTTTTTAAAAGCTAATTAATTTTAGCATTAGTGAGTAATATTTTCTGTGAAACATTATCTGATTCTGTTCATCGAACAAACAGGAAGATTTAAGAGTACTTCCCCCTCGAACATTTTCTAATTCATGAAATTTTATGTTGCTTTCAAAAAACAAATCTTATTTTTTAATTTTAAAATGTTTTTGGAGAATTTCCTCAAAAATAATGTATTTTCAAATGCAGTACTATTTATACATAGGACATTCCACTATAAACCCTCTACCTCTCCAGGTTTTAAATAAAAGCCTGACCTAAAAAAGACACATCTGAATATAATATATTTCTAAAATCCCTCTGTTTTTCATAATGAATAGCATTTGTGTGCTTAAAACTTTTACAGATTTAAAACCTAATTCATAATGTTATGATCAACATAGTACACAATCCCTCTGGCATTTAGACCCCCTTTATTTTACTCATTGCACAAATACATTGGTTGTAATTGTGAAGCTCTTCTGTTATATACCAGATACAGAATTTCAAGGATAAAGAGGTAAAAATAAATAGCAGTCCCAATTTCTTCTATTAAATTGAAATTTATAGGACTGATATTTTTTAGAACAACTACAACCCATATTTATGCATTTTTTATAAGTGAATCACCCTCAAAAGGACTTTTTAAATCCCCTCTTTCTTTCTACTGGGATACTTATAATATGAGGTATGTTTTGAATATTTCCAGAAAATTGCTCAGTGTTTCAAACATTACTGGTAATTAGTGATAGACAGTGCAACGTCTTTCATCACCCTTTTACCACTTCAATGACCATAGCTATATTTATAGGATAAAGAATAGAGAATCTCACCCGGGCACTGTGGCTCATGCCTGTAATTCCAGCACTTTGGGAGGCCAAGGTGGGGGGATCACCGGAGGTCAGGAGTTCAAGACCAGCCTGGCCAACATGGTGAAACTCATCTCTACTAAAAATATATATTTAAAAAAATTAGCTGGGCATGGTGGCAGGTGCCTGTAATCCCAGCTACTCGGGAGGCTGAGGTAGGAGAATTGCTTGAACCTGGGAGGCGGAGGTTGCAGTGAGCTGAGATCGTGCCATCGCACTCCAGCCAGGGGAACAAGAGCAAGACTTCATCTCAAAAAAAAAAAAAAAAAAAAAAGAATAGAGAATCTGAATATTGCCTAGGTAGAAAACTATGGCTGAGCAAGAGTGTTTCAAGTAAAGCCATGGAGAAAGAAATTAAACATAAAAATATAAGGTCAAGTCAAGGTCATGGATAGAAAACAGATTTTGGATCGTTTTCTTAAAGTGAAAATGAACTAAGATGGAAAATAATTATATAGAACAGACGTTAAGTCAAGAACTATAACATCTATAGGATGTCCTGGGATATTTCTTTTTTCTGTCCTCAAATTGATTATTATTGTTCTCTCACTGTTTGTTGATCATTTCATGTTGCCAGCTTTTGGCTTTGACTTTCTCTATTTTTTTTTTTCCTGTTCTGATGTTTATTGATTTCTGCTGTTATTTCCATGTTTCTTTTTTCTATTTTTTTTTCTCTAGTATGGTGTGGTAGAATCTTAGTTATTTGTTGTTAACTTTTATAAAAGTTATATTCTAGTATTAGCATTTAATAATGTAAGTTGTCTGATAAGTATTGCTTTAACTATATCCCACACTTCTATTTGGTTTTCATTAAGTTTAAAGTGCTTTCTAATTTTCATAGTAACATGTTACTCTGACACATGAATTATTTAGAAATGTTTGTTTAATTTTTTAATATTTAGGGGTTTGACAGATAACCTATTGTGGTTAATTTCTATTTTAAATATTTTATGGCCCTAAAATATATTCTGCATAATCACAACCTTTCCAATCTTAATTTTGTTTATGTCTAACATATATATTTTGGTGCATCTGCCATGTGCAGAAGAAAATAATATTTATTCTGCAAATTTAGGGTACAGTGTTATATAAATATTAATTAGATCGTGGTGGGTAGTACTATTCAGATTACTTATTTCTGTATTAATTTTTTGTTTCCTTATTCTACTGTATTTCAGAGAAGGGTATTAAAATCTTTCTTAATGGTAGAATTCTCTATGCCTTTAATTCAAATTATGCTACATGCACGTTGAGGCTCTGTTCTTAGATGTTTATACTTTCACAATTGTTATGTGTTCCTACTGAATTGAACATTTCATCATTAAAAATGTTTCTTATTATCTTTGCCAATACACTTTTTCTTGAAGTCAATTTTATCTCCAGCTTTGTATTTTATTCTTTGCATGTTTTATCTTTATCCATCTCCTCCTCTACAATGTATCAGTATATTTAGTTACATTTCCCATAAATAGAATGTTATTTACCTTTATTTCCTTTTTGTTTACCTAATTTATTTCATTTACATTTATGATATAATCATAAGGATGGCTGGATTTGTATCTATTATTTTATTTTGATCTTCAGTGTGTTCTCTTTTTTTCTCTCTTCTGTTCCCATCTTCCTTTTTTATTCTGATTTTGAATTTTTAGCAGTTACATTTCAATTAATGTATTGACTTTTTAATTATGTATCTTTCCTTCAATTTATAGTAGATATTCTTTAGAATATCCAACTTCCTTTAGGGATTACAAAATGTATCCTTAAATTTTAATCATCTACTGAAATTTCACTTCAGTGAACAAACAAATGATAAGGAGGTGAAGTAGCCTTATTGTTGATATGGAGAAAGTTTGAGTGGACTGAATAGAAGATCAAACCATCATTTCCTTAAGACAAAGCCTATTCTAGAACAAGGCCGTAACGCTTTTCAATTCTGTGAAGGCTGAGAGAGGCGAGGAAGTTGGAGAATAAGAGTATGAAGTGACCAAAAGTTGATTCATGAGGTTTAAGGAAAGAAGTTGTCTCAATAACATAAAAGCACAAGGTAAAGCAGCAAGTGCTGATGTAAAAGCTAGAGCAAGTTACCCAGAAGATCCAGCTAACAGCAATAATGATGCTGGACACACTAAATAACAGATTTTCAATGCAGTCAAACAGCCTTCCATTGAAAGAAGATGCCTTCTGGGACTTTCATAGCTAGAGAGGAGAAGACAATGATTGGCTTCAAACCTTCAAAGGGCACTGGTACTCTTGTTAGAGTATAATGAAGCTGGTAACTTTAAGTTGAAGCTAACATTCATTTACCATTCTGAAAAACCCTAAGGCTGATAAGAATTACACTAAATTGACACTACCTGTGCTCAGTAAATAGAACAACAAAGCCTGGATGTCAGCACATTGGTTTACAGGATGGTTTTCTAAATATTTTAATCCCACTGTTGAAACCTACTACTCTGTAAAAAAGACTCCTTTCAAAATATTACTGCTCATTAACAATGTGCCTAGTCACCCAAGAGCTTTGATGGATATTTACAAGGCAATCAATTTTCATGTAAGCTAACAAAACATTTATTCTGTAGTCCATGGATCAAAGAGTAATTTTGACTTTCAAATCTTATGATTTAAGAAATACATTTTGTAAGGCTACAGTTGTCATAGATAGTTATTCCTGCAGTCAATCTGGGTAGAATAAATTGAAAATCCATTAGAAAGAATGTACTATTCTAGATGCCTTCAAGAACATTCACTATTTGTGCGAGGAGGTCAAAGTATCAACATTAACAGAAGTTTGGAAGAAGTTGATTCTAACCTTCCTAGTTGACTTTGAAGCATTCAAAACTTCAGTGGAGGAAGTAACTGCTGATATGGTAGAAATAGCAAGAGAACTAAAATTAGAAATCGAGTTGATGATGTGACTGAATTACCACAATCTCCTGAAAAAACTTAATGGATGATGAATTATTTCTTATGGATGGGCAAAAAAAGTAGTTTCTTGAGATAGAAACTACTTCTAATGAAGATGCTGTAGCATTGTTAAAATGACAACAAATAATTCAGAATTTTAGATTAATTTAGTTGATAAAGCAGCAGCAAGGTTTGAGAGGATTTACTCTAATTTTGAAAGAAGTTAATACTGTAGGTAAACTGCTATTAAAGAACATCACATGCTTAGAGAAATCTTTTGTGAAACGATGAGTCAATCAATGCAGCTAATTTTATTGTTTTATTTTAAGAAATTTCTACAGCCACCTCAACTTTCTGCAACCATCACCCTGATTCATCAGCTGTCATTAACTTGAGGCAATACCCTCCACCAACAAAAATATTTTAACTCACTGAAGACTCGGGTGATGCTTAGCATTTTTAGCAATAAATTATTATTATTTTTATAATTATTATTATTATTTTGAGACAGAGTCTTGCTCTGTTGCCCAGGCTGGAGTGCAGTGGTGTGATCTCAGCTCCCTACAACCTCCGCCTGCCAGGTTGAAGCAATTCTCCTGCCTCAGCCTCCCAAGTAGCTGGGACTACAGGTGCACGCCACCACACCCAGCTAATTTTTGTATTTTTATTAGAGATGGGGTTTTACCATATTGGCCAGGCTGGTCTCGAACTCCTGACCTCGTGATCCGCCCGCCTAGGCCTCCCAAAGTGCTGGGATTACGGGCATGAGCCACTGCAGCCAGCCCCTAAATTCTTTAATTAAGGTATGTACATTGTTTTTAGACACAATGCTATTGCACACTTAATAGACTACACTCTAATATAAACATAATTTTTATATACACTAGGAAACCAAAAAGTTTATGTGACTTGCTTCATTGTGATGGTCTGGAACCAAACCTGTGATATCTCTAAGGCATATTCATGTAATAATTACATGTATTAGAAACCCAGAGTCAAAGTTATAATTTTTAAGCCATTATATGTATTTTGCATAAAGAAAAATGCTGTTTCATACTCTCTCACATATTTATGATTTCTGAAATTAATTATTCCTGACCATATGATTTTTCTTTCTAGTAGTCATTTTCTTTTAGTCTGAAGAAATTCATTTAGCCCTGGGGTATTTCACCACATGCTGGTATAGTCTAGTTAATGAGCTTTGAGCCCCCATGGATAATTATTTCAGAATTGTAGGTGCATCATGGAGATGCCAGATTATTTAAGCTGTAAAGCACCCTTAGAATTGGGATAGTTGTCCCACTTTCATGTCATTTAAGGAAAAATTCTCATTTTCCTTATTCATCCAATGCCATCCAAGGGTGTTGGATAAATATATACTTATTTGCTGGACTCTCTTTATTTTTCTATATTATTTTTTGATTGTCAGAGGCTCTCTTTAAAATGATCTCATGGCAGATAAATCCCAACTGAACATCAGATTACACTTTATGTTAGTAATCTTTCAGAATGTTTGTTGAGGATTTTCAGTGTTTGTGTGTGTAGTTTCAATATTAATGTCAATCAATTTTCATTTGTTTCACTTTCAGTTCTCAAAGTAGGATTTTCTGAGTTTCTAAAAGTATGTGTTCTTTCAGGTTACTATACTGTTCTATATGTTACACAGATGATTTGCAATTCCATAGGACAGAAAATCCACTACATGTTTATGTCCATGATTGGGAGTCATCCCTTTTGCTCACAAGATCTACTGTACTGTGCTGTGTATTTTACTTTCTGAGTTTCTAGAGATGACCCCGGGGAAAAGTCAAATAAGTGAAGTCTGTCTTCATTTTATACTTATTTCTTGATTTATATTTTCTCTTTTTCCCTTATGAAAACCATCACTGTGGAAACACTTTGAGGAGCTTATTAACATTAATCACTTTAATTATTATTCTATCAAAGGGAATTTGCTTTAACAGAGGTTAAAGGAGTAAAGCAATAATAATAGTGAAATTTTTGCACTTTTAAATCAGTTGGAGGAGGGCTCTTTAAGAAAAAGTAGTGTATAAAAGAGAAAGAGGATGATGCTTTTAGAAATATGACATTTGGGAAATTTCCTCATTCTGACTAATCCAATTTAAAAGGACTCCTACACTAAACCACTTACCTTGAATCTGTTTTTGCCTTAAAAACAAAAACAATAAGCTGAATATATGCAAAATCAAATGAAATGCACAGTCATCAGCTATTTTTATTTATCAGTGAAGAGTCTTAAATCATCACTGAATTTTAATACCTAGGATAGTATATTTGTCTGATACAAGACGGTTATTTGCTGTCTCTGGATTTAAGGCAACAGAAGGCTGACTATACATCAGATACAGTAGAATTACAAATATCAGAATATAAAAAAGAGTTCAAATAATAATGTACTTCTTCAATCAAATTCAGTCATACATTTTATTTACCCAAGAAGACTTTGATAAATATTAACTGATTATTCCCATATTATTTAAAAAAACTCATTTGGATATATCAATATGGATAACTCTAACGTTGAAAGGCAGGGTGGAAAACTTTATACTAGAAACCAATTCTTTTGTTGTTGTTGTTGTTGTTGAGACAGAATCTCGCTCTGTCGCCCAGGCTGGAGTGCAGTGGTGCGATCTCGGCTCACTGCAACCTCCGCCTCCTGGGTTCCAGCAATTCTCCCTGCCTCAGCCTCCCGAATAGCTGGGATTACAGGCACCCACCACCATGCCCAGCTAATTTTTGTATTTTAAGTAGAGATGGTGTTTCGCCATGTTGGCCAGGCTGGTCTCGAACTTCTGACCTCAGGTGATCTGCCTGCCTTGGTCTCCCAAAGTGCTGGGATTACAGGCATGAGCCACCATGCCTGGCCATAACATACTAATATTTTATTGTTATTTCCTCTTTAAAAGATAATAATGTCAATCTGGGACTCATGCTATTTATTTCAAAATATATGTTGTTGGATCATCAGTAGAATCCAGTGAACCAGTTATAGAGTATCCAGAATTCAAACTCTTTCAACAAAAGTGGCATATAATATAGATATAAAATATAAATAACATACATATAAACAATATACATAGTGTTATATATAAAGGGTAGCTCAATGAATAAATGAGTTACTAAAAAACATTTTTTCTATGTCAGTGTAAAAGATCGTATAGTATTTCGCTGATGGCAGAGAAAGTATCATCGCAGGATTTCAAGAGTAAACTAATCTGTGTTAGAAATGCATCACTTTTTACTTTCCTGACTAGTTATTCCTGTGAAAATGTGTTGACCCCTTCAAATCCAGTAGAGAAATGCACACAAGGAGAGTCATTATTTACATGTGGTGAAGGCTTAAAGGCTAGATGATATCAGACTCAGTCCCTTGTGATGAACCTTAAAAAGTCAGTGGTCTTCACTGATGTCCAGTTAAAATGTTAGTGTCCAAGGGATCAAAAGTACTCAGACGTGAGTTTTAGCAGTTTTTGGCAATTGTTTCAATACTGACTAAAAGTCTTTGTGAGGATGGGTGTGGTGGCTCACACCTGTAATCCCAGCACTTTGGGAGGCCGAGGCGGGCGGATCACGAGGTCAGGAGATCGAGACCATCCTGGTTAACACGGTGAAACCCCATCTCTACTAAAAAAACAAAAAACAAAAAACGAAAAATTAGCTGGGCGTGGTGGCGGGTGCCTGTAGTCCCAGCTACTTGGGAGGCTGAAGCAGGAGAATGGCGTGAACCCGGAAGGCGGAGCTTGCAGTGAGCCAAGATCGAGCCACTGCACTCCAGCCTGGGTGACAGAGTGAGACTCCATCTCAAAAAAAAAAAAAAAAAAAAAAAAGTCTATGTGTGGCAAAGAGAATGACACAAGCAACAACGGCATGATAAAGTACTTCAGTTTTTATAAAACTACTGTCCATACCATTGGCATTAACTTCATGTTCAATTTGTGTATGCAGCCTTTTTGTGCCAAGATGGAGAACCTGGCTGAGAAGATATGTACCTATAAAAAGGTCCACTTAGAGGCAACTCTTTACATTGACTACAAAGATAAAGAACAATGAGCAATTAAAGAACATTGGTTTTGGGGAAAACAGTACTGTGTTTGTTCCTTTTTGTTCCTTTTATTTAATTAGATGACTATCAAATTATCTTGGTAACTAAAAAATAGTAGTCAATCTGACAGGAAAGAAAAATAATGCTGGTAGCAGAATTATGCTAAACAGCATTCAAATACGCTCTAATGGAAAGGTTTCTCAGTTCAGCTGACCTTCATATTTTTACTGGTACAGAGGAAACATACAGCATTTAAGTTGCAATTTGCCCTGACTAGTTATAATTTATGTATATCTTGTTTATGTTTAGCTAATATTATAATTCATTGCACACAGGATTCCCATTTATCTGGGACCCATCTCTAAACTGATATTTTGAGTTGATAGTTTTGAATTAATTGCCTGATATTTCTCAGGCATCATGATATAATATAATCAGAAGGCTTGTGCTGATTCTTGAATTTACTAGCAGTCAAACTTGGAAATGTCTCTATTTCTTAGTGTCCTAGTTCTCTCAGCTGTTATATGTGAATAATTTGCATTGCATTCCCTGAAGATAAAATATCATAATAGATGGGGAAATGGTTTTTATACTGCAAAGTGATGTGGTCCTATCATCATCATCAACCTGCTCACATAAGCAGGTCATTTCAGCCACTCAGTGGCTAAAGAGAACTGTCTTCTCTTTTCTTATATTGCTGATAAACTCTCATGCATTGTGGATATTTTCAGAAGTGTCACCTGTTGTGCATAGGATGTGGCCAGGTGTGGTCTAACGGATCATCTCTGTGGTTGGAATCAACAAGGCAGAGAATAGAAGCAGTCCCAAGTTTCCCATCATACCATGGAGTGTGAGATTCATTCTAATACTACTTCCACCTGTGGATCTCTTCATATAGAAGACATTCAAAGAACAGATCTGCACAGGAGAAAATAAATAGGCTGTTTGGCATAGATAATTTCTATTAAAGGGTGTTGCTTGCTAACAGAGTGTCTGGGAAAGCCAGGTAACCTGCACCTGTTGATCAAGGGACAGCTGAGAAACAAAGTCCTTGGGATGCTACATGCCAAAAGGAGGGCACCACTGATCCTATGAAAAACTGAGTTTGGTTTGCTCTCTAGCTGAGAAAATAAGTCTCCTGAAATCCAGCTAGCCCTTTGTTTAAGGAACACAGAGTGAGCCCCTAAGATCTTACTCAAACAGTCCTGATTCTTGTGTGATACAGACTCACTATTCTCTAAGAAGAGACTATTTTACTCCTTAATTCACCAAAACTGGGTCTGTAGGAAAGCATCTCTATCTTCTGCATCCTGCCAAGTCGTGTCAATTCTGCCTCCTTTGTAAGAGGTAGTTTGGTATATAGAGTAAGAGTGTAAGAGTGCATGTGCTCTGGATCCAGACTGCTGTGGCTCAAACCCAGCTCCTCTGCTTGTTATTCTGTCATCTTCATCGTGTTACTGTCTCTGGGCCTCAGGTTACTCACTTGCAAAGTACAAATAACAGAAATACCTATCTTATAGATTTTTACATATATCAAACAATATAAAAGATTTGGAGCACTGAGGAGAACACCTCCTATATATTAAGAACTCAATAACAGTTGCTATCTTTATGGACTTATACAAATTTGATC
The DNA here is from genome assembly GCF_000001405.40 of Homo sapiens. Classification (NCBI taxonomy): domain Eukaryota; kingdom Metazoa; phylum Chordata; class Mammalia; order Primates; family Hominidae; genus Homo; species Homo sapiens. The sequence goes on from NC_000007.14 coordinate 125,245,869, forward strand.
ACTAAGCATTTAAGATCTTAAAAAGCAACACTTGCTGACTGAGGTAGGAAGTTTCCATTTATTGATTATATAGATTGATTCCCTACACTGTGCCAAGTATTTCATCCTCAAATAATTATATGTATATTTTATCTGCAGGTAATTTGAAGCCCTGAATAACCTTTTGAGGCTACATAGCACTTAGTAGATGAAGGAGATCTCAGGATCATCTGACTCCAAAGTACTGGCTTGCTTTCTTATTCTATGTTCAGAAGCTCTGTTCTTCCTTCAGTTTTCTGTTTCATTTCTCAATGAGAATGATTTTAAAGCATGCTAGTTTTTATGTGCGTGCCCAGAGGCACTCTAGCAGAGACACAGTTACCCAGAAAAAGATGCGCATGTCTTCTTTATGATCCTCATATATCTATAAAGAAAAAAATCCTTACAAATACACATATATATTCCAATCTTTACAATTCCAATAGTAGATACTCACATAGAGACAGAAGAAAGCATTCTTCCATTCACTAATGTGGACATGCACATAAGCATATTAGAAGGTGTCTGTGGGCCAGGTGTGGTGGCTCATTTCTGTAATCCCAACACTGAGAGGCAAAGGTGGGAGGATCACTTTCAGCTCAGGAGTTTGAGACCAACCCAGGCAACATGGTGAAATGCCATCTCTACAAACAAACAACCAAACAAAAAAACAGGTGTGGTGGCAGATGCCTGTGGTCTCAGTTACTCAGGAGGCTGTGGTGGGAGGATCATTTGAGCCCAGTAGGTAAAGGCTGCAGTGAACTGTGATCGTGTGACAGACTCCAGCCTGGGTGACAGAGTGAGACCCTGCCTCAAAAAAAAAAAAAAAAAAAAAAAGAAAGGAAAAAAAGACTTGGTGTGAGGAGAACTGGCAGATAAAGCAAGAGTTGATCATAGTATGTGAGATTATCCAACTCAAACTTAGCTATTTAGTCTCAAATGCCATGAAAAATTAGTTTTGAATCTAGTTTGCTGCTTGAGTGTTGAGAGAAGGAGCTGACCAATAACTACAATGAGTAAGCATAAAAACAGGCTTCTGGGAGACAGTATGGAGGAGTTCCGTGGAGGACAGTGGGGAAGAAGAACAAACATTGCTTCCTGATCTGTGAAGGTGCCAGAAGTTAAACAACAACAACAAAAACAAGACCCCAGAAAACAGAATCAAGTCTACAATAACAAAAAAAGCTCAAGTCTATGGGCAGATATGGTCTGACCTGGAGTCTAGGTGTGTGCAATGTGACTTCTTTGAGTGAGTTTTTGATGTGGGGTGAGGAGAAGGGAAATGTGGGAAAGGGCACAGCACCTCTATGTGAGGAGTGGTGTGTGAACCATTCTAGCAACTCCAGTCCAGCAGAACACAGGGTTTGCTAGCCTTAGGATCAGTGAAACAGATACAGCTGTAGGAATTCAGCACCTGCAGTGACCATAACAGAAATTATCCCTCCTTATAACCAGCATCCTTGCAGAACTAACATGACAGCTCATTTGGTGCTGCATTCCAATACATATGAGACCCAGAGAATGACAGCTTTTACAAAAATATAAGGACTTCCTGTGACCCACAATATCAACCACTGAATCAAAGTAAATGAATGGGCTGGATTGGGTTGGGATTCCTTGAGCCCAGATACAAAGTAAGGCATTTTAAATTTGCTTGTACACTGACTATACATCCAGGCTTTTGTAGCCTGAGGGACCAATTTTTATAAACACACTGCACAATATGGTCATAAATATTCTTTACAATACATATATATCTACTTGAGCCAAGGGTCAGAGGAGTCTTCTACTACAATTTAGAAATCATCCATGAAGTGCTGATAATGTAGGTCTACATCAGAGTCCTGAGAAGACAGATGAAACTACATTTCAATGATTGATTTCCTTTATAATCCTGTGTATTTAATTTAATACAGCTAAAATCAATATTGTGAGACAGGGTCAGTAGGCTTTGCCCAACTATCACAAGGTAATAGCAATAAATATGTGAACAGAGGAAGAGAAATTGGCAGCTATTGCAGATGCAATTCAAACCTCAGAAATCCGGAAGTGATAGGCAGGACAGGATCCCTGACCATGGTAGACATGTCCCATGGTAACATAGCTCCCTTTAAAATGATGGCTGGCCCTCACTATAAATATAAACATCTTCTCTACTATTCTTTCAAATAATCCATATGCTATGCTTACATTTATATCTCCTGAGGCTCTCTTTTGTGAAATGAATATTCTATTTATTTCAAATAAAACTCTTTTAAAATTATCACATTATTTATACTAGCATATTCACTTATTAGATTTGTAATAGCTCTCCAGAGATGGTCGCAAACATGCATGAGATTAATTTAAGCATCTACTATTTTTCACACATGTCAAAATAAGTTATATCGGGGAAAATAATGCATATTTCTTACCTGATTAGAATTTTCAGGATCGTATATCATCTTCAGTGAGTACTAATTGCTACTAACTGGCATTTGATTGAAGTGGTGAAAAGGTGGATTCATTCTGTTTCACTAATTGATTCAAGTTGGATTTTGCCCAAGTCTTATAAGCTAAATATCCAATAATAAGGGAATGATTAATTGAATCTCAGCACATCCATATGACAGAATAATGTGAAGCCATTAAAATGGTATTTTAGAAGAATGCTTAGTAAAATTGGGAAATGCTTATAATAAATTTATTATTACTACATGGAGAATAAAATCTACATTCATCATTCTGGACTCTAAGGTCCTACATAATCTGTCCCCTGCTTAACTCTACTTCCTATCTTACCCATCTGTCTCCTTCCATATCACAATTTATCCACACTGGTCTTTGTTTTACTTCCAGAACATACCCTGACTTTTCTGCTGTCAGAACTTCACATTAGCTGTTCCCCATGCCTGGAACGCACCTCCCTATGTCTTCACCTGAATGATGCCTTCTTTTCACTGAAAAGGTCCTTTTGTAACCACTATATTTAGTATAGTGATATACTAGACTTACTTTCTAGTATATCACTTTGTATTTTCTAGTATACTACTTATTAACTTCTCACTATCTGATACCGCCTTACTTATTTTTAGGTTTTTTTTTTTTTTTTTACACTTCCTACTAAAATGCAAGCTTCTTGAAAGCAGGGACATAGTCTATGTTAATTTTTTATTTTTTTATTACATAGTAGGTGGTAGGTGTATATATTTCTGGGTTACATGAGAGATATTTTGATACAGGCATATGATGCATAATAATCACATCAGGGTAAATGGAATATTCATCACCTCAAGCATTTGTCCTTTGTGTTACCCAATCCAATTATACATTTATTTTAAAATGTACAATTAAATCATTATTGTCTATAGTCACTCTGTTGTGCTGTTGAATACTAGATCTTATTTACTGTACTTTTTGTACCCATTAACGATCCCCATTTCCTCCCCACTTGCCCACTACCCTTCCCAGCCTCAGGTAACCATCATTCTACTCTCGATGTCTGATGTTGTCTCTCTTGTTCACTGTTTTATTCCCAGAACCTGGGAAAATGCCTGACACATAGTAAAGATCCAATATGTGTTTTTTAAATAAATACACCTGTAATTATTTTAAGTTTCAAAAGTAAAAATGCTCATTTTAGAATTTTTAATAATATAAAGAAGTAAAAAGAGAATTCAAAATTATCAATGACTTTATCTGGAGGTACTCATTGTACACTTGTTGGTATATGTTAGGGCACAGACAAGTAAATGTATAGCAGCTGGAATCATCTAACTGCACCCCTGTTTTATAATCTTCTTTTCCTTATATTCTTCCCTCTTTTCCCTTTAGCAAAATAAAATAAATTTCCCTCATAGACTCATGTATAACAGTCTGGTGATAATTTCCTTGGAATCACTCTGCATAGTTTGTCAATGTAGTTTTTGCCAATAGTAAAAAAAAAGCAAAAAGCAAAAAGCAGTACTCTCCCAAAGAGGAATTTTGGTACTCATATTTTTCTGCACTTCTGAAATGTGGAATGGAGCACAACATGGAGACCGTGTTGAGTGCTGTGGGGACAGACAAGAGACACAAACACTTTCTCCTTTTTGGTGGGTCAAAGAATGCTTACCTTCAGAAGGATGTGAGTTCTCAGCTGAGACCTGAAGTGTATCTAGATCAGCTACAGTAGATTCATAAGGTTTGGAACCTGTAGGTTGGGAGAGGCAGGGAATTCTAAAGTCCCTCTGACCTCTGGGTCATTAATCACATCTCCTTTTCTGACCCTGACTCTCCTGTCTCCCTCTTATAAAATCTCTTGTGATTACACTGAAACCACCTGGAAAATCTAGTATAATCTACCTGTCTCAAGACTCTTGACTTAGTCACATGTGCAAAATCCCTTTTTAGATGGAATATACCATATTTACAGGTTGTGAGAATTAAGCCATGAACATCTTAATTGGGTGGGGGAAGTTACTATTCTGCCTACTATGGTTCTGTATCATCAATCGAATCAATTCAACGGGGAGCTTATTACTTTTAATTTTATGCTGTCATTTCCTCATCTGTAAAAGGTAATAAGAGTTCTACAACAACTTAGGTTTGTTCTGAAGAGTAAATGCTTTGAAGGTTCTGGCACATATCAGATACTTAAGAAGCTATTATTATTGCAGCAAATAATATGATTTTACAAATACCCTCATGGAGTTAAAAATTACACCACCCACGTATATTGATGGAATGTGGTAGGACTTATGAGGCAATATATGAGAATTTAATAAGATATAATACCATAGTAATTTATTCTAGATACATATATACCCAAATTATGAATGATATAGTTTTTGAATTACCCTTGAAGAGTTATTAATATTTTAGCAACTCTAGAAGAAAATGATGAACATGTTTTTTGGAACATTAACTTATTTTCCCATCTTTGACAAGGTAAAGATATCTACATTTGCATATTTTCAGTCTACTTTTTTTCTCTATGATCAAGAAGATTCTTATGTTTTTCTATTGTGATTCTATATCCTCATCCACATCTAGTGAGTACCTGCTTTGTGTCTGCTATGCCTTTGGGCTTTTTGTAATGTAGATTTATTTTTTTTTTGTAAGATGGAGTCTCTGTCACCCAGGCTGAAGTGCAGTGGTTTGATCTTGGCTTACTGCAACCTCCACCTCTTGGGTTCAAGTGATTCTTCTGCCTCAGCCTCCTGAGTAGCTGGGGTTACAGGTGCCTGCCACCACGCCTGGCTAATTTTTGTATCTTTAGTAGCGACGGGTTTTCACCCTTCCAACCAGGCTGGTCTTGAACTCCTGACCTCAAGTGATTCACCCACCTAAGCTTCCCAAAGTGCTGGGATTACAGGTGTGAGCCACTGCACCTGTCCTGTGATGTAGTTTTAAGATAACAAATAGAGATAAAAACAAGGAGAGCATCATGAATTTTGGACAACAAATAGAAAGAGACACACCCAGCTGGGCGCAGTGGCTCATGCCTGTAATCCCAGCACTTTGGGAGGCCGAGGTGGGCAGATCATGAGGTCAGAAGTTCGAGACCAGCCTGGACAACAGAGTAAAACCCCATCTCTACTAAAAATACAAAAATTAGCTGGGCATGGTGGCACGTGCCTATAGTCCCAGCTACTTGGGAGGCTGAGGCAGAAGAATCGTTTGAACCCAGGAGGCTGGGGTTGCAGTAAGCCGAGATCATGCCACTACACTTCAGCCTGGGCAGCAGAGCAAGACTCCATTTAAAAAAAGAAAGAGACAAACACATAAATCGAGCATCATTGAAAAGGGCCTGCATACTCAAAAAAGAGTAGAAAGAATCGTGGCTAAAAAAAAACCAGTAGGAATTCAGAGTTGTAGGGGAGAGATTTTGAGGAAATCGGTTGTGATTCAAGGGAAAGATATTTCTAATGACAGAAGTATAAAATTTGATAAAGCTGTTCAGAACAAAGAGAATATGTTTCTTACCCTTTGACATTATCTGAGAGATGACAGTAAACAGCAATGTTTTTTTCATTACTTTCAGTTGCTAGATATTATTTTGTCCCATCCAACTCCATGCTTGGGCTGGCATGTGGGGCTTCATTTTTGTTTGAATTATACATCATCCAGTGGATATGTTATATTCTCTTCAAGTCTCATAAACCCATTGCATGTCATTCACACTCATCAAACCATTTGCAGTCCATCCGTCTTCTCCTCCAGCAATCTTTATCATTCCCTATATCTTTTTTTCTGAACAGAGAAACTGACCCTTCCTCTGTTTACGTTCACTTTTTCCAACTGTTCAGAAATATTAATCTCACCTTCAATCTACAAACATGTCCTCTAAACATACAACCATGTTTCCTTGTAAGCAGCTACCCTCATTTTCTCCCTTCTATAAACAAACTTTGTTAGAGAACCTACAAAACCACTTATTTTCTTTCATTTCTTATTTTCTAGTAAACTCACTTGGATATGATTTCTGTTTTTAATATGATAGACATGCACCTGCAATCGTTAAATCCAGTGATTGCCTTTTATTTAGTTAGGCTGCTCTATAGAATGATAACATTGATCATGCTTTTCTTCCTTCACTGTAACACATTATTTTATTACCCACCCTTCAGCTCACTGATCATTGTCTTTCTGGCTTTCTTCCAGCCGTATCTCAATAGTTGGTGCATCCCATGGTTTCATCTTTGCTCCTTAACTCATATAGACATGATTTGTGTGTGCTATTATTCTCTTATGCAGATTTTCTTAACAGCAATAGACATTCTTAAATAAGCAAAACTAAAAAGGCCAAAGTAAATTTGTCCCTAAAGTTTCCTGTGTTTCCTGTTTCATTAAATGAAGCCAATGACATTATTATTCACGAGGTGTCCAAACACAAAAGCTCAAACATTTTTGAAATGCCTTCCTTCAACCTCGTATCAGTTGTTACCAAGTCATTCTTATTATTCTGCCTATGTTAAATATGAAATTACTTTCCTCCACTCCATAGCTCTATCAGTGCAGGCTTCTTTTCCCAATTGTCTCAGTTATCCCTGAACTGAGAGATCTCTTGTGATGTCTCATCCTCTATGTCTTCCTTTCCACAGATTTGAGCACAATATCCTCTACTTTAACACTTATTTCAAATATTGGACAGAAAAGAATGATACATAAGACCTTTACAATATGGCCACTGATATGGATTAAATATTTCTGTCCCCCTTTTCCCAATTTTTATGTTGTGGTCCTAATCCCCAATGTGATAATGTTTGAAGGTGGGACCTTGGAGAGGTTGATTGGATTTGGATGAAGTCATGGGGATAGTGCTCCTGTAATGGGATTGGTGCATTATAAGCGGATGAGGAGACCAGAACTCTCTCTGGGAGATGTGAAGATGTAGTGAGAAGGTGACTGTGTATAAGCCAGGAAGAGGGCCTTTAGCAGAACCTGACCATTCTGGCACCCTGATCTTGGACTTCCAGTCTCCAGACCACTGAGAAATAAACATTCGTAGTTTAAGTTACCCAGTCTATGGTATCTTATTATATCAGCCTGAGAAAATTAATACAACCACAAATTCCTTTTCTTAATTTGCCAAGCCACATCTCATTTTTAACTATACTAACTTATTTTTTAAACATATGCAGAGCTGAGAGGTACCACTATTCAAATATCATTAAAAAGCTTTCTAAAGGCACACAAACGCATGAGTTCAGGCAGTGTACCACAACTGTAAATGCTGGAAAGAAGCTCTAATGGACAAAGCACTTGAGTACAGGCAGTAGCAAGAGGCTGGCTGAGTCTGTGACACTCCAGAGGCATGGCTGTAAACATTTGACAGCACTAATAGTGGCTCAGAAAGGGCTAACCACTGGCAACAGTGGAAAAAAAATAGTTACTCCACATTTTTACAACTGACATTGCTATTTCTGAAACCTTCCTCTTCTTTCCCTTTCTCTATGTTGTAATAGGAATTCAGGTATTGACATGTCTCAAGTATGATTAATAAGTAATTCATGCAAGAAATATTCTATGAATATGAAAAATATTTGAGGGCAAAGAGTGATTACTTTTGTTCCCATTAGTCTCATAATGACAGCCTGTTCTGACATAAGTTAGCTCTGGCTAGTCTCAACCAAAATATTTTCAGGTACAGTTCATCTGAAGTTTTAAGTTATTCTCAAATAGATGATATCATCTACAGTAGCATGCTCAAATACCGTAATACTCATTGTGTGGGGGAGCAATTAAAACTGAAGGTGATTCAGGTGAATATATTGCTTGGCTTTAGAAACTGGAACTGCAAAATGGATTCTTAAGAATGTGAGTCTAGTAAAAGAAACGAGAATGAACACTGACAAATAAGAGATGAATAGTGGCAGAAAGAATTAGAAGTCATAATGATACTTTTAGAAAAGGAAATTAGAGCAGAAAAAAAAAAGTAACCCTAGCAACAAAAAGAACTGTAAACATTTTTAGAGATAGGAAGAAAGAAAAAAAATCATGGTAACTGAAAAAAAAAAAAAAATAGGTACTTTACATTAGAGGAGTGTATTTTTTACTAATATATTTACTCACACACACACTTAGAATAGGAAATCTATCCAACAATTCAGCAAAAGACAACAAATTATTTTAAGGAAGCCAAAAAGTAAAATAAAAAAATTCCGATTAACCTTCTTGGAAAAAGTATTCTAATATCAAAACTTTATTATTTTTTCTTTTTTACTAAAAAAACCTCTAGAGTTAGAAGTTAACCTTTAATTGCATAGTGTCATTTTACATTCAGCATTACATAATTTGAATAGTCTTACTCAATTTTATAAGCTGACAATTATAAGGAGATTGCTTTTAAATGGCCTCAGGCTTTAACTAGGCTAGGATCCTCTTTGGTTTGGAAAGCACAACATCTCATTGAGCATTACCCAGGAATCTGATCATTATTTCAAAAAAAAAGAAATCTCATTTTTTATGGCCAGAGAGAATCAGATAGGAGAATTTCTGCATGAAAATGTAATTGTATCATCCAAGCTGATGAGGTGGAGGGGGAAAATGTAACCATTTGAAAGACGTTTTGGTTGTGTGTTACATGAAGCTGAACATAGACTTACCATACAATCCAGAAATCACACTCCTAGTTATTTACTCAATACTCAAGAAAGGGTTCAATTGGGCCCAAAGATGTAGAAGAATAAATGTGAAAACAGAATCGTGTCAACTATATTAAATTCCTAACATATATTCAATGCATTTAAAAAAACTCTCACAAATGAAATCCTGATACCAGATGCCTCCACTGGTGTATTCTTCCATTTATTTCTGAATAAATTACCCCGATCTTAAACAAACTCTTCTGAATTATAGGAAAATGGCTCTTTTTTATGAGGTCACCGCAATCTTGATTGTAAAATCTGACAAGGATATCACCCACTCTGTAATTCCAAAAGTTTCTCTCATGATATAGTTATAAAAATCCTAAACAAGATAACAAAGCAAACTCACAGAATGATTTAACATAAAAAATATGTCAATGCTATTTACCATAATAACTACAAAAAAGATTAAAAATGATTATCTCAAAATAAGTTTTTAAGATGCCTTTGCTGAATTCAATACCCATTCATAATTTAAAAACAATTAATAGTATGTTAGGTGTACAAAGAATTGTCTTTTATGAAATAAAGACTGTCTGCAAAAATCTAAGAGCATTCATATTTGATGGTAAAATATGAAAACTTTCTTCCCTTCTGCCCTCTTTCTTTTCCCACTACTTCAGATAGTGCACAAAGGAAAAATCACCCCTATCATTACTTTTGTTCTACATCTCACTATAGGGTTTAGCCAGGACAATATAACAAAAGAAACAAAATAAAACAAATCAAACACAAAATAGAGAAAAGAAAAAAAGAAACAAAAGTAGAGATCATGTGCATAGAAAAGGAGAAAGAAAATTCTTATAATTTGCCTATCAATGGTTATATAGTTAGAAAATAAAAAATCCATGAATTATAATAAATTTAATAAGATTGCTTTACATACTGTTTTGCACAGTGCTTACAGATGCTTTACTAAGAAAGGTGAAAACAGCAAATACACAGATAAAACTCTGTGTCAGCATTTGGCAGCATTTAGCTGTCATGAGACTTCCTGAAGGTAAGACTTAAATCAGTAGTTCATGTAAACTGTGCTGGTGTGCAATGTTAATGCCACCCGTCTCACTGCCGGGTGAGTGCAACATGATTCTTTACAGGGCTGAGGACTGGAGTGCATTCTCGTATTTTCAAATTAATGTTAATTCTATCTCATTTTAAATGTAGACATTTTATCACCAGCTTTTGTATCAGCAAGGGAGATTCTAGTCTTGGCAATAGCCTCAAGTCTGATTTCAACATTACCCAAATGATGGTGATGTTCACGCTTCTCATCAAATGAAACTTTCATCTGTTTTTAAAGCAATCTACAGAATATTTATCTCTCAGTTGCTTCATCAAAAAGAGCTCCCAAGAGGTGGTAAAAATTATTTTCGCACTATCACAGTGAGATTTAATGACATTTTAAATAAATAACAATATCCTGTTTACACATAATAAAGTATTACATTTATAGCGTTTTGGCTTAGATTTATAAAAATTCACTAAACCAGTGATGAAAATCAGGATTTATAATTGTTCTATTATTATTTCTGAAACTATTTATGGTAGGAAAGGTTAGTGACTGCTGCTGGCACTGTGGTAGCAGAAAGTTAATGATTCTCTTGTCTTTTAGTGGAGTTAGACTGTAGTTCATGTGTAAAACAATACCTCCAGGCTGTGCTTTAAATGCTGAGCTCATTTATCTCTCATCAGTTAGGTAAATGAGATGCGGAAGTGGCTCCTGGTTTCTAAATAACTTTTTATACACTACTGAAAGCCTTAAAGGGTACTAAAATGCTTTCTCTTGTTAATGAAATTTCACTCATATAATCCATTCCTTAGTCTAGGAGACTCATTTTTTTTTTTTAAGCTTCCAGGCAGGCTGCTGATTTCACACTTATGCCAATGTTTATAAGTTCATTTTTATTACAGATTTACTTGTTTATATGAGGATATTTCCAAAATATATGTACCATAGTTATGTAAAGTGTTAACATTAGGGGTAGCTGAGTGAAAACTATGCTGTCTTTTCATCTCTTTGGTAAATCTGAAATTATTCGAAAAGAAAAGATCTAAAAAATTACACACCAAAATACTCTCCTTTTACCCCTCAAAATAAGAAGATAGTTCTGATCAGCATATTTTGTACTTATTTTATTATTATAATGTGGAATGCTTTCAAATTTACGTGTCATGCATGTGTGACTAGCATAAGTTTTTAAATGTGTATTCAAGAAGTTTATAAAGATTGCCACAAAAATAATGCCTAGTAAGTAGTTACAGCCCAAACATTCCAACTGCCACTCTACATTTCTTTCTCACACATCACTATCAACACTATGATAGTTGAAGACCAAAAATAAATATCGTTGAGTGAATGTCTCTGTGTAATCTATAGTATGATCCTCAAGGGCCACCATTATTGTGCTGGAGAGAGCACACTGTCTTTCATTCACAGAAAGAAAATTAACTTTATTGCGGTCCCTCAACCTTTTAGTGTTTCCTATTCCACAGACAAAAACTCTCAGGCAGAGCAGAATTATTTTCTCTCCTTCACTTAGATAAATTCTAAGGACAAAGGAAATACTTACGAAATTGTTTTTGGATAGATCAGTGTGTGAGTATAAGTGATTGAGCTATACATTCAGAAAAAAGTAAGACACAATTTCCAATTTAAGACCTCATCTCTGTATGGAGGTTGTGATCCTTAATTTTGTGTGGCCTGGGCCATAGGAGGCTCCAGATATTTGACTGAGCATTATTCTGGGTGTGTGGGTGAGGGTGAAGGTGTTTCTGGATAGGATTAACATTTGAATTGGTAGACTGAGTAAAGCAGATTACCCTCCCACACGTGTGTGACCCTCATGCAATCCACTGAAGGCGTTAATAGAAGAAAAAGTCTGAGAAAGGAGAATTTACTCTGTGAACCCCAAATATCTGAGAGAGGTATCAGTTAATTTAGATTGTTTATTTTGCCAAGATTGAAGATGCATGCCTGTGACACAGGCTTAGCAGGTCCTGATGACATGTGCCCAAGGTGGTCAGGGCACAGCTTGGTTTTATACACTTGAGGGAGACATGAAACATCAATTAAAATATGTAAGATGAACATTGGTTCAGTCTGGAAAGCTGGGACAACTCAAAGCAAAGGGGGGACAACTCACAGCAGGGAGGGGGCTTCCAGGTCATGGGTAGATAAGGGACAAATGGTTACATTCTTTTGAGTTTCTGATTAGCCTCTCCAAAGGAGGCAATCAACCATGCATTTATCTCAGTAAGAGGACTGGTTACTTTGAATAGAATGGGAGGCAGGTTTGCCCTAAGCAGTTCCCAGCTTGACTTTTCCCTTTTGCTTAGTGATTTTGGGGCCCCAAGGTTTATTTTCCTTTCACAGTTCTCTCTGCCTGACTATCTTCAAGTGGAGACAATAGTCTTCTCTTGCTATCAAAGTCAGAATCAGACTTAGACTCAGACTGGAATTCACACCATTAGCTTTCCTTGTCTCAGACCTTTAGGCTCCAGACTAGTTCGATGGCATTGGCTCTCCTAAGCCTTCAGATTGCTGATCTCAAGTTGTGGGACTTAAGTCTCCATAACTGCATAAGCCAATTCCTTATAAAAAAAAATCTCTGTGTGTGTGTATGTGTATGCATATATATGTGTGTGTGTGTGTGTGTGTGTGTGTGTGTGTGTGTGACAAGAGGTCCATAGATAGGGCTGGGTGTATGTGTTTCTATGTGTGTATATATATTTATATGATTCTATTCCTCTGGAGAACCCAGACCAATACTGAGATGATTCATAATTAAGTTTAAATTAAAATAACTCTGAGCTTTTTTAGTATGTCATTTATGTCAGGCCTCTGAGCCTAAGCCAAGCCATCGCATCCCCTGTGACTTGCACGTATATGCCCAGATGGCCTGAAGTAACTGAAGAATCATAAAAGAAGTAAAAATGCCCTGCCCCGCCTTAACTGATGACATTCCACTACAAAAGAAGTGTAAATGTCCGGTCCTTGCCTTAACTGATGATGTTCCACCACAAAAGAAGTGAAAATGGCCGGTCCTTGCCTTAAGTGATGACATTACCTTGTGAAAGTTCTTTTCCTGGCCCATCCTGGCTTCAAATCTCCCCCACTGAGCACCTTGCAATGCCCACTCCTGCCCGGCAGAGAACAACCCCCCTTTGACTGTAACTTTCCTTTATCTACCCAAATCCTATAAAACGGCCCCACCCTTATCTCCCTTCACTGACTCTCTTTTCGGACTCAGCCTGCCTGCACCCAGGTGATTAAAAGCTTTATCGCTCACACAAAGTCTGTTTAGTAGTCTCTTCACACCGACAGGCATGAAAATTTAAATATATTCGAATGCTATGGGTCTAAGGTCTAAGATTGTTTTGGATTTTAAACCAAGGTTGAATTCCAATTTGGTCTTTGTTATGGTTTTCTTTGGAAAGGCGTTATGCCATTGAGTCAGTTAAAAGTGAAATTTACTCATAATCCTTGGTCAAGGGTTTTATAACCCTCTCATCTTTGAATTACTTATAACTTACTTTAGAATTATTGTTCATCCTCTTCCCTTTCTTTTACATTATCCATGCTCCTCATATAACATAGCTATAATTAATGAGTTTTACCAAGTCTGTTTCCTGAGTCTGTAAATCCAGGGGGGCATATATTTCCATATAGCATCTAGTGTTCTAAAAATGCTTGTCTAGGCGATTGGGTTCCCACCTCAGCCATCCTGTTCCCTCATGGGATTCTGAAGTTATCATGTTTATAATTTACCATCATTTCAATTATAGTAGGTTTCATCACATCAGCTGTGATGGCATGGAGAAACAGTGTAAACCGGCAGTGTAAACAAGAATAGGGCATGTATGAGTAGTTGAGAACGGTGAATAGGAGTATCACTAGACAGAAGATAGTAGGGATGACAAGTTTTTTGGGGCACAGTCTAAGTTGGTCTGGTGTCTGGAATGAGACTGGGGCCTAATAAAAAGGAGCGTCTTTACAGGAGCTTAAATGGTCTGTACCCTGTAGCGTTCCGAGGACAGGCCTGAATTCTGAGAAGGGAAAGTGGTAAAAGTATTGTCCAGTCCTTTTTGGTGGCTGAGCTTGGTGAGGTGTGTTTTTAAAAGACCTTCAGTCCATTCTACTTTTCTTGAAGATGGAGGACCGTAAGGGATATAAAGATTTCACTGAATACTAAGAGCCTGAAAAACTGCTTGGCTGATTTGACTAATAAAGGCTCATCTGTTATCAGACTGTATTGAGGTGGGAAGGCTAAACTGAGGAATTATGTCTGACAGAAGGGAAGAAATGACTGCGGTGGCCTTCTCAGACCCTGTAGGAAAGGCCTGTACCTATCCAGTGAAAGTATCTACCTAGACTAAGAGGTATTTTAGTTATCTGACTCAGGGCATGTAGAGTAAAGCTAATTTGCCAGTCCTGGGTGGGGCAAATCCTCCAGCTTGATGTGTAGGGAAGGGAGGGGGCCTGAATAATCCCTGAGGAGTAGTAGAATGGCAGATGGAACACTAAGAAGTTATTTCCTTGAGGATAGATTTCCACGATGGAAAGGAAATGAGAGGTTCTAAGAGGCGGGCTAGTGGCTTGTACTATAGTATAACCTGCCTTTGCTGGTGTGTGGCGATTAGGCCTGGTGGAACCGTCATCAATAAATCAAGCATGATCAGGGTGAGGAACAGGAAAGAAGGAAATTTGGGGAAATGGGGTGAATGTCAGGTGGATCAGAGAAATACAGTCATGGGGGTCAGGTGTGGTATCAGGAATAATGTGGGAGGCCGGATTGAAGTCTGGGCCAGGAACAATGGTAATTGTGGGAGACTCAACAAAGAGTGAGTATAGCTGAAGGAGCCGGGAAGCAGAAAGTATATGCGTCAGGTATGAGGAAGAAAATAGATTTTGGAAGTTATGAGAACTGTAGAGAGTGAGTTGAGCATAGTTTGTGATCTTGAGGGCCTCTAAAAGTATTAATGCAGTGGCAGCCGCTGCACGCAGACATGAGGGCTAGGCTAAAACAGTAAGGTCAAGTTGTTTGGACAGAAAGGCTACAGGGTGTGGTCCTGGCTCTTGTGTAAGAATTCTGACCATGCTAACCATGCCTAGGAAGGAAAGGAGTTGTTGTTTTGTAGAAGGTGCTGGGGTTTGAGAGATCAGTCGGACAAGATTGGCAGGGAGAGCACGTGTGTTTTTATGAGAATTATGCCGAGATAGGTAACAGATGAGGAAGAAATTTTGGCTTGATTGAAGTAATGGGGGCTGACTGTGAAGCTTTGCAGCAGTACAGCCTAGGTAATTTGCTGAGCTTGATGGGTGTCAGGGTCAGTCCAAGTGAAAGCGAAGAGAGGCTGGGATGAAGGGTGCAAAGGAATAGTAAAGAAGCATGTTTGAGATCTAGAACAGAATAATGGGTTATAGAGGCAGGTATTGAGGATAGGAGAGTATATGGGTTTGGCACCACAGGGTGGATAGGCAAAACAATTTGGTTGATAAGGCACAGATCCTGAAGTAACTTGTAAGTCTTGTCTGGTTTTAGGACAGGTAAAATGGGGAAATTGTAAGGAGAGTTTATAGGCTTTAAAAGGCCATGCTGTAGCAGGCAAGTGAAAACAGGCTTTAATCTTTTTAAAGCATGCTGCAGGATGGGATATTGGCGTTGAGTGAGGTAAGGGTGATTAGGTTTTAATGAAATGGTAAGGGGTGCATGATCGGTCGCCAAGGAGGGAGTAGAGATATCTTATACTTGTGGGTTAGGGTGGGGGGATACAAGAGGAGGACGCAAAGGAGGCTTTGAATTGGGATGAAGGGCGGCAATGAGATATAGCTGTAGTCCAGGAATAGTCAGGGAAGCAGATAATTTAGTTAAAGTGTCTCAGCCTAATAAGGTAACTGGGCAGGTGGAGATAACTAAAAAGGAGTGCTTAAAAGAGTATTGTCTAAGTTGGCACCAGAGTTGGAGAGTTTTAAGAGGTTTAGAAGCCTGGCTGTCAATACCCACAACAGTTATGGAGGCAAGGGAAACAGGCCCTTGAAAAGAAGGTAATGTGGAGTGGGTAGCCTCTGTATGATTAAGAAGGGGACAGACTTACCCTCCACTGTGAGTTACCCGAAGCTCGGCATCTGTGATGGTCTAGGGGGCTTCCGAGGCGATCGCGCAGCGTCAGTCTTCAGCCGCTAAGCTGAGAAGATCTGGGAAGGAGTCAGAGAGCCTTGGGCCAGAGTTCCAGGGGCTCTGGGAGTGGCTGCCAGGTGAGTTGAACAGTCCGATTTTCAGTGGGGTCCCACACAGAAGGGACATGGCTTAGGAGGAATCCTGGGCTGTGGGCATTCCTTGGCCCCGTGGCCAGATTTCTGGCACTTATAGCAAGCTCCTGGGGGAGGAGGTTCTGGAGGAATGCCTGGCTGCTGCGCTTCAGGTGTTTGGAAGCTCTTGTGTGCTGGAGATGTGGCTGGGGTTTGTCTCACAGTGGAGGCAAGGAATTGCAACTTTTTTCTATTATTGTACACCTTGAAGGCGAGGTTAATTAAATCCTGTTGTGGGGTTTGAGGGCCGGAATTTAATTTTTGGAGTTTTATTTAATGTCGGGAGCAGATTGGGTAATAAAATGTATTTTGAGAATAAGACGGCCTTTTGACTTTTTAGGGTCTAGGGCTGTAAAGTGTCTCAGGGTTGCTGCCAAACAAGTCATGAACTGGGCTGGATTTTTATATTTGATGAAAAAGAGCCTAAACGCTATCTGATTTGGGATAAAGAAAAAGGAGCATTAAGCTTGACTGTGCCTTTGGCTCCAGCCAACTTTTTAAGAGTAAATTGCTGGGCAGGTTGGGGAGGGCTAGTCATGGAATGAAACTGTAAGCTGGACCAGGTGTGAGGAGGGGAGGTGATAAAAAGATTATAGGGTGGAGGAGCAGAGGATGAGGAAGAATTGGGATCTAGCTCGGCCTGGAGAGGAGCAGCCTGGGGAGGAAGGGAGAGGTCAGATGGGTCTGTAGAAAAGGAAGATTAGAAAGACTCAGTGACGCTTGGGGTTGGGACTGAGGGGACAGGCGGGAGGGAAAGAAGGAAGATTTGGGACGAGTTGCACTGGGCACAGAGACTAGGAACGGACTGATGTGTAAAAGAATGCCTGGACTTCAGGCACCTCAGACCATTTGCCTATTTTACGACAAGAATTATTTAGATTTTGCAGGATGGAAAAATTCAAAGTGCCATTTTCTGGCTATTTGGAACTACTGTCGAGTTTGTACTGGGGTCAAGCGGCATTGCAGAAGAAAATAAGGCATTTAGGTTTTAGGTCAGGTGTGAGTTAAAGAGGTTTTAAGTTTTTGAGAACACAGGCCAAGGGAGTAGAAGGAGGAATGGAGGGTGGAAGGTTGCCCATAGTGAAGGAAGCAAGCCCAGAGAAAAGAGTAGAGACACAGAGAAGGGGTGGGGGGTTCTTGCCCTCCAGAAAAGCAGAGAAAGGGTTGGGGCACGGAAATAAGGGATTGGGGCACAGAGATAAGAGGTTGGGGTGCGGAAATAAGGGATTGGGGTACAGAGATAAGAGGTTGGGGCGTGGAAATAAGCGATTGGGGGGTTCTTGCCCCCTAGGAAAGCGGGACTTGCCGCTAAGGGTGAAGGAGAAGGGGTTGAGGGGTACTTGCCCCTCTCCCAGAAAAGCAGAGAAGGGGTAGAGACAAGGAGAGAAGGGGTTGAGGTACTTGTCCCTTCCCCAGAAAAGAGGGACTTGCCGCTAAGGGTGAAGGACCAAGGCAGGCGTCCCTGCGTGGTCTGACACCCTTGAAACGTGTAAGTATAATCAGAGAGGTGTCCCTGCAGTGATTAAACACCAAGGGAAGGCTGCCTTCCCAGTCCGTGACTGGCGCCGGAGTTTTGGGTCCATGGATAAAACGTGTCTCCTTTGTCTCTCCCAGAAAATGAAAGGAATTGAAATGAAGAGAAGGGAGAGATTGAAGTGTAGCACCAAAATTGAAAGGAGAAAGAGGTTGAGGGATAGTGAGGGAGGTTGGAGAAGAGAGTAAAAAGAGGCCGCTTACCGGATTTGAAATTGCTGAGATGTTTCTTGGGCTGGTCGGTCTGAGGACGTGAGGTC
Source organism: Homo sapiens (assembly GCF_000001405.40). Lineage (NCBI taxonomy): Eukaryota > Metazoa > Chordata > Mammalia > Primates > Hominidae > Homo > Homo sapiens. Next base: position 125,264,099 of record NC_000007.14, read on the forward strand.
GTAGGTGGATCTTTCTTATGGAGCAAAGAGCAGGAGGACGGGGGATTGATCTCCCAAGGGAGGTCCCCCTATCCAAGTCACGGCACCAAATTTCATGCGCGTCCATGTGAAGAGACCACCAAACAGGCTTTGTGTGAGCAACATGGCTGTTTATTTCACCTGGGTGCAGGCCGGCTGAGTCCGAAGAGTCAGCGAAGGGAGATAAGGATGGGGCCGTTTTATAGGATTTGGGTAGGTAAAGGAAAATTACAGTCAAAGGGGGTTTGTTCTCTGGCGGGCAGGAGTGGGGGTCACAAGGTTCTCAGTGGGGGTGATTTTTGAGCCAGGATGAGCCAGGAAAAGGACTTTCACAAGGTAATGTCATCACTTAAGGCAAGGACCGGCCATTTACACTTCTTTTGTGGTGGAATGTCATCAGTTAAGTTGGGGCAGGGCATATTCACTTCTTTTGTGATTCTTCAGTTACTTCAGGCCATCTGGGCGTATACCTGCAAGTCACAGGGGATGCGATGGCTTGGCTTAGGCTCAGAGGCCTGACAGTAGGTACTGGTGGAATCACCTGACTTTTCTTATCTCCTTGCCTAAACATCCTTCTCAGGAATAAGAGCACCACAGGCCTGAGCTGAAGCCCAGAATCCAGAGCTAATCTGAGTGGGGTAGATGAACCTGTATCAGTAAGACATGAAATTAGAAACTAATGGCAGACAGGAAACTATGGGCTCTTGGACCAAGACGGACTTTCGAAAATGGCAAAACTAAATCAAAGATGAAGACAAAGGATAAAAATTAAAAGCTGACTTGGGTACAGCTACAGAGGACTTGCAATGACGTTCAGTGAGATTGATCAGAAAGCATCAGGGATGCATAAGAAGCTCATTCATTCAGAGATTCCCTGACAAAGGAATCCTCTGATAAGACACTTGGGCTTTTACCCATGAACATGGAAGAAGAGATAAGGTCTGGCTTTGAAAACGATTTTATTAAACACTGACCCTTCTAATATACCCAACAAGACCTAATTGTGCATGAATTCTAACTTGCGGAATGTTTTGTTCTTCAGAAGCCACAACATAAAGAAGTGAACATAAGTAAAATTTCAGGACAAGCAGTATCAAAAGTGTACAGGTGTATATATAACTTTTTCATAGTTTTCCTTAGTTAAATATTAAGAAAAAAAGCAAGAGTTATATTTCCTTAAGCAGACAGTTTCTTTGACAATATATTTTAATTAGTACAAGAATGGTAGAATATGATAAATATAGAAGATAATTTAGGCATAGAAACATGTTAAGTGTATCTAAAACTAATATTTATGAATTATTAATTTAGTAAAATTTGTCACTGTGTTTAGGAATATTAAGCCATATTAAGTAGTATATCTTAAAGTTATTCACATATTCCAATAAGTATGAAGAGTTAGAAGAATATTGTTTAAAAATATAGATGGCAAAAATACTAAAGTTGCACCGTTATTGTAGTTTTGGAATACGGAATAGGAAAACAGCAATGTGAAATATTAGAGTTTATTTCAATGTTTTAAAGTCCTGCAATCTTCATTATGTAGCTATTAAAAAGCAATTTTTTGTTCATATTACTTTGACCATATCACCTTAGGCCTTCCAACGATGTTTTCCTGCCAAGAAACAAATTAAGCATTTATTAGAGGTCACTAAGGCATCATTACAGGAGTAATTGCTCACTATAGGTTCTTGCCATTCGTTCATTTATTACTCTCTCTGTCTCTTACAAGCCCTTTATAGAATCATGGATTTTTAATAAGTCTTGCACTCTGTGGTGATCTCAGGTTTGGCGTCGCTCATATAATTTGTTTCCTTTTTGATTCTGACAGCTTGTTGTTTACAAAATGATAAGTTCTTCCTACAAGAAAGTCCATAAAATGGCCTGAAAGATGCTATAAAATTGCTAACACTGTAGAATATGAATTATTAACAATACGAATTCTTTGTCTTTTCTGTGACAATTACCTTCCTTCTTTTCTTTATCATCTTATAATTTCCAAATTATAGGTAGATTATGTAGCTTTATAGTAAACCACAAGGCCATTCATAGGCTCATTCTGGAAAGTTTCTATACTTTCCATGGTATACCAATGTGGAAACTGTCCAACATGGTGCTCTCTCTACCCCTCACCAAAGGCCATGCCACTGTGGCTCAGACAAGTGCTTGGGAATTCCAGTGGGACAGGCACTAATAGTACTGACCCTAAAATAAAAACCACAAAATAACTAATTTCCTGATGCACCATTATATTCCCTTTCCACTTTTCTGAAAAGAAAACTCTGACTTTGCTTTCACATATAAGGTTGTTATTATGCAACTAATTTTTATATGAAAATGATCTCCTTATGAGATAGTCCAGCATCTTTTCATACAGATGTAAATAAATGTGGTAAAACTGTAGTTTACACTCTCATTTTCTAAAGCATTAGCAATATTGCATGATAAACAGTGTCATTTCATATAAATATTGTACTGTATAAAAATGATATTTTAATGACTTCCTCTAAATTTCTTGGAATATGAGACTAACTGCATTGTAAAAGTAATCCAAGCATAGACAAAGTAATGGTTTTATCATTAAGATTCTGTATCATACAGTACAAAGAAACTCTGTTGTTGTGTTTTGCATTTCAGAACATCACACAGTTGAATATTGGTATTATGCAGTTATGAATAGTGCCTAAATTTTCTCTTAAAAAGTCTGCTTTTCATTTTCAACCAGAAAACTAAATGTATGAGTATCACAACTTTCATTCAAATAATGTATGTGGTAGTCATGATTGCTGTCCATATCAGTTATGTCTGGGCCTTCTTCCCTGCCACCTTGCAATTGGGAAGCTCTATGGTCTAGGTTGCTTTGGACAATGAAATGTTAACAGAAGTGACTTGTATCATTTATGAACTGAGATTTTTAAAACAGCAATAATCCATTACATTTTTTTTCTCTGCCACAGTGATATAGTTTAGCTATGTCCCCACCCAAATTTCATCTTGAACTATAGTTCCCATAATCTCCACAGGTCATGGGAGGGACCTGGTGGGAGGTAATTTAATCATGGGGGTGGTTACCTTCATGCTGTTCTTGTTATATGAGTGAGTTTTCACAAGATCTGATGGTTTTACAAGGGGTATTTCCCCCTTTGCTCGGCACTTCTCCTTCGTGCCATCATGTGAAGAAGGACATGTTTCCTTCCAGTTCCACCATGATTTTAAGTTTCCTGAGGCCTCCCCAGCCATGCTGAACTGTGAGCCAATTAAACCTCTTTCCCTATACATTATCCAGTCTCGGGTATGTCTTTATTAGCAGCATGAGAAAGAAGTGATACACAGAGTACCCAGGAAATATTCCAGAAAATATCTTCTTGTTTTCTCAGCCTAGGTCCCAAAATAAGAATGACTTAGAGAAGAGGCCTTAGCTAACCTTCATAGGACATAAAATTTGAGTAAAAAACTAACCTTCAGTGCTTACATCATTAAGTTGTTTGTTGTACATCTTAACCTAGTATAAATGAATGTTCCCATAAGGGGAAACACTTAAATATGTGGTATTTGTTTAGGGTCTGACTGGTAGATAGTGAATAAATAATGGTTGGCTGTTGGAAAGCAAGCAATCTATGCTATGTAATGGCGAAAATGTTGGTAACATTTTTGCTATGATAGCTTGGAAGGCAGGTCAATTACTAATGAACCTGCAGCTTTGAGGGAAGAAGTTGGGATGTGCAGGGTTGGAAGCATATGTTGATTGCTATTGGCTATATTTGGCGATGTATTAAAAGGAAGAGATGAAAGGAGGAAAGAATTGATCAGTTTGCAACTAGAAATGAAAGAGAATAGAGAAAAATCACAAAATTAGGTACCTGCAAGTTTGCAAAAGATAGATGCTTGTCAATTACCGAGTAAATAAAGTAAAATAAAAGTGATAGAAGACATTTGAAATAATTTGAAAAAATGAGATGTCACTGAATATTGGATATTATTTCAAAATGAATGAGATTAAGAGTAACATATTTGAAAATAATACAATATAAAATAAAATATTATAAAAAATTTGAGCACGGAAGTCTATTTGAACCTCAGCCTTTCTGTTCAGATCCAATTAGTGTTAGAAGTACAATATTGGTACTTGAAAAAGTTAAATGGATTAAAGTGGTGTGTATTAGGTCCATTCAACTGGACAAAATAGCACAGGGAAAAAAAAGGCCAAAGGTATAGTTCCCACTGTATTCATTTTCTATTGCTGCTGTAACAAACTACTACAAACTTAATGGCTTAAAACTGCACAAATGTATTATTTTACATTTCTCTTGGTCAGAAGTATAGCATTGATCTTATTGGATAAAATCAAGGTAGCAGCAGAACTGTTTCTTTTAGAGGCTCTAGAGGAGAATCTATATCCTGACTTTTCCAGCTTTTAGAAGCTGACGAAATTCCTTGGTTTATTGTCCTCTTTTTAAAAACCAACAATGGCCGGTTAGGTCTTTCTCAGGATTCTGACTTCTGCTTCTGTTCTCACATCTTTTTCTCTGACTCTGCCTATCCTGCCTTTGTTTTACTTTTGCAGAATCTTGTGATTACAGTGGTCCACCTGAATTATCCAGGACAGTCTTTCTGCCACAAGATCCTTAATCACATATACAAAGTCCCATCTGTTATGTAAGGTAACATAATCAGAGTTCCGTGGAATTAAGATGTGGATATCTTTGGAAGTCATTATTCTGCCTATCTTAGTGAATAAATGATGAATGGATGTTGGAAAACATGCCATCTATCTTATGTAGTGGTGAAAATGTTGGTGAAGTTTTTGAGATGATAACAAAGCAGGTCAGTATCTAATGAACTTGTAGCCCTAGGGGAAGAGGTTGCAATTTGCAGCATTAGGATCCCCTTGTATCCAAAGATTCATGTCCAATCCACATGCAAAATACTTTCACCTTATTTACTCCAATATTCTCAAAAGTCTCAACTAATTACAGAATCAACTAAAAGTTAAAAAAAAAACTCATCTAAATTTTATTAGCTCAAAGTTTCAGATCTCATTACCTAAAACATTTAACTCAGGTATGGGTGAGAATCTGGGTAAAATCCATCCACAGGGAAAATGTTCCTTTATCTTTAGACTTATAAAACTAGGAAACAAGTTTCCTGCTCCTAAAATACAATGATGGGACAGGAATAAGACACAAGTTATAGACATTCACATTAAAAAAGGAAGACAAGGGAAGAATAAAGGAGACACCAATTCCAATTTCAAAATCTCAGATGGAAAACTCCATTGAATTTAAAGGCCTGAGAATAATCCTGAGAGTAGTGGCTCTTTCCTTATAATTGTCCTCCTTTTTTCATGAAGGATGGCACAGTAGGTTAGTAGTTTTACCAGCCTGTTTCCTGCTCTTAGAATTTTGGAAGTCAACACCTTTTTTCATTACTTCATCTTTCTATTCCTTTTAATAAAATCTGGCTATGTTTCTAGTGAGCCTGTTCTATTATACTCCTCAAAATTATTCCAGCCTATGTTCATTGCCCAATTCCAAAGCCATGTCTACAGGTTAGGTATTTTTACAGCAGCCACCCTCTTCTTGTATGATAATTGGTTTTCATTTCCTATTGGATCAAAAGTTAGTTTTTAGTTTTTTAAGGATTCTCCATATTGTCTTCCGTAGTGGTTGTACTAGCTTACATTCCCACCAGCAGTGTAAAAGTGTTTCCTAAAAAGGAAATATTAAGGATGTGGTAAAAAACCACATGCATCTCAGCATCTATTATTTTTGGATTTTTAAATTATGGCCATTCTTGCAGGAGCAAGGTGGTATCTCATTGTGGTTTTAATTTGCATTTCCTTGATAATTAGTGATGTTGAGCATTTTTTCATATGTTTGTGGGCTGTTTGTATATCCTTTTTTTTTTTTTTTTTTTTTTTGAGAATTCTCTATTCCTGTCATTTGCCCACTTCTTAATAGCATTATTTGCTTTGTTCTTCTGGGTTTGTTTGAGTTCCTCGTATATTCTGGATATTAGTCCTTTGTCAGATGCATAGTTTATGACTATTTTCTCCCATTCTGTGGGTTGTCTGTTTACTCTGCTTATTATTTCTTTTGTTGTGCAAGCTTTTCAGTTGAATTAAGTCCCATTTATTTATCTTTGTTTTTGTTGCACTTGCTTTTTGGTCATGAATTCTTTGCCGAAGCCAATGTCTATGAGAGTTTTTCTGATGTTATCTTCTAGAGTTTTTATGGTTTCAGGTCTTAGATTTAAGTCTTTGATGCATCTTGAGTTGATTTTTGTATAAGGTGAGAGGTGAGGATCCAGATTCATTCTACATGTGGCTTGCCAATGATCCCAGCAGCATTTGATGAATAGGATGCCCTTTCCACCACTTTATGTTTTTGTTTGCTTTGTCAAAGATCAGTTGCCTATAAGTATTTGGGTTTATTTATGGGTTCTGTATTCTTTCCATTGCACTATGTGCTGATATTTATACCAGTACTCTGCTGTTTTGGTAACTATAGCTGTGTAGTATAGTTTGAAGTTGGGCAATGTAATGCCTCCAGATTTGTTCTTTTTGCTTAGTTTTGCTTTGGCTATGAGGGCTCTTTTTTGGTTCCATATCAATTTTAGGATTGTTTTTTTCTAGTTCTGTGAAGAATGATGATGGCATCTGGCAAATCAGAAAGGAGGAATTACCTAAATGTAGAGCCAGGGCATAAGAGACTGGGGAGGCCTTCAGTGGAGAAGAATTAGGACCTAATAATGATACATTTCATAATCTAGTGTAGAGGATCTTGCATAGTATGCAAATAGGTTATAGATTTTCTATGCATAAGTAACTGCTGCTTCTCCCATCATTTTTCTATCAAATGGAATATTTACTGTGAGTTTCCTTTTGATGCTTCATCATCATATATTAAGAGCACTGGAAGCAAACAAATTGGATTTTAAGTTTATAGATTTCTGTACCAAGAGGAATGGCAACCAAATCAAATGAAGACACAGCCAGTCATCATGCTCAGACATTAGACTTTGCGCCTGAGGCAGAGATTAAGTATAATTTTTGGTTTTTCTTTATGTTCTGAAATGTAGAAAGGAGCATAAACTGCATATTTGGCAACCCAGAAGGTAAATTGTTATAGTCTCTGATGCTGCCTGAAAGCACTTCTGCTTCTTTTCCTTGGCAAGTTGATAGGCTCACACTTGCTTTTTACTTTGAATTTGGGAATGGTCATATTTCTTGATTTGACCAGAAAACTTAATGCAGGGAGAACACGAATCACTTCTAGATGGACGTTTATCCAAGTTATCATGCACTAGACTGTCTCTTCCTTCTGAGATGGAAATGATTTTCCAGGTAGTAGCTGTTTTATCACTCTGGGTTCAAGAGTGAGGGTAGCTTGGTGCAAGTGCCCCTAGCTAAATTATACTGGACATGAGGTATGAACAAAAATGAGCAGGAAAGAAAACTTTGTGGCTTGAATCCACTGAGATTTCAAGGCTTTTGTTTTGTCTTTTGTAACTATAGCATGACACAGCTCATACAAATATCATTGAAAAATCTCATTTTATTTTTCATATGAGACAACATGGGACAATAAAAATAATTGGCTTATCCTTGTCAGTCATCTTAAAAGGCTAATGCAAGTCGATTTGAAATCTGAGGGTAGACTGAAAAAAATAGGTTTTTGAAAAATATATATGTAATTAATAAAATATGTGTCATATTTCAAATTTACGTGCTAAGATGCCAGTAGTTATGTTTATGTAGTTTGCCTTTTTCAGATCCAGTTTTCTTACTGACTCTGAGGCATCATTCTGTGCAGTTGAGAGCATTTTTAGAATTTACCTACATAAAAGTATTTTGTATTATAAACTTATTTTGATTTTTTTCGCTGTAAAATAAAAATTGGGCTTTTCTTTTCCCAATTAATTTGATGCTTTTTCAAATATACTTATAATGCTTGATATCTTACATTCCACACTCCTCTGATTCTGATGACAGATAGAAATGATCAGCCTATTATCAACTCAACAATTTCTTGTTAAAGACAATAAATGACTTTGCTGTTGTGTTAGCTGTGGATTCAACTTTTACTTTAAAAACATGTGATTCAGCTTCCTACTTCATCTTCTCCCCAGCTCCTGACAACCACTGTTTACTCTCTGCTTTTCTGTGTTTGATTCATTTTATTTTTACTTTTTATTTTATTTGTATGAATTTATGAAGTGAAGTGTAATTCTGTTACATGGATATATTGTATAATGGTGAATTCAGAGCTTTTAGTGTGTCTATCATCAGAATAACACACATTGTACCTGTTAAGTAGTTTCTTGTTTTATACGGTTCCCAGCCCCCAACCCTTCCAAGTCTACATTGTTATCGTTCCACACTCTATGCCCATGAATACCCATTATTTAGTTTCCACGTATGTGGTAATTGACTTGCTGCTTCTGTGTTATTTCTCTTATAGCCTCCAGTTCCATCCATGTTGCTGCAAAAGACATGATTTCATTCTTTTTCATGGCTGAATAGCATTCTATTCTGCATATGTACAACATATTTTTTAAAATCTAGTAATCCATTGATGTAAACATACAGTGATTTCATATTTTTGCTATTGTGAATAGTGCAGCAATAAACATGAGTTCATGTATCCTTTTGAGGTAACAATTTCTTTCCCTTTGGGTAATTACCCAGTAGTGGGATTGCTGGATCATATAGTAGTCCTCTTTTTAGTTCTTTGAGAAATCACCTCACTGTTTTTTTCAAAGGTTGTACTAATTTACATTCTCACCAACAGTGTACAAGTATTCCCTTTTATCTTCATTCTTGCAAACCTCTATTAATTTTTTTTTAATAATTATGATTGGTATAAAATGTTATCTCATTATGGTTTTAATTTGGATTTCTCTAACGACTAGGGTTGATGACCTGTTTTTCCTGTGCTTGCTGGCCATTTGTACGTCTTTTTTAGCAAAATGTCTGTTCATGTCCTTTACCCACTTTTTAATGGGATTATTTATTTATTTATTTATTTGGTTGAGTTGTGTGATTTTTCTCGTCAATTTTGACTATCAATCCCTTGTCTAAGGTACAGTTTTTCAAACATTTTCTTTCATTCTGCGAGCTGTCTGTTCACTCTATTGATTATTTCTTTGGCTGTAAACCAAATGTATCTGGTAGACATTTCATTTTATCCAGCAACTGAAAAATATAAATTTTTATCATCTGAACATGTAACATTCTCCAAGATACATCATAGGTAAGGATACAAAATCAGTCTCAACAAGTTGAAAAAATCAAAATTATGTTAAGTATCTTTTCAGATCACAGCAGAATATACTAGAAATTAATACCAAGAGGAACGTTAGAAACTATAAAAATACATGGAAATTAAATAACATGCTTCTGAACAATTTTTGAGTCAATGAAAAAATTAAGACAAAATTTAGAATTTTTTTGAAATGAATGAAAATGGAAACACAACATACCAAAATGTCTGGGATATAGCAAAAGCAGCGCTAAGAGAAAAGTTTATACCATTAAATGCTTACATCAAAGAAGAAAAAAAATCACAAGTCATCAACCTAACCTCACACCTCAAGGAATTAGTAAAACAAGAACAAACTAAACTCCAGGTTGGCAGAAGAAAAGAAATAACAAAAATGAGCAGAGCTAAATGAAATTGAGACCAAAAATAGAGTACAAGTGATCAACAAAACAAAAAGTCGGTTTTCAAAAACATAAAATTGATTAACTGCTAGCTAGACCAACCAATAAAAGAATAGAAGATCCAAATAAACAAAATCAAAAATGAAAAAGACATTACAGACTACTATGAGCAACTACAGGCTCACAAACTAGAAAATGTAGGGGAAATTAATAAGTTGCTGGAAAAACACAACTTTCTAAGCATGAGCCACGAAGAAATAGAACTCCTGAACAGACCAATAATAAGTAACTCGATTAAATCCATCATAAATATTCTTCCAACACAATAATAAAAGCCCAGGAGCAGATGGATTCAAAGTTGAGTTTTTCCAAATATGCAAATAACTGATACCAATCCTCCCAAAATTGTTCCAAAAAAAAAACACAGGAGGAGGGAATTCTCCATAACTCATTCTATGAGTTCTGTTATCACCCCGATACCAAAACTAGATGAGGACACAACAACAAACTGCATACCAATATCCTGGATGAATATAGACACAAAATCCTTGACCAAATACTAGCAAAATAATTCAATGGCACATCAAAATGATAATACACCGTCTATTTGATTATTTTAGATACCTCATTTTAGACTGTGCTGAAGTCTAACGTAAGTAATCTTTGTGGTAAATCCAATCATGCAGTTTATGGGAAGTTGCTATTCAATGGATATAAAATTTCAGTTAATCAAGGTGGTTAAATTTTAGAGATCTGCTGCACAACATTGTACCTTTAATTAACAAAACTGTGTTACACACTTAAAAATTTGTTAGGAGAGTGTATTTCATGTATAGTGTTCCTACTACAATCTAAAAAATCTGATTCAAAATACTTATTTTTTTATTTGTGGAGCTAATATACTTTTGAGATTAGTTTGAAATTAATTTTGAGGTTGACTTTAGTAATAGTATTTTGAGAAAAATCTTAGGTTTAATTATGAGAGGTGAAGCCAGCTGGACTCCCTGGGTTGAGTGCGGACTTGGAGAACTTTTCTGTCTAGCTAGAGGATTGTAAACGCACCAATCAGCACTCTGTAAAAATGCGCCAATCAGCGCTCTATGTCTAGCTAAAGGATTGTAAATGCACCAATCAGCACTCTGTAAAAATGCACCATCAGCACTCTGTGTCTAGCTAAATGATTGTAAATGCACCAATCAGCACTCTGTAAAAACGTACCAATCAGCACTCTGTGTCTAGCTAAAGGATTGTAAAATGGACCAATCAGCTCTCTGTAAAATGGACAAATCAGGTCTCTGTAAAATAGACCAATCAGCAGGATGTGGGTGGGGCCAAATAAGGGAATAAAAGCTGGCCACCCGAGCCAGCAGTGGCAAACTGCTTGGGTCCCCTTCCACACTGTGGAAGCTTTGTTCTTTCACTCTTCACGATACAATCTTGCTGCTGCTCACTCTTTGCATCTGCACTACCTTTAAAAGCTGTAACACTCACTGCGAAGGTCTGTAGCTTCAGTCCTGAAGTCAGTGAGACCATGAACCCACCGGGAGGAACAAACAACTCCGTACACGCCACCTTTAAGAGCTGTAACACTCACTGTGAAGGTCTGCGGCTTCACTCCTGAAGTCAGCAAGACCAAGAACCCACTGGAAGGAACCAATTCCAGACACAGTATGATAGCTTTGGGAGACAAAAGTAACACCTATAGATAGCAGACCAGAAAAGACATTTCCTGTGATTATCTATAGAGATAATGTTTTTTGTGCTTATTCATAAAAACATTAAAAACTGAATAGCCTTAAATGAGTTTTAGAAATGCCCATACCTGAATTCAAGTCCTGGATCTGCCAATGTCTAACTATATGATTGAGCAATTAAAAAAAAAAACAAAACTTATCTAAACCTCAGTTTACTCATCTGGAAAATGAGGCAGAGGGGAAATATTTTTAAAAAGCCAAACATAGATTTTAATCTGTCAATTGAATGTGGTCCTTTTTGTAAAGTGTTTTGCATTAAAATTTCAAAAAAAAATACTAGATGAAATGATTGGTATTAGAAAGGCTATGTATGTAATTCTGGGACTGCCTGAACATGTGCTTTAAATTTTTCATACCTATTTGCAGTTGGAAAATCAGCTCTTACCTGCTGGTAGAAAGGCCTAGTTGATCAATTAACTTTATAATAATTACCCCTCCTGCTGTAAAGTTAATTAAATAATGGCCCAAGAGCAGATGTCAGGAACTGTTTTAAATTTTCTAAAGTAATTTCTTTGATTCAGCCAGCAACTATTCATTAGATTACGTATATAAATTCTGAAACTCTAATTTCAATGAAATTGGGTATTATACTACTTTCAGTTTATATTTTGTTGAAGATACAATTGTCCCTAAAGAACGATCAATTTAACTGCTTTCATCACAACCAGTGGGCAAATTTAGGCACAAACCTATCTAATAAAAAATAATTCATGAGTTATAACTTTTTTTGTCAAATAATTATTGTGGCCCAGGGTAAAATAACTAGATGTTATCTTGAAACAGTTAGAATTCTTGATCAAACACTGATATGCCAATAATTTGTTATCTTCTATCTTTCTGTTACCATTGGTGAAGCTTTTATCACAAATAACATTTTAGAAGGGAATAATAGGAGTTCAATTAAAGTGTTAAACCAAACATTGCATTTATTATCTACTATGTTTCTGGCAATGTAGATTTCTATGTGTATAATTTTGAATATATTATATTGTTTTTATTAGGGTTCTCTAGAGGGATGGAACTAATAGGATAGATATATGTATAAAGGGGAGTTTATTAAGTAGTGTTAACTCACAGAATCACAAGGTCCCACAATAGGCCATCTATAAGCTGAGGAGCAAGGAAGCCAGTCCAAGTCTCAAAGCTAAAGAACTTGGAGTCTGATGTATAAGGTCAGGAAGCATTCCACATGGGAGAAAGATGTAGGCTGGAAAGCTAAGCCAGTCTAGCCTTTTCACATTTTTCTGCCTGCTTTATATCCTGGCCATGCTGGCAGCTGATTAGATGGTGCTGTGACTCAGATAAGACTTTGAACTTTAGACTTTTGAGTTAATGCTGAAATGAGTTGAGACTTTGGGGGACTGTTGGGAAGGCATGATTGGTTTTGAAATGTGAATATATGAGATTTGGGAGGGGCCAGGGGTGCAATGATGTGGTTTGGCTCTGTGTCCCCACCCAAATCTCATCTTGTAGCTCCTGTAATTTCCATGTATTGTGGGAGGGACCTGGTGGGAGATGATGGAATCATGCGGAAGGTCTTTCCCATGCTGTTCTCATGATAGTGTATGGGTATCATGAAATCTGGTTTTAAAAACAGGAGTTTCTCTGCGCAAGCTCTCTCTTTGCCTGCTGCCATCCATGTGGGATGTGACTTGCTCCTCCTTGCCTTCTGATTCATGATTGGGAGGCCTCCACAGCCATGTGGACCTGTAAGTCCAATACAGCTCTTTCTTTTGTAAATTGCCCAGTCTTGGGTATGTCTTTATTCATGGCTAGCAAATGGCAGAGATATGATTTATATCCAGAGCTTTCTGACTGTAAGTATTTACCACTTTGTTTTCTTGCTTGTTGGTATCGTGAAGTTATATATAGCTTAATAATTCTCACAAAGAGAAAAACATATTCCCTTTTGGAGGCTGAGGCAGGTGGATCACTTGAACCCATGAGTTCAAGACAAGCCTGGGCAATATGGCTAAACTCCATGGTTGCAAAAACTACAAAAATTAGCCAGGCATGGTGGCCTGTGCCTGTAGTCCCAGCTACCTAGGAGACTGAGGCCAAAGGATCATCTGGGCTCAGGAGGCCGAGGCTGCAGTCGGCCATGATTATGCTACTGCACTGTAGTGTGGGCAACAGAGTGAGACCCTGTCTCAAAACAAACAAACAAACAACAAAACATCACCAAATCAAAACATATTCCAAGAACTGAGAGAGGAAGTTCCAGACATGAAACTAACTGAATACCCTGATAGGTAATTGTTAATAAGCTAAAATTCCTCAAATCAAGGTTTTCTGAGCTGTACATTTGTGCTAAATTCAAAGATTCATGTTAAGAGTATTTGAAAGTTTAAGAAGCTCTTGGATGACATGGCCCAGTGATTTGGAGTTTTGGTCATCTATAAACATGTTGGTGTAAAATGGATACTCTAGAGACATAGATATTCACCTGAACATGGCTGCTTAGTGCAGTAGTTATAAAAAATTATTAAGCTAAACTGCCTAGGTTCAAACCTCTTTATAGGTATGTGACCTTGTTTAACTCTTCTATTTATACCCCAGATATTTTCATCTGTAAAATTGGGATGATAATAATAAAGTTTCACAGATGATTGGTAGAATAATTAAATGGTAATGTCTGAAAAATATGTGGAATTATGTCTGGAACAAAGTAAGAGCGATACAAATATTTGCTAAATAAATAAATAAAAATAAAGTCTTCACTGATGACCCGGAGTGGAAGTAGTCTCTCTGTCTTCTGTGTTCTGATATATTGGAGTAAACTCATGGACGTTACCACATTACCCTTCCTTTTAATTACTTATTTACCTACCTTTTTGTTATGGTAGGTTTTAAGCTTCTTGAGAAGAGAGAGTATTTTTTTTCCTACAGTCTCAGAATATTGCTCAATAAGACTCATGCATAAGAGAATCAATGACTCTCTAGAGGCAGGAGTGTGACTTCTGTTTCCTTTCCTGGGAGGGAACATTGCTAACTGTGACAGTTTTACACCATCTGTCAGAATACAGTGGCAGTTAACATTGGTGGAAATTGATACCTTCTGATATAATCATTTAGTTCTTTCTATGTATATGGTAGGTGACATAATATGCCTACAAAGTTGTCTGTGTCCTAATCTTTAGAACCAGTGGATATGTTACCTTACATGACAAAGAGGACTTTGCAAATGTGATTAAGTTAAGAACCTTGAGATGGGAGATCATCCCGGATTATCCATATGAGCCCAGTATAATCATAAGGGTCCTTATAAGAGGGAGACATTTGAAGCAGGGGTCAGAGAGGTGCTATTGCTGATGAGGAACATGTGCCAGGGAATGTAGGCAGCCTCTATAGACTGGAAAAAAAAAAAGGAATAAATTCTCTCTTCGAATCTCCATAAAAAACTCACCCCTGCTCACACACTGATTCTAAGATCTTTGACCTCCAGAACGTTAGTATGCTACGTTTGTGTTATTTCACACCACTAAATTTATAGCAAGTTTCTACAGCAGCAATTGGAAATTTATAAAATCTGCTTCTGGAATAAAAGAAAATGAAAACAAAAAGATAATAAGAAAGAAAAGAAAGAAAGAAGATTGGAAGAAATAGGGTGCTTTGCTATAAGTAACATCTCTGGTTGGTGTTAATAAAGGCGCCATAAATTGTAAGACAGAATTAATTATCACAACCGATGATGGGCAGGAAATAGCATGAATTGTTGCAAACAATTTAAAACAAGTACATAAAGTATTTTTTACTAGAAGTTAGTAGAAGTTTATATAAAAATTACTTTAGTATGAGCGTGGCAACGCAATAAAATAAAATCAATTCATTGTATAAAGAAACAATAAAATTAATGAAATAAAATTAATTCATTATAAAAACGCAGGTGTCACAAGCCAAGTGCAGAGTTTATACAATATTTTATAAGCAAAATATTGTAAATGGTAAAAGTTTTATTTTTTTTATAAACTCTAATATGTAAATATTTATATTCATGCCTCTACTACCTTGCCTGCTGTCTCTGATCCCCGATTTTAAACCAGAAGCAATTGTGTTTAGGGCTTTGTGAAGGGATAGCAAACAGAACAGCACTGGATAGGATGATACTGTCACTCTCGTTTTAATAAAGGGTCCTCAGAAATGCTGAACAGAAGCTTTAATAGCATTCCTGGCAACAACCATCCCTGTTCCCCATGTATTTTGAATCAGATTTAATTTGAATTAAATAGAAATAAAAACTCTTTACCATTGCACCCTAATGACTGTAATTTTCTCTCAAGCTGTTACTTACACACACAGTATGCTGCACCTAGGAAAGAACATCCCTATGCTTATTTATTGAGTCTCAAGAATAATGTCTTAAAAACTAACATGTTCAAAGGATGAACTTAACTTCAATACTGTGAATTAATATGAAATATAAGCCTTTCTGAATTCTCCAAAATAACAAAAATCTCCAATTTAGATGGCTTCCTTTTGTTGCAATAATTCTAGTCAGCCCATTGACATCACCCAGTTTGTCGTTTTCAGGGCTGTAATACTCCTGTCAGCATCTCTGTGTGGAGCATTTAACTCACCACATAGCTGTAACCCTGATTACCAGAACCAAAATGTCTCTCCATTACCACTTCAAGGAGCTCAACTGTCTGGTGCCAGATGGTATGCAAATTGGTCTCTTTCCAAAGATACAGATGTCACCGTGCCCAGAGTTTGTTAGAGTGTCTACATCCTCTCCTGCTGGGAATATAATTTGGTGGAATAACTCTTTGGCCTACCTGCCAATGATCTGCAGAACATTGACTCATTCCCAGATGACAGCTTTTAAAAATGCATCTTTCTATTCATCAGAATGACAAAGAACCAAAATTCAAAATTGGGGATCAACATACATTTTTGAAATATATGTGCTGAATGGAACATATGCTAGGTGAAAAAAGAAATTTGCTATAAAATTAGGATGATTACTAAAATGAAATTTCAACAAAATGAGAGCTCTAATTTATCTTTCCCTCCTTTCCTCATTGTAAATACCACCTAGAAGAATATCAAGTTGTTCATGGCAAATAGACCAGGGGAACCTGTTTGCTTCCATGTATCATTCCTTTCATATGTAAAGAAAGGCAGGAATGAAAGGAAAAAACATCAGTATTCATGAAAGTTACTTGAACTACATAAAGGTTTTTAGATTGAATAGCTGAATTTAAGCCCTATAGCCTAAGTTTTCTCTTTGTTAATATCTAACATATATGTCCACTTTTAAGGACGTTTCTTTTGTTCCAATTCTATTCCATGGAGTTCTAGGGTAGGATTTTTTTTTTTTTTTTTCTGTTCCCATGCACTTTTAGGTCATCCCGTGACCTAATTGATTATTCAACAATCACATAGTCAAAAATAGGAATAAAATTTTAGCCTAAGACAAGCACACCTGGGAAGATAAATTAGCTCCAAAATAAAATAATTTATACTACAGACCAACGAAACTATTTTAGAATTGTTTACAATTTTAAATTATCCATATCACTGTCTCCTTTATTTAAAAAAATATATAGTCTGAGAGTATTTTATAGATTCAAGCATAATCCTTGGAGTGAAATGTAAAGCTACAATGGAAGCCTGATTATATTTTCTGTGTTTTTATCATTTCTCTAAGATATGCTGGACTTCAGTCTTTAGCATGGAGAAATAAAATATATAATTATACTTTCGGCAGGGTTGTATAATTTGCCATCTCACCAAATTATTGCTATGCCACCAAAATATTTTTAGAAATCATCATAGAGAAAATCCAACAACTCTGTCCTATACTTAAGCCAATAGATTGGTATACAGACACCTCTTAGTGAAATTTATGTGCTAGTTTAAATTTGAGGTAGATTATTTAGTATTTAGGAAGGAACGAAAAACTATTTTTGTATGGAAGCTATAAACTTAGTGCCATTTTATAAAGAACATGTCTAGAAAGAATTAACTCAATAAAGACATTATATTTTTAAGTTTTATAAGCAAAAACAATGTTCTTTTATTTAAGGGTTTGAACTACTATACGTTATTAATGCTAGAAATGATCTACTGTAAATACAGTGCATTTTTTCAGACAGTCAAAACTGATTTAATAAAATAAGTCACAGTTAAACAGGAGATTAAAAAGATAATGCCAGGCTCAGTGGCTCATACCTGTAACCCTAACACTCTGGGAGGCCGAGGCGGGCAGATCACTTGAGGTCAGGAGTTCAAGATCAGCCTGGCCAACGTGATGAAACCCTGTCTCTACTAAAAACACAAAAATTAGCCGGGCGTGGTGGCACGTGCCTGTAATCCCAGCTACTTGGGAGGCTGAGGCAGGAGAATTGCTTGAAACCAGGAGGAGGTGGAGACTGCAGTGAGCCAAGATCCCATGGCTGCACTCCAGCCTGGCAACAGAGCAAGACTGTCTCAAAAAAAAAAAAAAAAAAAGGATTAAATTCTACTAATGGATTAGGAAAAAAAAAAACAAAACACCCAGGATTCTAGTCTAACTTCTAATTTCATCTGACTTCAAGATAAATTATTTGATTTCATTGTAAGGCTGTAGGAAACTCTGAGAGTCTTAATTTACTTATCTGTAAATTGGAGAAAATAGCTGCCTGAAGAAGTAGATAGACACATTATGGTGTTAGACCAATAGTAAGTACTTAGTAATTTTTAGCTATGATGTTGATGATGATGATTAGTATCACAGATATCTAATAACACTACATCTATAACAAATGTTTCTGTCCATTTGACTTTAATACACTATCATTTTTATTTTAAAATATTATCTTTTTAATGGTCTTATAGTCACTGATTTTTCTTCTTCAACTTGTAGCTGTTTTGCTTTCTCTACCTCATTGTCACACATACTTTTCTGGCTTGTAGACTCCTTATGAAAGTAGACGAATGTCCACGTACTGCCTTTCTTAAGAGGACTTAGGCAACTCTGGAAGAAAATACTTGTAAATTTACATTGTGCCCTCACTTTCTGTCTTCTTTAATTTCAAATTTTAGTGCCCTATTTTTTAGTACAGTACAGTTGCATGTTCTCTTTATTGCTCCCTGGTGAAAATGGATATTCACTAAGTCCAGCCTCCAACTCCCATCAGATTATCTTATAACTAGTGAGTTATGGTCATATATGAGAGAAAGTTTTTCCTAAAATTAAAACATGAAAATTGATTTGGTTATCAACAATTGCATATAAAAAATTAGCAGGGCGTGGTGGCGGGCGCCTGTAGTCCCGCTACTCGGGAGGCTGAGGCAGGAGAATGGCGTGAACCCAGGAGGTGGAGCTTGCAGTGAGCCCAGATCGTGCCACTGCACTCCAGCCTGGGAGACAGAGAAAGACTCCATCACAAAAAAAAAAAAAAAAAAAAAAATTGCATAATAGTGACGTACTGCTCTTCAATTTGCCTAATATCATGCAAAAGGCCATTATGAATATAAAACAAACTAAAAGCTGGATGTTTGCTTTCAAAAAGTTGGAAAAACTAGATCAATTGTTTCTACTATCCTCTGTCAGATTTGCAGTGTTACTGATATTTAAACACTAGAGCCATCAACATCAATGCAATCATTAGGATTTTTAAAAGTACTTTGGATAGCATAGTTAATATGCTGTACTTATTAGATAAACAGAACTGTTATTCTATAAAGTTGTCATAGATCTCATTTGTCATTTGATTAAAAGGCAACAATTTGTAGTAAATGTTAGTATGTGTTTCTGAGGCTGCCTTCCCCTACCCACCCTCTACTGTTTTAAGAAAACCGACACTATCTTGTTATGTCAGAAAACTTAGAGGGTCTCTATGGTTTTATACAACCAAATACAGTTGATATAGAATATCAATACTTCTTACTCTACATTCCTCTCTACCCCTTGTGTGATTACTATCACATTAAAAATTGAGGCTTATGGAGGAAGCTGCTGTAAATCAGTAGGAATATTATTTCTCTGTGCCTCTTAAAATAGACAATTATGATTCAGATCCTCAACAGCCCATGTATAAAGATAAGTTCTGCATATCTATACTGGCATTTAAACAAATAAAAGTTTATGACTATAGAATCTATTAAGAAAGTTTAGTTAATGTCAACCTTGTGGGAAGTATTCATTTTGAACATAGTTATTTCTAGAAAAAAATAAATAAATAAAACTTTTTTCTGTTGTCCTAAAATGGTAAATACAAAACATTCAAAAGGAGTGGTTTTCTTTCAATGTGACTATATTATTATTATTGTTGTTGTTTTTAGTTCTGTATTTAGTTGTTTTTAGTTTCAAACCCTGAAAACACGGGGCCTTTTGTAACATATAGTGACAGGTCTTTCACTGGGTATCATTTTTATTTTAGCATCTTGTTCTAGACATTTTCTCCAGAGGCAGTAGTAGTAATAGATCAACAACATTTTACCAAAATCTTAAGACTGCGTGCCTGTAGAAGGAAAGGAAAGTCAGCGATGGTAAAAGATGAAGGAGAAACACAATCAAATAAATTAAAACAGGAGTCACATCTTGTAATGAAGGTGATATGTCATAAACTAAGAAATAGAATTTACTTAGCTTCATGCATCAACAATTCAAATGAATAAATAAGTAAACACACAACTTGACATGGGTAAAAATAGCACTGAAACAGGCAGGACTAACGATGCCAATATACAGGTGTCAAGCCAACCTCCCCATTGTGGTCAAACCTCAAACACCATTGCATAGAATCTAATATATCAGAATTATTTAGCCCAAATAGATTGGTAGTATGTGTGTGCAATCAAATTGAAAAGTGTACATTTTTACCTATTTAATGTGTTTATTTCTAGTGTTATTTGTAATTTTTGTTTTTAAGATATATTATTCAATTTTTAAAGCATTAAAACCTGCCAGTAAGATGTTTCAAACATTTATGCCATGTATAATTTTGGCTTCAAAAATTAAAAAAAAAACACATTTATTTTTGGTGCTTTAATAGAAATGAATAAATTAGCATGTCTTTACCTATTATGTTGTTATATCTTTAGTGTTAATTTGATGTTTGAAATTTAAAAATTAATATCTTCCAAAATAATTTATCCATTAAACTATGTATATAATTTTTTGAAATGACCAGAATATAAGAAAAAAGCCATGATGCCAGAGATGTATTCATGAAGGCCAAAATTACCTTCTGCAGAAGACTTTTTGTTTCTTCACTCGTTTTTACATTTCACAGAAATTTCAAGGCCTGGGGAGCTGGGTCAGGGAAGGCATATCTACTTCAGGCTTGCAGCCATTAATAGAATTTGGTTTTATCTTTTCTTTTGTTACAGTGATATTTTTACTAACTATACTTGTCTCCTCTCAGTGAGCAGCTTGTATCTACATTTAGAATGAATCAATATGGGAGTGCTTTAATAACTATCACCTTTAACAACTTCAGACTGAGGCTAAGGTCTAAAATCAGCTGCCTGTAGAGGTTACATGATCTTCCCTGAGAATTTTCAGAAATACTTGGATAGGAAAACCTGGTTTAAAGAGAAAGGAAGGAAAAGAAGGCAGGACAGAAGGAGGGAGGAATAAAAGGAATAAAATGAACCCCTCAAATAACTGAAAACTATACTTCCTGTGATAAGCCATTAAAGGAAGTGTTAGTTTTAAATGGTGAAAAAATATGGCACATCTTGGTTACAATTGCAGGAATGTCTAAAGATAAATCATATAGCAATTGACTCTGCATTTGAGTGGAGCTGGATATCTACATGCCAAAATATATATTCCATGTTTCAATGTAATTGGACAAAATACATTTGACATTTTAACAAGTAATAATCATTACTCTTGTTGCACCTTTTCCATGTGTTTGCAACCACTTTAGACGTTTGCGTGTTTTATGTGAGAGCTTGGGATTATTTTTTACCCTCATTTTCACAAAAATGAAACTCAATCTCAGCAAAATTAAATCACTTCCCAAAGTTCTTACTGAGGAATTTTAGATGCTTGTTAGAAGCTGGTTTCAAACTGGGTAGTCTAACTCCAATAGTCCTGCTCTTTACCACTATGATATTATTTTAGAAATATGTTCCTTTTAGCTTAAAAAGCTCATTTGAAATCTTCAACTTTGATATCTCATTATTCTAGGCACACACGTATAACCTCTGTATCTCTATATACCAATGACCTACTCAGAATTTGATAAAATTTAAGTGTAATTACTTTTTCTATAAATGATAGTCTAATAGCTGATGTGTTGAAAACATTACACACCAAATTATCCTGAATATACTTCACTATAATGTCATGGCAGATATTTAGCTCTCCAAAATGATTATAGCATTTAAGTTTAACTATTATCAATTTGATGCCAAATAGAATGTCCTGACTCACAAGTACTTATGAAATAATAGTTATTAAATAAATGGATTTGAAAAACTTTTAGTTATGCAACCTAAATTCTAGCTTCATGCTTGTACCCTCAAAATATACTTAGAATATGCAAGCTTAAGAGAATATTTTCTCTTGATTCTTTTATTCTTTATTTTGCCACTAACAATGCAGACAAGGTACATATTGCAGAAGAGGTGTCAATAACCCCTAAGGATCAGCAGAAGAGGTTAGATAGGTATCTACAAATGTGCATATTCTTTCAAACATAGAATCAAAGTCTATGCAGTCTGATTTGGGTTTTTCTTTTTTTTTTTTCAATATATTGGCTTCTGTTTTCTGAGACCACATGACTCCTTATAGTTAAAATTCCAGATTTGTTTGGTTTCTATTTATCTTTTTTGAGGGAAATAGGAAGAGGATGGACTATTTATGAATAATTGAGCAAACTGAATTTCACTCAGTGGAATTTGCTTGTACAAGCACATATACAGGGTTATATTTGTTATAATAAAGAAGAATGACAACAACAAAATTTCATCACTGATAATTTAGAAATATTAAACACTCTTGCCTTATGAAATAATCTCATTCATCTAAAAATTAATGAATGGTTTTAGAGAGACTTTTGAAATCATCAATCTGTTTCTTATGCCATTATGATATTGTCTTGTGAATATGAGAATGACTAAGCAATGTATTGCCTTTCATGGTATAAGTAAAAATACAGCATCACTCTATTACCTCACTGTATAGTTCAGTATGATATTAGAAATGTAAGTGGCTACAATTCAATAGAATCTATATTTAAACTCAAAGCATCTTTTCATATGATGTCAGAAATTGAATGTGGACTAGTAATACTTCCAAGTATGACACATCTTAGTTGAAACATATTACCTGTTTTTGTCACAGTTTAAGACAGATGCTTTAATGATGCAGGCAGACAGTTTCACTGAAATCTCATCAAGATGTTACTAAAAATGTCTTTGGTCTTTATACTGAAATTAAACTCTAGAGAAAATTAGAATATTTTCTTACATACTTCTAGACAATAAGGCTTAGAAACTGAATTGGGTCCATAGCATTTAAGTAGAACTAGAATTTAAGATAATTTTTCAAGGAATAGTCTTACCTCCATTTCTAAGGAAGAACTCATATATAGAAATATTTAGATGGAAATATATAGATAGAAATATTACAGAAAAATTTTTAGTCTGGAGTGGAGGGGCCCTGTGTCGGACCACCACACTCTTCTACACAACACTCACTGTCAAAGCTGGGAACTAGGTTTCCTAGAATCCTCTTAAGTATGTGGTGCTGGTTTAAGGTTTGCCAATGAGAGGAGCTTAGGTGAGATTTAGAAGCCATTACTCTTGGCAACCAAGACATGGCAGTCATGCCACTCTCCAGCTAACTCCTTTTTGAAACTAGAGGATGAATGTAATGACTTCTTAGTCTTCTCCACAAGCTCTGCCTTCTCTACCTGCTCCTGTTTGAAGCCATTAGCAACTGTCTCTCCATGCCTTTGGCTAAGGTACCCCAGACCTTCCCTCTAACATGTCCTTCTACATTTGTTTAAGCTCAAATTTCTTGATTAAATTCTTCCCTGAAAAATTGTAGTGGCTCTATTTCCTTGAATACACCAGGATTAATAAAATTTTTGGTACCGTAAGTGCTTTGGTGAGTACAGACTTAGGTTGTGAAATTAGAATTGATCATCTGATCTGATTAGATTTAAAGGGATAAATAATCTAATTGTCTGATAATTAGGATACAATGAAGGCCAATATCTTAAAAATATGTACACTTGACAAGCTAGAAAATCTTTGGTGTTCAAAGTTTAAGAAGGTAGGAAAGCTTGAGTGGATTTATTTTATATAACCTTTTCTCTTATTCCTAACCAGTTCCCCTGAGATAATCCAGAGGACAACCTCTTCAGCACAGCCTTGTGAGATATATTAGCGAGTGAGTTTGTTTCTTAGTTTTACCTTAATAAGTTACCATAAAGTTGGTGGCTTAAATAACAGAAATTTATTTCTCACAATTCTAGAGGCTAGAAACCCCCAAATCAAGCCAATCGTAGCACCGTGCTCCCTCCGAAGGCTCTAAGGAATAATTTTTTCTTTCCTCTTCTTTCTGCTGTTTGCTGTCAATCCTTGGCATTCCTTGATTTTTGGCATTGTAACTCCAATCTCTGCCTCCGTCTTACATGGCTCTTTTCTCTGCATGTCTCCTCTGTGTCATTTTTTCCCTAAATCTCTCTCCTCTAAGTACCCCAGTCGTTGAATTTAAGGCCCTCTCTAATCCACTATGACCTCAACTTAACTCAATAATGTCTACAAAGTCTATATTTCCAAATAATGCCACATTTACAGCTCTTCAACATATTTTTTGGAATTCAACCCGCACAATGAGGGAAGCAATAGCACTTTCAAAAGGCATGGTAGTGTTTTTTCTCTGCAAGCAAAGCATAGTAGTGGGAAATGGTGCTATTAAAATGGGATTATTAAATATAATGAAACGATGGAATTTTATAATGGTGGGACCATGCAGTGCCACTTAATCACTATAGACAGCCTACGTAGAGTAAGCCTAATCCGTAGCAGGACCAGAGCAGTACCAAGAATGGTTTGACCTACAAAGATCTTGAACAATCTTTTGCTAGCATATCATGAAATTCTCAGGATTGCCTTGCTGCCCCTTCACCTTCTGCCTTGATTGTAAGTTTCCTGAGGCCTTCTCAGCCATGTGGAATTGTGAGTCAATTCAATCTCTTTTCTTTATAAATTACCCAGTTTCAGGCAGTTCTTTATAGCACTATGAAAATGGACTAATACAGTAGCCTTCTTAAGGATTTATATAAACGAGGTTTTATATTACTCATGGCCCCACATGTAATTCCCAAAATTGAGTCAATTCACAGGCCCAGGAATCTTTAAGAGAAAGAAAGTTTAGGCCCTTAATGAAGGACTCTTTTACTGTGCCAACAATTTATTCTGCCAATTGCTTTTCTAACTCTCTCTAAATGCACTATGGTGGCATTTTTTTTTTGGTGATTGCGTATTGAAGAAACAATGATATTCAGTAGTTGAGGGTTTTATTGGATAACAGTTACATACTAATGCTGATTTTTGTGATATGATATGATACCATACCATACCATACCATACCATACCATACCATACCATACCACTGCCCACCAGACTGAGTCAGGCAATTGTGTACTCATAAACTGACTCCCTTACCCCCACCTCACTCAAAAACCCCCCACAAAACCCAAAAACATTACTGATTTGTAATGTTTTCCATCATAGTTCAAAACTATGAAAGCTGAGATGTCTACAATGTCAATTTTGGCTCCTGATACCAATGAACTACTCTGCAAATAGCAGGGATACTGCACTGACTGTAGAATCTGATGGCACTTTACATATTATATGTAAAGTAAATATGGTTAAAATGGTGATTATGGATGCCAAGTTGATAAAGGCACTTGGAGATATATATATATATATATATATTTGATTAGGCACTTGGATATATGTATATATCCAAGCTGATAAAGGCACTTGGATGGATATATATATATATATATATTTACCACCACTCCCTATGAAGGCTGGAAAATATATGCCCAGAATCCCTTTCTTTGTACGGTTTTGGGTTTGACGTTGCCAATAAGAGGAAATTCTGTAAAGGTGTATATGAAGTAGAAGCTATTATTCTCAGAAGGTTATGAAAGTCATGAACAGCCGTTCTGTAGACCTTCCATAAGTTCTCATTTTGCAGTCATGGTGGACATACTTGACAGTTTGGAGATGTTTCCATTAGCTCTCATTTTGTAGTTTTAATGAAACAGAGTAGAGGCATCTCAGACTTCTCCATCAGTCTTGGCTTCTACAGTCACTCCCATGAATTTTTCTCCTATTTTTCAGCTACAGCCTTCCAGAAAATTCATATCAACCCTTTCACATTTATTTAAGCTCTAATTTTTAATTAATTCCCTGATTCTGCTAAAATCTGTCGTGGTTCTGTATTGCTCAACAAAACCAAATTGACAAAGGCTTTGAACTCTGCTCTTTGAGGAGTTAAAAGCAAAATAGCACTACTTGAAAGAAATTAAAGGAGTCATGAAATCATATTTAATTTAAAAATAGTGACTAGTGTAGTGGATTAAATACTGCCCCCTCCCAAAATTCATATCCATCTGGAACCACAGCATATGATCTTATTTGGATATAGTGTCTTTGCATATGTTAACAGTTAAGGATCTCAAGATAAAATCGACCTAGGTTTATGGTGACTGGTGTTCTTAAAAGAAAAGGAGAGGGCACAGAGGCTCACAAAGAAAAGATGATTTGAAGATGATTGAAGTAATGCAGCTGCAAACTCAGGGACACTAAGGATTGCTGAGAGCCAACAGCAGTAGAAAAAAGCAAGGCAAGATACATCCTTAGAGCTTTTTGAGGGACCTTGGCACTGCTGATACCTTGATTTCAGGGTTTTAGTCTTCAGAACTGTGAGCAAATACATGTCTGTTATGTTAAGGCACCAGATTTATGGTAATTTGTTACAGCAATCCTAGGAAATAGTGCAGCCATTTTGAAACAAAGCTTGTCAGAAAGAATTTCATACCAATACATGTTTTCCTCTTCCTATCCCTCGTGCATCATACAACACAGAGTATGGAATAAATATTTGATAATGTGAATTCTAGAACTCTCATATTGTGAAAATAATACAAAGTTTATCATGTCTTCACGATGTGTTATACAAAGGATTTTGAAAATGAAAGCAATCTTTTCATATCACATTGCCCTAATGTATAATACACCACAGATCCAAGTATGTCCACTAAAACAGGAATTGGTAAAGTACAACCTGGGGGGAAAATTGAACCACCTGCTATTTTTTATTTTTTGTAAATAAAGTTTGTTGGAACACAGGCACACCTACTCTGAAAAAGTTGAATGGCTGTGGAAGAGATGGAATGGCCCACAAAACTGAAAATAATTATGATCTTGCTCTTTGTAGAAAGGAAATTTCCAACTCTTGTATTGAACTATAATTGAATATTAAAAAAAAACATTTCATTATCCATGGTTTGTGTGAAAATACCTGTTAGTGTTTTGACATTATTAAAATCATAGCATGGTTCAATTGTGGGCTTTTTTCATTGTTCAAGAGATTGCAAATTTGTCTTTGGAATTGATTTGTCATTGTCCCACAATCTTCATCTAATTACTGTAGTTGCAGATAAATGTTTGTTGAATTCAGTTTGTTCATTTAATCAGAAATGTGTCAGCTGTAATATATGGTTGAAATGTTAGTATTAATTATATACTGAAGTGTTAATTATAGGTTTGCAATTGTACCATTAACACTAGGATAAGCATATTAATTACAGACATTCTTGATGAATCTGTTGACAGATATGTGCAGATAGAAGCTGTTAAGTCAAGATAGGTCTTGTTGACATTAGTGCAAGGAAAATCAAAGATGCTTGCTTATTTATCAGTAGGGATTCAGGGCTGAGACCTGCTGGGGGAGTGGAAGAAAGCTCATCAACAGACAGCTGGGATCTTTCCTTGAAACAGAAACAAAATTAACCACCACACAAAGCAAGATATCCAAGGGGCAGAATTGTGACAAGAATTAGGGTGAGACACTACAAATAAGAAAAGTTTTTAATAAGAAAACAGATAAAATGAAATTAAAAGCTCTAGATGAAGAGGAAAAAATTGAGTCAAGCATAGGCTGACTCTACCTGTACCATGTTTCCACCCTAAAACAAACATACTGAACATTATAATGACCTTTCTTTATCTGTTTGTTGTTGTTGTTTGGTTGGTTGGTTGGTTGAACAAGGTCTCACTGTAGTGCCTAGGCTGGAGTGTAGTGGTGTGAACTTTGTTCACTGAAGCCTTGACCTCCTGGGTTCAAGTGATCTTCCCACTTCAGCCTCCCAAGCAGCTGGGACTACAGGTGTTTGCCACCACATCCAGCTAATTTTTTTTGTATTTTTTTTCTTAGAGATGGAGTCTCACAATGTTGCCCATGCTGCTGGTTTCTGTTTGTTTGTTCGCTGGTTTGGTTTTTGTTTGTTGTAATACAAGGTTACTGGTCCTAAGACTCTAAAAGTGGGATTTAGGATTTGTATTATATGAAACACCCAGTCATTTTGATAATCATGCAGGTTTGAGATTTACTAGAATATACTTACTCTAAACTAAGGCAGGAAAGAGTTAAAATTCCATCACAAATATTTGGGGTTTGATATCAGGCCTCTCTTATTCTGAGTCTGACATTCTCATGAGCATCTCAATTCTGACAATTCTTATTTAATATTCCCCTTGGACTGGATTCTTGTTTTAGTAATCCTTCTGATTGTTCCATCTGTGATTCCTTGCTTGGTATTTGTCTTTTCTCTTTTTGCCTTATAAACTTTCAAAATTTCTAGACCTCTGTATGGCAGCAGAGATACTGCTGGCTGCAGATACATTTCTCTGATGCAGGTTGCTGGCATGGGTTTCCATGTAAATCCTGTTTTGGGTTTGTCCTTTTGTCACTCTAATGCTCCTTTTTGCTTTTTCTTCCTGTTTGCCATGCCCTACATATTATGTTTTTTACAAATGGCTCACTCCTTCAAAACTCCCCACAGATAATTCTGGGTTCTTTGGAGACTAAATACATAGAATCTCCTATTGAAACTGACAAACCCAGCCCTTTTTTCCTTTTTCTATAATTGTTGATTCAAAGTTTTTTAATATATACCTTGAATTCTTCAACTGAAAAAAATCCTGGGCATGGTGGCTCACGCCTGTAATCCCAGCACTTTGGGAGTCTGAGGTGGGTGGATCAACTGAAGTCAGGAGTTCGAGACCAGCCTGGCCAACATGGTGAAACCCCTTCTCTACTAAAATTACAAAAATTAGCCAAGCTTGGTGGCATGCACCTATAATCCCAGCTACTTGGGAGGTTGAGGCAGGAGAATCGCTTGAACCCGTGGGGCAGGGTTTGCAGTAAGCCAAGATCATGCCACTGCACTCCAGCTTGGGCGACAGAGCAAAATTCTGTTTCAAAAAAAGAAAAAGATTATATGAAAACTACTGATTAATGTAATTGTAAGTATAGCATATTTGTGGTATATATGATTTTACAAAGAGACTGCACATATATACAATCTAGGGAGTCTGGACATATGCATATACCCATGATACTATTGCCAAAATCAAGATAAAAAATGTATATATCGCCTTCAAAAGTTTCCTTATGTCCCTTTGTGTTTTTGTGGGGGTGGTGGTGTGTGTTAAGAATACTCAATATGAGATCTACCCTCTTAACAAATTACGTTTTAAGTTTTATTTTATTTATAACTGACACATAATATTATAATTGTACATATTTGTGGGCTACAGTGTGATGTTTCAATGCATGTGTACATTGTATAATGATCAAATCAGGGTAGTTGGGTATCTATCACTTCAAACATTTATTATTTCGGCCGGAAGCCATGGCTCGCGCCTGTAATCCCACCACTTTGGGAGGCCAAGGTGGGCAGATCATGAGGTAAGGAGATCAAGACTATGGTGAAACCCCGTCTCTACTAAAAATACAAAAAATTAGCCAGGCACGGTGGCGGGCGCCTGTAGTCCCAGCTACTCGGGAGGCTGAGGCAGGAGAATGGCATGAACCCAGGAGGTGGAGCTTGCTGTGAACCAGGATTGCGCCACTGCACTCCAGCCTGGGTGACAGAGCGAGACTCCGTCTCAAAAAACAAACAAACAAACAACAACAACAACAAAACAACAAACAAACACAAAAAATTTATTATTTCTTTGTGGTAATAATATTCAAAATTCTCTCTTCTAACTATGTTGATATATACTATATTAATATTAACTATAGTATCCCTTCTAGAACACCAGAATTTATTCTATCTAATTGTAACTTTGTACTTGTTGACCAACCTCTTCCCATCTCTTCTTCCACATGCTCTCCCACCCTCTGGTAACCACTATTCTACTCTCTACTTCTATGAGGTCAACTTTTTTTAGATTCCACGTGAGTGAGATCATGTGGTATTTGTCTTTCTGTGTCCAGTTTATTTCACTTAACATAGTACCCTCCGGGTTCATCTATCTTGCCACAAATGATAGGATTTCATTTTGTTTTATGGTTAAATAGTATTTCATTGTATATCTACATATCACACTTTCCATTTATTTATTTATTGTAGAGAAGGGGTCTTGCTATGTTCCCCAGACTGATCTTGAACTTGTGGCCTCAAGAAATCCTCCGACCTCAGCTTCCCAAAGTGCTGGGATTAGAGGCAATAGCAATTGAGCCCAGCTAATACCACATTTTCTTCTGTTCATCTATCAGTGGGCACTTAGGTTGATTTCATATCTTGGCTTGGCCTCTTAACAAATTTTTAAAAGTGCACAATACTGTATTGTTAACTGTATGTGCTATGTTATATGGCAGATATCTTGAATTTATTCATCTTGTATAATTGGAACTTTATATTCATTGAGAAACAACTTTCCATGTCCCCATCCCACCATACCCTGGCAACTACCATTCTATTCCCTGCTTCTATGAGTTTGACTATTTTAGATACCTCATTTAAGTGAAATCATGTACTATGCACAGAAAGACACTTCTGTGAGTGGCTTTTTTCACTTAGCATAATGTCTCCCAGGTTCATCTTTATTGTTGTATTATAGCAGAATTTTCTTCCTTTTATAGGCTAAATAATATTCCATTGCAGGTACTTGCCATATTTTAAAAATTATTCATCTATTAGTGAACCTTTGGGTTATTTTTATGTCTTGGATAATGTGAATAATGCTGCAGTGAACACGAGAGTGCAGATATCTATTCAAGACTTTAATTCCTTTGGGTAGATATCCATATGTGAGATTACTACATTATATGATTACTGTATTTTTAATCTTTTGAGAAACCTCCTTATGGTTTTCATACTGGCTGCACCTTTTTACATTCCACTACAAGGGTGGCGTTTCTAGTCTACGAGTGTACAAGGGTTCTAGTTTCTGTATATCCTTGCCAACACTTGTTATCTTTTGGTTGTTATGGAATCCATCCTAATAGGTGTGAGGTGATATAGAATTGTGGTTTTAATTTGCATTTCTCTCATGATTAGTGATGTTGAGCATCTTTTCATATATATATATATAGGGTGACCATTTGTAAGGCTTCTTTGCAAAATCATATGTAAAAAAAACTGTAAAATCTCCACTAAAAAACTGTTAGAAATAAGCAACAAATTCAGTGAACTTACAGAATAGGAAATCAACATGCAAATATTAGTTGTGTTTTTGTATACTGACAGCAAATGATCAAAAAAGGAAATTAAGAAAATAATGTCATTGAATATTGTAAAAGTGTCCATACTGCCCAAAGTGATCTGCGGATTCCCTGCTATTTCCTTCCAAATCCAATGGCATTTTTTACAGATATAGAAAAAATGATCTATGAATTGAAACCTACACACACACACACAATAACCAGAAGAGGTAAAGTGATCTTGAGAGAAAAGAACAAAGCTGGAAGCATCATACTTCCTGATTTCAAAATATATTACAAAGCTACAGTATCTAAAATATGATGGTACTGGCATAAATACAAACATATAGATCAATTGAACATAATACAAATTCCAAAAATAAACCCATGACTACTCAGTCCACTGATCTTCAAAAACGGTGCCAAAAATACACAATGATGAAAGGATAATCTATTTAATAGGTGACATTAGCAAAACTGGATATCCACGTGCAAAATAATGTAATCGGATCTCTATTTTACACAGACATAGTCAAAAATAATCTCAATAAACCTACAAATAAGACCTGATATTGTAAAACTCCTAGAAGAAAACAGGGGCAAATGCTCATAACATGGGTCTTGGCAATGATTTTTTGGATATGTCACCAAAAATAAAAGCAACAAAAGCAAAAATAGACAAGTAGAGCTATATACAACTAAAAAATTTCTGCACAGCATGTAAAATAATAAATAAAGTGAAAAGGCAACCTAAGGAAGGGAAAAAATTTGCAAACCATAAATCTGATAAAGGATTAATAGTCAAAATATATAAGAAGACCCTACAACTCAATAGCAAAAAACAAATAACATAATTTAAAAAATATACAAAGGACTTCAATAAACATTTACCTGAAGGAGAGATGTACCATATATTTTGAGAGAAATTTTAACAGACTAATAAAAGAGGGGTTACTTTTGCCTTATGATGGAAAATTTCACAGAGAAAGTGACATTTGACTTGGTTCTTACAGAATATCAGCAACATCAAAAATAGTTTGAAGAAAGATCTTTTAAATAGAGTGACAGAAAGACCAATATGAAGAAAATAAAGAGCCACAAAAGTTCACAGCATGTAATTAAACAAGTCGACAAATAAGATATGTTGAAAGGGAATGAAGTAAAAGTAGATTGGAACCAGATTAAAAGACATGCAAATATATTTAAAAGTATTCAAAGCACAGTGAACAGGCAGCAGCATATTTTGTTTTGGAAAATGACATCCTTTAATTTTAGAAGATGAAAGATACTTTTTAGTATTGCTATTCTTCAGTTATTTCTCACTCCTTCATCCTGGTTATTGTGTTTATGTTTTCTTAATATTCCACCTTTCCACTTTACTTCACCTAGGTAATTGCTTAAAGTTCTTTAAATTTATCCACCTCAAACTGGTATTCCACTGATTGATTTCCAGATTTTGCATTATGCTTAGGACTAGAGTGTTGAGAGTCACATATCTGAAATTTCATATCATAATTATTATACTTATTCATCATCTATCAATTGTTCTCTTGCTGGTTTTTTACTGATCACTACGTATCTTGATTTGAGGCAACTCAATCAGGGACAGCTACCTGCTCAAGAATAGTCTTGGAAGGACAGGAAAGTGTGGCCTATGTGTGGAACTTGGCTATTGCACATCAGAAGCAGTGTTCTCTCATGTGTTTGCACCCAGTTTACCACATTCTCTCCTCAAACCTAGAAGTATATTTCTCTTCATTTTTTATAGTGAACAGGATTTCCTCTCGTGTCACAAACCTCCGATTTAGTTTATCTCTCTCTCTTCAGCTAATTCTGATCAGCAGTAGAACTCCTCCCTGGCCTTTGGAAGCTTCATTTCAAGTATGAGGATACATCCCAGCAAATGAAGATGATAACACTCAGTACTTTTATTTTAGTTCTGTTTTCACTGTCAAACAGCAAAATGAATATGGACAGATATAGAATGTTGACCACTTTTCTCTGACCCCCCCCAAAGCCTTGTCACTTCATCAGTGCAAGCATTGTTATGCTTTTTCTAGACTGTTGCTTTATCCTAGGAAAAGCTGAAAACTGCTAAGAGATGTAGAGAAGAATGTATTAAAGCTTGGGGATGTTCTTCAATTTGATTCAAATTTCAGTGTATTTTCCAAATGATTTCTACGTTTTGTGGTTTGGGATATGGTCATTTACAGATTTTGATGATCATATTATTTCCTTATTTCTTATATTTGTTTTGATTTCCTGTTCTAAGCCTTGAAAAGAGAAATAATAAAAACATTTCTGTTTCACATTTTTTAGTGAAAACTGTAAACTGGGTTTATCATAGCTAATTTTTATAAGTGATTCTCCATATATTAGAATGGGTATTGGAATACTTAGGTAATAAATAATTCTTACCATTATTAAATTTTGTATACATGCAGCAGAGGTCAAACCTCTGATTTGTCTTTATACTCAAAACACTCAAGCCAATTCAAACTAAAATTTACAGTGAAGTTCTTTATTTACAAAGCTCTTTATGTTGAGCTTTGGTATATTTTCCAGTATAAGCAAAGCAATTATATTTATGGGAAAAGTCAATTATACTGTAACATATGTTTAAGTCAATCTTTCTGTTACCCAAATTAACTATGCTAAAAATATACAAAGTGTTCTTAAGGGGAAACATATAATATGTAATTTTTGGAACAATAAATTCTAGAATGTAAATTATGATGTTAAATTTGAATAAACAATGTATCTGAAGTTACATACTCTTTGAAGGTAAGATTATTGTATTTCAGAAATTAATTTTTTAAATGTGTGGCTGGGCACGGTGGCTCACGCCTGTAAACCCAGCACTTTGGGAGGCCAAGGCAGGCGGATCACTAGGTCAGGAGATCCAGACCATCCTGACTAACACGGTGAAACCCCGTCTCTACTAAAAATACAAAAAATTAGCCAGGCATGGTGGTGGGCGCCTGTAGTCCCAGCTACCCGAGAGGCTGAGGCAGAAGAATGGCGTGAACCTGGGAGGCGTAGCATGCAGTGAGCAGAGATCGCGCCGTGGCACTCCAGCCTGGGCGACAGAGCAGGACTCCGTCTCAAACAAAACAAAACAAAACAAAAAAAAACAGTGATTCTGGTCCTAGAGATTTTCATAACTGGCTGTTAGGAGAAATCTATTTAACAGCCCACGTCTTCATTTCATTTTCTAGAAAACAAATGTGAACAAGATGTTTAAAAGCTTGATTCACTCTAGAGACTTTGTAGAGAGAATGAAGGAATTTCAGAATTTGTAGGACAATTATTTTTCTTAAATTTTTTTTAATGGTGCTCATTCGCTCATTCCCTCTCTTTTTTTTTTTTTTTTTTTTTTTTTTTGGAGACAGAGTTCTGCTCTATCTCCTAGGCTGGAGTGCAGTGACACGATCTCGGCTCACTGCAACCTCTGCCTCCCTGATTCAAGCAATTCTCTGCCTCAGCCTCCAGAGTAGCTGGTGTGTCCAGAATTGGTGCGTTCTTGATCTCACTGACTTCAAGAATGAAGCCGCGGACCTTCGCGGTGAGTGTTACAGTTCTTAAAGATGGTGTGTCCCGAGTTTGTTCCTTCTGATGTTCTGATGTGTTCGGAGTTTCTTCCTCTCTGGTGGGTTCATGGTCTTGCTGGCTTCAGGAGTGAAGTTGCAGATCTTTGCAGTGAGTGTTACAGCTCTTAAGGAGGCACATCTGCAGCTGTTCTTTCCTCCCGTCCAGAGTTGTTCATCTCTCTCAGTGGGTTCGTGGTCTTGCTGGCTTCAGGAGTGAAGCTGCAGACCTTCCTGGTGAGTGTTACAGCTCATAAAGGCTGCCCAGACCCAAAGAGTGAACAGCAGCAAGATTTATTGCAAAGTGTGAAAGAACAAGGATTCCACAGCATGGAAGGGGACCCGAGCGGATTGCTGCTGCTGGCTCGTGTGTCCTACTTTTATTCCCTTATCCTTCCCCATCCACATGCTGTTGATTGGTCCATTTTGCAGACAGCTGATTGGTCCGTTTTCAAACTTTTAGCTAGATACAGAGTGCTGATTGGTACATTTACAATCCTTTAGCTAGACAGAAAGTTCTCCAAGTCCCCACTAGATTAGCTAGACACAGAGCACTCACTGGTGCATTTACAATCTTTCAACTAGACAGAAAAGTTCTCCAAGTCCCCACCCATCCCAGAAGCCGAGCTGGCTTCACCTCTCACTGGCACCCCTTGCGGGACTTTGCGGCACCCAGCCTGGGCACTCTGGCAGCCCAGAGGGAGCTGGCTCCTGCTGTTGCCTCTCCCT
The DNA here is from genome assembly GCF_000001405.40 of Homo sapiens. Lineage (NCBI taxonomy): Eukaryota > Metazoa > Chordata > Mammalia > Primates > Hominidae > Homo > Homo sapiens. Next base: position 125,299,535 of record NC_000007.14, read on the forward strand.
CCACACCTCCCCGTGAGCAGAAGGAGCCAGGCTCTGGCCTTGGCCAGCCCCAGTGAGGGGGCTCACAGCGCAGCAGCAGGCTGAAGGGCTCCTCAAGCGCGGCCAGAGCGGATGCCAAGGCCGAGGAAGTGCCAAGAACGAGCGGGGGCTGCTAGCATGTTGTCACCTCTCACTGGGACTACAGGCGCGCACCACCACACCCGGCTAATTTTTTGTAGTTTTAGTAGAGATGGGGTTTCACCATCTTTGCCAGGCTGATCTTGAACTCCTCACCTCGTGATCCACCTGCCTCGGCCTCCCAAAGTGCTGGGATAACAGGCGTGAGCCACCACGCCCAGCCTGTCTTTTAATTTATTATATTGGACCTAAAATCTTGAAGGGCACATACTGAAAAAAATCAAAATCAAATAACTGCACAACGTTACAGATATGACACTGTTCAAAACTAACAGATTTTATAATTACCTGATTGGGAATTTAACTGAAATTCAGATGAAATTACTTTTATGTATTTATAAAACTGACCAGAAATGGTCAGGTATTGGAAATTTCCTATTTTCAAGCTAATATTCCTAGAGAAGACATATTTTTTTTCCTCTTTCTCACACACATACACACGCAGGCTTACATACACATTACACAAAATAAAAAAATACCTATCATCTGATCACCTGAAAATAGGTATCGTTTTATTAAAGTGCATTTCCTTCTAGTCAGATATGATATATTCTGTATTTGCTTACTATCTATTACATTGGGATAATATTTTATGTAGTTATATATACTAATTTTTATAATTATGTCATGGACCTTTTCCCATGTCATTTAACATTCTTGAAATATGACAAATCTTTTTTTATTATATTTAGTAAAATAAATCATGGTAACTTTTAGTTGACTTTTTGGCTTAAATTTTTTTTTTTTTTTTGCAATTTTGTAACTTTATTTGATGTATTTGACGATCAGCGATTAGTTCTCATCCACACTGACTGTCTGTAGATTTTTGAAAGTGGTAACAGGTACATAGGTAACCAAGGTATAGAGCTTACTTGGTGAATTTTCATCCTCATTACGTTTTCTGGACAACCGCACACGGATACGGTATGGGTCATCCCTTACTCCTTTACCCAGACTACTTTGTTGTGCCTCATATCAATGCGCACATCAGGAGTTCCCATCTCCTTCATGGCAAATTGCGGAATCTCTGAGTTCCCGAGGGGCACGCTTCTTGAATCCCACTCCATGGACACACTTGGGAATATTGATGGTGTATTCTCGGGTCACCACCTCGTTGATGGCAGAATGGCCGTTTTTCTTCTGGCCACCCTTCTTTGCGGGAGCCATTCTACTGGGTCCAAGTTGGAAAGCAATATATATATATATATATATTTTTTTTTTTTTAAGCCTGGCTTTTTCAGTTTGGGTAAGGCAATTAATCCAATTATATATATTTTATATGAAATAGCAATTCTTATAAAATTATGATAAAAGGTGTAAAGTTAAAGTTGAAAATGTCTATGGTGATATGTTCTATAATACTACCAATTCCAGTCACTCATAGAGTATGCACACAAAGGAAAGAGAGGAGCTTTTATCATATTCTAGCCATTTGTCTGTTAGTGCACTAAGGGCTCATTTTATACTTTCTATTTTAACACCTATAGCATTCTATGAAGGCAGACATTGTCCATAGCTTTCAAATGAGGAAGCTGAGTCTTCAGATGTTTCATACCCTCTAAAATAAAATAGTTTTTATGTAACAGAGCTAAAAATTAAACAGATCTAGAAACTCCAGTTATTTTCTTACAAAATCTACATCAAACTAGTTTTTAAAAATCTTTGTGCTAATAATGCATCTCAACTGACTGATGATCATTCTTCAAGGAGAGCAGTTTTCTAATCTTTGGAATATATATGGTCTGGCAGATTCTATGTGAACTCTCCTTAGTATCACTTTATACTTTTCCCATTGATACCCTATTATTTTGCCATCTCTTCTGTCTAAGAAGCATTAATCATTGATTAAGGGACAGGTATTAATCATTGATTACTGCCATACATAGGACAGAAGAAAGCCTGCGATAGCAAGGGAGCAAATATTGGATCTTGGCACAACTTAACCTCCTCCTTCACCCATCCCACATACAATCTTTATCCTAGATCTATAGAAGAGAACTGGGGACAAGACAGATTAATGAAAAACAATTAAGAGAAAAAAAAGAAAAATGTTGAGAAATAGTACCCACTCCATCACTTCATATGACCTTTATGTATGTTAACATGTTTCTACCTCTTAAATATTTCTTTGACTGAATTGTAAAACAGCTCATTATTTTTTTAAAAAAGATATATCACTTACCATGAATATTCCCATGCAACATATATTAAAGAAAATCCAAAAAAGATAAATATAGCGATAAACTTTCCATTCAAATCTAATATCTGAAACCATATTATACATAAATATACCCTAGTGCATGCTTGGCTTTTTCAATAAGTAGATGATGAATATATAGTAGTCTGCAATATGAATTAAATCTTAAGAAGATATTGTCCTCCTTATACAGAACCTATTTCACTTTTTTTCTAAAAGTAGAATACAATTTTACTTTTTCCCATAGTAACCTACTTCTATGTCTAAAAAATGGGATTTAGCACTCTTCGTAAAAATAGAAGTAATATGTCACTATTACCTTTAATAAAAGTTAATATTAATTTCATTAGAAAAATTTCTATTGATATGGTGAAAGTACAACTTGAACGTATGTCCAGAGAACAAAGGGCTATTAAAATATTACTTCAGTGTCCCATGAGCTCAAGTCTTTGAAATTAAACAGGTGTGGATTCAAAGACTTTGTCTATCTCTATGACCTTGTAATTCCTCTACCATAGGGGTCGGAGTGTCAGGGTATTGCAAAGATCCAAGAAAATGATGTGTAAAAATGAGCATATGTCTCAAATGTCTGTACAATGGTAGGGATGCAAAAAGTTTGCTTCCTTTCTCCTTTGCTATATTCTGTTATTTCCTCCACTTTTTACTAGTCTTTGTAAAGAACTTACTGTATGACACCCAAGAGGTCAGTATGTATATTTATTTGTGCCTTAACTATTCCACGTCTTCCCACCATTCACTGTAGACTGTCTCAACTATAAGACTTTTATAAGTCAAATTCTTTCTTTTAAAACTACATGGGACAGTAGAAAGCCTGAGCCAGTGATAGCAAGGGAGCAAATATTGGATTTTGACACAACTTAAAATTATTTATTTTGGTCTTTCATTTCTTTCTCCAGTATTGCCTAGAGTTAATTTACACTTTCTCTCAAATTAAAAAAAAAAAAAAATCGGCATGGTGGCGGGCGCCTGTAGTCCCAGCTACTTGGGAGGCTGAGGCAGGAGAATGGCGTGAACCCGGGAGGCAGAGCCTGCAGTGAGCCCAGATCGTGCCACTGCACTCCAGCCTGGGGCACAGAGCAAGACTGTGTCCCCCCCTCACCCCCACCCCCAAAAAATCACCTGGTTTGTGCCTGTCTCTTGGAAAGCTAAAATCAGGAAACATTTCACTACAAGATATGCTTCCTAATAAAAGTGGTCACTAAGTAAGTTAATGTAATTCGATCAAATATAAGATAAGAGGAAAGGGAAGAACACATATCTGGGTGAAGCCATGTGTAGGACATCTGGCGTAATCTACTGTTGACTGTTGGGTCTTGGGGAATTTGTGCTTGGTCTGTGTATATCAGTGCTTCATTCAGTCAGATTCATCCTGCAGATGTTAATTCCACACTTAAGGTTAAACTACGTGCAAAATACAGTAGAATGTAAACTTCATGAAGGTAGGGATTTCTTTTTTTTTTTTTTTTCTGTTTTGTTCGTCAATGAAACCCCAGAATCTAGAAACATCCCTGGCACAATTTAACAATACGTATTTGTAGGATAAAGCAACTTTCTTAAAGATAAAGTTCAAATTTCATGATATGGTTGACAACGTTTTCCTCAATGAAGCCCTTGTCTAACTCTTCAGAGTAGCCTCATGCTACCCCTCACACTCTCGCTGTGATTCAATCATACTGGGTTCATTCTTCCAGTGTGCGACTTCTTTTCTTGAACTTTTTTTTTTTTAATCTGGAATACTTTCTTATTTCACTTCTACTTCTGATTTCTGCTTAGTAAATTACACGGAAAATTCAAGTTACAGCTCAAACAAACATCCTCAGGAAAAACCTTCCTAATCACTATGAATACATCGTTTTGTACTAACCATCTCATAAAATGTATAACCTTAAATTATTTGCCTTAATTCTGTCTTCAGCACTAGAATAAAAGCAGCAAAAATTAGCCAGATCTTCTTTGTTCACAATTCTTACTTTATTGTTAAATCCCCAAATTTATGTGTAAGAGTGAGAATTAAAATGCAGTGGGTCTAACAAAGTAGGTGCATTAGAATAACAGACATTTTTAGTGGGAGAAAGTATTCAAAATTAGACAGAAAATGGTGTCACTGTTAGAACTGTTTCCTCAACATTCTTAAATGAAGATGATCAATAATTTTTAGTTCTTATATTAAGTTTAAGTTTTAATATTACTACCTGCTAATTAAAAGAAAATAATTTTGAATCTGTGCTTCTTTCTGCATGCTCTAAAAGCATTTCAATAGATCAATTTACATATGCACCATGGACTACTATGCAGCTATAAAACAATGAAATCATGTCCTTTACAGCAACATGGATAGGCCTGGAGGCCATAATCCTAAGCAAATCAATGCAGGAACGGAAAACCAAAGACCACATGTTCTCACTTATAAATGGGAGCTAAACGCTGAGCACACATGGACATAAATATGGGAAAAATAAACACTGTGGACTACTAGAAAGTGGAGGGAGGAGGAGGTTAAAAAATTAAAAAACCCACCTATCAGGCTGGCACTATGCTCACTACCTGGGTAACAGTATCCACACTCTAAACCTCAGCATCACACAATATTCCCATGTAACAAATCTGCACATGAATCCTCTGTATCTAAAATAAAAGTTGAAATTAAGTAAAAAATTAAAAGTAAATAAATAAATAGACCAATTATTATCTGTTTATCGAAGGCTTGAAAAAAATTACCACTATCCCTAGCTGAGACTAATCCTTTTGAATGTAATCACTCCATCTTCTTTTTCTTTAATCTCCTCTTCCTCTTTCTACTTCTTCAAATAGCTTTTTTTATTGATTACAGAAATAAAGTTTGCAAATATAAAAATATCAATTTCAAAAGTGTAATACCTTCTGCCAAATCTCCTTCCTCGTGGAAATGAAGAACTTCTTGTGAATTATTAAAAACATTCTATTTATATGGTACTATATATGCATACGTATTCCTTTGGAATGTGTATATATATGGTATGTGTTTGTAGATACTTTCAAATGGTGGTAATCAAGATTCATAAATAATGCATATGAAATTAACAAATTTGAGACATCTGTTTAACTCTCTCTCTCCATAAATGTATATAAATTTAAATTTGTACATATCTGTGTATATATGTATAGAGATATGTACATACACAAATTTACACAGATGCATGTACAAACACAAATAGTATATAGTTTCTTGCACATAGTAAGTTCCATTTAAGGGTTAACTGGTATTCACGTTCTTATCATCAGATTGTACATTTAAAAAATATATTTAAGTCACAGGGTTTATTAAGATCTAAAAAATAAGCATTCTTACATATCTCCTTGGGAATGTAAACAGATACAAATTCTTTGAAAGGCAATTTGGCAAAATTTTAACTACTCAAGTAGCAATTGATACTAAATATATACTTTGATATCTATGTATAGATTATAAATGCTTCTTATGCTATCAGTTTTAATAGCAAAATATACAAACAACTTAAGTGTCCATTATAGATATATTTCTACCATGAATTATTATGTAGGCCTCAATAAAACTGAAATAAAGATGTATTTGCTACTATGTGAAGGTATTCGAAGTGTATTTTAAGTGGAAAAAATACAAAAATATACATAGCATTTATTCTATTTGTCAACAAAATAAAAACACGTACATGCAGATGTGCAAATATCTGGTAACTGAAATTTTCTCGGAGGAAATAAACTATTATGATAGTAGTCTTAATGAATGTAAATAGGATCTTCAATGAGATATTTTATTTACTTTACATATTTTTGTGAACATTTATATATGTGTATATATACACTTTAAAAATCAGATATACTTTTCATAATTAAATAATTCCAATTATCAAAATAATTTTAAAAAATCAAAACAGACCAAGAGCCTCTCAGGTGAATACAGCTGAAATTTCCAACTTGTGTATCTCAAAATACACACTTAAAAAGCAGGCTGGCTCATATTATAGGAGCACAAGCATTGAAATACAGCTATATTTAGTTGCTCTAAAGAGTGAGTTTTTACTATATCTCATAAAATAAATTGCAGGGTTAAATATTTATAACAGGCTGTTAGGAAAATACTCTGCCTATTGCTATTCAAATTTCTTTTCAATAGTATCTATTTTAATTGCCAAGAACATGTGAGTTTGAGCAACATTAAACTAGCAATAAAGTCTTAAGCTGAAGAGCACTTTATTTGTGAAAGTAGGTATAATCTAAATTGCTACAGCTATAGCTACAGCAACATACATGTCTAGGACTTTCTTTGAATTACCATAAAAAATACTCTACTAGGAATAGTAAGTGGCCTTTTAAATTCCTTTTGAGTAGTAATAGCATTTTGAGTGTTGGAACAACATGGAAAGGAAATAGAAACTGATCTGGATAAAATAAATTCCCAGGAAATGTTAACAGTGTCTTGTTGTTACACTAAATAGTACAGAAGCTGGAGAGGTGAACAATTTCAGCTTGGTACCAATAATTATCATTTTGAACAAGCGTCTTGTCATCATATGTTATCAGTATGTAAGATAATCACATGGTCAACAAAAAGATGATTTGATTGCAGATTTGTGCCAAGAAGTGAGCTAGGTTCTAGGAAGATAATAGTTAACAACACATAAATAGTTCTTGCTCTAATGGGTACTACAGTCTGGAGTCTTGGTGTGGGGTTGGGGTGATGGGGGTTGGGGGGATGGCGGTGGAAGGGTGGATGCGGAGGTGGAAATGGTTTCAGGATGAAATGTTCCACCTTAGATTATCAGGCATTCCATTCTCATGTGCAACCTAGATTCCTCACATGTGCAGTTCACAATAAGGTTCATGCTCAGAATCTAATGCCACCATTGATCTGACAGGAGGCAGAGCTCAGGTGGTAATGCTTGCTTGCCCACTTGCTGCTCACCTCCTGCTGTGCAGTCCGGTTCCTACCAGGCCACAGACTGACACTGGTGTGTAGCTCAGGGGTTGAGGGACCCTAGGGTACAGTAATATCCTAGGCCTTCACATTCACTTACTACTCACTCACTCACTCACTCACTCACTCACTCACTCACTCACCCAGAGCAACTTCTAGTCCTACAAGCTCTGTTCATCATAAGTGCCATATTAATCTTTTATACCATAATTTTGCCATACCTTTTCTATGTTAAGATATGTTTAAAGGCACAAAAACTTACTATTGTGTTACGTTTACTCACAGTATGCAGTAAAGTAGCATGCTGTACAAGTTTGTAGTGTAGGAGCTATAGGCTACACCATATGTCTTAGGGAACTCTGTAACATTTTAGTATTCCTAAATGCTAATTATTGTTGTTGCTATTGTTGTTAATTTACTGGTTTTGTAAAGCCAGGTTAATTTATCTACTCATTTTAAAAGCAGAAAAAATTAATGAAAATGATTGCATAAGTTGAAATTGTATAAACATATTAAAATAATAATTACCCATTTATAGGAAAATTTTTATCTGTAAGAGCCAAAAAACTTGATAAAATCTATACCTGATGTATTGTAGATTACAGCAATCATCTTTTATGATGTTCTAGAATACCTGTGTGGGTTGTGGTGTGTGAGTATGTAAGTCAGTGCATGCTTCTCCTTCTCTCTGCATTCATATTTATATTTTCTAGGAAATGTGCTTAAATCAGTCTCATTTTATAGACAATGAATATAAATTCAGAAATTACAAGAATCTTTCAAAGAAAGGGAACAGTGCAAGTGAAACACTGAGGAAACTATTGGGTATTTTATTTCTGTGAAAAGATAATGGTAAAGTCCAATTTTGACAAACGCTATACTGTTTTATTATAGTTAAATTTCATTATACCTATAGTGAGCACATTGTTAGAAATCATATTCATAGCTCTAGCAGCTGATGATGAAATGTGGCTCAGGCTGCTTCTCTGTAATGAATTCAAATGAAAATTGCTTTGATCTCAAGAAGAAAAACAGTGCCCATACAAAACCTTCATCCTCTAAGCACCAAAAGTATTATAAGGATAATTTTATTTTGCTAGGCTACTTGTGAAAATATATTTTTAAATAGGTTGACAGATTTTGGAATTTTGGAGCAATGAGTAAGATTGAAAGGTAATGGCATTTTTATAGGAAGTCAAAAGAGTCAATGTTAGAATTCAGTTTACTTTTGTTTTTTGCCTTACCAAAAATATAATCATAAGCCAACAAAGTACTGTTTATAGAGAAAATTGCTGCTCTGAGATTGACAGAGAAATTCTGTGTTGTACAGGGTTTGGCTTTGAGTGGATTTCCTTATAAACTGATCAAGAAAGCCCTGTTATAACAGATGTTCATATGTAAATTTTATTAATGATATTCAAGGGGGAAGGGTTTTACTGAAATATATATATATGTGTGTGTGTATGTGTGTGTATATATATGTGTATATGTATATGTATGCATATGTGTATATGTATGCATATATGTGTATATATATGTGTATATATGTGTATATGTATGCATATATGTGTATATATATGTATATATAACACACATATGAACAAAATTCTACAAATCTCAAAGAATAAATAATAAGAAATCTATAACTAAACTCATTATAGTAAAATTGCTGAAAACCAAATAAAAGAAAATTTAAGCAGTTATTGTCAGGAAAATGTGCTTTCTTCAAAGGCATGCAATAAAGCTAGCAGTAAATAACATAACATATTTAGAAAGCTGAATGTAAACTATTGCCAACCTAAAGTCCTATGCCTAATAAAATTATACTTCAAATGTGAAGAAAAACATCACTTTTTCAAATTAAAAACCTAATTTTTTAGCCAGGCATGGTGGCTCGTGCCTGTAATACTAGCGCTTTGAGAGTCCGAGGTGGGCGGATCACCTGAGGTTGGGAATTCAAGACCAGCCTGGCCAACATGGTGAAACCCCGTCTGTATTAAAAATACATAAATTAGCTGAGCTTGGTGACACGTGCCTGTAATCCCAGCTACTTGGAAAGCAGAGGCGGAAGAATCATTTGAACCCAGGAGGTGGAGGTTGCAGTGAGCTGAGATCGTGCCACTGCACTCCAGCCTGAGTGACAGAGGGAGATTCCATCTCAAAAAAAGAAAAGAAAAGAGAAAAGGAAAAGAAAGGAGAAAAGAAATATTTTTTTTTTTTGCCAACAGATCAATAATAAATTCTAATATGAATTATTCAAGCAGAAGGAAAATAATCCTATAAAAAATGGAAATTAATAAAACAATGGTAAATTCCAGAAAGGTCAATATTGGGATAAATATATATGAGCACTTACCTTCAAACAATATTATGAATCTAATGAGAGAATATATGCATTTTTACAAATACAAAAGTAATTTGTGAAGAGTCTACATGATAGAAAGGAGTAACATCAGCAGGGTCCAGGGACCGTTGCAGGTTCTTGGGCAAGAGGTGTTTCTGCTGCTGCGTCAGTGAGTGCAACTATTCTGATCAGCAGGGTCCAGGGACTGTTGCAGGTTCTTGGGCAAGAGGTGTTTCTGCTGCTGCATTGGCAAGTGTGACTATTCTGATCAGCAGGGTCCAGGGACTGTTGCGGGTTCTTGGGCAGGGGGAGAACAAACAAACCAAAACCATGGGTGGTTTTGTCTTTCAGAAGGAAGCACTCAGGCATCAACAGGCTCACCCTTGAAATGCATCCTAAGCCATTGGGACCAAATTGACCCACAAACCCTGAAAAAGAGGTGGCTCATTTTTTTCTGCACTATGGCCTGGCCCCAATATTCTTTCTCTGATGGGGAAAAATGGCCACCTAAGGGAAGTACAAATTACAATACTATCCTGCAGCTTGACCTTTTCTGTAAGAGGGAAGGCAAATGGAGTGAAATACCTTATGTCCAAGCTTTCTTTTCATTGAAGGAGAATCCACAACTATGCAAAGCTTGCAATTTACATCCCACAGGAGGACCTCTCAGCTTACCCCCATATCCTAGCCTCCCTATAGCTCCCCTTCCTCTTAATGATAAGCCTCCTCCAATCTCCCCTGCCCAGAAGGAAACAAGCAAAGAAATCTCCAAAGGAACAAAAACCCCTGGGCTATCAATTATGTCCCCTTCAAGCTGTAGGGGGAGGGGAATTTGGCCCAACCCGAATACATATCCCCTTCTCCCTCTCTGATTTAAAGCAGATCAAGGCAGACCTGGGGAAGTTTTCAGATGATTCTGATAGGTACATAGATGTCCTACAGGGTCTAGGGCAAACCTTCAATCTCATTTGGAGAGATGTCAGGCTATTGTTAGATCAAACCCTGGCTTTTAATGAAAAGAATGCAGCTTTGGCTGCAGCCTGAGAGTTTGGAGATACCTGGTATCTTAGTCAAGTAAATGATAGAATGACAGCATCAGAAAGGGGCAAATTCCCTACCGGTGAGCAAGCCATCCCCAGTATGGATCCCCACTGCGACCTCAACTCAGATCATGGGGACTGGAGTCATAAACATCTGTTGACCTGTGTTCTGGAAGGACTAAGGAGAATTAGGAAAAAGCCCATGAATTATTCAATGATGTCTACCATAACTCAGGAAAAGGAAGAAAATCCTTCTGCCTTCCTCGAGTGGCTACGGGAGACCTTAAGAAAATATACTCCTGTGTCACCTGACTCACTTGAGAGTCAATTGATCCTAAAAGATAAGTTTATTACCCAATCAGCAGCGGATATCAGGAGAAAGCTCCCAAAGTGAGCCCTGGGCCCTGAACAAAACCTGGAGGCATTATAAAACCTGGCAACCTCGGTGTTCTATAATAGGGACCAAGAAGAACAGGCCTAAAAGGAAAAGTGAGATAGAAAAAGGCTGCAGCCTTAGTCGTGGCCCTCAGACAAACAAACCTTGGTGGTTCAGAGAGGACAGAAAATGGAGCAGGCCAATCACCTGGTAGGGCTTGTTATTGGTGTGGTTTACTAGGACACCTTAAAAAAGATTGTCCAACCAGAAACAAGCTGCCCCCTTGCCCATGTCCACTACGCTGAGGCAATCACTGGAAGGCACACTGCCCCAGAGGACAAAGGTTCTCTGGGCCAGAAGCCCCCAACCAGATGATCCAACAATAGAACTGAGGGTGCCCAGGGCAAGCACCAGCTCATGTCATCACCCTCACTGAGCCCTGGGTATGTTTAACCATTGAGGGCCACAAAATTGACTTCCTCCTGGACACTGGTGCGGCCTTGTCAGTGTTAATCTCCTGTCCCAGCTGACTGTCCTCAAAGTCCGTTACCATCCAAGGAATCCTAGGACAGCCTGTAACCAGGTATTTCTTCCACCTTCTCAGTTGCAATTGGGAGACTTTGCTCTTTTCACATGCCTTTCTTGTCATGGCTGAAAGTCCCACACCCTTATTAGGGAGGGATATATGAGCCAAAGCTGGAGCTATTATCTACATGAATATGGGGAACAAGTTACCCACTTGTCATCCCCTACTTGAGGAGGGAATCAACCCTGAAGTCTGGGCATTGGAAGGACAATTTGGATGGGCAAAAAATGCCCACCAAGTCCAAATCAGGCTAAAAGATCCCACCACTTTTCCTTATCAAAGGCAATACCCCTTAAGGCCTGAAGCTCATAAAGTATTATAGAATATTGTTAAACATTTAAAAGCTCAAGCCTTAGTAAAGAAATGCAGCAGTCCCTGCCACACCCGAATTCTAGGAGTACAAAAACCGAACGGTCAGTGGAGACTAGTGCAAGATCTTAGACTCATCAATGAGGCAGTAATTCCTCTATATCCAGTTGTACACAACCTCTATACCCTGCTCTCTCAAATACCAGAGGAAACAGAATGGTTCACGGTTCTGGACCTCAAGGATGCCTTCTTCTGTATTCCCCTGCACTCTGACTCCCTGTTTCTGTTTGCCGTTGAGGATCCCACAGATCACACATCCCAACTTACATGGACCGTCTTGCCCTAAGGGTTTAGGGATAGCCCTCATCTATTTGGTCAGGCACTGGCCCAAGATCTAGGGACATGCCACTTTTAAGAGCCATTTCTCAAGTCCAGGCACTCTGGTCCTTCGGTATGTGGATGATTTACTTTTGGCTACCAGTTCAGTAGCCTCATGCCAGCAGGCTACTCTAGATCTCTTGAACTTTCTAGCTAATCAAGGGTACAAGGCATCTAGGTTGAAGGCCCAGCTTTGCCTACAGCAGGTCAAATATCTAGGCCTAATCTTAGCCAGAGGGACCAGGGCACTCAGCAAGGAACAAATACAGCCTATACTGGCTTATCCTCACCCTAAGACATTAAAACAGTTGCGGGGGTTCCTTGGAATCACTGGCTTTTGCTGACTATGGATTCCCAGATACAGCAAGATAGCCAGGCCCCTCTATACTGTAATCAAGGAGACTCAGAGGGCAAGTACTCATCTAGTAGAATGGGAACTAGGGGCAGAAACAGCCTTCAAAACCTTAAAGCAGGCCCTAGTACAATCTCCAGCTTTAAGCCTTCCCACAGGACAAAACTTCTCTTTATACATCACAGAGAGGGCAGAGATAGCTCTTGGTGTCCTTATTCAGACTCATGGGACAACCCCACAACCAGTGGCACACCTAAGTAAGGAAATTGATGTAGTAGCAAAAGGCTGGCCTCACTGTTTATGGGTAGCTGTGGTGGTGGCTGTCTTAGTGTCAGAAGCTATCAAAATAATACAAGGAAAGGATCTCACTGTCTGGACTACTCATGATGTAATGGCATACTAGGTGCCAAAAGAAGTTTATGGCTATCAGACAACCACCTGCTTAGATACCAGGCACTACTCCTTGAGGGACTGGTGCTTCAAGTGCGTATGTGTGTGGCCCTCAGCCCTGCCACTTTTCTCCCAGAGGATGGAGAGCCGGTTGAGCATGGCTGCCAACAGGTTGTAGTCCAGACTTATTCCACCCGAGATGATCTCTTAGAAGTACCCTTAGCTAATCCTGACCTTAACCTATATACCAATGGAAGTTCATTTGTGGAAAACGAGATATGAAGGGCAGGTTATGTCATAGTTAGTGATGTAATCATACTTGCAAGTAAGCCTCTTACCCCAGGGGCCAGCACTCAGTTAGCAGAACTAGTCACACTTACCTTAACCTTAGAACTGGGAAAGGGAAAAAGAATAAATATGTATACAGATAGTAAGTATGCTTATCTAATCCTACATGCCCATGCTGCAATATGGAAAGAAAGGGAGTTCCTAACCTCTGGGGGAACCCCCATTAAGTACAAGGAAATCATGGAGTTATTGCACTCAGTGCAAAAACCAAGGAGGTGGCAGTCTTACACTGCCGAAGCCATCAAAAAAGGGGAAGGAGAGGGGAGAACAGCAGCGCAAGTGGCTGGCAGAGGCAGGGAAAGACCAGCAGAGAGAAGGAGAGAGACAAAGTCAAAGACAGAAGGAAAGAGAGAAAGAGACAAAAAGTCAAAGAGAGAGACAGAGAGAGGAAGAGATGGAAAGTCAAAGAGAGAAAGAAAGGAAGAGACAAAGGAGACAGAGAGAGAGAAAGAGAAAGATAGGAAGTCAAAGAGAAGGAGACAGAGAGGAAGAGACAGAGAGACAGAAAGTCAAAGAGAGAGACAGAGAGAGGAAGAGACAGACAGAAAGTCAAAGAGAGAAGGAAAGAGAGGAAGAGACAAAGGAGTCAAAGAGAGAGAAAGAGATAGAAGTAGTAAAGAAAAAACATTGTACCCTATTCCTTTAAAAGCCGGGGTAAATTTAAAACCTATAATTGATAATTGAAGGTCTTCTCTGTAACCCTATAACACTCCAATACCACCTTGTTTTCAGTGTAAACAAGGGTGTAGCCCGAAAACAGGGAGGCCACTGACAACCCATAGCCTTCCTATCAAAAATCCTTAACCCAGCAGGTTTTCTAAAAGGGGATCTAAATCTTAATTAATTACCATACAAAGGTCAAACCAGATCTAGGAGGAACTTCCTTCAGGACAGGATGATAGATGGTTCCTCCCAGGCGATTAAAGAAAATAAAAAGACACATGGGCAGCCAGTAAGTGATAAGGGAACACTTGTAGAAGCAGTTAGGAAAGTTGCCTAATAATTGGTCTACTCAAATGTGTGAGTTGTTCGCACTCAGCCAAATCTTAAAGTACTTACAGAATTAGGGAGGAGCCATTTACACCAATTCTAAGTTAATATGGACTGAATGAGGTTTTATTAATAGCAAAGAAAAATTAAAATCCTAAACTTACAAGGTTTTCAACTAAAGTAAATTTTACTAAAAGCTAACAGTGTAACATGCATTATCCTACTACAACACACTCTCAAAGGATTCCTCAGACAGTTTGCAAGAAATAACAAAATCTATCTGGTAAGGATAGTAACTACAATCCCAAATACATTCTTTGGCAGCAGTGACTCTCCAAAACCACTGAGGCCTAGACCTCCTCATTGCTGAGAAAGGAGGACTTTGCACCTTCTTAGTGGAAGAGTGTTGCTTTTACACTAACCAATCAGGGATAGTACAAGATGCCACCTGGCATTTACAAGAAAAGGCTTCTGAAATCAGACAACACCTTTCAAACTCTTATACCAACCTCTGGAGTTGGGCAACATGGCTTCTCCCCTTTCTAGGTCCCATGGCAGCCACCTTGCTATTACTTACCTTCCAGCCCTGTATTTTTAACTTCCTTGTCAAATTTGTTTCCTCCAGAATTGAGGCCATCAAGCTACAGGTGGTCTTCCAAATGGAACCCCAAATAAGCTCAACTAACAACTTCTACTGAGGACCCCTGGACTGACCCACTGGCCCTTTCACTGGCCTAAAGAGTTCCCCTCTGGAGAACTCTACAACTGCAGCGCCCCTTCTTGGCCTCTATCCAGCAGGAAGTAGCTAGAGCAGTCATTGCCCAATTCCCAGCAGCAGTTGAGGTGTCCTGTTTAGAGGGGGCATTGAGAGGTGAAGCCGGCTGGGCTTCTGGGTCGGGTGGGGACTTGGAGAACTTTTCTGTCTAGCTAAAGGATTGTAAATGCACCAATTGGCACTCTGTGTCTAGCTAAAGGATTGTAAATGCACCAATCAGCACTCTGTAAAAATGCACCAATCAGCGCTCTGCATCTAGCTAAAGGTTTGTAAATGCACTAACCAGCACTCTGTAAAAATGGAACAATCAGTGCTCTGTAAAATGGACCAATCAGCAGGACGTGGGCTGGGCCAAATAAGGGAATAAAAGCTGGCCACCCGAGCCAGCAGTGGCAACCCACTGGGTCCCCTTCCATGCTGTGGAAGCTTTGTTCTTTCATTCTTCACAATAAATCTTGCTGCTGCTCACTCTTTGGGTCTGCACTACCTTTATGAGCTGGAACACTTACCGCGAAGGTCTGCAGCTTCACTCCTGAAGCCAGCAAGACCACGAACCCACTGGGAGGAATGAACAACTCTGGATGCGCCACTTTCAAGAACTGTAACACTCACTGAGAAGGTCTGCAGCTTCACTCCTGAAGTCAGCGAGCCCACGAGCCCACTGGGAGGAATGAAAAACTCTGGACACACCACCTTTAAGAGCTGTAACACTCACTGCGAAGGTCTGTGGCTTCACTCCTGAAGTCAAGCGAGACCACAAACCCACCGAAAGGAAGAAACTCCAGACACATCTGAACATCGGAAGGAACAAACTCCGGACACACCATCTTTAAGAACTATAACACTCACTGCGAGGGTCTGCGGCTTCATTCTTGAAGTCAGCGAGACCAAGAACCCACCAGAAGGAACCAATTCCGGACACAACTTTACTCCTATCTTGTAGTCCCTATCACCCCCATTAGTTGCAAATGTACATTATGGACTTTCTATAGCATCTCTCCTATTCGGTGATTTTGTGTCCCCATACTGTGAGCTACCCTAAATCTCTCCTCTGCATTTCAGATATTTTCTCCTTGGTCTATCAGTCTCTTATCTTTGGCAAATGTCAGAAGGGAAAAACCGGGATGAAGTGTATGTTTCACTTCCCTGTTACTCTTTCTTGGGCATCTCAGTTCTTTAAGTGCTGGATACCTTGGCAGTCCCAAATTTAATATTTGGCTCTGAGTTTTTCAGAGACTGCTTTGAGTTCTGCTGGCATTTTTCATCTTTTAGCAAAGGTCCTTTACATCACTTCTCAGTCTTTTCCCCGTAGTAACAATTGCTAAGAATCCCAAGGGCAAAAGTGGCATGAAGAGGAAAAGCAGCCATGAAGGGGCAGGGCAAGATGGCTGAATAGAAGCACCCACTGATCATCATCCCCCACAGGAACTTAAAATTTAACAACTATCTACACACACACAAAAACATCTTCATAAGATCCAAAATCAGGTGAGCAATTACAGTACCTGGTTTTAAGTTCATATTGCTAAAAGAGGCACTGAAGAGGGTAGGAAAGACAGTCTTGAATCACCAGTGTCACCCGTTGCCCATTCCCTGGCAATGGCATGGTGTGAAGAGAGAATCTGCTTGAGGGAGGGAGAGTACAGAGATTTTGGGACTTTGCATTGAACCCAGTGCTGCCTGTCACGAAGAAAGCAAAACTGAACTGAATTTAGCCAATGCCATGCTTGGAGTGAGCATTTAGATCAGCCCTAGCCAGTGATCAGAACTTGAGTTTCAGCAACCCTCACCACTGCAGACTGAAGTGCTCTGGTGTGGTAAATAACTGTAAGAGGCAGGGTATGACATAAGGACTGCAACTCCTAGGCAAGTCTCAGTGCAGTGCTGGTCTCAAAGCCAGTAGAGCTGGGGGACATGTGGCCTAGTGAGACACCATGTGGAGGAGAAAAGGCAGCGCTTGCATCACCCTTCCCCCAGTCTCAGGTAGTGAAGCTCACAGCAATGAAAGTGACACTTTCCTTGTCCTTAAGAAGAGGGGAGGAAAGAGTAAAGAGGACTTTGTCTTGCATCTTGCGTCTTGGATACCAGCTCAGCCACAGTAAGATAGGGCACTGGGCATGGTTATGAGGCCCCGATTACAGGCCATAGCTTCTGGATGACACACACTCTGGGCCAGAAGGGAATCTGCTGCCTTGAAGGAAAGGACCCAGTTCTTGCAGGATTTATTAAATGCTTACTAAAGATTCCTTGGGCCCTGAATAACCAGCAGTAATACCTGGGTAGTACACTGTGGGCTTTGAGTGAGACTCTGAGACCTGCTGGCTTCAGGTGAGACCTGGAACAATCACAGTTGTGGTGGCTATGAGGAAAGACTCTTTCTGCTTGAGAAAAGCAGAGGACAAGGAAAAGGGTACTTTGTCTTGCACCTTATGTAGCAGCTTGGGTACAGCAGGGTAGAATATCAAGCAAGCTCTTGGGGTCCCCTATTCCAGGCCTTCATTCTTGAACAGCATTTCTTGATCTGTCCTGCAGAAAAATGACTATTTTACTTCAGCCAGAACGAGATGTAATAAGAGGTGGTCTTACATATGAATATAGAAAGAATGGCCAGAATATGTAGAAAGTTTTGTTATTTTTAAATGCCAGTATTGTTTTTTTACCCTTGCAACTAGATTATACAGAGATTTGATGACCTAGCATCTCCTCAGTAACATTTCTCATATTGAGTCTATAATGCTGTCTTTTAAATTTTATATTTAAAAACAATTTTTTGGCATCTCACTAAGTTATTCCATCTGCTATGTGCTTCAGGTATCTGAGTAAAGTGCGTAGAATTAGTACAAAGAAATCAAGAATTAAAAAAGAAAAAGAAAACAGCATTATAGGAGAGCAGCTTGTGATTTTTCCCTTTCCATATTAGCTATAGACATTACATTTCAAAATTTTTGGTCATATTTGACGTTTTTATAAACATTTTATCTTGAAAATTGTAAGACAGAAGACTACTTATAAAAGCTACATATCCTGTAATCCCAGCACTTTGGGAGGCTGACGTGGGCAGATCACCTGAGGTTAGGAGTTCAAGATCAGCCTGGCCAACATGGTGAAACTCCATCTCTACTAAAAATGCAAAAATTAACCAGGTGTGGTGGTGCGCGCTTGTAATCCCAGCTACTCCAGCAGCTGAGGCAGGGGAATCACTTGAACCCGCGAGGTGGAAGTTGTGGTGAGCTGAGATCATGCCACTGCACTCCAGCCTGGGCAACAGAGTGAGACTCTGTCCCCAAACAAACAGACAAAAAAACAAACAACAACAAAAAAACGAAAGCTATTTATATGAGACATATTATAGTTTTCCTAAATAATATTATCCTGGAATTAAGAACTCAGCCATTGCTTCAGTAAATAAACCTTATTTGTTTTTCCCTGGCAGGAGTTTTTAACTTTTCTCAGCTTAGTTGTAAACTTTCAACTGTTCTATATTGGAATTTTTAAACTTGATAATACTGGCTTAAATAAGAATATACAGACCACATGAAAAAATCTGATGCTTACAAAATAAGACATGGAGAAAAATTATATTTTTTGGTTTATAGACCTCTTAATTCATCAGACCTGTAAAAACTAAAAGCATGTTTCTCAATGTTCAGTTCTAGGCTGGGATCTCAAGGATGATAAATGAAAGAGCTGTAAGATTACAGGCTTACAATGCCTCCCTATAGGACACCAAGCAGCAGGGGATAGAAAGCAAAGCAAAAACTGTTCAGATTTTGTATTGCATTATGCAAAGTGGTCTCTGCAGATATTTCTTCCCAACAGCAGAGCATTTATGGTCAAATTATTTGATTTCCACTTAGTTATGTTAAAATTGCATAATTTTGGTCATATATTTCAGAAGAAGCAACTTTCTAGAGTTACATTTTTAAAAAATGCATCATGGCAAAAATAGCAAGTTGCTGAGTGTGGTATAATCAATCTCCTATAAAATACAAAATAACTACATTCGATTTCACGAAGATTATCTCTCATGTTCTGTGGCCTATATGAGGTACTAACAAATGAATAATACTGAATAATGAGTGCCATATTAAACCATGGTCAGTTGTATTTTAAAAATTTACTTTAAAATACTAAATGAAACTTTGTATGTGGTTTTAATCATGCAGTATTTTCAGTGACTTTAATAGGAAGAAAATTTTAAACAAACAAAAAATATATATATATATACCAGCCAACAAAAAAAGGAACGAATCCTGACATTTGTGACAACATGGATGAAACTGGAGGACATTATGTTTAATGAAATAAGCAAGACACAGGAAGCCAAGTACTGTATAATCTCACCTATATGAGGAGTCTAAAAAATTCAAACTCATGGAAGCAGAGAGAACAGTGGTTACCAGGGGTTGAGGGCTGGGGAAACTTTCAGTTATAAAATGAACATGTTCTAGGATCTAAAGTATAGCATGGGTAATGATGGATATGTTAATCAATTTTGTGTCAATCATTACCCAGTGTTTGCATATGTCAATTCATCACATTGTACACCTTGCATATATACAATCTTTATCCATCAATCAGAGATTTAAAAAAGAATAAGTGTACTGCTTTTTAAAGTTATTATCCAAAGATAAGGCCAGGCATGGTGGCTAGTGCCTGTAATTCCAGCAATTTGGGAGGCCAAGGCGAGAGGATTGCTTGAGCTCAGGAGTTTGACATTAGCCTGGGCAACATGGCAAAATCCTCATATGCATGAACAAAGAGATTATATGAAACTGAAACTTATATTTAAAAGGGAAGCAGGGCATATAAGTTTGGGAAATTTGCAGCATGGCCTTGTGGGAAACACACACACACACACACACACACACACACACACAAACACTCTTTTTGGGAGAGAATCAAGCCTGCTGCAGAAATTTGCATAAGTAAAAAGGAGCCAAATGTTAACAGCTAGACAATAGGGAATGTGGCTCCAGGGCATTTTAGATAAATTTACAACAGCCCCTCCCATCACAGGTCTGGAGGCCTAGGAGGTAAAAATGTTCCTGAGCCAGGCCCGGCTGCTCTATGCAGCCTCAAGACATGGTGTCCTGTGTCACAGCCATTCCACCTTTAGCCCTGACTAAAACAGGCCAAAGTAGAGCTCGGGCCATGGCTTTAGAGGATGCAAGGCCCAAGACTTGGCAGCTTCCACATGATGTTGGGCCTGCAGGTGTGCAGAAGGCAAGAGTTGAGGTTTGGGAACCTCTATCTAGATTTCAGAGGATGTATGGAAATACCTGGATGCCCAGGCAGAAGTCTGCTGCAGGAGTGGAGCTCTCATGGAGAACCTCTAGTTGGGCGGTGCAAAGGGGAAATGTAGGGGTTGGAGCCACCACACAGTCTTCACTGGGGCACTGCCTAGTGGAGCTGTGAGAAGAGGGCATCATCCTTCACACCCCAGAATATTAGATCCACCAACAGTTTGCACCCTGCACCTGGAAAAGCCTCAGGCACTTAACACTAGTCCATGAAAGCAGCCACAGAGGCTGTACCCTGCAGAGCCACAAAGGTAGAGCTGAACAAGGCCTTGGGTGCCCACTCCTTGCATCAGCCTTCCTGGATGTAAGACATAAAGTTAAAGATTATTTTGTAATTGTAAGATTTAATTACTGCCCTTTCTGGGTTTTGGACTTGCATGGGACATGTATCCCTTTTATTTTGGCTAATTTCTCCCTTTTGGAATAGGAACATTTACCCAGTGTATCTTGAAAGTAACTAACTTGGTTTTGATTTTACAGGCTCATAGATAGAAGGGCGTCTCAGGTGACACTTTGGACTGCGGGCTTTTGAGTTAATGTTCAAATGAGTTAAAACTTTAGAGGACTGTAAGAAAGGCATGATTGGGTTTTGAAATGTGAGGACATGAGATTTAGGAGGAGTCAGGGGTGGAATGATGTGGTTGTGTCTGTGTTCCCACCCAAATCTCCTGTGGAACTGTAATCCCCATGTATTGAAGGTGGGACCTAGTGAGAGGTGATTGGATCATGGGGGTGGATTTCTCCCATGTTGTTCTCATGACAGTGAGTGAGTTCTCACAAGATCTGATGGTTTAAAAGTGTGTGGCACTTCCCTCCTCACTCTCTTTCTCTATCCTGCCACCATGTGAAGATGTGCTTACTTCCTCTTCACCTTCCCCCATGACTATAAATTTCCTAAGGCCTCCCAGTCATGTTTCCTGTTAAATCTGTGGAACTGTGAGTCAATTAAATCTCTTTTCTTCATAAATTAACCAGTCTTGGGTAGTTCTTTATAGCAGTGTGAGAATTGACTAATACACTCTACAAAAAAATTGCAAAAGATTAACTGGGTGTAGTGGCATGCACCTGCAGTCCCATCTAGTCTGGAGCTGAGGTGGGAGTATTGCTTGAGCCTGGGAGGCAGATGTTGCAGTGAGCCAAGATCATGCCACTGCATTCCCGCCTCGGTGACAGAGTGGGATCCTGTCTCAAAAACAAAAGAGTTATTACCCAAAGAAAACTGATATTAATATTTGGAGATATTTATTTTAATTTATACTGATTTATTAAAACTATTTTTCTCTGCATATAAGCAATATATATCTATTTCAGTATAATCATTATACTATAACTGACATTTTTAAATTTTTTTTTTTTTTGAGATGGGATCTCACTCTCTCACCCAGGCTGGAGTGAAGTGGTGTGATCATAGCTCACTCCTAGGCTCAAGGGATCCTTCTGCCTCAGCCTCCTGAGTAGTTAGGAGTATAGACTTGTTACAACCATGCCTGTCTAGTAACATTTTAATTGTTTTATTTTACTTAACATTATAGTATTTGCACCTATCTATACTATTAAAACTGTATGATTATGTAATCTTAGTGATGATAAGATTTTCTCTTATAATCATTTAGTATACATTATTCAAACTTTTTTCTTATTAAACATTGATTTTTTAAGTATTTGCTATATTATAAAAGTATAAAATTGACATCTTTCTGCATTTAGCTTCATATATATCTCTTGTTGTCTATTGTAAATTCCTCAATGTGGAATTGATAAAAATATTATGGATGATTTTAAGACTTGATATGCACAGCTAAACTGGTTTCCTCAAATTTGTGGCAATCTAATCTACTGCAAGGATGCATCCCTGCTTTCCCTGATTTAGCAGAAGCTTTCAACCATATTAATAAGAAATGCATGATTCAGTAAATATAGGAATACTTATGTAGCATACTTCAACTTCTTTTAGAAGGGGTACATTTTTTGACTTCATCAGGATATCAAAAACTTCAAGCTATTAAGTTAATTGGTTTTCAATACAGGCAAGGCTTTGGACTTTGGAGATATCTGGTGTTCAACATTCTGAGCTTCATAATGTCAGCTGAATGTTTAAGATACTCCAAACTTTAGGACAGAATGAAATATATATTATATATTAAATTACAATGTATCATAGATACGAAAATCT
Organism: Homo sapiens; assembly: GCF_000001405.40. Taxonomy (NCBI): domain Eukaryota; kingdom Metazoa; phylum Chordata; class Mammalia; order Primates; family Hominidae; genus Homo; species Homo sapiens. Next base: position 125,322,227 of record NC_000007.14, read on the forward strand.
TGCTGGCAATGTTTCACAATTACCTTATGAAATATAATTATATTTATTTCATAATGTACTAACTATATTAGTCTGTTCTCACACTGCTGTAAAGATACTACCCCAGGATTGATAATTTGTAAAGGAAAGAGGACCAACTGACCCACAGTTCTACATGGCTGGAGAGGCCTCAGGAAACCCACAATCATGGTGGAAGGCAAAGGGGAAGGAAGAACCTTCTTCACATGGTGTCAGGAGCGAGGAGAGAGAAGCGAAGGGAGAAGAGCCCCTTATAAAACCACCAGATCTTATGAGAACTCACTCACTATTATGCAAATAGCATGTGGGAAACCTCCCCCATGATCCAATCATCTCCCCCCAGGTCTCTCCCTAGACACATGGGGATTACAATTCAAGATGAGATTTGGGTGGAGACGCAGCCAAACCCTATCAATTATATTCCTGGGACTCCTTTATATGGGCCTGACTTTCTATGAGGCAACTTGCATATAAAGAGCTTTCCCATGGTACATTATGTAAAGTGTTGGAGCTAGCCACAGACCATAGAAGACCTACTAGTGCTGGCAACAACCTGTGGCCATCCATTGGCCAGTCCTTTAGGTCTCCATTCTACCCATAATTATCACCGTTAAGGTAGAGATGAGATTGGGGAAGGAGTGAGAAAGAGGATGGTAAAGGCCATCTAGCTGAATATTTTAACAGTTTTCAAGTATTTTTTTTGACTTACTTAAATTTCAATTAAATTTTATGTTAATTTTAATTTAGTGGATATATAAAACAGTTGCACATATTTATGGGGTACCTGTGAACTTTTGACGAATGCATACAATGCGTAATGATCAAATCAGGGCAATTGGGATATCTAGTGCCTCAACATTTATCATTTCTTTGTTTTGGAAACGTTTCAAATCTTCCCTTCTAGCTGTTTTGAAATATATATTAAATTATTTTTAACCATACGCACCCTATTGTGCTATCGAATGCTACAGCTTATTCCTTGTATCTAACTGTATTTTTGTACCCGTTAACCAATCCCTCCTCATCCTCCCCTCCCCACTATGGCTCTCAGCCTCTGGCAACCACCATTCTATTCACTACCCGCAAGGATCAATTTTTTTAGGTCCCACATATGAGTGAAAACATGCAATATTTGTCTTTCAGTGCCTGACTTATTTTACTCAATAAAATGTTCTTCAGACTCATTCCTGTTGCCACTTATAAATAAGATTCTAGTCTTTTTTATGGCTGAATTATTTTCTATTGTGTCTCTATGCCGCATTTTCTTTACCCATTCATCTGTTAATGGATACTTAGGTTGATTCCATATCTTGGTTATTGTGAAGGCAACTGAAATAAACATGCAAGTGCAGACATTTCTTTGATATAAGAGAATTGAAAGCATGATATAAAAATATTTCCTGAATGTGTTTTGTATTTTATGTAACAATAATAAATATTAATATATATATTTCTATAAACTATTATTAAAAAAACACTAGAAACGTTAGGTCTAAGCCTAGGAATCTAGGAGTAGAGGCCTTGTGGAAAACCAAGGAATAGGTGATAGTGCTCCTCAGGCCACACATTACACAAAAAGTTTTTCACATATTCACTGTTCAGGACAGGATCATAGCAAATAGAAGATCATAGCAGATCTTCTATTTCCACAAATGTATTCCAAATGGAAAAGATGAATTCTAAGCATGCCTATTAGATCATTTTACTTACTAACCATACTTTAATACTAGTTCAATGAATGGTTATTGGTAAGTACTTTTTCTAAATCACTAGTAATATTTTGGAAAGCACTCCTAAAAACTGCTTTACCAGACAAAAATTAAAAAGGTAATTGTTTCCAAGTCCTTCAATTGTTTTAGAATGCTGGTCATCTTTGACAAGCCACCTAAAAAATACCTGTCTTAATCATTTCCTTCTGAAGACAAGCAATGAACAATCCATTGTGATTTTACTCAAGCATAGCTTGTTTCCCTGCCTTTCTACTTAAAAATATTTTAATATTAACAGGTCAAATTGTAATATAAAAAACAATAATCACTGTGAACACAAAATGATAGTTGTAGAAAACACCACCACTATTATTTTGTATTCCTCTCTACAACTTCTTATCACATAAACAACACTCCGTGTAAATTGTTTTAACGCTTGTCTCCCCTATACTCAATGGATTCCTTGACAATTAAGAATTGGCTTTTATGTCTGAATTCTGAGTGCCTAAAAATATTCGATACATGTGACTGGAAAAAGAAAGAGAAAGCAAAATAAAGGAAAATTTCATGATTGAAAGAAAATCATCTTACAGTAGCATTCCAAGAGAAATCTCTAATTGTTTAGAACTGTTGCTTTATGTTTTTAATCCCCAACTTGTTTATTAAATTTATAAAGTGGACTTGTGTGGTTGAAAGAATAATGAGCTATTCCTTGGGAGACTTTGAGTGTGGGTATCTCCAAATATCCAAACACATTTTTAGTTTTAAACATGATACTATTTTATAATTTTATAAGTTGATAATGAGAATAAAAATATTGGATGTTTGGTCTAAAATCACAGAGATAATATAGTTCACACTGGCTTTCTGAAATTTTATTTGTGCCTGGCAATAGAGTCACTACATTATACGTATTATGTCAACCTCCACATTGATCCTATAATGGAGGTTTAGTTTAGTTTTAATAGTCTTTTGCCATTAAGCTATAGGACCTTTAAGTAACTTAAGTAAGTGATGGAGCCAGGATTTGAATCTGAGCAGCTGGAATCTACAGCCTACATACTGAGATTAGATTGCAATGTTATATGAATAAAAGTTAAGCCTAAAATGTTGAGAGCAATATAAAATAATGGAAACATTTAGCGTTTTATCTTTTACTTTGTAAATGTAAAGCATTGGTTCTTAAATTTAATATGTTGTATATTCTAGGGTGTTATGTGACATTTCAAGAGTCAACAGAGTATTTATCTAAAAAAACTGTATGTATTATTCAAACAGGTGCATAGATTAAGAAACATTTAATTGATAAATAGCCCTCAATCAAGCAAATCTGGCACCTACACATTTAGCTTTCTTTATTTAAAAGGTAAATATAACATATTCACATAGTGCTCTCAAATCAGACATTAACTTTTTGTGATGAATATATAGAAAGGAAAGACATCTCTGCTGGTGTGAAAGAGGTTTTTGGAAAACTTCTCACTTCTGCTTCTCACTGTAGCAATCTAACTTCTAGTAGACCATTTCTTCCTGAGTACAATTAGAAAAGCTAGGTAGTACATTCAACACAATGCAAACAAACCAACAAAAATATGTGTTAAAGTATTAAGGAATTCAGTTCAAGTCGAAGTGACTCAAACAGCTTTGTTTTATAAGCAACGGAGCTGGAGATTTGATTCCATCAAATAAGAAAGGAAAAACTGATTTTTGTATTACTAATTCCTCAGGGCAAGATTGCTGAATGTCAAGAGTGTGTGCTTTGTGTTAAAAGACATGAAATCAGCAAGTTTTCAAGATCAATTTGCAGGACCAATCCCCAATTCCCAATTTTCTAATTCAGCTTGTCTAGCAATATGCTTTGTGCTTCTTTTGGGGACATAGAGACAATCAGGACAGAAGTTTAGCATCTTATTAAGGTGACAGTGAGAATTGTTAATGATAAACAAGTAACACCAAACGTGAAACTTTAAGAATATTGCTACAGTTATTTTTTAAATTTTTTTATTTTTTATTTTTTTTGAGACGGAGTCTTGCTCTGTCGCCCAGCCTGGACTGCAGTGGCGCGATCTCTACTCACTGCAAGCTCCGCTTCCCGGGTTCACACAAGTTCCGCCTCCCGGGCTCACCCCATTCTCCTGCCTCAGCCTCCCGAGTAGCTGGGACTGCAGGCGCCCGCCAGCAAGCCCGGCTAATTTTTTGTATTTTTAGTAGAGATAGGGTTTCACTGTGTTAGCCAAGACGGTCTCGATCTCCTGACCTCGTGATCCACCCACCTCGGCCTCCCAAAGTGCTGGGATTACAGGCGTGAGCCACTCCGCCCTGCCTATGCTTCTGTATTTTCAGAGAATTTCAAATATTGCTAATATTGAGAATTATTATGATACATTAAAAAGATCAGGGCTTCTTGAATGACAAGATCTAAAAGATTCTGTTTTTTAATTGATAAACTTCCCAATTAGTTATAAATGTGTTCTTTTTCTTTGATAACATGTACATGTATTGACACATTAATATCTTGAGAATCCCTAATCAGGTTTATAAAATATTTTGCTTTATTGTAAAATGAGATACTCAGAATTCTATTAAATGTGCTTAATAATTTAAATGTTTGCATGTAATAATTTTGCCATTATTCAAAATTTGGAATGGCATTTATTTTCATGAACTGATGAAGTATTTCTCTTTTAAATACAACATCTTATTTTTGTTTTAAAATTCTATAGCTTTCTGGACTTTTGGACATTTTACCTCCTAAAATATACCAAATATCAGTAAATCAGAAGTTTCTATACATAATGGAGAAGGTAACATATTTCAAAAGTGAAAATGCTGACCACAATCCCCAAAAGAAGCAAATGAGAATTCCACACCGGCACGTCACTGGGGAGAGCAAACAAGATCATGTTGTATTTTGTAGTTCAGCAACGTGTAAAACATCACTTGCTGTCTTGAAAGCATTCCACTGGGGAGAGCAGGAATGGCTTGCTGACAACCCCATCTTGTAAGATCATGGAAATATCCTAGGTTATTTCCAAATGTTTATAGGCATCATTTAAAGGCGTGCAGCTGTGTTTTTACCTGTGGTTTCCACCTGTCACGCTATAATTGCTTTAGAATTAACACTCTCTAAGAGGAAGTAAGGATTCTTAAGAGATGTATTTGGTCCCAAATTAAACAGAGATGTGCGTAAACCCACTCATTTTCCCATTAAGAAGAAAGCCATAAAGGAATGCTCCTCTGCTCTTGGCAGATGCTGAAAGAAACTCATGAGTTACTCCCAGGCTGCCTTGCCATAATCTTATGGAAAAAATGATTATCTATTTCTTAAATTTACAGCATTTAAATTATGATGCCCTTTAAGTAAAGACCAACATTATCATCAGGGAAAGATGGGTTAACTGTGTTATCCATTATGTAACGAAAGACCAAAGGTGAAATATTGCATTTAGAATTTCCAATGAATCAACAAAGCTTTAAGATTTAGGTCCCATCTCCCAAAATTATCCAATAAGCTCATTAAGTCTTTTGAGGAATGGTAAAAGTATAAACAGAAAAGCAGACTAGCAATAATTATAGCTTTATACATATGCTTAATTGGCAGGTGAGAATTCTACCCCTGAACGACCCAGGCACTAGTACATATACTTAATTAGAATGAAATGCTTAAATCATGCATCATAATGTAGCATGATTTTAGAATTTCATGAAGTGTTTTAGGTTTTTATGTTAAATGTGAACATTAAAGCATAGCTAAATGTTGATTTAATGCGAGAATTAAAATAGATATAAAGAAAAAAAGAATAGGCCAGATTCGTGAGGAGAATGTCCTCCTTGCTGCTACTTCAATTCCTAAGTAGGAAAAACACCCTTTTGTAACTACATCTTGTACATATGTATTTTAGTTGAAATGTGTCAGAACATTTTCATTGCAAAACAGGTTAACTAGCTATCTCTGTAAATATATTAGTTTTTATTTTCCATTTTGTGGTATCTACATTCTAGAACTAAGCCTAGAATTAAGGTGAGAACCAGCCATTATTAAATTTATATTCTACACCAGACACATCGTATCTTGCATTTTGTCGTTCATTTACTCACCTTCTGTAGATCTGGAAATTATTTCTCCTTCCACCCAATAAATAATAGAGTTTCCCAAAGCTCACTGAGTGCCTTTGGTTACTCTCTTTAACCACTTGGAGATTTCATATAGTAAATTCAATCCCTACATTTATGGGAATGATTTATGCATTCTGCTCTGATATATTTAACGAGTATCTTCTATCAGTCAAGCTCATTAAAATTTCTGACATAGAAGCTGCTCTGTCAAGCTTTTCCATTTTCATCAATGGTACTGTGATTCTTTCAGGTTTGATAGTTTCAGGAGGCCCTACTTGCAAACATAGATCAATTAAATAAATCATGTATTTTTAAATATTCACTATTCACATGCCATTTTGGCTCATTAAAAGGAGTAGAATAGAATTAATTGAAGAATAAGGGAGATCTCTGTAGAAGTTAGGCTTTGTAAGTCTTACATTTTAAAAGGTTTAAATGCATGCCATGGGAATATGGAATTGCAGATTGAGACGAGAGAATCAAGGGGCTCTTTTTAGAGAACACACCATTTGATTTGGGGTTATGAAAATGAAGTAAAATGTTAGTAGCCAGGGGAAAGTGGGAAAAATATTTCAGGTAAAGAGTGGAGTTTCAGCAAAACCCAGAAAATTCAAAGCATCAGGAATATACTGGCTGGAGCAAGGGGCCATTGATAGGCATTACCAGCAGACAAGATGAGAAAGAAATATTGGAAGTAGGTTGAAGATAGCCTTAATTATTTCCTAAGTAGTTGACTTTATGAAATAATAATGGGGAGTTAAGAAAGAGAGGGATGTAATACAACATCTTTTACAATCATACCTCTGGCAGTTGTCATGGGTTGAATTGTGTTCTTCACAAAATATGTTGAAGTCCTCATTCCAGTTCCTATAAATATAATTTTATTTGGAAGAAGGGTCTGTCTTAGTTCTGGCTGGGTGTCATAGTATCATAACTGGGTACCACATACTGGGCTACTTGAGAAAACAGAAATTTATTTCTCACAGTTCTGGAATCCGGAAGTCTTAGATAAGGGTGCCAGCATGGTCATGTTCTGGTGGAGGGCTCCCTTCCATGTTGCAGAATTCTGACTTCTTCTGGTGTCCTCACATAGCAGAAGGGGTGAGTTAGTTGCTCTCTGGTCTCCTTTATAAGGGCACTAATCGCATTTATGAGGGCTTCCCCCTCATGACCTAATTGCCTCCCAAAGGCCCCACTTCCAAATACCACTCACATCCATCAGGGATTAGATTTCAGCACAGAGATTTTGAGAGGAGATAATATTCAACCCATAACAATGTCTCTGCAGAGGATCAAATTAAAATGAGGTCATTAGTGTGGGTCCTAATCCATTGTGACTGGTATTTTAATACAAAGACAAAATTTGACATAGAAATAGATATAACAGGAAATGGTGTGAAGACACAGAGAAAATATCATCTGTAAGCCAAAAAACAAATGAGGCTACCAGAAACTAGGATTGCTGCATAGAACAGATTCTCCCTCACAAACCTGAGAAGGGGCGAAGGAAGCTGACATCTTGATTTTGTACTTCTAGAGTCCAGAACTTTGAGACAATAAATTTATTTTGTTCGCGCTCTCAACTTGTAATACTTTATTTTAACATCCCTAGGAAACTAACACAGACATCATGTAGATCATGGATGTAAGGCTTTGAAACTTGAGGCAGAAAAAACAGGTAAGTACAGTCACGCATCAATTAACAATGAGGATGTGTTCTAAAGAATGCATTTGTAGGTGACTGTGTCATTATAGGAACATCATAGAGGATACTTAAACAAACTTAGCCTACTACACACCTAGGCTGTATGATATAGCCTATTGCTCCTGGGCTACAAACCTGTACAGCATGTTACTGTACTAAATACTGTAGGCAATTGTCACACAATGGTAAATATTTTTGTATCTATACATATCTAAACATAGTAAAGGTACAGTAAAAATACAGTATTTAATCTTATAAAATGACATTTGTATGTGCAATTTTCTGTCATTGACTTAAACATTATGCAGGGCATAATGTTTGACTAAAACATAATCTTTGCCTAAAACAGTTATGCAGGCCATGACTATAATTGTAATAGAATCCTGAAAAATAATTCAACTTACAATTTTACAGTGGTGCAAAAGTGATACATCTTCAGTAGAAACCTTATTTTGAATTTTGAATTTTTCATCTTTTCCCAGGCTAAGGATGTGTGGTTCCATACTCTCTTGCAATGCCGGGGGGCAGCAACTGAAGCTACCAGTCAGGCCACAAGATTATGAGGGTAAACAACTGATATTCTGCAGTGCACTGTATTGCCAGAAGATTTTGCCCAAATGTAGGCTAATGTAAGCATTCTGAGGTTCCATACTCTCTTGCAATGCTGGGGGGCAGCAGCTGAAGCTACCAGTCAGGCCACAAGATTATGAGGGTAAACAACTGATATTCTGCAGTGCACTGTATTGCCAGAAGATTTTGCCCAAATGTAGGCTAATGTAAGCATTCTGAACACGTTTAGGGTAGGCTAGTCTAAGCTGTGAAGTTCAGTAGGTTTGGTATCTTAAATGTATTTTCAGCTTACTGATGGGTTCATCTTTATGATGATGTAATCCTGTCATAAATTGAGAAGTAACTGTAGATTGGGAATAAGTGAAGATATCACCAGATGTAGGAATGAAAAAGGTGGCCTATATATGAGAAACATTTTTATTTATTTATTTAACTTTTATTTTAAGATCAGGGGTGCAAGCATAGGTTTGTTACATAGGTAAACTTGTGTCATGAGGGTACAGATTATTTCATCATTCAGGTATTAAGGCAAGTACCCATTAGTTATTTTTCTGATCCTCTCCCTCCTCCCACCCTCCACCTTTAAAAGGCCCCATTGTGTGTTTTCCCTTCTATGTGTCCATGTGTTCTCATCATTTAGCCCCCACTTATAAGTGAGAACATGTGGTATTTGGTTTCCCATCCCTATGTTAGTTTTCTAGGGATAATGGCCTCCAGCTCCACTCATGTCACTGCAAGGGACATGATCTTGTTCTTTTTATGGCTACATAGTATTCTATGATGTATATGGATCAAACTAGGAAGCTAAAAGTCATTTGTGTGCTTTCTTTCCTTTACTTCCTCCACAATTAATTTACCAATAGTCTTATATTCTTCATTAAATTTAAGTAAATTTAATAAATTTGTTTATTTAATAATAAAGAAAATAACTTTTCATTTTCTAATTTGATCCACTTAGTTCAATGATTAAAAGGTGGCAAAAATGAAACGTTCAGAAGAAATCACCTTGGAATGTGAGAAGAGAAATTATTTTAGAAATGCTTTATTTTGAAGTTACTGTGAGCTATTTGGTTTGTTGTTTTCAAAGAAACTTGAAAAGAAAAAGAAGATTTTTACTGGACATAGAGATTTGAGTTTCATTAACATCTGAATTAATGAGATTGCATAATATGGAGTGAAGTGACAATGGCTGAGGGAAAGGAAAAACAATACTTAAAGGTCAGCTGGTAGAGAAGGGAGTTAAAAAGACTTAAAAGTAGTCAGCAAATAGGAGAAGTGCTAAGGAAGCCAAAGAAGTAAGAGTTCCAAGACAAATGGAAAGAGAAACTATTCCAATCAATAGAAATCCTCCCTAAGTCGTTTTATGAGGCCAGCATCATCCTGATACCAAAACCTGGCAGAAACACAACAAAAAAAGAAAATTTCAGGCCAATATCCCTAATGAACATTAATGTGAAAATCCTCAGTAAAATACTGGCAAACCGAATCCAGCAGCACATCAAAAAGCTTATCCACCACAATCAAGTCGGCTTCATCCCTGTGATACAAGACTGGTTCAACACATGCAAATCAAGAAATGTAATCAATCACATAAACAGAACCAATGACAAAAAGATGCAGAAAAGGCCTTCAACAAAATTCAACAACCCTTCATGCTAAAAACTCTCAATAAACTAGGTACTGATGGAATGTATCTCAAAATAATGAGAGCTATTTATGACAAACCCACAGGCAATATCATTACTGAATGGGCAAAAACTGGAAGCATTCCTTTTGAAAATGGGTACAAGACAAGGATGCCCTCTCTCACCACTCATATTCAACATAGTGTTGGAAGTTCTGGCCAGGGCAATCAGGCAAGAGAAAGAAATAACGGGTATTCAATTAGGAAAAGAGGAAGTCAAATTGTCTCTGTGTGCAGATGACATGATTGTATTAAGAAAACCCCATCGTCTTGGCCCAAAATCTCCTTAACCTGATAAGCAACTTCAGCAAAGTCTCAGGATACAAAATCAATGTGCAAAAATCACAAGCATTCCTATACACCATTCACAGACAAACAGAGAGCCTAATCATGAGCGAACTCTCATTCAGAATTGCTACAAAGAGAATAAAATACCTAGGAATCCAACTTACAAGGGATGTGAAGGACCTCTTCAAGGAGAACTACAAACCACTGCTCAATGAAATAAAAGAGGACACAAACAAATGGAAAAATATTCCATGTTCATGGATAGGAAGAATCAATATTGTGAAAATGGTCATACTGCCCAAAGTAATTTATAGATTCAATGCCATCCCCATCAAGCTACCAATGACTTTCTTCACAGAACTGGAAAAATCTACTTTAAATTTCATATGGAACCAAAAAAGAGCCTGCATTGCCAAGACAATCCTAAGCAAAAAGAACAAAGTTGGAGGCATCATGCTACCTAACTTCAAACTATGCTACAAGGCTACAGTAACCAAAGCAGCATGGTACTGGTAAAAAAACAGAGATGTAGACCAATGGAACAGAACAGAGGCCTCAGAAATAACACATCTACAACCATCTGATCTTTGACAAACCTGACAAAAATAAGCAATGGGGATAGGATGCGCTATTTAATAAATGGTGCTGGGAAAACTGGCTAGCCATAAGTAGAAAGCTGAAACTGGATCCATTCCTTACACCTTACACAAAAATTAATTCAAGATGGATTAAAGACTTACATGTTAGACCTAAAACCATAAAAACCCTAGAAGAAAACCTAGGCAATACCATTCAGGACATAGGCATGGGCAAGGACTTCATGACTAAAGCACCAAAAGCAATGGCAGCGAAAGCCAAAATAGACAAATGGGATCTAATTAAACTAAAGAGCTTCTGCCCGGGAAAGGAAACTACCATCAGATTGAACAGGCAACCTACAGAATGGGAGAAAATTTTTGCAATCTACCTATCTGATAAAGGACTAATATCCAGAATCTACAAAGAACTCAAACAAATTTACAAGAAGAAAACAAACACCCCCATCAAAAAGTGGGCAAAGGATATGAACAGAGACTTCTCAAAAGAAGACATCTATGTAGCCAATAGACACATGAAAAAATGCTTATCATCACTGGTCATGAGAGAAATGCAAATCAAAAGCACAATGAGATACCATCTCATGCCAGTTAGAATGGCAATCATTAAAAAGTCAGGAAACACCAGATGCTGGATATAACGTGAAGAAATAGGAACGCTTTTACACGGTTGGTGGGAGTGTAAATTAGTTCAACCATTGTGGAAGACAGTGTGGCGATTCCTCAAGGATCTAGAACTAGAATTACCATTTGGCCCAGCAATCCCATTACTGCATATATACTCAAAGGATTATAAATCATGCTACTATAAAGACACACACACACGTATGTTTATTGCAGCACTATTCACAATAGCAAAGACTTGGAACCAACCCAAATGTCCATCAATGATAGACTGGATTAAGAAAATGTGGCACATATACACCATGGAACACTACGCAACCATAAAAAAGGATGAGTTCACGTCCTTTGCAGGGACATGGATGAAGCTGGAAACCATCTTTCTCAGCAAACTATCACAAGGACAGAAAATCAAACACCACATGTTCTCACTCATTGGTGGGAGTTGAACAATGAGATCACTTGGATACAGGGCAGGGAACGTCACAAACCAGGCCCTGGGCCTGTCAGGTGGGGGGCTGGGGGAGGGATAGCATTAGGAGAAATACCTAATGTAAATGATGAGTTGATGGGTGCAGCAAACCAACATGACACATGTATACCTATGTATCAAACCTGCACATTGTGCACACGTACCCTAGAACTTAAAGTATAATAATAATAAAACAAAAAGAGTATTGAGGCTTCAGGTATAGAAACAGCCTCAAGTTTTAGCTTTGATGATGTTAGCAGCAATGGTGATAATGGGGGATTTGGGAGAGAAAATTCTGTCTCAAGCACCTCGCTGCTCTACTCCTCTTCCACTCAGGCATTGGCAATGGCAGTGGTGGTGGTGGCATACTGATGATAATGGTGCTGATGATGGTGGAGATGGTAGTTATGGTACAGGTGCTGATGGTGGTGGTGGTTATGGTGACGGTGGTAGTAATGGTTGTGATGGTGATACTGATGGTGTTTGTGGCAATGGCAGTGCTAGAGGTAGAAGCAGTGGTGGTAATAATTAGTGTGTTATGTATGGCCTTAAAGTTATCAAAGCATTTTTCCACATTTTTTCATGGTAGAAAAGAAAAAAAAGTAACAGTAGAGAAGAACAAAATTTAAAGATTTGATATGCATTTTGCTGGATCTATGAGACTTGAAAGTGAGTTGGATATATGAGTTAAAGAAAGAGAAGACTAAATAATAACTGTAGTTCTTTGGCCTTTTAACTAAAAACACTCAAGTGTTCAGGTAGAAGAGTATGTAAATATTATATAAAATATATGTGTCTAGTGTGAAATAAATGAAACCTCTGCTTATGGAATTCAAACTTTTTGATCATACAAAAAAAGTTGTTACTAAACACCTATTATAAGTTTGATTTTGTGTCACTGATTAGGGATTAAAGACATATATGAGATATAGCTCCTACCTAGAAAGGACTCATAAACCTAAGAGATAGTTATATAAATAGCTATCTTGAACTGCAATAGATTTTCCTAAAAAAGCATATATAAGGACTTATGAATATCTGACATAGTAACTGCATAATTGTTAAATGTCTTTTGTTCGAGATTTAAACTGGAAACTTCTTTAGAGAAGGTCATTTTTTTAAACTTCCTTGTTGACCTCACAGTACCAAGAAAAAACTGCAAGACATATAATTATAGTCCAAAATACAGAAGTTTGGAAGTCTAGAGCTGTATATTCATTTAATAACCAATGTATGCTTTCCAATAGCGATGTAAAGAGCAAATTCTGAGTATAAACTTCTTTGTAAGTGCTTACTTGTTCTTTTGCAAAGTCCAAAATAATCATCGGGAGAAGAATGGCCTCTTCTTCAACAAAAACACCACAAAACAGTTGGTACCATTAAACACAGTTCCTCCATCTAGAAAACAAGGTAAATGGCTAATAATAAAAGGCTAAGTAAAAAGGTATGTGTTTTATGTATTAATATTTGGGTAAAACGAAATTTACTTAAGTATTTATACTGATTTTTACCATCCTTCCTTAAAAAGTTCTAAATTCTAGTTTAACTCTTTGTTTAAATGGGTTAAAATAAAGCTGTTCAAGACAGTGCCTCTGTATCCCACTAAGACCAGAACAAGCAGTGCAGGTGTCCTTCAAAACTAGAATGCAGCCAAGTATGCAAATATTCTCTCATGCTGAGAGAGGACATGCAAGTGACCTGATCCTCTGGCCAACTGGCAATGGCCATGTTGGCAGATTCACTGATTTTTTTTCCTTTTGCTAGAAGGGAAGATAAGAATATTCCTAGATAGACACACACACACACAAACACACACACACCCTATATATATAGTGATATATATATGATATATCTGATATATATATATATATAGAGAGAGAGAGAGAGAGAGAGAGAGAGAAAGAGAGAGAGAGAGAGTTACATGTATTGCTGCATAGCTTGCTTGTCAATTTTAGTAGAAGAAAGTCCTAAAGTTAATCGGCTTTGGCCTCATTATCACAGTTAGTGGAAATCATTAGAGTGGGCTGCAGGGAAAACAAGGATAATTTGTCCATCCAAGAAAAGGAATTAAACATTGCAAAATAAAAACCATAACACTGCAGTGTAATGGGATGAAAAGACTAAACTGTATAGAAATGTTTTAGATCTAAACAAGAAATGCACAAAGTAACATATTCCTAAATTAAAACTTTTCTTGATTCTTCAAAATTCAAGTTAGTTACTTTGTTAAGAACCATGACATTTGTCATGACCTTAAATTTGTGGTTTTACTATTCTCCATATGTCTTTTTTCTTTTTTCTTAACATTTAAACTGACTCCTTCATACTTTACTATAAAAGACATTTACAAAACAGATACTCTTTGCAAGAGTTTTAGACAAGTTCGCAGCCTGAAGCGCTGAACTCTATTTGCTAGATATATAATGGAATGTTTTAATTTCTAACCTGAAGCAGCTTACCCAAAGATTTAAAATGCTTTGGGGATTAATCTATTGTTCAAAAACGCTTTTCAGCAGAACCATTTAAGAATGACCCTAATGAATAAATGCAAGGATTTTGTTAGGCCAATCATGTTAACGTAAAAGGCTATTTTTGCATTTGACCCAACTCTGACAAATAACCAGTCTTAACTAAACCTCAGTCTTCTTTATTTAAGAAATAATCTTCCTCTACTTAAATACAGTACCTAAGTACTTCTCTCAAATTTACAGTTACTCCATAGAATAACATGAAGGCAAACAAATAAATATGTTCGGAGATGAGTTATGATAAGGCAATTAGGCAAAAACCTATAAATATGTGTATCAAAATCATATAAATGGTTATGCATGAATCTTGGATTAGTCATATTTATCTGGATTTGGGACTGGTCTGGAAGAATGTCTGAATCTTGGATTTCACCTACTTGGTGTGATAACTTCAGAAAGCCTAGTTATCTCTAAGATTTGTTTTCTCATTTTTATTGTCTTCCTCTGCTTTTCTCTTCCCCACCTTCTTTCCTCTCTCTCTCCTTCCTTGCATATTATATTGCAGAGAGTTGCACAGTAAAATAGATGGTGTATCTGATAATGATAAGTGCTATGTGGAGAAATATAGCAAGGAAAGAGATTGAAAGTGCTGAGAAGAAATGTTTGCTATTTTACACTAGGTGATCAAGGAAGTTTTTGCTTATTAAGAAAATGACAAGTGAGCAGACTCAAAGGAATTAAGGCATAAGGTTTATCAGGCTGTTTGGCAGAAGATCATACTAGAAAGAGGGAGCAATAAAGAAAATCTTTGAGTTAGAGAATGGTTGATGTGTTCAAGAAAGAGACAGAACTAGTCAATGAAGCTAGAGTGAAGTGAGCTGGGCAGATGATGCCAAAAAGTTAGTTAAAGGATATTGAATTATATGGTACAAAATTAGGTAGTCATATAGGTCGCTGTGATGACTTTAAGCTATCTGATTCTAATTTAAAATCCAAAGCAAGGTTTTACAAAGGAGAGTGAAATGTTTTAAATGACTCTGTCTTGCCTCTACACTTAGAACACCCTCTACAGGAGCAAGGCAAAAAATGTGAAAAATGATGATGGTCTAAAATTAAGGTGAAAGCCGTAGAGGTGGTGAGAATTGATTGGATTATGTTTGCATTTTGAATGTATTTCTTTTTAATAGTTAGATTTTTTGGAGTATTTTTATACTAAAAGATTGAGCAGAAAATACAAACATTATCAATATATTCTCTCTCCACATCCTGACAGATTCCCCCATATTGACACCTTGCATTAATATGGTACATTTGTTAAAAATGCTGAAAAAATGATAAATCATTATGAAATACAATCCATAATTTAGATTTGTGTTCTAAAGTCTTATGGGTTTTAAAAAGTGTCAACTATGAGAATATCATACACTAATTTGACTGCCCTAAAAATCCCCTGTAATCCACATATTCTTCACTTCCCCCGAACCCCTGTTAATCACTGATCTTTTAATTGTCCCTGTAGTTTTGCCTTTTCCAAAATGTCCTATACTTGTAATTATACAGTATGTAACCATTTCGGATAGGCTTCTTTGATTTAGCAATATATATTTAAGTTTCCCCCATATCTTTAAAGAAAAAAAAAGCAGTGTTATTGAGGTAGAATTGGCGTAAAATAAACTACACATGTGTCAAATATACAATTTGGTAAATTTCTGTCTACCATGTTAACAACTTTTTAGTGTACAGTTTAGTAGTATTGAGTAGATTCACGTTGCTGTGCGATGGGTCTCAAGAACTTTTTCATCTTGTAAAACTGATACTCTGTACCCATTAAACAAACTTCCGATTCCCTCCTCTACCCAGCCCCTGGTAACCACCATTATACTTTCTATTTCTGTGAAGGTGACTACTTTAGATACCTCATAAAAGTGTAATCATGTAGGACTTAAGTTGTCTTTCCTGGATATAGAAAATGTCTGGTGTATAATAGGTTCTCAATAAATAAATATTAAGTTGATGGCAATGGCTAATCATGAGGTAATAATATTAATAATTATGTATCAAAAGACTTCAAATATTACATAATATAATTTTCAGAGTACTGATACTTAAAAACATCCTTTAAAATTGGAATAAAACTTAATTTTTCAAAAATTATAGCAACAGAAAACAAACAAAAAATAAACCAACAACAAAAGAGCAAAATAGGTCAACCCAGTAGCATATTTGTTAATCAAAAAAGTATCTTATAAGTACTATTACATATCATCAACCTAATTATTTTACTCATTTTCTTCACTTGTAAACACTGATCTCTATAATGTCAATTAGAAGTTCCTTTCACTAATTTTCCTATTATATGAATGACTTTTCCAGTCTCTCTTTAATTTTCAGCTAAGGTGTGTTGCTAGTGGGAATGACATAAATTTTTAAAAGAATGTTACAATACAATGGAATTTAGCAAATAAAGTACATATCCAGGGGTCAACATGAAAGTGGCATGAGGTTCTGTAGCACTTTCTTTATGCGATGTGCTCTACCTTTTATAATTTAATTAGTTGCTGCTATCAGATGACATGTGCATATGAATTTGCTGTCAAGTGCTTAATATTTTTTATTGAAATTCTGATAGAAAACTTACAAGTGTTTTTTCTCACTAAATGTTTGCTATAAGTTTATGTGCATATTTTCCATACTCACTTCATACATAATTTCATAGTGTGTTGACATTCTAACATATGTTTCTGAAGGCTAGCTGCAGAGTCATTGTTTATGTATACAGTATTAATACACTCCCACAAATTTTTTAGCTTGTATTAAAGAAAATGACAAAACCTAAACATGTGTATTAAAAATTATCTCTGACATTTAAAGTAGGTTCAATAGCTGCAGTGCAGCAATTATTGCAGCTGTATGGAGCCACGGCATGACATGTAGATTTTATTTTCAAGTCAGTTGATGCATATACCCAGTGAGCAGTCATACCACCCTTGCTGTAGTCAGAAAATGGAGATTTGTTACAACTAGACTTAAAGAAATCTTTTCTTTTTTTTTAGGCTATTATTTAATAAGGTTTATGAAATAGGGTTTCATCAGACTGCTCTTCTGTACCTCAACAAAAATAAACTACATACCAACACAAAACAAAAGATACAGCAGCATTGCTCTTACTCAGATTTGGCTTGAATGTTACTTTATAGCAATAAATGGCAAGGAATGAAAGAAGATTCTTCCTCATTAAAAATGCAAGGAACGCATGGTAGAAAATAATGAAAGGAAGAAAAAATAAATTATTTACTTAATGAAGATAAGAATAGTAAACTATTACTAAAAATTATGAATTTTTTAAATTTAAAAAAGCAAATAAGTGAAGTACTACAGCATAAAGGTTAATAATCAAAGTTGAAATGATTACCTCCTACTTAATGTGACTTAAGACATGAAGAATCTGTCAAACAGTTATATTAATAATCCTGTCCCATAGATATTTTGAAGATTTACTTTATAATTACATGTGAAATGCTTAAAACAGACTGGGCATGCGCTACATGCTCATTAAAAGTTAACTATTAGTATTCTTTGGCCGGGAGCGGTGGCTCACGCCTGTAATCCCAGCACTTTGGGACGCCGAGGCGGGCGGATCACTAGTGGTCAGGAGATGGAGACCATCCTGGCTAGCATGGTGAAACCCCGTCTCTACTAAAAATACAAAAAATTAGCCGGGCATAGTGGCGGAAGCCTATAGTCCCAGCTACTCGGGAGGCTGAGGCAGGAGAACAGAGGGAACCCGGGAGGCGGAGCTTGCAGTGAGCCCATATCGCGCCACTGCACTCCAGCCTGGGAGACAGAGAGAGACTCCATCTCAAAAAAAAAAAAAAAAAAAAAAAATTAACTATTAGTATTCTTAAGATGCTTTGGATGCTTGATTTTGGAGGTGTAGAAGAATAGTGACACTGGATTAAGTGTTTTTTTTTTTGTTTTTTTTTTTGAGAATATAAACCGTCTTCACGTAATTTGGTGCACAGGAAGTTGTGTTCTCATGAAACTCGAGGTTTCAGGAATATTGAGAAATCATGCTGAAGATATGAAGATATGTGGGAAAGGATGGGGGAGTTCCTTTATAATGATGTGGTATTACGAAGGCCACAGTGTATAGATTTTTGTAGGCAATAGAAGTGCTGATCTCTGAATTAACGACAAGAAAGCCCATAGCTCTGTGATAATGGCAGCATATTGCAGGGACTTGTTCTTCAGGCATTGATCAATAGAAACTGGCATATTGACCAATGTGGTCGATTTTCTCCCCAGTATTCTTTGGGATTATAGTGGCCATGTGAACTTTACAGGATATGTTTGAAGCCTCGAAGAAAATGTGCTTTGGTTAGAAATGGAACCACATACTTTCCCTGATCCACAGGCGTTTGTCACAGATGGTCCTGTGGCAGCTGGGGGTGTACTAAAAGAGCCCACAGGAGTGAGGTCTCAGTTGAAGACCAGTGGTTTCAACCAAGTTAAGACTCTGAAAAGTCTCCATTTGGATTCTTTTTATAGCATTTTGGGATGATTAAATGAGTTAATATATGTAAAGCACTTAAAACTGTGCTGGAATATTGTAAGCAGTCAAAAAAAAGAGCTTGTTTCCATTTTCTGTTCCTTATTTTCTTTTAAATAAGATCAATGTAAAATATATCAAATGACCCTATCATATACCACCAGGAAACCACAAACCAATGAAATATAAACTTTTCAGAAGAATCAGACAAATATTGTACCAAAAAGAGCTCCATACTTACTGTAAAAAGACTTCCATTTTAATCTTGCATCCACTTCCAAATTTCAGCGTGATCTTGAGCTAGTAAGTTGAATTCTTCTGGCTTAAGCATCCTCATCTATGAGGTGGCAATTGTCACATACTTTTCTACGTCCTAAAGGACCCTTAGGGCACATGAGCCTTGTCAACTGTAAAGATGTATTTATTAAATATACTTATAAATAAGTAAATGTAACAGCATTATTATCAATTATTAAGAAATTGAAAACTGTATTTTTTCTTATTATTTCTCCTGAGAAGTGGGGATGGCAAGTGAATTGCTAGATTAATAAAGATTAACTGCTTAAAATGTTAAATTGAATAAAGATTACTGAAGAATGCTGCAAGAAAATATCCTTTTTCTTATATATGTATATGTTATATTATGTATCTGTATATTTCATTTACATGGTGCTTTATAATTTTATTTCTATTGAAATTTTATTGATTTTCTGATTATACCTTCAAATATTTAGGATTTCTTTTATTGTCAATAGAGGATGCTCAAATTAAGTGCACTGAAGCCAAGAAGGCTAATACTTCTGTAATTAGTGACACATAACAAAATGTTGATCCTTCAGAAAAACCAAAAGCACTCCAGTTGAGGAAAGCTGCAACTATTTAAAAGGAAAATATGTGGGACAAATAACACTCTTCTTATGTATTTTTAATTCTGTTTGTAGCTTCTTGAAAAGGTTTATAGATAATGTCATACACTATCTGTAAAATGTTAGTGGCAGTGCTTAGAATAATATAACTTTTACTTAATTTAGATTTACCTAATTCTCCCTCTGAATTCTATAGATGATTAAATTAGAAAAGGGAGAAAATATTCAAGTAATTCTAAGATGAAAACTTTCTAAGCAGATCCTCTACCTTTTTCATAGGAAATGCCAGGAATCCTAGCCAAAAGAGAATGTTATTTATCCATTTGAAAGAAATTGAAAAATGTTAAGCTGACCTCAATGTAGATGTCTATTATGATAAAAAGAAAAAGAATATAAAAAGAGTATACTGATTTAATTACACAAATTATTTAGGTACAGCCATGATATTTCACAAATCAGCTCACAGATCAGCTTCCTACCATTCTGAAAATGTAGATGAAACAAAAAAAAAGTCTGGCCGGGCGCGGTGGCTCACGCCTGTAGTCCCAGCACTTTGGGAGGCCGAGGCGGGCGGATCACGAGGTCAGGAGATCGAGACCATCCTGGCTAACACGGTGAAACCCCGTCTCTACTAAAAATACAAAAAATTTAGCCAGGCGTAGTGGCGGACGCCTGTAGTCCCAGCTACTCGGGAGGCTGAGGCAGGAGAATGGCGTGAACCCGGGAGGCGGAGCTTGCAGTGAGCCGAGATAGCGCCACTGCAGTCCGGCCTGGGCGACAGAGCGAAACTCCGTCTCAAAAAAAAAAAAAAAAAAAAAAAAAAAAAAGTCTTCACAGAGGTAAATTGCAAAAAGAGAGAAAAAATTATGAGAAATAAGGGTAGAATTAGCAATAAATTTTCAAAAAAATGCTGCTTGGAGACAAAATTACTTCTATGGTTCATCTGGTCTTTCTCACTATTTGCCACCCTGCTAAGTAGAGAGATTTCCGTTTGTTCAAATCTCTTCTTCAGTTTTAAATAGTTTCATTTCACTTTCTATATTCAATCTACTTTAAAATTGAAGGAGCTGTCATTATGCTGTTCATAGGCATTGGCAATGATGTCTGTCTAATCATTGCTTGTTCTTCTGGCAACTGCAGCTGAAACCTGTAGCTGGTGACCTTGTGAAGCCCTTTCTTTCTTCTTTGTCTTTTAACTTCTTGAACATTGTTCGTGCAGTTATTTTAAAATCTGGTTCTGGGAAGTCTCATATTTGGGTTTCTCATAAGTGATGTTTCCAGATAAAATACAGAATGTCCAGTTGAATTTGAATTTCAGATAAGGGCTGAATAAAATTCTAGATTAACAATGAATAATTTTTTTAGTATAAGTATGTTCCACATATTGCATAGGATATTCAACGTTTTTCTGAAATTCAAATTTAACAGGGTGTCTTCTGTCTTTTTTTTTTTCTTCTTTTTGAGACATAGTCTCGCTCTGTTGCCCAGGCTGGAGTGCAGTGGCGCGATATCCGCTCACTGCAAGCTCCGCCTCCCGGGTTCATGCCATTCTCCTGCCTCAGCCTCCCGAGTAGCTGGGACTACAGGCGCCCGCCACCACGCCCGGCTAATTTTTTGTATTTTTGGTAGAGATGGGGTTTCACCGTGTTATTCAAGATGGTCTCGATCTCCTGACCTCGTGATCCGCCCGCCTCGGCCTCCCAAAGTGCTGGGATGACAAAGGTGTGAGCCACCGCGCCTGGCCTTCTGTCTTCTATTTTATTTGGCATATATGACAAATTGATCCATAAATTTATATTTATATCTGCAGATTACATTGATTCTTTTGGTTTGTATAATTGTTTTCCTCTTTAAGTGTATTTATTTGTTTATTTTACATTGTGTGTTATACATATTAGCAAAATTATAGAAATAGTAAGGTCTCATATGAAATTATCCTCTCTTAAAATAGTATGCTTGTATCTGGCAGGTACTTTGAGAGACTAGCAATCCAGTAGCAACTTAATCAAATTTCAGGGATTGCATAGATTCAAAGCTGAGCCTCAGCTCTTTTGAGTTTTAACTACTCATTGATCATATTTATCTCAAATCGAGATAAGTCACTTTACATCTTCTTAAGAATAGGTAATTTACTTTCATAAATACACAGGGAACATAGGATTTTATTTTATTTATGATATTGTTTTTAATTTTTTGTGAAGGTGTTCTGCATAATACATTCTGTGAAATTTTAGGAGCATCAACAGGAATAGAGCAACTTTTATATCTAATTTTAAGTTAAAGATATCGAATGTACTGGAACAATCTAAGCATGTTTATATTCATCTTAAATATAAATCCAAAATTTGGAACTGTTTCTATTCTTAAACACAATTATCAATGAATTGGACCAAAGGTATGAGCCCATGTATCAAAATAAAATTTGAAAAGCAAAGCTACGCTTCATTAATCTGATAAAAGCATTGTCAAGTATGTTACATCAAAATTTAAAATAGTATCTTTGAACCAATAATTTAATTGAAATGATTACTACATAAAACTTAGATCATCGTCTTCAAAGAGAACAAAGTGTTAATATTTTAGTCTTTCCAATAAAAATGTGAACTGATTATATTATCATTTGAAAACAGTATAATATTTGCATGCAAAGGAGAAAACACAGAGACTTGAATGCAAAATTTATATTGTAGCTTCTAGCTAACGACAAGGATGGTAACTTCAAAGTAGAAAATTCCAGAAATAAACACAATAAAAAATAATAACAATCAAAATGCCTATCATACCCTTAGGCATTCGGATAAGAAATAATGCCATTTGTCTGGCAGAAGGTATGTTTCTGGTAATAAGTTTTAGATGCTGAAAGCAAGATGATTATTTATCAAAAAAAGATTTGTTTTTCAAGCTCCATTGGTAAAAATGACTATATTTTTAGTTGGGAAGATACAAGAAATTGTGTCTTAGTAAGTTAAATAATCTTCCAACAAGCTCAAGTAAATAAGTTCAGTTGAAATTCAAATATCCCAAGTATTGTTAATCTTATTTCCATTTTCCCAGATTTTAGTGAATATTCTTTTGTTACTAGTTGTATCTTCAGTGGTTTGATGAAGCTAAATCTGGGAGATCACTCATTCTAGGTATGGATCTCCTTACCCTTGGCCTCTGCATCATATTTTGGCCTATCAGAAATGGTGAAAAGTCAAATGTAAGATGAAAGCTATCAGATGGCGTAAGAAAACTCTGGACCAGGTCTTAGAAGATATAGACCAGTGCTGTCAAGCTCTCTCTAAAAGTCTGGTAACACAACCATATTTTTTTAATAAGCAGCTTCCTGAATTTGATACACTGGTATTTGGCCATTTGTACACCATTCTTACCACACGATTGATGAATGATAAACTTTCTGAGGTGAAAAACTACAGCAACCTTCTTGCTCTCTGCAGAAGAATTGAAAGGCACTATTTTGACGATTGTGATAAAGGCAGATTGCCTTAAAATTATGTGTTAATTTTGTTATTATTTTCAAAAGTTTAACTTTTGAAATACGTTTTAGTTGAATGTTATATTAGATATTGGTATCAGAATTTTAAAACCAAATAACTTCCTTTTGAAACCTCAAAACAAATTATACAATGTATCCTATATATGTACTTTATATTGTTATTTGTGTACACGTTAAGATAATTCTGAATTATTTCATTTGATATGTTATATTCTATACCTCGAAAGTTTTGTTTCCTTGAAACATGCATGCATATAAAAATGAAGTTTAAACAACAGCATAGATGTTACATTTACTTTCTTTTGATCTTTCTGAAAGTCACTCACTGAATTTTACACATGTGGAATAAACAGTGTTTTTTTCTAAGACACTGCTGCTGCCTGGAGGTGCCTGCCACTAGCCATGGCCAACCCCACTCTGTTTGGCATAGCTGCAGAGGGTGAGCCCTTGGGCCACGTCTTCTTCAAACTGTTTGTAGGCAAAGTTCCAAAGACAGCAGAAAACTTTTGTGCTTTGGGAACTGTAGAGAAAGAATTTGGTTATACGAGATTCTGCTTTCACAAAATTATTCCAAGGTTTATGTGCCAGGGTGGTAACTTCATGCCATAATGGCACTGATGGCAAATCCATATGCGAGGAGAAATTTGGTTATGAAAATTTCATCCAGAAGCATAGAGGTCCTGGCATCTTGTCCATGGCAAATGCTGGACCCAATAAAAATGGTTTCCAATTTTTAATCTGCCATGCCAAGGCTGAATGGTTGGATGGCAACCATGTGGGCCTGGACAATGTGAAAGAGGGCATGAGGGTATGACTGTTGTGGATATTATGGAATGACAAGATCAGCAAGAAGATCACCATTGTGAACTGTGAACAACTCTAATAAATTTGACTTTTGTTTTGTGTTCAACACCAAACCATTTCTTCTGCAGCTCAGGAGAGCACCCATCCACCTCATTTGTTCACTATAATCTTTGTGCTCTCACCGCAGTTCTTTAGGTTTCTAAAGCCAACTCACAGTAGTTCAAATTTTTTTGCTAAAATCCAGTTTACTGTCAAATGTTTTGCTGCCAAAATACTTATATATAGTGAATAAATAAGTGGTATGCATCCTTATTTAAATTAAAACTTAAATCATAAATATCTTTTTAGAATGATTGTTGTACATATGAAAAACTTTAAATCAACACGGTCTGCAGTATCATTTTGATGATGGGAATGATGTGCATTATTGGGTTTAAAATAATTTTACCTTCCACGAGCCTTTTTAGAAATCCAACTTGTTACCTTTTAATTGACTTGAATATTGGGTGAATAGCTATAGTATTAATCCATGAAGTACCCTAACTCCAGGAAACATAGAAATTATAAAATACGTCAATCTGAGAGACTCACTAATAATATTTCTTGATGTTTTTGGACAGACAGATAATGAATAGTATTTTTCTTACTGTTGCATATGGTTGTTATTTAATAATATGGATGTTATATTGAGGTATTTCAAGATATTACAATCTATAGCAAAATTTAAGATGATATACTTTTTTTGAATACACTGTAATTTTCTATTTTAAATTTTTACAACTAGTGGCTTCTTGTTCAACTATTTTGTAGTATGTCTCATCTATTTATGTCCACATATATGAAACAATTTATACATTTTATTGAGCTTTAAATAAAATAAACTATTTGACAGTTTAAAAAGTGTGTACTAGAGCAAATTACTTAATATTTCAGGACCCCAGTTATTCCAGCTGTTAAATGGAGTGGATCAAAAGGCTGATTAAATGTAACGGATTCCAAAGAATGGCTGGCACATAGTAAGTACCATATAATTAGACTTAAACTGCTAAGATTAATTATATTTTTTATTATTTAAAAATCTATAAAACTCTACCTATTAAATTAGCATGGTATTCAGTCTTTTTCAAGAGTTTTATTCCAAATATAGTTCTGAGGATATCCAGGGTTACTTATATTTGTAATTGAATCAGTTTTCTCATGGTCTCCTGGGATAACCTGCCAGGAAATTAAGTGTCCTGATTAGGCTAGATTCTCAAAACAGTGGCCGTCTGATCTCATTTCCCTTCATCCTTCCGGCCTCATTCTCAGGACAGAACAAGACAAGCCATTAACCCTGAAACCCAGTGGTTCCCACATGACGGCCACTTCTGATACTTGTTTATTTATGTGGATAAACATGGTTCCTTGAGGAATGAATAATAATACTCTTTTCGGTATAATACTCAGGGAGGGCGACAGAGACGTCCCTTGTGTTATAACTTTTTATAGTTAATCATCGTCAAGTCTTTGGTGTGTTACTAATGCTCAAATGGTATTTATATTTTTTCTCAGGGGTGGGGTGGGAGGCACTTTTTCTGCATTAGCTGCACTCTTTGTAGAGAACCAACACCTTAGTTTTATATCCTAGACTCTGAAATTGAATTTGATTACTCTAGGAAACTCTCATTTTCTGTATGATGAGATTCCCCTTAGGAAAAAAAATGCTAACTTAATTCCTACCTATAGCTGATTGAGGCCATATGAGATACATTTAAATAAGGAATATTTGAATATGTTTATTTTTTGCCTTACATTTAGTCCTTTACAGGAGGAAAAGCAATGATGTCCTACCATGTAGTTTCCCAGCCACTAATTACAATGGTTGTATGCGGGGAGGGAGCACAGCTGAGAGAAGGGATCTAACTCCTTGTGATGAAGTACGAGGCCAAACTGTCCTGTTAAATAATTAAATTCATAGTGTGTTGCATTTTGTAGATTTGAGCACTAACACATTTCAACATGGGAATAATTACCTAAAAAATAATAATATTTAGAGAAAAATACTATTTTATTTATTTATTTTTTTGAGGTAGAGTTTCGCTCTTGTCGCCCAGGCTGGAGTGTAATGGCGCAATCTCGGCTCACTGCAAACTCTACCTCCTGGGTTCAAGTGATTCACTTGTCTCAGCCTCCCGAGTAGCTCAGATTACAGGCATGTGCCACCATGTCCCACTAATTTTTTAAAATACACATTTTTAAGTCAAAACAACCCCCACTCCTGGCTTGTTTATGAATCTCTTATGAGATGAACTTCTACTGGTTTCAATGATGACACGTAATTTTACTATGAATACGTTTCAGAGGCTTTTTTGTAAGCAGAATTAGAAAATTATTTCTGATACCTCTATGCAATTTTACTATGTTTCACGAAGCATGCTAAAACTTCATTTTTAGTATTAAAGGTCATATATTAGATATATTATTTTACCAGAATAAGAGTGTTGAAAAAAAGTTGTCACATTAAATATTGTACAAGATGTAAATTGATTACAGTTATTTTTGAGGCTTTCACTTTTATATCTTAAATTACAGATTCCTATCTTTTGATATAAGCAGTTATTACCTGAAATAGGGACTTAAAGTGGATTTAAGAAATGATTTAGAAAAAAAGTGCATTTGGGCTTTGTGATATTAAGAAATTAAATTATTCCATTTCATCTATCCTTCTATCATTATCCTTCTATTCTTCTCTCATTAGTGTCTATAGACATTTGATGGGGGGATATATTTTGAAAGAAGCAAAGAGATTACCAACATGGATTAATTTATTGAGAGCGGTATATAAATGCATTTAACATATTAATAAAATATTTAACAAATTCATAAAATATGAACCCAAATTGGAACAAAAAGACTCCTGCTTAAAAATATCATATTTTTTTCCAAATGCATAATACAGGTATGTGTATACATATGTATGTATGTGTGTAGATAGATAGTTAGATTGACTCACAGGTAGGCCGAGACATACTTTCCTTTGGCTCTGAAACTAAGAGTTGTTTTTCTCTTAGTCATCTCTACTGTTGATGCTGGAAATACGGAAAGAAAGTTTTTACAGGACTCTATTGATCGTACATTGATTCATTGAATTCTTTACAAGCAGACTATTTATAATTCGTACTTGTTCATAAATTTTTTTGAAGTAATTTATTGAGTGTCACATATATATGTGTATATATATATATGTGTATATATATATGTGTATATATATATATGTGTATATATATATGTGTATATATATATATGTGTATATATATATGTGTATATATATATGTATTTGGAGATACATATATCTAAATAAAAATATATACCAGGTGCCATGGGGAAATGACCAGAGACACACTAATTGAAGTGAGCACTTTGGGGAGAGGTTTAATCATTTGGTGGTTGGGCTGAAATTTGAATTATAGAAAGATTCCATTTTCCAAACATATCTTGGTTTGGTAAGAGTTCTTTGTTACAGAAAATTACACACACACTAATTTTGTGGGCAGTCTGTTCAGTAAGACAAACTAAATCCAGATATGTCAAGAGAAAGTCTCTTTTTTTTTTCAAAAATGTATTTTGCTTAAAACTGTTGAAGTAAATGATATTACTAAACCAAATCTGCAAGTTGAATCTGGCAACGTCAAGACTTCTTGGGCATAACCAAGGTAAAACCATTAATCATTTTTAGTGCTCTTCAAAGAAAAGTTTCACAGTAATCAATAGTGATATTGCCTCAGAGGAATGATGCAATGGAAACTTTGTACATTTCCAATGACCCAGGTAGCCAAACTTCTTTTTCATTATCTCACATAAAGGTTCAACATGACATTCAGGAATCAAGACCACACAAGCATTGAAAAAAGGCTTTATAAAACTAAATGAATAGAATCCTAACTACATAGAAGCCTGATCATGATGAACCCTAATTGTTCATCTCAAAATAGAGGCTGATTACTTTTGGCAGAGTAAGGAGTTCCAGCTTTTATCGTTATTGCTTTATTCCATTAAACTCTCATTACATCATCAGAAAAGAAAGTCAATACTGACTTTACCAATAAGATTCAGGAAAAACATCAAGAATAATTACAATGATCAGTCCTGATCTTACCCAAAATTGCTGAGTGTGGCATCAAAATAAATATTAGAAATTTCAATAATAAAGATTTAAAAAGGGTAAGAATAGACAAAATGAAAAAAGGAAGAGAATATATAACGACAGATATTATAGTTTGGCTTTGATATCAGAAATAGGTACTGTAGAAGAGATCCTGAGGGGAAACTCCCACCCTAGGATAATTCACACTAGCAGATGGTTGCTATTCTTAAGTGTATTGGGATTATTTGAAGAATAAAGGGGGAAATAAGAAACAATGAAATATAGGTAGACAGTGATAAAAGGGTGAATTTGGGGTTTGTTCATATTTGTTTATAGGCTACCGAGTATTGTGAAGAGGAATCTGGGTTCAAATAATGAGCTATAGATTCCCATAGTGACTGTTCCACCAAATGAGCTTATTCCCCTGAGACTCATTTTTATCACAACCAACAGAAGTTAGTAATGTTACTTGATCTGTCTGCTGCGTAAGACTTCCTAAGCATCAAAATAATTCATGTAAGTATACTTTCAAAAATAAGAGGTATTATGAAAATAAGTATTACTTATAACTATTTCAGCCCAGGCTCCCACCTTCATCGGTGTAGGCTACAATGCAGTGATTTTTCAGTCTTTAGTCCTTCACATATTTTTATCCTGTGACTCTTTTTCACCTTCATTCTTTCCAAAATCATCAGGTGGGTCAAAAATACCTGTTGAGATTGGGCTATTGTTAGGATGGATCTGAAGACTGTGTGAAGTTACTATTTCAGTAACTTTCTCTTGGAATTCAGCGAAAAAAAGACTGACAAACTATTTATGGCTGTGTTCCTAAAGCCAAAGCGTGTCAAAAAGAAAACCAGGCCGGGCACAGTGGATCACGCCTGTAATCCCAGCACTTTGGGAGGCTGAGGCGGGCAGATTGCCTGAGGTCAGGAGCTCAAGACCAGCCTGGCCAACATGGGGAAACCTTATCTCTACTAAAAATAGAAAAATTAGCCAGGCGTGGTGGCAGGTACCTGTAATCCCAGCTACCCAGGAGGCTGAAGCACGAGAATCACTTGAACCCCTGGGGCAGAGGTTGCACTGAGTTGAGGTCAGGCCACTGCACTCTAACCCGGGTGACAGAGTGAGACTCTGTTTAAAAAAAAAAAAAAAAGAAAAGAAAAAAAAAGAAAACCAAATCCCCCAACTTCTCTATAAATAAAGACATACTCATCCGTGTACATGAGTCTTAGTATTTTATGTTCACCTGCACAGGGTATCATATACTATACACTTATTTTACAAAGAAGCAGTTTGTTTCAGGGAACCGTTATCTATAAACAGAACATTCTCCCTAGGTATAGTTTAGAGAATAGAATAAAGATTGTGTGTGTGTGTGTGTGTGTGTGTGTGTGTGTGTGTGTGTGTGTTTAAGTAATTTCCTTCAGGCAACAGGAGTCAAAGTCAAATCAATCTCTGATTCTTTATTAAGTGACTTTACTTGAACAGGAAAAAACAACTTTGTTGAATATTTGTTATACATTATCTTTTCAGTATCTTTTCTTTTTCTGTAGCCTTTTCTCTTTAAGGTTTTAAAATTTTTATGTCATACCCCAGAAACTTATAAAGGGTGCTGGACAGAGTCAAGATTCAAGTGCTGTGATCCATGGTAGTGATTTGGGAGGAATGTGGAGTCCCTATTTCCTGTCTCGAAGTTTATAGAGGGTTAAAATAGCAAAAGCTTACAAATAGGAACAGAGAGTGTCTATAAAGACATTTAGCAGTTTTAAAAAGCAGAACATGAAGTTACCTTAAAAACAAGTAGTGATAATTGGTTAATTAGAAGTAGAAAATTGGCTAGGTACTAAAGGAATTCTGAGAAGAAAGCATGAACATAAAGGAACAAAAGCTGAGCTATAAAGACAATTCTCCTTTTTAATGTCTCCAGTTCAAAAAATATTGGTGATCTTTTAGATGTTAGGAAATAGTGCCATGTAGAAAATAGTAGAAATAATTAAAAGAGGATCATTACAGAGAAGCACGACTAGTTTGCTTTATTCTCTGATGATCCACCAATTTAAGAAATGCTGAATTGAAAAGGAATTTAAGTGTTGACATTCTCTAAGCTAATATTATTGATAGCTTAAAATTCTATTTATGTAATTAAGTGCAGTAATCACCATTACAGGAATAAGCTGTCTCACAATTAGAAAGAATCTTGAATTTTTAATTATTAATTCATAAAAAATGATTCCTTGTAAATTAGTTCAACCACTGTGGAGAGAAGCTTGAAGATTTCTTAAAGAACTTACAAAAGAAATACCATCCAACCTAGCTATCCCATTACTGGGTATATACCACAAGGAAAATAAATTGTTCTACCAAAAAGACACATGCAATTGTATGTTCATTGCAGCTCTATTCATAATAGCGAAGACATGGAATCAACCTAGGCACCCATCCATGATGGATTGAATTTAAAAAAATGTGGTACATGTATACCATGAAATACAATGCAGCCATGAAGAATGCAACCATGCCATTTGCAGCAACATGGATGCAGCTGGAGACCATTATCCTAAGCGAATTAATGCAGGAACAGATAACCAAACACCACTTTTTCACTTATAAGTGGGAGCTAAACATTGGGTAACTATGGATAGAAACATGGGAATAATAGACACTGGGAACTCAAAAAGGGGAAGGAGGGGAGGGAGAAAGTGCTGGAAAACTACCTACTGGAAACTGTGCTCACTACCTGGGTGATGGGATCAAGTGCTCTCCAAACCTCAGCATCACACAATATGCCAGTGTAACAAATCTGTCCATGTGCTCCTTGAATCTAAAATAAAAATTGAAATAAAAATTTGTTCTAACTTACATATAGTGAATTTCTAACTTCCACATATTAAAATTTAGTCATAGGTATATATTATGTGTTTTTACAAATGCATAATCATGCAAATTCCACCACAATGAAGATACAGAAGAGTGCCATCATGCAAGAGATACTATTCATGCTGTCCTTCTGTAACTAAACCTACTTTCCTCCAACTTTAAATCTTGGCAACCACTATAGTTCTCTCTATCCTTATGGTTTTGCCTTTGCCATGAGCATATCAACAGTTGAACAATTAAATTTATTTTTAATTACAAGAAAAGAGAATGCACAGCATAGATAACCATGAGGCATCTCAGAAAGATGATAGAAAGAAGTTTTTATTGAATTTGGGTTTTCATAGGTAATTTTGGAGAGAGTCTGAGGAAGCAGGGTTTTGACCCACACTGGGTGCTGTCAGAAAGCAGGGCATTTTGTGACTGGGTAGCTCAATAAAGCTTACCTGTGTGGAAGACAGAGTAGATGGAGTAAAAATAAAACTTAGTTGGTAAAGAAACCAAAGTCACTTATTTAGAGAGATATAAGAATGTTTTGTACATGAATGCTTATAGTAACACTGAAGTCTAGCTCGGGGCCTAAGATCAGTTTCTAGTTTCCTCAATGACCCATTCTCTACTTTTCTCAGACAAATAGTCTCTGTCCAACAACCTCCAAAAACGTTCCAAGTCACTCAGAGCAAAATCCAATGTCCTCATAACAACCCCATGAGGACCTAAATGATCTGTTCTCTGTCACTGCTCTAACCTCAGATTTTACCATTCTTCTCCTTTACTCACTCAGCTCCAAACACCAGACCTACTAGCTGGTCCTGAATCACACTGAGTGTTTTCCTATCGCACCATATTTCCGATTGCTTAATCTATGCCTGGAATGATTTTTCCCCCAGAAGTGTGTAGGGTTTAGAGTTTTTGCTCTAATAGTCCTTCTTGGCATGGTCTACAACAGGGGTATCCAATCTTGGCTTCCCTGAGCCACACTGGAAGAAGTGTCT
Organism: Homo sapiens; assembly: GCF_000001405.40. Classification (NCBI taxonomy): domain Eukaryota; kingdom Metazoa; phylum Chordata; class Mammalia; order Primates; family Hominidae; genus Homo; species Homo sapiens. Next base: position 125,354,187 of record NC_000007.14, read on the forward strand.
TAAGCCACACAAAAAAAACACTAACACTAACGATAGCTGATGCGCTAAAAAAATTAAAAAATCACGAAAAGAACTCACAATGTTCTAAGGAAGTTTACAAATTTGTGTTGGGCCACCCTCAGAGCCACCTTGAGCCACACGTTAGACAAGCTTGGTCTGCAACAACCCCTCTATTAAAAAGTGCAACATGTCTCAGTGCATTTCAACACCACTTATCCTTTTTTCATTTATTCTTTTCAAAACAATTTCTCTCTTCTTAATATATAATATACAGGGTATTTTTATGTATTATGTTCTATAAACTCCATGAAGACAGAAGTTTGTGTGCATTTACCTCATTTCTGTAAAGCCAGCAGATAGCACAGTGCATGGTGCTCAAATGAATAACTAGTCCTACCTAGCTGGAGACTATCCTTCCTGGCTTCCCTTTCAGAAAACTATGGCCATGTAACTAGAACATCACAAGTGGAACATGACCCAAAGTAATGTGTGAACTTTCTGCCTCACTTGCTTCAAAGAATAAGGACTGCATTGAATTTCTTCTGCCTTTTCTGGAACACAAATTAATGAAGTCTAACTTCATCTTACAGATTATAAAAGCATGCTAGTGGATGGAGATGCAACAAGAGATGGCTTGTTAAATTGGCTGCTTAACTAGGGACTGCTATGCAAGAGAGATTCACACGTCTTTTGCTTAAACAATTGTACTTTGGGATATTCTTCTTATAATAGTTTATCCTTCACTTCCAATATTACATGTGATCTGATCACTGTCTTTATTTAGTTCCCTCAAAAATTATTCCTACAAATATTTGCAATATAATTTGATGATCTAAATTAGAGAATTTGTAAAATTTCACTTGAACAAGTTTATAGGTATCTGTAGATCACTGGCAGCAATAACTCTTTTTATACAAATGTCTATACTTCTTGAGGTTTGCTATAGATTAAAATTTCTGGAGGAAATGGCAACGATGTACAGACTCCTGTGTGAGTTAGAATATATAGAACCTAGGGTATTTTTGATTCTTTAAATGAGAAGCCTCATGCATATTTGTTAGTTATGTATCCAGTGGAGAGAAAAGGTTTGATAATATAAATAACAGAGAAGTAAATTGAAAGGTTCATCCAGCTCATGTATAATATGTCCTTCAACTAGTATTATATATTTTTATTTGCGGAATTTGTGTAGTTTAGTATCTCCACTTCAAAAATTATTTACAAATACACTACTCCATTTAACATGTTTTTGCTTTCACATTGCCTAGTTAACAGTACAATTTATTGGACTTTTAAAAACCAAATTGATATGTTTTAATTATATAATTATTAAAATATATAAACCAGTAAATGTGTTATTACAGTTAATACATATGCTCAATATCAACATATAGCTAGCTGATCATGTTGATGTTGCACAGCTAGATTTTTATTCCATGACCCTTAGCTCCATGAAGTTTACTTTTATTTTCTCTTTTAATATATTGTTCTGAGCTCAGACATTGGTTCTACCACTTTATATCAATAATCACATAAAGATAACTCTCTTAACTTTGTTATCCACATTTGTGAAATATGGGTAGCAATGGCATTGCTTCACAAATTTTAGAGGGATGAATAAGTAACTGGTTTTGAATCAGGAAAGTGCACTTATTAACTTAACGTGTAGGAGAAAAATATTTAAACCCTTATAGCCACATATTACTCATTTGTATACCGTAAGTCTTAATAGTGGTAAAGATGAAATAACATAATTTACACAAAATGCTTAGATTAGTACCTTATAGGTATCGTTTGGCTGTGTTTCCACCCAAATCTCATTTTGAACTGTAGTTCCTATAATACTCACATGTGGTGAGAGGGACCCAGTGGGAGGTAATTGAATCATGGGGGTGGTTTCCCTCATGCTATTACGAGAATAGCGTGTGAGTAGATAGTGAGTAAATTCTCATGAGATCTGATGTTTTTATAAGGAACTTCCCCCTTTGCTCGGCTTTCAGTCTTCTTCCTGCCACATGTGAAGAAGGATGTGTTTGCTTCCCCTTCCACTATTATTGTAAGTTTCCTGAGGCCTCCCCAGCCATGTTGAACTGCGAGTCAATTAAGCCTCTTTCCTTCATAAATTACCCAGTCTTGGGTATGTTTTTATTAGCAGCATGAGAATGAACTAATACGCATATACATTGTCTATTATAGTAATCTTTTGCTGTTATCATTACTCTGTAAAAGTCTATTTGTTGAACAAACCCAGATTTCACTATATTTTTGTGATAAGCAAAATTATCTTAATAGTGAATACACAAATGTGGGAGTTTATTATTATAAGTCAAAAATTTTAAGTAGATATTTCTTTGAATGTTTGTTTTAAGCATTAAAATAATTTGAATATTTGTTTTAAACATTAAAATAATTTAATTGAAATTCCAAAATTTAATAACTTGAATTTAATAATTTGCTGTGGGTATTCACTTATAATTCACCAGCATTGACTTAAAGTTACACTTCATTTCTTCCCACTCAGCTGACTATCTAAATCTTTGCCTTCTAAAGGATATGGAAAACCAATGTCCTACCACACTAAAATAGTAGCTATAGCAATAATAATAGCAATAAAATGAAAAATAAATGTCAATTTTACCATGCCTGGCTTCTAACTAAGAATTAGTTATTATGAGACATTGCATAAAAGAAAAATTTAAATGATAGTTTGAATGCTATAAAAGTATAATTAGGTGAAAAGATAAAACCAAGAGTTCTCTGCTGCCCATTGGCCTATATGTTTTTTGAAGCTTAGTGTCCCCTTTAAGTGAGATAACAGCTATGTCATTTTGCATCCTCTGGCTAGAGATGTACAATTAATGCAAATTAAATTTTGCTTGCATTTAATGTTTGATATTTTCTTCTCATTTTGTATACTTTCCCTTATTTATATCCTAATAGGATTTTCATGTTTCATTCAGAATTAGAACAATAAAACATATTTGCATATATTCTCTTTGATCTTTTTAAGATCAATCATAATTCTAAATATTATATCTTTCTTTAAAGAAAAAAAAGATAAAGTCATAGGTAATGGATCAGAGAAGCTACTCAAAAAACTGCATGGGAAATTTATAATGTTAGATAAAAATATTTGCCTTGAAATTGAAATCAGAAAATAAGAGCAGAAACAATATCAAGACGAAGAGTGATGGATAAAATAAGTTGCAAGATTTGTATGTTATTGGTATGAGAATGACCATGGTGTTTATTCAGAAAAAAATATTTTTCTTTTGCAAACACACCAAAATATATTTATAAAAGTAGTAAGTTAGCATTTTGTCTCATCTTCCTTGATACCTCCTTAGTGTGGTGACCTTGCATCAGGTGGACATAAGATATTTGGCTCCGTTGAACCCTGGCACCTAAGATATAAAAGGTTTCTAAGGGTGTCTCTCCCTCTATAATCTCATGCCAAAAGAATCATGTAGAAAAGAATGTTTCCAAAATTTTTAAAAATATTTCTTCCAAGAAACAGCAGCAACAAAAAAACTATTTCAGAGAAATATCTGAGCATTTTTGCTACAGAGCTGAATTCAGAAAAATGAAAAATCTAGCTCAACCAATTCTAGCAACTAGCAGACACCAAAATAAGCAGATTTCAAACTTATGACTGTATAGAAAGGCAGGATGTTAAAACTACTGTGTGCTGCTCTTCTTGCTCATAGGCAGACTTTGAAATAGTCTCTTATTGCTGCATTCCTGAGGCATTCTCACTGGAGGGCCTTCAGCAATTCTCTTCTGTCCCACTACTCTAATTCATGGATCTGTTCATTAGATGTAGGAGGATCATGTTCTTTTGAAACACAGAGAGAGAAAAGGAAACTTGAAGCTATGTTAATATTATTTTTGTTTTAAAAAAAATTACAAGACATATTCAGGTATGTGGGTAAATAATTTGTTTTATTCGATTGGCAAACACATCCCCTTCCAGGAAAATGTTTAGACAAATAGATTAGAGTACATATATGTTTGTCCATTGATGTCAAAAAGTTGACAACCCATGACCTGAGTAATCTACTTACTACTTAAACCCTTATAAACCTTTAGCTTTCCCCTAGTTATAAAATTCACTTCCTCTTGTAAATTTACTTCTGCTCTAGTTAGACAAGTACATTTCAGTGTTCTTTTGCCCTTTCTCAGCCATTTGAAACTAATTTCCTTTTAGGATATGCTCTACTACATCTAGTTTTTAAATTCCAAACTATTTGTAAAGCTCTCTGTTGTATTACTCTTATTTAATGTATCACTGCCTGTAGCATATATGTAAAATGTAATTCACATTTATTTGCCTTGTAGTATTTTTTTTTAAACAGGCTTTAAAAATGTATGGTTTGATAGTATTCCAACCACGGAAGAGCTTATTGCAAAATTGGATTCAGTCTTCTCAAACCGTGTACCTGCTTTATCCATTAAGTTCATCTAATATTCTAAATCCTTTGTTATGAGTTCAACAATTTTCAAATCTTTATTGGTCATCTTCACCAGTAGATATTAACTCAAGTATTTTAAATATTTGTTTTCCTGTGTGGCTTCATCAGGGGTAATCTGGAACAAGAACATACAGGTGTAGACACAATGTTCATTGCCAAAGTGGAGATTTAAGTAAGTGACGTGGATAGTTACAGAAAAATAATCCAATTATCTCTCTTATTTCTGAGTTTTCCTATATTTTCTTGCTACATGCATGCTTTGAAGATATTGTGGGTTCAGTTCCAGACCACCCAGATAAAGTGAATGAGTCACAGTAAATGAGTCACACAAATATTTTGGTTTACCAGTGTGTATAACAGTTATGTTTACACCATACTGTAGTCTATTAAGTGTGCAATGGCACATGGACTAAAAATTATTATACATATGTTATTTAAAATAAACATTAATGCTAAAAATGCTAATGATCATCTAAGTCTTCAGGAAGCTATAATCTTCTGCCAGTGGAGGGTCTTGCCTCAATGTAGATTGCTGCTGACAGATCTGGGTGGTGGGTGCTGAAGATTGGGGTGGCTGCAGCAATATCTTAAAATAAGGCAACGATGAAGTTTGACATATTGATTGACTCTTCCTTTTGAGAAATATTTATATGTAGGATGCAATGCTGTTTGATAGTATTTCACCCACTGTAGAACTTCTTTCAAAATTGGAGTCAATCTTCTCAAACCATGCAGCTGCTTTATCTACTAAGATCATCTAATATTTAAATCCTTTGTTATCAGTTCAACAGTTTTCATACCTTTATCAGGAATCTTCCCTAGTAGATATAATCTCAAGAAACCACTCTTTGCTTATCCCTAAAAAGCAATTCTGCATCTGTTCATGTATTATTATGAGGTTGCAGCAATGCAGTCACAGCCTCAGGCTCTGCTTCTAATTCTACTGCTCCTGCTATTTCTACCATATCTGTAGTTCCTTTCAGCACTGAAGTCATAAACGTATAAAGTTATCCATGTGGTTTGAAACCAACTTATTCCAAACTCCAATTAATATTGACATTTTGACCCCTCCCCATGAATTACAAATGTTTTTAATGACACCTAGAATAGCAAATTCTTTACAGAAGACTTTCAAATTACTTTGCACAGATGTATCAGAGAAATCACTATCTATGACAGCTATAGCCTTACAAAATGTTTTCCTTAAATAATAAGACTTGAAAGTCAAAATTACTCTTTGATTCATAAGCTGCAAATGAATCTTGTGTTAGCAGGCAGACAAGCAACATTAATCTCCTTATACATATCCATCAGAGTACTTGGGTGACTAGGTGCATTGTCAATGAGCAGTAATATTTTGAAAGGTATTTTTTTTCTGAGCAGTAGGTTTCAACAGTGGACTTAGAATATTCAGTTAAATTATCCTGTAAACACATGTGCTGTCATCCAGGCTTTGTTGTTCCATTTGTAGAGCACTAGCAGAGTAGATTTAGCATGATTCTTAAAAGTCCTATGATGTTCAGAGTTTTCAATAAGCATTGGCTTCCATTTAAAGTCACCAGATGTATCATTCCTTAATACAAGAGTCAACCTGTCAGTTGAAGCTTTGAATCCAGGCATTGACTTCTCCTCTCTAGCTATGAAGGTCCTAGATCGCATCTCTTTCCAGCAGAAGCTTGTTTTATCTACATTGAATATTTGTTGTTTAGTGCAGCCACCTTCATTAATGATCATAGCTAAATCTTCTGGATAATTTGCAGCTTATACATCAGCACTTGCTGCTTCAAATTGCACTTTTTTCTTATAGACGTAATTTCTTTAGTTCTGCAGCCTCTTCACCCCCATGAGCCTTTACAGAATTGAAGAGAGTTAGGGCTTTGCCCTGGATTAGGCTTTGGTTTAAGGTAATGGTGTGGCTGGTTTGATCTTCTATCTGGACCACTGAAACTTTCTCCATATCAGTAATAAGGCCGTTTTATTTTATTACCATTCATGTGTTCACTGGTGTACACTTTTAATTTTATTCAAGAACTATTACTTTGCATTCACAACTTGACTGGTAAGAGAAGCCAGTCTAGGCTATCAACATACCTTCCTCACCAAGCTCAATCATTTTTAGCTTATGATTTAAAGTGGGAGACATGTGACTCTTCCTTTCACTTGATCACTTAAAGGGCATTGTAAGGTTATTAATTGGCCTAATTTAAATAGTGTTATGTCTCAGAAAATAGGGAGGCCTGAAAAAAGGGAGAGAGACCGGGAACAGATAGCTGGTGAAACTGTCAGAACTCAGACAATATTTATTGACTAATTTTGCCATATTATATGGTGCGTTTTTTGTGTCCCCTGCCCCCAGTTATAATAGTAACATCAAAGATTACTGAGCACATATCACCGTAACAGATAATAATGAAAAAGTTTGAAATATTGGAGACTTACCGAAATGTGACACAGAGACACAAAGTGAACATAAATTCTTGGAAAAATGGCACTGATAGACTTGCTTGATGCAGGGTTGCCACAAAACTTCAACCTGTGAAAACTCAGTGTCTGAGAAGTACATGAAAGCACACTACAATAAAATGATGTATGCCTGTGTCTAATAACAACAGCAAATATCTAAATTGATAAGGTAATAAACTATGAGAAATATCTATGAAAGCAACTCAATATAACCAGAATGTTTATGAAGAAAAGATATGGGAAAGTTTTATCATGTTACAGTTTACTATTCAAAGCAATTATTCAATCATTTTGTGCTCAACAGGAGCTCACCAAGTTTCTGGCAAATTGTTTGTCATGAACTGAGGATTAACAAAGTCACAATATTCACTGAAAGTGTGTGGAGATTCAGTTGCCTGTATAACATTTTTTTTTCTTATTTGAGTGTTATGCAAATGATTATTGGCTTTTCCTGAAATTGAAGTCATTTCGTAGCTCTTCAATTCTGGGCCTTTTTTGAGAAATGATGACACACAGAAGAAAACTTTTAGATACGGATGGCAAATCACCATAAGCATAAGCATATAACTATCAGTTACTAAATTCAATTCCATAATATATCTCAAAAATGTGTTTATTTTGAGACAGGGTCTCGCTCTGTTACTTAGACTAGAGTGAAGAGGCATGATCTCAGCTCATTGTAACCTCCACCTCCTGGGCTCAAACTATCCTCCTGCCTCAGCCTCCAGAGTAGCTGAGACTACAGGTACACTCCACCATGCCTGGCTAATTTTTGTACTTTTCGTAGAGATGGGGTTTTGCTATGTTGCCCAGGCTGGTCTCAAACTCCTGGCATCAAGCCATCCACCTGTTTGGCTTACCAAAGTGCTGGGATTCCAGGGGTAAGCCACTATACCTAGCCAATATTGTAAATAAACTATGATTTCAAAACATAGTGAAATTTTTAAAAAGTTAGGGAGAAGAAAAAGTTCCTCTGGGAAAAGTAAAGCAATATTATGAAGAAAACTTATTTGAAAATTTATTAAGAATCAAGACACATTCAGCTACCAGGCACTCAGTAGATGATCCAGGGCAATGAAATGCAAATGTTCTGTGAAATTGAACTGATTCTTTAGTAGTATCTTATGTATGTTTAATAGAACTAGTATTTTCACTGATTTTTAACTTTACACTTTGAACTTTTTCAATATCCTTCTCATTTTAATTAAAGATAGTTTACAGGTATTGGGAGTGGAGGAGGCAGTTATAATCATAATTAAAATAAGAGGATTATCTTAGTCTAGGTCAAGAAATCTTCCCTATGGGTGGGCTTAGGAAAGCCCATAGAAATTGATGAGAGCAATTTCCAGTTCTCCAGCTGGGGTTCCCTAGGTTATCACTATTGATGAACATTTAAGAACCACAAATGTGGCAGTTCGTTGGGCTAGATCTGTGGTAAATACATTGCAGAACTACTCACTTTAATTGGTAAATGACCTTGTAAATCTGACTTTTATCATTACTGATAGTTTTGTCCTGTCAGTATTAAATCATGATTATTTAAAGCATTAAGAAATAAAATAAAGACTTTATTTTTTACTTTTTATTTCAAGCATCATTATAGTTTTTCAGAAAAACTTTTTTAAAATTAAAGTGCAACATATGAATGAGTATACATCTTAAGAATGTGTAATCCAGTTTGCAGATCAATGACCATACCAAGAAACCACCTTTGAACCAAGACATTTTCTTCCCATTCCAGGGATAACAACCATCCCAATACTATGAAAGGAGTGTGCTTGTTTACAAACTTAATTTAAATATCATTATGCATTAATACTTTTTAAAGTCTGAATTCTTTTACTCCATGATATATCTGTAAAATTTTTTAAAGTTTTGGTTGTAGTTGTAGTTTAACTCTCATTAATTTATCTTATTCCATTATATGATTACACCACAAAATAACTAATTTATTCTATGGTTCATAGGTATTTAGGTTGTTTAATTTGGGGATATTAATTTAGATATTACTCTATAAACCTGGAGCACATGCCTTTATAAAATGTAGGTATGCATTTTTGAGTATATAAATGGTACTGTTTTTTTGATTCATAGGTGTAAAAATATTACCCTATAGTTAGATAAGGCCTAAGAGTTTTCCAACATGGATGTATCAATTTGCACTCCCACCAGCACTGTTCAAGAGTTCCTACTACTTCACATAACCTTTTTTTTTTAAATAGCTTCTAGTTATGTGATGGGCATTTAATCATATCTAATTATTTTTATCATCAGGAAAATTCATATAAAAACTTTTTTTAACTTTTATTTTAGGTTCAGGGTATGTGTGGAGGTTTGTTACATAGGTAAATGGCATGACACGAAGGTTTGATGTAAAGACTATTTCATCCCCTAGGTAAGTAGCATAGTACCTGATAGGTAATTATTTGATCCTCACCTTCCTCTCACCCTCCACTCTGAATTAGGCTCCAGTATCTATTGTTTCCTTCTTTGTGTCCATGTATGCTCAATGTATAGCTCCCACTTATAAGTGATAATATGTGGTATGTGGCTTTCTGCTCCTTCAATAGTTTGCTAAGGATAATGGCCTCCAGTTCCACCCATGTTGCTGCAAAAGACATTATATTCTTTTTAATGGTTACATAGTACTCTATGGTATATACGTACCAAATTTCTTTATCCAGTGTACCACTGATGGACATTTAAGTTGGTTCCATGTCTTTGTACTTGTGAAGAGTATTGAGATGAATATATGTGTGCATGTGTCTTTATGGTAGAATAATTTATATTAGTTTGGAAATATATTCAATTATGGGATTGCTTGGTCAAATGATAGTTCTGTTTTAAGTTCCTTGAAAAATTGCCAACTGCTTTCCACGATGGCTGAGCTGATTTACATTCCTTCCAGCAGTGCGTAAGTGTTACATTTTCTCTGCAGCCTTGCCAGTGTCCGTTAGTTTTTGACTTTTTATTAATAGCCATTCTGACTTTGTCAGATGGTATCTCATTGTAGTTTTGACTTGCATTTCTCTAATGATTAGTCATCTTAAGTATTTTTTCATATACTTGTTGGAAACTTGTATATCTTCCTTTTAAAAGTGTCTGTTCGTGTCCTTTGCCCACTTTTTACCATTTTCTTTCTTGTAAATTTGTTTCTGTTTCTTATAGGTTCTGGATTATTAGACTTTCGTCAGATGCATAGTTTGCAAAAATTTTCTCCCATTCCCATTCTATAGGTTGTCTGTTAACTCTAGGTTGTCTGTTAACTCCCTTGATAGTTTTTTTTTTTTCTGTGCAGAAGCTCTTTAATTTAATTAGATCACATTTGTCAATTTTTGTTTTTGTTGGAATTGCTTTTGGTGTTTTCAGCATGAAATCCTTGCCAGGGCCTATGTCCAGAATGATATCCCATAATTGGTATTTCCTAGGTTTTCTTCAAGGGTTTTTATACTTTTAGGTTTTACATCTAACGCTCTAATCCATCTTGAGTTGATTTTTTTGTATCTGGTATAAAGAAGGGGTCCAGTTTCAATCTTCTGCAAATAGCTAGCCAGTTACTCCAGCACTATTTATTGAATAGGAAGTCCCTTCCCCATTGCTTATTTCTGTCAACTTTGTTGAAGACCAGATGGTTGTAGGTGTGTAGTTTTAGTTCTGTGCTCTCTATTGTGTTCTATTTGTATATGTGTCTGTTTTTGTACTGGTATCTAGCTGTTTTGGTTACTGAATCCTTGTAGTATAGTTTGAAGTTAAGTAGTATGATGCCTCCAGCTTTGATCTTTTTGCTTAAGATTGGTTTGGCTATTCAGGCTCTTTTTGGCTTCCAAATGAATTTTACAATAGCTTTTTCTAATTCTGTGAAAAATATCATTGGCAGTTTGATAGGAATAGCACTGAATATGTAAATTGCTTTGGGCAACATCGCCTGTTTTTTTTTTTTTTTTTTGAGGCAGAGTCTCACTCTATCACCCAGGCTGCAGTGCAGTGGCACAGTCTTGGCTCACTAAAACCTTCGCCTCCTGGGTTCAAGTGATTCTCATGTTTCAGCCACCTGAGTAGTTGGGATTACAGGCACATGCCACGAGGTCAGGCAAATTTTTGTATTTTTAGTAGAGATGGGGTTTTGTGTGCTGCCCAGGCTGGTCTGGAGCTCCTGGTCATAAGTGATCCTCCCTCCTCAGCCTCCTGGGTACTGGGATTACAGGCATGAGCCACCATGCCTGGCTTAATATTGCCATTTTAACAATATTAGTTCTTCCTATCCATTAGCATAGAATGTTTATTTGTTGGTGTCATCTCTGATTTCTTTCAGCAGCATTTTGTAACTCTCAAGTTACTGTTTCACCTCCCAGGTTAGCTCTATTAATAGGTACTTTAGGTTTTTGTGTGTGTGTATGTGGCTATTGTGAATGTGATTGTGTCCTTGATTTGGCTTGGACATTGTTGGTGTATAGAAATGCTACCAATTTGTGTACATTGATTTTGTATTTTGAAACTTTGCTGAAGTTTTTTATCAGATCTAGGTGCTTTTGGGCAGAGACTACGTGGTTTTCTAGGTATTAAATCATATCATCTGCAAACAGAGATGGTTTGTCTTCCTCTTCATATTTGGATGCCTTTTATTTCTTTCTCTTGACCGATTTTTTCTGGCTAGGACATCTAGTATTATGTTGAATGGGAGTGGTGACAGTGGGCATTCATGTCTTATTCTGGTTCTCAAGGAGACTGATTTCAGCTTTTGTCCATTCAGTATGACATAAGTTGTGGGTTTGTCACAGATTTCTCTTAATTTTTTGAGTCATATTCCTTCAATGCCTAGTTTGTTGACAGCTTTTAACAAGAAGGGATGTTGAATTTTATTGACAGCCTTTCTTGAATCTATTGAGGTGATCATGTGGTTTTTGTTTTTAGTTTTATGTGGTGAATCACATTTATTGATTTACATATATTGAACCGAACTTGCACCTGTGGGATAATGACTTTATCATGGTGGATTAACTTTTTGATTTGCTGCTGGATTTAGTTTGCTAGTATTTTATTGACAATTATTGTATCTATGTTCATCAAGGATACTGGCCTGAAGTTTTCTTTCTTAGCTGTGTTTCTGCCAGGTTTTGGTATCAGAATGATACTGGTCTCATAGAAGGAGTTAGGGAGGAGGTCCTCCTTAGTTTTTTGAAAGTTTCAATAGGAATGGTACCAGCTCTTCTTTATAGGTCTGGTAGAATTAGGCTGTTAATCTGGCTGGTCTAGGGCTTTTTCTGGATGGTAGGCTTTTTATTACCTATTAAATTTCAGAACTCATTATTGGTCTGTTCAGGGTTTCAATTTCTTCCTCACTTAATCTTGGCATGTTGTATGTTTCCAGGAATTTATCCAGTTGTTGTAGGTTTTTTAGTTTGTGTGCACAGAGGTGATTATAATAGTCTCTGAGGGCTTTTTGTATTTCTGTTGGATTGCTCGTAATGTCCTCTTTGTCAAGTCTGTGTTTATTTGGATCTTCTTTCTTTCTTTTTTGTCTAACTAGCAATCTATTAATCTTATTTATTCTTTCAAAAAGACAAATTTTGGTTTCATTGATCTTTTGTATGGTTTCCACATCTCAATTTTATTTAGTTTCTCCATTCATTTACTTTCAGCTTATGAATGTCATTGCATGCGAGATGGCTCACTTGAAGACAACATACAGTTGGGTCTTGTTACTTAATTCATCTTGCCACTCTGTGCCTTTTAACTGGGGACATTTAACCCATTTACATTTGAGTTTAATATTCATATGTATGAATTTGATCCTATCATTTTTTTTTAGCTGGATATTATGCAGATTTGATTGGGTAGTTGCTCTATAGTGTCAAAGGTCTATGCACTTAAGTGTGTTTTGTGATTGTTGGTAACAGTCTTTTGTTTCTATGTTTAACATTCCCTTAAAGACCTCTTGTAAAGCAGATCTGGTGGTAATATATTTCCATAGCAGTTTCCTATCTAAAAAGGATTTTATTTCTCATTCGCTGATGAAGCATAGTATAGCTGGATATGTAATTCCTGTTTGGAGTTTCTTTAAAAATGCTGAATATAGGCCCCTAATCTTTTCTGACTTGTAGGATTTCTGGTGAAAGGTCCACTGTTAGCCTGATGGGGTTCACTTTGTAAATGACCTGCCCATTCTCTATAACTGCTTTTAATATTTTTTTCTTTCATGTCAACCTTAGAGAATCTGATGACTATGTATCTTGATTATGGTCACCTTATGTAGTATCTCACAGGTGTTCTCTGCATTTCCTGAATTTAAATGTTGGCCTGCCTAGCAAGATTGAGGAAATTTTCATGAATGCCATCCTCAAATATGTTTTCCACATTGCTTGCTTTCTCTCTCTCTCTCTTTCAGGGATGCCAAAGAGTCATACATTTGGTCTCTTGACCCAATCTCATATTTCTCATAGATTTTGTTCTTTCTTTTTTACCATTTTTGTCCGAGTTAATTTGGAGAATCAGTCTTCAAGCTTGCAGAATCTTTTCTCAGTTTGGTCTGTCCTGTTGTTCATACTTGCAACTGTATTATGAAATTCTTGTAGTGGCTTTTGCAGCTCTATCAGATCATTTTTTTTTTCTTAAAATGGCCATTTTCTCCTTTAGCTCCTGTATTGTTTTACTTTATTTCTTAGATTGTTTGGATTGGGTTTCCACTTCTTCTGAATCTTTATAATTTTTGTTCCTATCCATATTCTGAATTTTAAGACTATCATTTCAGCCATTTCAGCTTGGTTAAGAAGCATTGCTGGGGAGCTAGTGCAGTTATTTGGAGACAAGAAGACATTGGTTTTTTCAGTTGTCAGAGTTCTTGAGCTTCTTCTTTCTCATCCGTATGGGTTGATGTTCCTTTAAACTTTGAAGTTGTGGTTGTTTGGATCAGACTTTTTGCTTTTATCTTCTCTCATGCATTTGAGGGTTTTATTGTGGTATAAAGTGGGATCAGTCAACTGGCTTCATTTCTTGAAGACTTCGGGGGGCCAAAGTTCAGCTTAGCACTCCTGCTTTCATGCTCTAACCCTAGGGTGCTTGTATTGGGCCTCTGGTTTCATACTCTGGCCCCTTGAGGTTAGAAACTGCTGCACTAGAGAGGCAAAGGTATACCCAGTTCACTGGCCACAAGAATCCAGTGGAAGATACTGGCCAAAGCGCTTCATCAGGGTGGTGGCAGTTGGATCTATGCTCACTCACACGTACCAGCAGCATTGGTAATGCAGCAGGGTACACATGTATCAGCTAGGCTGAGGCACTGGTGGGAGTAGGGCAGTGGCATCCTCGTGTGTATTTGCACCAGCCCAGATGTCTCTTAACTTAGCTGTACCAGAAAATGAGTTCATAACAATTGAGGAGGCTGGGAAGTCCAAGATCAATGTGCCAGCAGATTTGCTGTCTGCTGAGGGCTCATTGTCAGCTTCAGAGGGGTACATTGTTGCTGCATCCTCACATGGTGGAAGAAGTGAAAGGGTGAACATCTTTTTATTTGAAAGTGTTAATAAAATAGTGTATAATAATTGTCCCAAAATAAAAATTTTCCATTCATATGTTGTTTTAAAATGTAAGGAAATAGCCATTTTAAACATTCTCAATATTGCTGTGATCATTCACACCACCTTTTTTTTGTTTTGTTTTAATTTAAAGGAAAAAGTTTCTATTGTCAGGATGGTAATTTAGATGTCTAAAACTTTAGAAGTTACATTTCTTCTTTCATGATTTGCATAAGCTAAATGAATTAATGTGGGTATGAAATAAGTACATGTTATTATCAAAAGCCAATTTGCAAAACAAACTAGAGTATGTGTAGGTAAACATATATAAATACATATATACATGCATATACACATATACACATGTATCTATAGCTCCATTACATCTGTAACTATAGTTTTTCACTTTAACAAAAGTGTAAATAAATATAGTGCCTTATCAGTAAGTTCTTTTTGACATGGTTGTTAATGTTTCCTTCAACAGCTAAAATGACCCTTGGTAAGTAGGAAACTAAATAGAAAACTGAGGGAAAACACATCCAAATGAATAGCAGGCTTAATAATTAATCTATTTCAGCAGCATTTTGAGTTGAATAGATCTAAAGATTTATTATGAGTTGGTGCAAGGAATACAAAATCTAGGAAAACATATGCCAAACAGTTATATATGGAGAAGTACATTGAGCTTGGGGTATGGTAACCTGTCACTATCAATATTTGCTTTATATCCATTGGAATTTTAAGGAAAATTTGCAAGGAGCATGTCTTTGTGGATGATTTGTTATTTAAAAATATCTTAAAATGTGAAAAGAATAAAAATCTTATATCTTTTCAGTACCTCATTCTATTCTAGCATTCTGGAATTCTGGGCAATATCAAAAAATTTTTTCAGATACAGCATTTATTCTTTACAAAGTGTCTTTGGAGTATTTCTTTAAAGAGATTTTGTTGTAAGATTATAATTTGTTAAAACACAGATTGCCTAATAATTTTGCAAAGTATTTTCACATGTCAATGGGTATACATGAGTTTCTTTTTGCTGAAAAAAAGTGCTCATTCAATTATTTATTTTCATTGCTATTGCATACCTTCTTCTATTAGTCCCAATGTCACTAAGCTAATAGAATGTGAAAATCTGCCTGAAACAAATACACACGTATTTTTATTTTACATATAACATTTTCTGAAATGGAGAACAAATACTAAAAAAAGAGAGAATCTAAGTGTATAATAATGTTGACTCCAGTCTTTAATTTCCATTAAACCTGTCCCCATTTCTTTTTGACTCTGGGCATATTTCCTGTTTTAGCTAGTACAGCAATAGTAAATAATGTTTTAACATTGTGAATGCACTTTTTAATTCAATGAATAAAGGGAAAATGTTATTTTTCATTCTCATTCCAATGTGCATTGTAAGAATTATTCAAGGGAAAGAAACCCACAGTAGAAATGATATTCCATAAAAGTTATAATTTAATATTTTCCTGGCTTTACTAATTTACTTTTTCCTCTGCTTTCTGTGATATTTTCTGCTGATAAAAGTTCCATATTTCAAATGGGGTCTTAAAATCTATTAGATTTTTACAGAGCTAAACCAATTTCTTAAGGACATAAAATACATTCAAAATGCCCTGATTATGGATAAACCTGTAGGAAGTAAAATTTTAAATGAAATATTTCATCAAAATATGAATGATGATAAAATAATAACTGACAAGAAGAAGACTATTTGTTTTACCATCTTGTATTATTTTTCAGATAATATATATTCTTAACAAGTAGCTAGTAGCTTTTCTTTTAACAAGAACATCGCTGGTAATTTGCTAACAAAGATACAGTGTCAATGTTTATTAAGAAAAGTTAATGATTTTGAGTATACATAAATTAGAACTAAATTGCAGTTTTAGAATATTGAGTGGAAAAACTTACCAAGTATAAAATGACAAGAAACAGAGAATTGTGAAGCAATAGAATACTCATTTTAAAAAGTATAATACAGCCAGGAACACTTTCTCACTTTTGTAATCCCAAAACTTTGGGAGTCCAAGGTGGGTGGATCATCTGAGGACAGGATTTGAGATTAGCCTGGGCAATATAGCAAGATCCCATCTCTGAAAAAAAAATGCGGGTGTGGTGTCACATGATTATAGTCTTAGCTACTTGGAAGGCTGACACAGTAGGATCACGAGCCCAGGTGTTTGAGGCTTCAGTTAGCACTACACTCCAGCCTCAGCAACAAAGCAAGACCCTGTCTCAGAAATAAATAAATAAAAACTATAAGTTATTTGACAAAGAAATAAAATAAACAAAAATGGTGATGTCATATAATGACAAAAAATGACAATACATTACGGAACTTGAACTGATTTATGTTTTCTAGCAAGAAGTTGTGAAATAAGTTTTTTGATAAGTAAGATAAATGTACAAATTTCTCAGATGCAAGTGATGTAATTCTAGAATAGCCAATAGGCTAGAAAATCTTATATGACTAAGCAGTTTAACCCAATGTTTACACCATTCTTAAGCTTATAAAAAATATCTTTAAGTGGCAAGGACCACATTCCAGTTTACTTTGAAAATGGTATTTACTAAAGATCCTTATAAAATTCTGCAAATTATGAAAAGTTACTTAGAAAAAGTAAATAATTAATTAGTTCAATCTACAGAAAATGATATACATCTGATTCACTTTATAGTGGTATTTACCTTGTTGCAATGGGCTGGACCCTATCCCACATCTCTAAGGTTTGTTACTACAATTTAGTTTATAAAAGAATTTTCAAAATATAGTCTTTATTGTCACTTGTCATCTGGAGGTTACCATATTCTAGATCATGAAAAATACTGAATGGCAACCTTCTCAATTTAAGCTGTATTAAGTAATGGGACAAATCTTGTTCTGGGTATACGTAAGCCTGAATTTAGAATTCTGCTCTGGTAAAAATAGTTAATCCTTGGGCTAAGGGCTAATTTTAACATGTTGTAGAAAGTTTAAATATCCAGAACATGCAAATGTTAACCTGATTAATAAATAATGCCAATATAGTTGTTTTGTCAGTAATACTGGTAAAAATCAAAAGGGTAAGAAAACTGTAAGAAAATAAAGAAATAATCTGTGCAAATATATTTGAAGATTAAAATTAGTTATGCAAATGCAAGTTCTTATGGTTAATCTTATAATTATTCAGTGATCATCAGCATCTAGTTTTTAAAATTAGAAACAAATTGTAGCCGTTGTTGCTTTTAATCAAGAGACAAGGAAAACCCATTTGATCGTTTGTCCAAACAATTTGGTGCTCCATAGCCCTGACATTTGCCTTGTTTTCAAAAGTTCTTTAAAAATTAGTAGCGTTTCCTGAAATTTCAGGGACGTTTATCTGAATATATTCCTGCGAAAAATATAGCTCAATTTTATATCTCTGAACATCATCTAGTTACACTAGTGTTACAAAGCTGCCTTAAAAGCATTCTTCTTAAGACATTATATTTTTTAAATTAAAGAAAAGTGATCTTTGAATGCATTGAAGTATTATTTGCTTATTTTGCAAGTTTCCTTGAATTACTGTGGTATGTTGGTGCATTTCAGGATAATAGACTCCATTAGACAGCTCAAATAAATAGGGACTAATTTAAAGACTACAAAAATATATTTTATTGTTGTAGAATACTTTTTTCTCCATGTCATTAGGAGATGAGTCCAAAGGTAATGATGTTTATGGTACATAAGAGTCACCATTGAGGTGACATAGTTCTCGTCAGGGCACTGAGAGATACACTAGATACTGTTTTTGGAAGAGTTCTAAATCCTGTATTTTTTTAGATATTCTCATTCCTAAATGCACTAGTATGAGGAACTTGATTTCGAGTATTTCAAGTCATATTTGTTGTAAAAGTATTCATTTGATATATTTTTATGCTTAGAAGTACGTAGTAAAAACAAACCATCGAGCCAATATTGCTATTAAATAGAGATCAATTATAAGTCTCATAGAAAAACTGAACTTTAACAAAAAGCTTTGGGGAAATAAAGAACATTATTTGTACTTGGAAAAGTGGACGATCATCTAAATGTTACTATGGTATATTTTATAACCATGTTACAATTGCCTTTCATTTTTACTTGCAGTGATACAAAATCGCAAGCTGGTATAAAATATTCATAAATAAAAGAGTAGAGATAAAAATGTGTGTGCTATATAGAAAACTCTGAATTTTTCGTTTACATTATTCATTAACTACAGATGTAGCAATATAATGGAATTTGGGATTTGCCATTGAAGTTATGTGCCCCATATTTCTATGTGACTACATAAACTACTTAAGCAGTATACAAGTACTTTAAAAAAATTGAAAATGTACTGAATGTTCACGTTGGATGAACCCTACAATTTGTCCAAAAGCCTAAGAAATTCATTCACTAGAAAACAATCATAAAAAGAAAAGTCTTTGACATTTTACAAAAATCACATAATTCCTATTGCTTTTCAGTTCATTTTCCTGAGTGAAGTTAACCATACAATAGATAAAATGATTATTTCATTTTTAATTTTATAAATTTGGAGATAATTTTATGGAAGAATCTTGGGTTTTTACACAAGGCTATCTGCTTTTCTAAGAGAGAAGAATTTGTCAATTAACATATCTCATGCAACCATATTGCTCAATTCTATATAAATCAATTTAGGTAGAACTTACATGCTACCATCAGGGAGAAAAGAAAAAGAAATCATGGTCTCTGTCTTCAAGAAGCTACAATCTTACTGTGGAAATTATACATATATATATATATATGTGTGTGTATATATAAAATCACACATAGCTCTGTGCTGCCTTCAGTACGATAAATAATTTTTAAATAAATAATATTTATTAGTAATTTCAAGTTAGAATTATAAAAAACAATAAAACTGGCCATGATTCCACCAAAAGGCAATAACTATATTAAAAAATAATATATGCACATAATACAAAAATTCCAAGGTAAGAAAAATTATAAATTATTAGCAAAATCTTATCTCTTTTCTAAATTTGTACTATTTCTGCCATAAAATGCAACTGTTATTAAAAGTCATATTTGTAATTCTAGAATTTATATTTATCTGGTAACATATGTATTTACTCATAAAGTGATATATATTATTTAAATCTACACAAAATTAGTTATACTGTATGCATAGTTTTGTATCTATTTTTTCTACTTAACAATATGACTTAAAGGTTGTCCTATTTCAAACATATACTTTCCCATTGTATTAGTTTATCAAAATTTCAGCAGTTTGTGTGTTTTTCAGATTGGCTGTGACAAACGTCTTTTAATGTGTTTCTTGGCTAAATTTCACTAAATATTCTGCTAGGATAAATGTTGCATCAGCTCAGAATTGTTATTATACAAGATTTTAGGAATAGCTCCATTAGGTAATTAAATGTGCCATTAAGTAAATCCTATCATGTTAGTTCTGGCACAAGTTGTCTCCATGCAGTGAATGCACTATTAGTTTAAACACTGTGGGACATCTTACTAGGTATTTTCTATTGGAAACAGACATTATTTCCAAATAATTCAAGGAGAAAAACTGCAGAGAGGATTCTGATTGCCTTATTTAATTTTTCAGCCTATTGTTGAGCTGTTCTTGGTGTTCAAGGTCATGAGATTAGACCTAGGTTCATGCCTGATCTTACCTGGGGTTGGCAGCTGGTGTTGGGCTCTGCTGAGACAGAAGAGAAAAATTCTACTTCCCTCACAAGGAAAAAGATGCTATGAAGAAAATATATATGTCTATCACAGCAGTTATATGTTCATTTTTAATAATACACTTAAAAGTTAAGCCTTTAAATCATGTCCATTAATATCATAAACCCATCTCTTTTTTTAGTTAGAATTTTTCTCATATAGCCATTGAAATTGGGAAATTTCAATGCTATTTCTGTCTTCAAATGTCCATAGAGGAAAAGAATGCTCAACTTCACTCACCAGAAAAGGAAAAGAATGAGAACACCTCCTCAAGACAGGATTCACTTATTGCCTTCTGTGGAAGGTGCCAAGATTTTCTCTATTTTGCATGTGGCAGGCTTACTGGGATCAGCAGTTTAATGTTTTTAAATTTCAATATAGGATGAAGATAATAGAAACCCATTAAGCTTCAAATTAGGTTTTATTCTTATGTCCAACTTTTATTGATTGTGATATTCATCTTTGATCTCTATTTATCTGATGCCTGGTTCTCATTTCTAAATTTTGAATGAACCCTTAAAATCTCAATATTATTTTGTTATTTAGAAACTCCAAGAAATAAGTACAAATATCAGTTTGAGCACTGAAATACTAGATGGAAAATTTGGGGCTTTGTTTAAGTGATACCTTTAGTTTAAGAAGATTTTTACTGAAATAATTCAATTTCTAGAGTTGGCTATACCAATTTCACTGTATCACAGCCTAGGTTGCAGTTGCTGAAGGAATTCCAATATTATCCAGGCATCAGAAAGAGATTTATCTGGCTAAGACTTGCATAATAAGAAGTTAACAATATAATTTTTTTGGATTTTAATGTCTTTAGACTCACTTTTAGTTGTTATTTTTACAATTACGTTTAAGGGAACAATGATCTCATTTATGGACTTTAAATTTAACTGGAATGTGATAATGTGAGGAAATAAATAGTATTTAAATTTAGCATATTTTAATAATGCTGACATTTTACCATTTGGAGTAATTTTTGTACGCATTTGGATTCATCACATAACACCCAGAGCCAGCTCAGAACACATGGCTGGATATATTTGCTGTGAGATTTAGATTAGGGTGTGATTACTTTCGTCTGTAATGCATTGAGGCTTTGGGACAAAAGCTGAGCTTCCCATCAGTAGTACTGGGAGCATTCGCAATAAAATCCTATGACTAGAGATGAGGAGAACCACTTCATGAAGGTGAAAATCTTACTTTTATTATATATTGCTACACAGCCTCACCTCTGGTTGACTATAGGATCAATTGTTAAGCCCAATAGGTTAAGAAAGCAAGAAGATAGAGAAAGTTGGGGGAATGAATCCCTAAACTCATCTCCAGGGAGGAAAAAAAAAAAGAAACATGAGAGGAACATATTTGCCTTGCCCCCTGTATCAAAACCTCTAGTCCTGACTCTTACCCAAAGAGGAGTATTTCCTTAAGAAGGAGCCATCGATTTAACTGGGAAGAGTACAACAGGGAACTGAGCAAGAATATCCAACTCAGCTCTGGCTTTATTTCCTGAGGCTGCTGTTCTGAAATTGCCCAGTTCTCTTCTCATCCATGTAGTAAGATCACTGAGGCAGCTTCATTTCCTCTGCTATTTAAACAGCTGTTGAAACTGCTTTGAATTCAGAGAGGAGGTTATAAGAAGTACAATTGACTGCAAATAAGGATGTGTTTAAAACGTAAAGTTTTAAGACATCCCCAGGGATGTTTTGTTGCTAGCCCTCGAAATACGCTGAATTAAACCAGGCAATTCAGCAACAAAAGATCTTTCTGGCTTGGGACCAATACAAGCAGTCACCAAGGGGTGGGAAACAGTGGTCACAAACAAGCTCCCATTCAGTATACTGTTTGATGGGCTGTTTAGGGCCATATACCTGTCTCTTGGTTCTAAAGAGCTTAGATACAGTTTTTGGGGTTTTGATTTTTTTTTTTAAGTCTTTACATCAACATGAATTTTTCTCCTCCTGTGTTTAATCTAGCAGGTTGGTTAACTTTGACCTTCACCTCTGCAATGTGGTCTCAGCAAATCAAAGCTTTGTCTATTTCAACTTACCATAGGTGTCTTCTAAATCATTGTCCCCACACATATTATGCTTCCCAGGTACCAATACTACCAGTGTCTTATATCCTTGAGTCTACTAGAGTTCATGATTTATTACAATTATCATACATATGATTTAAATATTTTGAATAAAATTTGCAGGCTTAACATTGGAATTTTTATTACCAAGGCATCCTAGCAAATAATAAAGTTTTCATTTACCACTGGAATTTTTTGAAATATTTCTTCATTTCTCTGTTACTATCTATCTCTCTAGCAATATATTTCCCAGAGTATCAGTGCATTTCCTTTAAAATAACAGACTGTACAAATGTAACCCAATATAAATAAGTAAATATTCCAGTGTATCCAGAGTAACTCATTGACTTGAATCAGAAAAAAAAATTCACAAATATAGTGTGCCAATTTTAAATAACTACATGGGCAGGAACACAGCTATTTCTTTCTCTGTAGTATTTGCATTTCTAAACTTATTTTTTCTTGAAAAAGACAGATAAATATTATAACAAAGAAGTCCAACAAAGCAGCAGAAATCACAAGCACATGACCAGTTTTCGGCACTGATATAAATTTCCCTTTGTTCTCTTGCCCAGCCTTTCCAAAATCCTGTTAAAGTCAGTATAGGCTCAAAGCTGATCACTTGTCTCATTCTTACAAATCATTTCCTTGAAAGAGTAAAAATTATCAGACAGCTGCAGTAGTTTAGCTTACAGGGAAACATAGAATGTCATTTTCAAGGTAAGTATGCAGCTGTCTTCCTGTCACTTAAGGCTTTTTAAAACAAATCTAATTAAATGTCTACCAACAACAGTTGACAGAATAGTTCTTAGCATACTAATGAAATTTGTCATAAGGCAACAAAAGCACAATTTTCCTATAGTTTGGTCCTTGCTAGCAAACCTGGCTTATTTCACTTAATCAGTTCCATCCATGTTGCTGAAAATAACAAGATTCCATTCTTTTTTTATGACTAAATAAGATTCCATTGTGTGTAGCACATTTTTAATTCATAGATTAATAACTAGAATATATAAAGAACTCAAACAATTCTATAGCAAAACAACAAATAACCTGATTTAAAACTGGGAAAAAGATCTAGACAGACATTTCTCAAAAGAAGACATACAAATAGCCCACAGGCACATGAAAAAATGCTCAGCATCACTAATCATCAGGGAAATGCAAATGCTTAGATAGATCAGTGATATCTTATTTAAAACAAATCTGAAGTTCTACGTGACAAAAATTAAGATTTCCAAGAAATCATGTCTCTCTTATCATATCTGGTTTTTGATATTGGCATCACATTTGGGTAAAGAGTTAACTATAAGTATATACATTACTCCAGAATATTTTTAAAAATGTGGTTCAATTACTTAAAAATAGCTTAGCGAGAATGCCAAAAGCATTCCATTTATAGTTTTCTTTAAAACCCATGAAATTTTTTTAAATAATGTATGTATGCATTAAATATACAAGAAAAATAATGGAAAAGAAAAATAATCAAAAATATACTTCATAATAGTCTATGTACGCATTTAAAAATTCTGTCAGAAATACAATTATCAGGGTCCTATTTCTTGTCTTATGCTTAATAGCTTTTTTTTTTTTAACATATTTTGAAGTATAATAAATTAATGGCTGGAGATTTTCACTTGGGCATCTCCTTCTGGTTCTATAAATATGAATGGTTTTCTGCAAAAGTTAACCAAATTCAGTGAAAATCCCAGTTCACCAAAATTAGCCAAAATTAATATGATTTAAATTTATCTTCTGAATATTTCAAAAATTAAGCTCATACAAATGCATACTAGCTATTTTGCTTTTTTTAAGAAGAAAAACTCACAAAATTAAACTGTAATAGAGCTTGAATTCTCACCTGTGTGATAAAAGTTAGGAATCATAAGTCATGGTGGTCACCCAGCAATTGAGGTTTTGATTATATGAATTGCAAATTTTTCTTCTTTTGTATTTCTTTCATTACTTAGTATGCTCCCAGAAAACTCATTATTGCTCAATTAACATTTTTTTGGTTTACGGATTAATTTACAAAAATAAAATGACAAGTGTTCCGGTGTCTATGTCATTTGATCTCAGTAATTAATCCTCAAGGTTTATCAGCACAAAATTATTTTCTATTTTAAAGCCAGTCATACTAATTAGTTTCTAGTATGTAGATAACAATAAGTATGTTTATCAAAATTTAATTTTCTCTTATTGGTCCCAAGTAAGTAAAATATATGACTTTGTATAATTTTCTTTGCAAGCCCTAAATTTAAATTCAAAACCTTAAATCTATGATATGGTGTTATTTCAGCCGAATTACCATTTCTAATGAAATTAATGCATAATCAATATGTAGCTAGTTTCTATTTCCTTTGCATAAATTTAGTTGCTATTTAATACTATTCAATATACTCATGTATGAATGCTTATTTCAAAAATGTGAAAGTATAATTCCTGTTATATGTGGTTTATTTTAGATATTAAAAATATAAAAGGTTAGTTTGGAAACTTTCCTCTGATTCAGCAGTTATGTTTAATTCTTCAATGCTCTTCTTTTTTTATTTTGCAAAAAAGGTCTAGGTCATCTAAATTTGCATCTTACAAATTTGATTTTTACATTTAACAGATCCAGTGATTAATCAATATGTCTATGAGTGGCTAAATTTTATTGCACCATTCTGAAGAATACAAAATTTGTCACTCCTCCGAGAGACACTTAATATTTGACCTGGTTCACATGAGAGAATTCTAAATGGATAAAGAAATCCCTGAGGAAGGCTGCAGAAGGCTGTGGATGTCTTCTCTGGAACATGTAGTTTTATGTAACAACATACCACAGTAATGGACCTTCTTCTATAATTCATAGAAAGCCATTAAATGATTTAATATCCTTTTGGTTTTATCTATAGCGCTGTGAACTACTTCAGTAATCAACGTGCTACCTATTCAGGCATTATCATTCATTCAGTGCGCTTTACCTTATTTCCTCTCACCTCACTTCCATGCCTATTTATCTTCAGAACATGCAGCCCTTTCTGTACCTTCAACCCATTGGTCTTCATTAGTTCATTTCTTTTTCAGCCATGACCAATTGCCACTTTAACTTTCTAAGTCTTCAAAGAGTGCTGTACTTTGACTTTCTGTGTTATGAACTTTGTTTTCCTGCCCCTTCTTTTGATAGCTTAAATATATCATTTCATTCCTTGCTGTCAACTCTAGCTTCTTGATCACTGTTTCTAAAACCCCATGTTCTTTGAGGTATCCAAACACAAACTTTTTCATAACTAAATAATATGTATTTTAATAATTTTTAAAACTAGCATACTGATTCAAAACTTTAAAGTGTTGCTAGAAATGAAAATAAACAGCATATTTTTTTCCCATTTAACTTCTGAGCATATATATTTTCATGCATTTTTGGTTAAAAAACCCCTCCATTTCTGCATAGTTTATTTTTCGTATCTTTGTTTTATTTTAGGTTTTGTGTATTTTTGATAGAAAAGTTTTTATAAGACAGATTTTCCAATCAATTTTGTAATTCTATTCTAAATAGTGTGATGTGGCAGCTGTTCACAAGCAAACGTCTCATATTTTCTAAGCAAATATCAGTTTGTATTGTTTGTCTCTTAAACTTGAAGAGAAAAATCTCATAATAATGACTGTATATTTTTCATTCTAACTTTAAGGAAAATGCAGTTTCTGGAATGTGATTCCATTATCAAAATCTAAGAGACAAAAAAATTACACAACCAAAAAGATTTACTTATATTTAGTATATAAATACATTAATCAATTTAAAAACTACGATGATGATATTTCAGATAAACAAAATTTTTACATGGTAGAATCAACAATCTTTAAAACAGATGCAAATAATTAAATTTATGTTTGAAAATATACACATTTACTTGGGGGTGATGCTTATGGTATTAGAGAAGAAAGAAAGTAGAATATTAACAGGTTTTATGAAAATATTGTAAATTCTAAATTTGTTGTAGTACCAAAGTGGCACTTAATAATTTATTGATCTACTTTCTTCATTTTGTGTAAGTTATAAAGAATATAATTTTAATTGACATTGTGTCAAAACTGACAGAACCTACAAAATTCAAGATGGAGATAAAACTGATTTCACAAAAATTGAAATATTATCTCATGTTTTCTATTCCAGTCATATAGATTTATAGCATAAAACCAGAGACCCTAATAATTACAAAGAATCCTTAAGAAAACCTATCCAAACAATGTAATAAACCCATCTACTTCATCTCAGATAGGTGGACCTCCAGCTGCTTCTTAGTTGACTGGTAAGGCACTCACTAACTCATAGAATAAGCTATTCTGTTATTGTTGGGACGTTTTCCTTATACAGAAATAAAATCTCTCTTTTTGCAATTGCTACTTACTGGTTTTAGTTTATTAATTTGGAGCTGAGTAGTGAGTGTCCAATTTCCCTAAGTTGCCATCCAATTATTTTAAGGCAAGTAAATCCTCAAATCTCTTTTCTAAACTAACTTATAATCCTAAATTATTTTACATAATCATAAAGTACTTCAATCAAATGTTCATTTGATGAATTAAAAGGCCTCTATTTTCCAAATCAGGTTTAATTGTGGTATAATTTGCATACAGTTAAAATTCACTCACTCACAAAATACAATTCAATGGATTTCAATAAATGATTTCAGTCATACAACCACCACACCAATCAAGACAAGGAGCATTTCATCAACACAAAATGTTTCCTCTTGCTGCTTTGCGGTAAAACTCATCCACCCACCCACAGGCAGTAGCTAGCAGTGTCTTTTATTATTATTTTTTATCATTTTATGTGTAACCTATGCATGTTTTGAACATGTGGATTGTTTCTTGTCCTGGGCTATAAAGTTGCTATAAAAATCCACATACCGATCTTCATTTGAACATATATTTTCATTTCCATTGGGTAAATACCCAGAAAAAGAATTGATTGCTCTATTTTATGGTAAATGAAAGTTTAATTTTAACAAAACTGACTAACTCTTTCCAAGTGCTGATGCAATTTGGGGCTCATTATTATATTTTACTCTGTCTGTCTTCTACTTATATTACCATGCCTTAATTACTGCAGCTTTATACATCTTGAACAATCTATTTAAAAATGTATTTTGTCTTTTTTTCAGAATATATTTCAGGATACAGAATTATGGATTGACAGTGTGTGTCTTTGTCCCCTTCTCTGGATTTTTTTTTTTTTTTTTTTTTTTTTTTTGAGACGGAGTCTAGCTCTGTCACCCAGGTTGGAGTGCACTGGCGCCATCTCCGCTCACTGCAAGTTCCGCCTCCTGGGTTCACGCCATTCTCCTGCCTCAGCCTCCCAAGTAGTTGGGACTACAGGCGACTGCCACCACGCCCGACTAATTTTTTGTATTTTTAGCAGAGATGGGATTTCACTGTGTTAGCCAGGATGGTCTTGATCTCCTGACCTCGTGATCCGCCCGCCTCGGCCTCCCAAAGTGTTGGGATTACAGGCGTGAGCCACCACGCCCGGCCTCTGGATATTTTTAAGTTTTCCTTTTTTATGTTTTGGATACAGTGTCTGGCCCTGTTGCCCAGGCAGAAGTGCAGTGGTGCCATCTTGGCTTACTGCAACCTCTGCCTCCCGGGCTCAAGTGATCTTCCTACCTCAGCCTCCCGAGTAGCTGGGACTACAGGCAAGCACTACCATGCTCAGCTAATTTTTGCATTCTTCGTAGATTAGGGGATTTTCCATGTTTCCCAGGCTGGTCTCAAACTCCTGGGCTCAATCGATCCACCCACCTTAGCCTCCCAAAGTGCTGGGATTACAGGAGTGAGGCACTGCCCTCAACCAAATTATTCTTCATTAATTTTTTAATGATTTTTCCATGTATAGTTTTCCTTTATTTACCTTCTTGAGGATTTTGAGATTCTTCATTCAGTAAGTTAATTTTTACACTATTTGGCATTTTTAGGGATCATTGCTGTTTTAAATAATTATTCTACTTCTTCTAGATCTCCTCTTCTTTTGTTATTCCAGTGTTATGTATGTTAGGCTGCTTAATGTTTGTCCAAAAGTTCCTGATGTATTTTTGATTTTTTTCAGTCCTTTTTTTTAATCTTTAGTCTTTTTTGTTTGTTTTTTAGAATGGGTAATTTCTGTTTATCTGTCTTCAATTTCTCTGATCCTTTCTTCTTCCATATCTAATCTACTGCTATATTAATGTAATTCCAGTTTATTTATAATTTCATATATTTCCTACTGCAATCAGAAATTCCGACTTTAAAAAAGATTCTGAGTTTCTTCAACTGTTCACTCATTGCAGCCATCTTTAATTTTATGTCATTGCACATATTTCAAATTGCCCTTTAAAAATTTTTTTTTTTCCTGCTAATTCCAAATGCTGAATCATCTTGAGGTCCATTTTTCGTGATTGATTTTGGTTTTTATTTGGGTCACATTTTTCTGTGCCTTCATATTTTTTGTAATTACTAACTTACAAACTTAGCAATAATCCTCTACATTTGATTGCATACTAAGAATTTTCAGTGATGCCATGTACAGAATCTGGCATCTATTCTCTCCTCCAAACACTTTTGACATTTGCTATTATGTACTTGGTTATCTTAAAAACACTGTGAAACTAGTAGAATGTTGGCTTAACTGTAGATAGTCTTATTTTTTCCAATCTTAGGGATAATTCTTATTCCTGGCATGTGGTATTTACTCAGAGAGCATTATCCAGCTGGGGGTTCAATGTAAAGCTCAGATTGTCTACTGACACCCTCTAAGTAGTAGAATTTAAACACTAAATTCCATGTTCTATGTTGTGCACAGCAACTAAAATCTATGCTCAGGTTTTAGTCTTCTGTAGTTTTCAACTGGATTTCTCTGTCCCATAAATGTAAAGATCATGAATCAGCCACGAATTTGAGAAGGATATATACATATTGTGTATTTGTGTATATACATATACATAACCTTACTTCTCTGTGATTTCCTTCCATCTGCATTTTCCTCCCCTGCTTTACAGTTATTCTGACAGCCTGGATCTTCAACTTCTGATTGAGTTCTAAGGGTATTCTTCCATGTGACCTATAGAGGGCTCTCAGAGAAGGAGACATGTAAACATATATCTTCAAGGGTTCCTTTCTTTCAAGAATCAAAACGTGCCAGTCTCTGCCTACTTTGATCATTCTTTCAAAAATTGAATAGTTTTCTTATCCTTCACCCACTTTTTGATGGGGTTGTTTGTTTTTTTCTTGTAAATTTGTTTGAGTTCATTGTAGATTCTGGATATTAGCCCTTTGTCAGATGAGTAGGTTGCGAAAATTTTCTCCTATTTTGTAGGTTGCCTGTTCACTCTGATGGCAGTTTCTTTTGCTGTGCAGAAGCTCTTTAGTTTAATTAGATCCCATTTGTCAATTTTGGCTTTTGTTGCCATTGCTTTTGGTGTTTTAGACATGAAGTCCTTGCCCATGCCTATGTCCTGAATGGTATTGCCTAGGTTTTCTTCTAGGGTTTTTATGGTTTTAGGTCTAACATTTAAGTCTTTAATGCATCTTGAATTAATTTTTGTATAAGGTGTAAGGAAGGGATCCAGTTTCGCTTTCTACATATGGCTAGCCAGTTTTCCCAGCACCATTTATTAAATAGGGAATCCTTTCCCCATTGCTTGTTTTTGTCAGGTTTGTCAAAGATCAGATGGTTGTAGGTATGCGGCATTATTTCTGAGGGCTCTGTTCTGTTTCATTGATCTACATCTCTGTTTTGGTACCAGTACCATGCTGTTTTGGTTACTGTAGCCTTGTAGTATAGTTTGAAGTCAGGTAGCATGATGCCTCCAGCTTTGTTCTTTTGGCTTAGAATTGACTTGGCAATGCGGGCTCTTTTTTGGTTCCATATGAACTTTAAAGTAGTTTTTTCCAATTCTGTGAAGAAAGTCATTGGTAGCTTGATGGGGATGGCATTGAATCTATAAATTACCTTGGGCAGTATGGCCATTTTCATGATATTGATTCTTCCTACCCATAAGCATGGAATGTTCTTCCATTTGTTTGTATGCTCTTTTATTTCCTTGAGCAGTGGTTTGTAGTTCTCCTTGAAGAGGTCCTTCACATCCCTTTTAAGTTGGATTCCTAGGTATTTTATTCTCTTTGAAGCAATTGTGAATGGGAGTTTACTCATGATTTGGCACTCTGTTTGTCTGTTATTGTTGTGTAAGAATGCTTGTGATTTTTGTATATTGATTTTGTATCCTGAGACTTTCCTGAAGTTGCTTATCAGGTTAAGGAGATTTTGGGCTGAGACAATGGGGTTTTCTAGATATACAATCATGTCATCTGCAAACAGGGACAATTTGACTTCCTCTTTTCCTAATTGAATACCCTTTATTTCCTTCTCCTGCCTAATTGCCCTGGCCAGAACTTCCAACACTATGTTGAATAGGAGTGGTGAGAGAGGACATCCCTGTCTTGTGCCAGTTTTCAAAGGGAATGCTTCCAGTTTTTGCCCATTCAGTATGATATTGGCTGTGGGTTTGTCATAGATAGCTCTTATTATTTTGAGATACGTCCCATCAATACCTAATTTATTGAGAGTTTTTAGCATGAAGGGCTGTTGAATTTTGTCAAAGCAAAAGAAGACATTTATGCAGCCAAATAACACATGAAAAATGCTCATCATCACTGGCCATCAGAGAAATGCAAATCAAAACCACAATGAGATATCATCTCACACCAGTTAGAATGGCGATCATTAAAAAGTCAGGAAACAACAGGTGCTGGAGAGGATGTGGAGAAATAAGAACACTTTTACACTGTTGGTGGGACTGTAAATTAGTTCAACCATTATGGAAGTCAGTGTGGTGATTCCTCAGGGATCTAGAACTAGAAATACCATTTGACCCAGCCATCCTATTACTGGGTATATACACAAAGGATTATAAATCATGCTGCTATAAAGACACATGCACATGTATGTTTATTGCAGCACTATTCACAATAGCAAAGACTTGGAACCAACACAAATGTCCAACAACGATAGACTGGATTAAGAAAATCTGGCACATATACACCATGGAATACTATGCAGCCATAAAAAATGATGAGTTCATGACCTTTGTAGGGACACGGATGAAACTGGAAACCATCATTCTCAGCAAACTATCGCAAGGACAAAAAACCAAACATCACATGTTCTCACTCATAGGTGGGAATTGAACAATGAGAACACATGGACACAGGAAGGGGAACATCACACTCTGGGGACTGTTGTGGGGTGGGGGGGAGCGGGGAGGGATAGCATTAGGAGATATACCTAATGTTAAATGATGAGTTAATGGGTGCAGCACACCAACATGGCACATGTATACATATGTAACAAACCTGCACATTGTGCACATGTACCCTAAAACTTAAAGTATAATAATAATAAAATTAAAAAAAATTGAATAGTTTTTTAACATGTATTTTGAACAGCATTTAAAATTAATATCTGTGGGAAAGTAAGTCAGTACAGATTCCTGAAATTTCCAGAATCTGAGACCTTCTTTGAGGAATCCCTGTTGAATAATATTATGTGATATTTCTCATTACAAATGTATATTTGTGATGCATAACAAATTCCTCCAAAATGTAGCTGCTTAAAACAACAAGGATTTATTATCTCACAGTTTCTGAGGGTCGGAAATTCAGGTGCAACTTAATTTGTGTCCTCTGCCTCAGGATCTCCCACAAAGCTGCAATCAAGGTGTAGACCAGGTGCAGTCATCTCAAGGCTTGACTGGGAGAAATCAATCTGAGTTCACTCATGTGGATATTGGATGGTCTTACAAGAGCTACTCCTGTGCTCGCTCACAGGGATGCCGACAATCTGAAGTCCTCAGTGTATTTGGTTGGAGGTATCAGTGCCTTGCCACATAGTCTCTTAAGTAAGTTTACTCAAAACAAGGCAGCTATCTTCCTCCAGATTGAAGCCTCCAGGGGATAGTGAGCCAGATGGAATCCAGTCTTTCTGTAATCTAATCTCCAAATCAACACCTTGCTATTTTTACTGTATTTTATTTGTTAGAAGAGAGTGTCACTAGGTCTAGCCCATATTGAAGGAGCGAGGACTACACAATGACATGAATCATCAGAAGTCATCTTAGGACAGACCCCCAGGTGAGAGATATATACACACATCATGCAGTATTCTTTCAAGGAGTCCCTGTGGGGAGGGAGAGTGTATGTATTTTATAAATATAATATGTAATATATATGTGATATATAATATATATGTGATATATAATATATATGTGATATATAATACATATATATGTGATACGCACACACAAACATATATAACATTAGGCTGGAGTTCATACAGGAGGAGCATCCATTGTATGACCTTCCTGCAATTACTAGAACCTAAAACCCTTTTGAGGCATTTTCTGTTGAATACAATCATATTTCCCATTACTTATGATTACTATTTATTTTCTTTAATGGCATAAAATACATGATTACTATTTCCCCTAAAACTTCTGTGTTAGTGGGCTGTGATATAGTTATCCCATTGGTGCCTCTGTCGAGACCAGTTTGCAGAGTCATAGAAAAAATTATATATTGATAATACCTCTTTTGACTTTATATATGCCTTAATAGCTAAAGTCAATAAACTCATTAGACTGTATTAATGTATTTTTTTTTTACAAATTTGCTTATTTTATTGTTCTTTCATTTTTTTCTTCAGGGAGCAATCATGCTCTAATGGTGATATATAATTTGTCTAGTGAAGAAATGAATAAAGAGTGGAAAAATTAATGACCTTATTAAACTAAAAGTCTTTTTGTAGGACAGCCAACTGCAGCTAGGCTAACATGTATAGTATTTCTGTGTGTTTGTGTATAATTTAATAGGCTTTAACCATTAGCTGTATGTCTTACATACATACATGTAATTTTTATAACTTTACTAACTTTATATTTAGTACTCCAGGTTACTTCTACTTCAGTTCAATAACTATTCATGCTAATGTTTGATGGGTAACAAATCTGATAATTTACTGGATATTTCACAAAAATTGGTTCAGGAACAGGATTAATAAGTGGTTATACATATATATTTATAGTTTATTTCTAGTACATAAAAACAAGTATATTTTTTTGAAGCACAATGGATTGGATGAATGGCTTGTAATTGAAGTCACATTGAAGGGATCACCAATTCTGTGAATCTCCATAGATATAAAGTTATCTGTGATTATTGACATTAGAAAAGCTGATTACTCAAGATGTGCTTTAGTTTCTGCCTCTGTAAATTAAGGCTAATAACACTTCTTTCCTACCATCACTAATGGGTATTGAGAATTAATGAGTTAACATTTGCTGAGTTTTTTTGAACTCCTCAAAGGTATTATTAACATTTTAAACTTAGTCTCAAACTGCTTCACACATTCTTAGAAACAATTTCCCTAATTTGCTATAATAAAAAATAGCAACATTAGTTTTTTTGGGGAGAATATTTTCTGTAGCTTAGTTTTAATTACTGCAAGACAGCTTAGATTTGAAAAAAAAAACAAAGTTGATAGTATACATGTGAGAGTTTTTTTAATATTTGATACCATTACTTTTCATTTTGACAGAGTGTTAATTTATAACATATAGTCCCTAAAATTCCTCACCTACTGGTGGACTGAGCTGTTGTAGAATGTTGTTGTTGTTGTGTGTGTAGGCTCTTATACAGAGTTATTTTTAAAAGCCAGTGCTTACCCAGAATATCTCGGGCTTCCCACCAGTACTGCATCGAACTTGGAAACACTCTTGAATCTTCTCTTCTGTTTCTTTGGCTTGTTGCTACCACGGCTGTCTATTCAGTCCCTTGGTCTCATTGCCCAAGATGTAGTCTGAATAAAGGAGGGAAACTCTAGTGTCCTCAGAGACAGAGGTGAAAGATGGAGGGAGGAAAAAGGGCAGGTTGGGAAGTTGGATATAAAAGTAAATACACATGACTTTGCTCACTTTACTTCGCTCCGGAGGCTCTCATGTCTGGTCATTTTTTTTTAGATGTCTCTGGTCTGATTCTATTTTTTATACTACCTAGTGATCATGTTTCTCATCCCAAATCTCCCCTGTGGCTCTAGTTTCTGACATGAAAGTTACAAAATCAGGAGGAGTCTGAATCTAGACATTTCTTTGATGTATTGTTATGTTTTATCTAAATCTCGTATGTAGGGAGGAATAAGGTCTTAGTATCTGTGTGAAGGGCATGTGAATGGGATTTGGGCAGAAGCTAGCCATCTTTCGTGTTACATCTGACTTAATTTATTGCTTTATTGTAGAGCACTTTATTGCAGATTGTCTCTATATTTGTTTAATATCCAATTTGAGATTCAAACATAAGCTCCGTGAGACCTGAATCCATATTTTATTTCCTAATGAGTCGTTTGAAACTAGCTGAGGGCCTAGTAAATAATAGTTATCCAAGCATGTTTTCATGACTGGAGGAACATTTTACAAAATAACCACTTCTTTTTCAGTCAGTTTTCCCACCTCCCACTCCCCACTTTTCCCCATCTATCTACATGCATACATATTGATACCACACCTACCACTCGCTAAAGAGTGTATCCCTCTCTCTCCCTTCTCCTTGCCTCTGACTCAGGCATAGGGGGAAATCATCATTTGCCCTAAGCTATGTGTAGCGAGTGGCATAGAAGCCTAAAATAAGGAGAACAGAAGAGCAGGGACCTAATGGGCAGCAATGGAACTTTACGGATGTGAGGAATCATGAGTTTTCTTACTTTTTCTCCATTTTCCTAGGGTAATTTATTTGTGTATTATTAATATTGTACTGAAAAACAATTCTCTGCTTACTTCCTATTCCTAAACTGAGTCCTGGGAATGTCATGTTAGTTCTTCCTCGACATGTTGCCACTTTTGCTTTTGTCTTGGAATTCTCACTACCATGACATACCATAGAACAGAAGTGCATTATAGCTTTTGTCAACAAAGTAAATGAAACACATAGCATACCATAATCCCTTAAGCATATTTATATGTAAGACTCTTAATACAAATGAGAAAAAGGAATCTTAAAAAGGGTCAGTCCATGCATTCACAAAAAAAAATGTTAATAGTCATCGACTTTTCAGAGATAAAATAGAGGATTTTGTGGGAGGGTAAGGTGATTGGGGAAATAATGCAACGCCAATTTGAAAAGGAGGAAAGACACTTAAGGTTGGTGTCTGGATCTCTCAGTATTTCCCAGCTCAAGTTTTACACCATGGCTGGCCAATAAAAGGGGTGCCAATTAACCAGAGGAATGCTGAAATCAGTGCTACTGTCTTAGAAGTCCTAATCAGCCACAAGATGTGGAGTCATCCCCTTTAATATTTAAACCACAGCAGTGTATCACAAAGCTGCACTTCTAGAACTAATAACTAGCTACATGTATAACCTGCTGTCTTCGTTTTATTAATCTCATAAGATACAACTACACATCTTATATGACTTTTGGACATCAGTTATTTTGTTAGAGCTAGTTTTTATTACAACTACAAGTGTGATAATAGTAACAAAAGGAATATATCAATATAGTATTGAAGTGTATTTCATGGGGCCTAACATTGGTTGAGTTAGTATTTCACCTGGTCAGTTCTATTTTGAGTTGAGTTAAATTTACGATGTCACTTAGGAAGGCAATCGTTTCATGCAGTATTTTTTAAAAGAAAATATATTGTGAATGCAAAACCATTGATGAAATGTGGTACATATACACCACGGAATACTATGCAGTGATAAAAAAGAAAGAAATCACGTCCTTTGTAGGTACACAGATGGAGCTGGAGGTCGTTATCCTTAACAAACTAATGCAGGAAGAGAAAACTAAATACTGCATGTTCTCAGTTATAGGTGCAAGATAAATGACAACAACACATGGACTCATGGAATGGAACACACAGTGGGGCCTCAGTGGGTGGAGAGTGGGAGGAGAGAGCGAATCAGGAAAAACAACTAATGGGTACTAAGCTTAATACCTGGGTGATGAAATGATCTGTACAACAAACTCCCATGACAAAATTTTGCCTGTGTAACAAACCTGCACATACACCCCTAAACTTAAAATAAATGTTAAATAAAAGAAAATGTCAATTGTGGAATTCTTTGGCTCATTATTATGGCCCATTTAATCACAGGCCAAATAAAAAGTTCTTTACTAAACACAAAACTTGCATTATACGATGTTTGGCTTAAATAATGTTCCCTAATACTAGCAAAAACTCAGCATCAGGTCCTCAACCATATTTGGGTAAGTAAGATATAAGCATAGTTTGTAAAATGGTACTTCTTTGTTTAATCATCTTTTAAAAATTTTAAGTGTTAAGATTGGCTTTACACCTAAACATTCACTTTGAGATATTCAAAGATTTTAATTTTTCTGCCTTAAGTAAAAAAAATATGGCAGAAAACATTGAAGGGAATCAGCTAATGTGATATGGTGCTTTTAGAAAACTGTATTATTTGGCAATCGTTGCTTATTTCTGTCCTTATTTTCTGTGTTGCCTAACCAGGAAAGTGAAGTCTTAACAGCTCGGGCGATGTGGATTTGTGAGGGTATTTTCTGGGCTGTTGTGGCTGCCGCAGCTGCTGCTGGCTCATGAATCTTTCTAGCATTGCAGATACCTAGACTTGATCCTGCAGAGTAATTGAAGTGGTCAGATGCTTCTCCAGCTCTGGCTTATTATGAGCTTCTGTAAGACAATGTAGGAAGGCAACAATAACTTTCCAGACTACTTCTTCCTTGCCAGCTAAAAGCATGTGCCAGAATAGATTGTAGATGCATGAGAGTCTTTGTTATAGTGACAAATAGATCTTAAGGAAGGGCTATGAGTTGAGAATAATTGCTAATTGAATTGATATGTCATATCTTTTCCAAGTCATTCTTTTGTACCACATTAGTGGATGACTTAAGTAGCAGTGCTCTCAAAAAGAGTGCTTCTTTAGCCCGTCTATCGCTACAAATTTATGCCTCAATCCTTCTTTCAAGCCACTTGTTCAGTCTCGTGCAAAGAAACTGTTTCAAAGGAAGCACTGATTTTTATTGGAAACAATGGAATCCAATTTCATTTAAAGTAAGGATATGTCTCATGTTAGCAGGGCTTTATCATTATTACTTTCAAAATTTATATTTCCTGTGATTATTTTGTGAATAAATTGTCATTCTTTTTGGGCTTAGCTATCATTATAAATACACATTCAATTTTTTCTTAAAGAAAATATTGGAGAGTAGAACTGTGATCGAGCTCATCAACACTGAATAATATTTACTAAAAGATTAATCAAAACATGGTTGGAAATATATAATGTTTTTAATTATAATGATAAATATAATTTAGAGACAAAATTATCATCATAACGATAGCATCTAAAAGTATAACAATTCCAGTAGAAATTCAGTTCATTATGAGCAAAACCACCACATTAGTTGGTTGACTGAGAATAGTCAAATGCTACTATCTGTTAATCTGTTCTTTGCCCACTGTCCTAACCTCATTGCTTATTCCGGTTTATGGTAGGAACTAAATAAACATCTGTTGTATAAATAGTGAATGATTTGTCATTATGCCGATCTTTGTAAGTAGCTGAGCAGATACTGCCTAAGTGACTAAACCTCATGTGCTTTATGGTTCTGTTTCCCTGGCTGGCTCTCCCTCTCACTAATTAGCATTATTCTCTTCTCCAAACAACCCTAATGCCCTTATGCCCAATGACCCAATGTCTGATTCACATCTATCGCAGCCAAGCCACATAGCATCAGTTTAGCTTATCTACTTCTCTATTGTTAGCCTCCTCAAATGTCTTTCTCTCTTTTTTCAGAGTATGTACTTATTTCTTCATCAGAGTCCTGGTGTATATCTGCGTGAAATTAAAATATTTCAGAGCAAGACCTAACATTTTCAGTTGCAGTGGTCCTTTTAGACAAGTCCTGGGATTCACATACTATGTACTGTGACACTTTCTTCACCATCCCTTAGTCATGACAAAAAGAAATATGTATATATACATATATACACACACATATATATACACACATACATACATACACACATATTCACATATATATTCATATATATATATATAAAGTTTCTTAGAGGCAAGAAGAGAAGAAAATAGGAAAAAACCTTTATTTTCTCAATTGCATAGAATATAATCAGAATTTTGAACTACAATATTACTCCCAAATATATGTGACATTAAATTTTGCCCACTTCTTTTACTCCCTGATAGGTAGCTAACAAGAGACAAAATTCACTCTGAAAAGCAAAGAGGGTGGGGCATCTCACAAAACAAGAGATTTAACATTGTATAATTTCTTGTGGTTACTATGTAGTTCTAAATGGTAGATGGCTGTCTTATCCATTTGGACTGTTGTAACAAAATACTATAAACTGATGGATGGCTTACGAACAATAGAAAATTATTTCTCACAGTTTTGGAGGCTGGAAAAGTCTAAGATTAAGGTGCCAGCATATGTGGTGTCTGGTAAGAATCCACCCTTTTTTTTTTTCACAGATTGCTGTCTTTTCCCTGTAACCTCATCTAGAAGAAAAGATGAGGGAGCTCTCTGGGGCCTCCTTTATAAGGAAACCAATTCCACCCTCTAAAAGTCTTACCCCTCAAAAGTCTCACCTCCAAATACTATCACGCTGGGGGTTAGGACATAAACATTCAGTCTATGGCAATGCCCTTCTAATAATTAGATTTTAGATAATGAGATAATAATATAAATAATTAGATTTTTCTGATTTATACTCAAACTTCATTTTAACATTGACTTTTATTTTTTTAATTAGTGTAATAATTTACACACCAATTCTCTTTAGAAAATCAAGAATTAAACACATATATTTCTGTATGTGTGTTTATACATACACAAAATACATATATATTTTTTAAATTGGTCATTTATATTATTAATATTTATATCAACATGTTAATATATGTTAATATTGTTAACATAATATTTTATGTTACAAATACTATGTTTCATATGACAGGTGTTCCATCATCTTTTACATGACAAAAACAATTATTTTCATGTAACAGGTACCATGTTAAATGCTTCAAATTTATTATTTCACTTAATCTTTGACATGGGCATCTGATTTTTAGAGATTACTGAAAAAAGAAGAGCTGGTATCATTCCTACTGAAAGTATTCCAAAAAAGTGAGGAGGAGGGACTACTTCCTAACTCATTCTATGAGTGCAGCATCATCCTGATACCAATGCTTGGCAGAGATTCAACAAAAAAAGAAAACTTTAGGCCAATATCCTTGATGAACATCAATGAAAAAATCCCCAACAAAATACTGTCAAACTGAATCCAGCAGCACACTGAACAGTTCATCCACCACAGTTAAGTGGGATTTATTCCTGGAATGAAAGTTTGGTTCAACATATGCAAATCAATAATGTGATTTATCACATAAGGAGAACTAAAGACAAAAACCATATGATTTTCCCAATACATGCATAAAAGCCTTTCAATGAAATTCAATATCAATTCATGTTAAAAACTCTCAACAAACTAGGTGTTGAAGGAACATATCTCAAAATAATAAGGGCCATATATGACAAACCCACAGCCAACATCATACTGAATGGGAAAAAGCTGGAAGCATTCCCATTGAAAACTGGCAGAAGAGAAGGACGCCCTCTCTCAACCATTCCTAGTCAACATAGTATTGGAAGTTCTATTCAGGGCAATCAGGCAAGAGAAAGAAATGAAGGGAGGATGTCAAACTGTCTCTCTTTCCAGACAACATGATGCTATATCTAGGAAAATTGATAGTTTCAGTACAAAAGCTTCTAAAGCTGATAAATAACTTCAGCAAAGTCTCAGGATACAAAATAAATGTGCAAAAATCACTAGCATTCTTATACACCAAAAAAAAAAAAAAAAAAAAAAAGAAAAAGTAAAGCCAAGAGCCAAAACAGGAACAATTCACAATTGACATGAAAAGAACAAAATACCTAGGAATACAGCTAACAAGGGAGGTAAAAGATCTCTACAAAGATAGCTACAAACCACTGCTCAAAGAAATCAGAGATGACATAAACAAGTGAAAAAACATTCCATATTCATAGATAGGAAGAATCAATATTGTTAAAATGGCCATACTGCCCAAAGCAACGTATGGATTAAATGCTATGGCTATTAAACTACCATTGGCATTCTTCACAGAACTAGAGAAAACTATTTTAAAATTCATATGAAACCAAAAAAGAGCCCGAATAGCCAAGGCAATCCTGCGCAAAAAGAACAAAGCTGGAGGCGTCACACTACCTGACTTCAAACTCCATTACAGGGCTACAGTAACCAAAACAGCATGTTACTGGTACAAAACCAGAAATGTAGACCAACAAAACAAAATTGAGAACCCAGAAATAAGATCGTACACCTACAACCATCTGATCATTGACAAAACTGACAAAAACAAGCAATGGGGAAAGGATTCCCTATTAAATAAATGGTACTGGGATAACTGGGTAGCCACATGCAGATGATTAAAACTGGACCCCTTCCTCACATCTTATACAAAAATTAACTCAAGATGGATTAAAGGCTTAAATGTAGAACCAAAAACTATAAAAACCATGGGAGACAACCTAGGTAATACTATTCAGGACATAGGCAAGGGCAAAGATTTCATGATGAAGATGCCAAAAGCAATTGCAACAAAAGCAAAAATTGACAAATGAGATCTAATTAAGCTAAAGAGCTTCTGCTTAGCAAAAAGTAACTATCAACAGAGAAAACAGACAACCTACAGAATGGGAGAAAATTTTTGCAAACTATCTATCTGACAAAGATCTAATATCCAGCATCTATAAGGGACTTAAATTTACAAAAACATTAAAAAGTGGGCAAAGGACATGAAAAGACACTTCTCAAAAGAAGACATACATGTGGCCAGCAAGCATATTAAGAAAAAGCTCAACACCACTGATCATTAGAGAAATGAAAATCAAAACGACAATGAGATACCATCTCATACCATTCAGAATGGCTATTATAAAAAAGTCAAAAATAACAGATGCTGTCAAGGTGGTGAAGAAAAAGGAACGCTTATAGACTGTTGGCGGGAGTGTAAATTAGTTCAACCATTGTGGAAGACAGTGTGGCAGTTCCTCAAAGAACTGAAGATAGAATTTGCCCCAGCAATGCCGTTACTGGTTATATACCCAAAGGTATATAATTATATTGTAAAGACCCATGCACATGTATGTTTATTGCAGTATTGTTCAAAATAGTGAAGAATATGGAATCAACCTAAATGCCCATCTATGACAGATGGTATATGGAGAATGTTGTACATATACACCATGGAATACTATGCAGTCATAAAGAAGAATGATACCATGTCTTTGCAGAGACAAAAATGGAGCTGGAGGTCATTATCCTTAGGAAACTAACACACAAACAGAAAACCAAATACCACATGTTCTCACTTATAAGTGGGAGATAAATGATGAGAACGCATGGACACACAGGGTGGAACAGCACACCGTGGGGCCTATTGGAAGGCAGAGGGTGGGAGGAAGGGGAGGATCAGGAAAAATAACTAATGGATACTTAGCTTAATACTTGGGTGATGAAATAATGTGTACAACCACCCTCCATGACACAAGTTTACCTCTGTAACAAACCTGCTCATATACCCCTGAACTTAAAATAAAAGTTAGGAAAATAAAAATAAAAGTGGTTCTGGCAGAAAGACAGGCAGACTCTAAGCTAGTCCTAACCTAAGTAGAGGTTGAAATATATTAGAGTGGTGGTGTATACGAAAACTGAAAGAGCTGAACTCTATAATAAAGTACAAAGTTTTGGGCTCAAATTGCCAGGGAAGAGAGTCCTATTTCTGAATTTGACACTGAGAATCACCTTTCCCCAAACAGCTACGATAAGGGGCTCCATGTTAGCACTTCCCATAGCAACTGAGAAAGAAGAGTTCACCTATGCAACTGTTTTGGACTCCTCCTCCTCTGGCACAGCCTGGCTGACATGAACAGTGCTTCACTACCTCACAGCCCAATTCGTCCATGGCTGATGAAACGTTAGCCTCAATCCAAGAACTACTTGTCCCCTGAAAAGACTTCCCATGTCTCATATCTGCAAAGTGTCAAGGAGAAGAACATCTTTAATGAGGATTGCCCAGATTGCCCAGAACAGGCTGACTAGAAGCCTGTTCACCGGAAAACACAGAATCATATGCAGCTCAATCACTAAAATTAAGCCACTGCAGGGGGGCTAGGATTATTGGGAATGTCTGACTTCATCCAGCTCCAGAATTCTGGCTCTAGCTTTCCATGTCCTAGTTACAACTGGATTTCTGACAATTCTGACCCAGTCAGTTCACAAAATTAAACTTTTCAGATCTGGATTCTCTCCTCAATGCATCCATATACAGGACTGGGAGACCCATGGATGCATAATGGCTAAAAAGAGGAACTTTGACAAAAGATAAACTGGCTTTGTCATCTTGTGGCTAATGCTGGCAAGTAGAGATAAAAACAGCAGAAATATTTTTACACTGTACATAGAATGGAGTGATATAATCTTACTCCAAAATGTTAATAGACATGAATTTTAGGTGGTACTCAAGACCTGGCATAATTTTATTCCTCTCTAACTAATGAAAGTCTCTCAGTTCCTTGCTCTCTGGCCACCGTGAAACATTTTAAATTTTTAAACATGTTATATGCTGCATCAAAATTTCTTGAGACGTTAAATTTTGATTAGTTTTTCTTGATTATTTTTAAACTCACCAAGTTGTCAAGATTTTCTGTTCTCTTGCTTTGGGAGTCGCAAAAACAAAATTTGCAAGCCACTTGCTTTCTTCCATAGCCTGAGTTATTTAAAGGTTTTGTGCAAGGTGAGTAGGGAGGGTAAGCATCTGTAAGGGTGAGGATTTGATGGCTGTTAGTGAGCTCTGCCAATGGAAGGGGCCCATGGCTGGCTTCCTCGTAAGGCCCCGTGGAGGATGTATAAAAAATTTAAGAATGCTGTAACTTGGGAGCCAGGATTCTTTTCCATGAAGTGTTCTCTATGCTTAAAAATGTACAGAATCAGCAGAGCAGCTGGACTTCAAGGTATGACAAAGGCTAGACTACACACATCTTTTTTGTGACTATAATGAACTGAACTGAAAAGGCTTTCCTAGTTAAGGTTCAGGTTAAGATCACTGCTGTCATGTGGCTGAGAGAAATGTGATGGGAAGCCAGGATAATAACAGAGATTGAATCTCCCATTGTCTTGCAGAATTGGAGTATTGGAATCATTTTTAATTTGCTTCAAGGGAAAATAGAAAGTAGTATTTCTTCCTCATCTGAATTTACAGCATAAGCTTGATATGCACATCACTTGCTACTTTCTACCTCAAAGCATGAATGAATCTTTATCTCTCTGGTTCTTATCTGTTAACTACTTTACGGCCTTCACTTAAAAGCCATTTTCTCAAGGAAAGTTTCTGTTACCCTCCTTTCCAGACTGAGTCAGTTCCCTCAATGATAATATTTACTGGCCTTCTGTATTTCTACTTTGTATCATTTATCATAATTTTATTTAAATAATCAATAGTTATTCATAATTTAATATCTTTCTCACTCCTCCTTCTGCAACAATAATACAAGTTCTAGGATATAAGAGCTTAGTCTTTGTCGATTATTGCCCTCTTTCCAAACACCTAG
This sequence comes from Homo sapiens, assembly GCF_000001405.40. Lineage (NCBI taxonomy): Eukaryota > Metazoa > Chordata > Mammalia > Primates > Hominidae > Homo > Homo sapiens. The sequence continues at coordinate 125,398,164 of NC_000007.14, forward strand.
CATAAGTGGTATAATTATGTAGGGCAGGAACTCAATGCATATTGATTGAATGAAAGAATAAATATAGAAGTGAATGGCCTAAAGTAAATTTGACTTGCAGATAAAGATATCTGCATGAAGTTATGTCTGAATGATATTATTTGGGGATAGTAAGAAGAAAATGTCTAAGACAGATTGCAAGACACTTAGAAAATACTGGGATGGCACTGAGCACCAACCAATTTTCCACCAATGGTTCTTGAGAAGGCTGTCTCTCTCATAGACACTAGTCTCCTCAAGCCTGATAGACCCAGACTCCCTGACCACCTGTCACACACACACACAAATACAGAACACACAGGCACACATGCATACACACATACTACTGCTACAACCATCTCAGAGGGTAGAGAGGGATAGTCACCTAAAGAACAGAAAGAAGGGCCAGGTGCGGTGGCTCACGCCTGTAATCCCAGCACTTTGGGAGGCCGAGACAGGTGGATCACGAGGTCAGGAGATCGAGACCAACCTGGCTAACACGATGAAACCCCGTCTCTACTAAAAATACAAAAAAAAAATTAGCCGGGCGTAGTGGCGGTTGCCTGTAATCCCAGCTACTTGAGAGGCTGAGGCAGGAGAAGGGTGTGAACCCAGGAGGCAGAACTTGCAGTGAGCTCAGGTCCCGCCACTGCACTCCAGCCTGGGCAACAGAGCGAGAATCCATCTCAAAAAAAAAAAAAAAAAAAAAAAGAGGAAGAAGACATTATTTACAATAGCCTTGATCATTAACTGGTGATTATATTACTTACTTGTGTGACCCTCTTAAAAATATCTGTTTTATCTACTTAATTGTAAACTCATGATGGGATTGCATAGGTATAATGTAAAATGTAGACACTATGCCTATTTTATTCACTGCTAAATCTCCACTGGCTGCTATGTAGGTGACATCAGTAAACACATGAATAGAAATTAAATACATTTGTTAATAAATGAATGGATATGGTAATAGATCTGGTTGGGTAAATTATTGCCAGCAGGGAAAACAATAAATGAGAAATATACAGTAAGCAACTTAAGGAAAAGATGCTTTTAAGTCAAGAGTAGCAGTTGGTAGCAAATTGGTAACTTGATATGAGTTATATAAATGTCACATTTTTTGGCTAAGTTATTACTACTTTGAAAGAAAATGTACTTTTAAAGTATTTTTGTATTCTTAAATTTAGCATTGTGTCTAACACATGAAAGTGAGTTAATATTGTTTGGAATCAATATACCAAGGGATAGTATAATTTAGTCCTTTTAGAGTCAGGCTTGGCAAAAACGGTGAGACAGCTTCTTACCACACCACATGCAAACCCTGACACTGTGTTTTCCCTTCTTCTTTTCTCTCCAGTGCAGTTTTTATTCTCCACTCTTTCTGATGCCTTCAGGGTTTCTTTCACAGGCACATCCAGAACAAGCCATTGGTGTTACCGTGGCAACAACTAAACTCTAGATTTGATGCTCAATCTTTCCTACTTTTATTTTCCTCTTCAGAAAGTACTTTCTCTCTGCCCTAGATCACTGCCATTCAAATAGGCCCAATTTCAAAGAGAAACAGAAAAAAATAGGTAATCAGTAAATTGTAATAAGGGTAATCAGTAAGTTCGACTAACCCCTGTGAATCAGAAAAACAAGACAAAATAATTGAAATCTCTAATAACTTTAGATAAATTGTCTTTTTCCCCTGAACATTGTTTAGAAATTGTTCTAAAGTTGTTATCTAACAGCTTAAGACCAATTGTTTCCCCCCACCCAAGCATTTTATGTGGGGTGTGTGTGTGTGTGTGTGTGTGTGTGTGTGTTTGTGTAGATCCAAGGGAATAAAAATACTAAGGGTTAATGTCAAACAGTTGGAAAAAAAACTCAAGGGTCGTCAAGGCAAGGATAAATCCCTCAGAGAATTAGCAAAGCAGAGCCTTCCCAGACTAAGCCCAACTCAGCTGCCTCCCATCCCTCTAACAATTCCCTTCCGCACTTGGGTATTTCCAAACAGCTGAGGTCGGCTTTTTACTTTTATAGCTAAAATAACAAATGGCAGGAATAGATCTTCATATTTGATGTTAGTCCCAACTAGATTTTATCCTCTGGGGGAGCAGAAATTGGGCTGTCTATATTTCATGAAACTCTTCATCACTGATGGTGAAAATTGGATTTGAGTCAAGCTCCTGCCTAAAAATTCATTTAGTGGTGGTAATAACAAATAGGTATTTGACAAATTATTTCTTCTCATCCTCAGCCCAATAAGTGAAAAAAAGGACAGCAGCTCCATGATGGTGGGCTCCTGAAATTGGCAGACCCTTTATTCCATAGATACTGAAACCTGGGCACCTCTTTGAGGACCAAAGGATTCACACAGGGAGGGACGTTCTCTTGCACTATTATGGCTCTTTGACATTGTCTATATTTTTGGCATTGTTTGCCATGATGAAGAACTAGCAAACAAAGAAAAGTGACCCTAAAATGCTCAAATCAATCTTCTTACAAATGCTTATGCTTGGCAAGCCCTTGTGGCATGGCTTAATTTAGAAGAAATAAATAAATGAGATCAAAATCTTATTAATTAGTTTCTCATCATCTAGAATAAACTATGTATCATAAGAGAAAAGATACATTTTTGTGGAAGCAAAATGTACATATCCCTTTACCTGGAGCAAAAACAGAGAAGTACATATGGAAACCCTGAGGCAAGAAAGGATTTCCAATGCTTAAGAGTCTAAAAGAATCATCATCTGGATCTAGAGTGTGCCAAGGGACGGAGCAAGTGGTATGTTATGAGACTGTAGAGCTGACAGGGGATTTCTGCCTTTGCCATGTCATCTACCTCTCCTTCCTTTGCTTAGATAGCCTCTCTCACTTTTCAGACACACTCAAACAAACTTGGACAGCTTGAGCCCTCTATGACATGCCTTAAAGCTGTAAAAACAAGACATTGTTTTAAAAGTGGTCTTAATTCTCTGCAAAATATGTTGCTAACATATAATGCAGGGTAATACATGATTTTAAGTAGTATGAGAAAAACTGATTGCACCTCTCTCACTCACATGAAACATGGAAAATTCTGATTCAACATATAAGATAAAATCTAAAATTTATGTGGTAGAGTCTATGTCATTTGTCCATATTGAGAAGATGAGTGCTCTGTCTTTGTTTTATTAGCCATCCTTGCCCTAGAATGAGTAAAGGACTCAAGAGCGGACCTTACTATGAGGAAGAAGAAGGGAGAGAAAAAGAATATATCTCTCTGAAGTATTTCAGCAGAAGATAACAAATATTACTGGAAAGAGTTGATGTGAAACCTGTGTACAATTTTAGGTACAGCCAGTTCTTGCTTGACCTAATTCCTTCACAGCATGGCCAGGGGTCCTAATGAAGTATCACCTACAGTTGTACAGTTTTCCTTTGGATTTTGATTTATATCAATGCTGAGGATGATTATCATCCCATGAATTGCTGATAGCAGCAGTTAGATTCAAAGATATAATCATCTATATCTGATAAAATCTCTATAGTCAAATCTTTACCACTAATGACCTACAACTGACTATAAAAAATACACAGAAAAAAAACAAAATAATTTTTAAAATGTGTATTAGTATAGTAATACTTACTGGTTTTGTTGAGAAATTTGAGGTACATATTTTTTTTCATCCCCAGATCTAGTCAATTAGTTCAGCTGCTTTGAACATATAGTTAACCCAAAGTAATATTTAACTTTTTTAATGTATACTGAACAAACTTTTATTCCTGGATGGACATAGTGATGTAATGCCTATTATAAAGCTATGAGAAAAGCAAATGTGAGACCTGGAGCTGAAAAACTACAAGCTCATCAGCACAAAAGTGGGAATCTTCAGTGGCCAAGCAGGTGAATAGCTATCTTCATATGTGCAAGGCAGTTTTATGGCATCACAATGAAACTGGAATTTTGTGCATAAATATAATCATATATTTAGTTACTAATTTATATGAAGAAACCAGTTGCTCTGAGTTAAAGAAGATAAGGAAATGAACATATGCTATGATACACATTTCAAAAATAAAACAGATGTTTTTAATACAGGAGGACAATAGAAATTTACTGATGGTGTTGAGTAGCTGAGTTAGATAGATTCTTTAAAGAGAGAAAACATAATAACATTTTCAATATACCAGAGGCCTTAAAAAATCAATGTTTTTCTTTATAGTTCAATTCACAGGAGATGTAAAGACATCAGTACTTTTCTTAGGGCATTGTGATTACCCTTACACAATAATCCAAAGATGAATTCATGAAAAATAAGCATGACTGATCTTGCAATCACACGGTACAACCTTGTATTTTCTTTTTCTTTATTTCCTTTCTTTTCTTTTCTTTTTTTTTGAGATGGAGTCTCACTCTGTCGCCCAGGCTGGAATGCAATCACTGCAACCTCTGCCTCCCAGGTCCAAGCGATTCACCTGCCTCAGCGCCCTCCACCACACCTGGCTAATTTTTGTGTTTTTAGTAGAGATGGGGTTTCACCATGTGGGCCAGGCTAGTCTAAAACTCCTGACCTAAGGTGATCCACTTGTCTTGGCTTCCCCAAGTGCTGGGATTACAGGTGTGAGCCATCGCGCCTGGCCTAACCTTGTATTTTCTTGTTTTTTTTTTTTCTGTCTTTAAAGGTTTCTTTTCCATTCCTTAAAGTTCACAGGATATAATATGACTAGTTCCCTTTATATTTCTGACAGTTTATTGTTAGAGATTTATGAATGTGCTTATATGATTATAAGAATACTAATTAAAGTCCCATACCAGAATAAAGAGGAATCTAAACAACTAACTTCTGCCATTAAAGACTAAAGATGATAGAGGTCACCTTAAGCAAGATTTTGGAAAAGGCGAAGGTAAACTTTCTTCATTTGTGCTACTCTTCCATTTTCAATACCACTTTTAGACTTGGGGAAGGAGATACCTTGCCCTAGACCCCATGCTTGAGAGCAGTGATCCTCAACATGTCTATGATCAAATACGAAATTTGCATTTCTAATTCTTTGAGGTTAAATATTTTCATAAAATGTAATGATATTATGGCCATTCCAAAGTGCAGTAAAATTCTTTCAATGCTTATTCTCAATATCTACACTTTCCTTTTGACAGACGGTTCCCCAGGGCATGTTCACTGACATCAAGGTGCAGAACTTACTTTAAGTAGCACTACGTATGAGGGCTGTACATCTCACAAACAAAACAGAAAGACAATAACTTTAGTAAAAAGTAAGTTGACACTTTTGTCATTAGGTCTGGCAGTCAGTGCAGGCACCATACGACTCCTAATTCTAAACATCTACTCTCAGGATGGATACCATTCAAGCCCAAGGAAAACCAATGCTTCTTTTCATCTATGGACTCAAGTCTCAGAAAGCAGAGAAGTGAGTGTACCAAGTGCAACAAACGTTTGAGCATTGTTCTGCTGCCAATATTGAAGACAGCCACTGCTTTGAAGTGTGGGGAGGAGGTAAGCAAAGGTAGCATTTTCCTAAGAGAAAAAAAAATAGCTTGTCAAATATTTCTTCTTTGTCAGCATGACTGTAATAGGTTCCTGCATAATAAAACATTATTTCCCAGTAATGCCAGACATTAGTTTTTTTCTTTCTCTTTTTGTTCTGATACATGGTTCCCAGAGATATGTGATATTGTGGCATAGGTCATATGAGGAACATAGGACAAAATTAAACAATTAAAATTTCTTTTAAACAAATAAATTTGCATATTCATATATACATATCAATCACATATGTAAGAGAAAGTATTAAGAAAATTACATATTTTAACAATTAGATGAATGTTTATTGCTAAGATAATAAATTATATTTTAAAGAAAAAATATCGGCTTTATAAATACTATTAATATAGGATTTTAAAAATTATTTATTTTTGAAAAGTTTTATATTTACAAAAAATGTTGAGAATACACAGAATTTCCATATGCTCTATACTCAGCTTCCCCAATTAACACCTAACATTAGCATGGTATATTTGCAATAATTAGTAAACCAGTATTGAATCATTATTATTAACTATAGTGCACACAGTATTCAGAATTGCTTAGTTTTTTCCTAGTTATTTTTTTTCTTTTCTAGACCACAACTACTACATTTAATAGTTGTGTCTCCTTGGGCACCTCTTGGCTCTTACCATTTCTAAGGCTTTTCTTCTTTTTTATGACTTTCATGGTTTTGAGGATTATTGGTCACATGCTGTATAAAATGTCCTTCATTCTGAATTTTTTTAAAATGACTGCACTGGTTTTATGGATTAGGGGGAGGAAGATCTCAGAGATGAGGTACCATTCTTATTACATCATATTAAGAATACGTGACTTATCACTATTAAACTTGACTACCTGGCTTGAGGTAGTGTTTGTCAGATTTGTCCACTGTAAAGTTACCTCTTTCTTCCATTCCCATATTATACTCTTTAGAAGGAGGTAACTATGTGGAGCCTGCACTTAAGGAGTCAGGAATTACACTCCACCATTTTGAAGGCGGAATATCTAAATTATTTAGAATTCTTCTGCATAGATTTGTCTATTCTTCATTTATTTGCGTATTCAATTGTTATATATATTATATGGACTCATATATTAATTTTATACTTTGTAGTATAATCTAATATTTATTTAATTTTTGCCTTTTGCTAAATGGTTCCAGCTTTGGCCATTGGTAGCTCTTTCAGTTAGTTTCTATACCCCTTTGACATAGCCTCATTATATTTTTTTAAATTTCTGCTTTTGTTTGTTTGTGTTTGTGTTTTGTTTTGTTTTACCACTTGCTTACTTCCTGACACTAAAAAAAATGCTCCAATGGTTGTACATAATGGACTTTTCCAAAGAACCCTAGTTTTTAAAATTTGAGAATAGTATTAGAAACCAAGTACCGAAGAAAAAAAAAGAGACCCAGAATTGGATGCTATGTGTGCCCATTGTCATGCCGCTGTGATATATACATGTATATATGAACTCACTTATATACATGTATCTACAATATTTCTATGTGTAGCGATCTTTTTCTGTATTAGGTCAAACATGGAGTTCATACTGATTATCACATGGATCATTTTAAACTCCTTCCCTTACTTATCTATAACCCTCATCTCCAACAGTGAGAAACCTGGCTCCTGGGGTTTACCAAATATTTACCTAACTGTTCAACTCCAGTATAAACATACAGCACTACAAGAATTGCTCATACATATTCCAGTGAGAATCAACTTTATCAACTAAAGTGCAATGCCTATGTACACTTCTTTTTTTGTCCTTTGTCTTCTATACTCCATTTCCAAACTTTTTTGCGTCAGCATGTCTTTCTCACCCTCTTTAGTGAATGCTTTTCATATATTCTTAATAAAGTTAGATAATTTTGTTACACATTGCTTTCTGTCCTGAGATCTTCTGACCTCCTACATGTTTTTAAATTTACATACACTAAGGTTAACTGTTTGTGGAATAAAGCTCTATGAATTTTGACACTTGCATTGTGTCTTGAATTCATCATTACAGTCTCATGTAGAATAGTTTCACAACCCACAGTATCTCTTGTGTTTCACCTATTAAACCCTCTGCCCCTTCCCATGACAAGCTCCTGAAAACCACTGATCTTTTTAATATCACCTCAATTTTGCTTTTTGAGAATGCTGTAAATTAGAATCATACAATTTCCAGCCTTTACCAACTCTCTTCTTTCACTAGCAATCTTCACTTAAGATTCATCCATGTATTTTCATAGCATGACATTTCATATCTTTTTTTTCACTGAATAATATTCACTTGTGTGGATTTATTAAGTGTGTTTATTTACCTACTGAAGATCATCTTAGTTACTTCCCTTTTTTGGTGATTAAAATAAAATTACTATAAACATTTGCTCATAGTTTGGAGATGATACAAAATTTGAATACAAAATTTGAATAAAGGGGAAGCAAAAGGTTAAAGCTATAAGGAACACAGAAAAGAGAAAAAGAAAGAAGTCTAAGAAGCTGAGTAGATTGTTCAGAAGCTTCTAGGCGTTGAGAATACAGATGTTTGAGTTGAAGTCTTGTCATACTAGAGGAGATATTATAACAGTTCAGATTTCCATCAAAACCTCAGATTCCATTTTAGGAATAAAGACCATGCCTCAAGATGAAGGAATTTGCCCTAGAACTAAATGCAAAGCCAAAATAAACAGACCCAAGCAAAGTGTAAAACAAAGTCTTCATGTGATAACAGCAAACACCAGTAATTTAACTGCCTACTAGAAAAACAATAATTTTCCATGGATATTTTTTAAAAAATCAGAATACTTAAAATGTAACTTTGCAATGTCCAGTATAGAATAAAAAATACTGTATATAAGCAGAAAAATAAACACATAAACAAGAGGGTTAAGAATAAGAATAAAAGAAAAACAAATGACACAGATGTTGGAATTATCAGAAAGATGCTATATTAACTATTTAAATATGTTCATGTTTCTACAGTTAAAGGAGTATATAAAAAAGCATATGGAATGTTTTAGAAAAGCTATAGAACCTCTAAAATAATGAAAGGGAAACAGAAATGAAAAACACAATACTTGAAATAAAAATTGTTCAGTTGGTGAGCTTGACAGAAGAGACACAGTAGAAAAGGCTATATAGAAATTATCCAAACTAAAGCCACACAAAATATTGAAATAAAATATTTTTATTCCTTCTAGAATTTATAAATGATTATCAAAATTATTTTGTCAGTTGAGTGCTTAGAGACTAATGTCTGATTTGAGGCATAATTGAACTATATAAATTCAATGAGGATTGAAACTTAAGAAATTATTTGTCCTTCTAGCTATAAGTTGTAAATGCCAAATATAAAATACAATATTACAAAAAAATCATAAAACTTTTTATAATATAGTGGTGTTTTATTAAGTCAATCCTAAAATTTCATTATTCTGAAAGCTACTTTTGGCTGTAAGATTTAGGTTTATTGTTTGGCTCACTGGTTGTTAAATTTCAGCACTATGGAAGGGAAACTTTTAAAAATGAATTGTAGAAAGTGGATTCTGACATTTACGCGTGATTTGTGTAGACAAACGTGTAGTGGAGGAAGTAGGAAAAAGGTTCTTCCTGCTGGGCATTCACTTGCTGTGGAATTTTATAATAAGTTTCTGGCCAGTCTTCTTCACAAAATAAGCAATGCATGCAAATCCAAGATTTTGAATATCATGTACTCGCTACCTAAATTTTAAAAGATGCTGGATAATTTTTAATAACAAAATAACCTAATTCTATTTAAACATAAAATTTATCTTGTAGTCTTCTAAGCATAGAAGTTCATTGTGAGATATGAATCTAAACATGAATTATGAATGCTTGAAAATCAGAGATATGGAGATTACAATAAAATGAAGCAACTTTTATTTTAATGGCTGGGAGTAGTCCTCCAAAGATGTTCACATCTTATTCCCTGGAATCTGGGAATATGCTAGATTACAGGACAATGGGAAATTAAGATTTCAGGTGGAGTTAGGCTACTAATCAACTGATCTCATCCTGGATTATTTTAGTGGGCCCAGTGTAAACACAAGTGTTCTTATAAGTGGAAAAGGAAGGCAGAAGGGTCAGAGAAAGATCTAAAGATGCTATGCTGCTGGTGTTGCAAATGGAAGAAGGGGCCACAAATCAAGGGACGCAGACAGCCTTTAGAAGCTGGAAATAACAAGGAAACAAGTCTCCCCTAGAACCTGCAAGGGAATTCAGCTCTTCTGACACTTTGATTTTAGCCTACCAAGACCCATTTTGGATTTCTGACCTCTAGAACTGTAAGATAACAAATTTTAGTTGTTTTAAGCCATTAAATTTGTGGTACTCGGTTAAAGCAACAATATGGAACTAACATACTGAGTTTGCAGGTTGACTAACCCCAACTTTAAAAAAAAATTCAAATTTTTAAGAGCTTATTTTTTTTCCAAATTAACAAGTGAATTAAAGTAAGACTGTTTCACAGAACAGAACATGATGGCATTGTTTTATCTGGGATTACAAGCATAATAAAAATTTAAATGGTGAACATGTATGACACATTTTAAAGAAAGAAAACATCACTGTAAACATTTCTGGTATGTTGAAAAGAATATGAATCATGCCAAAAAATTTTTGTTTAGTTACAGTTTTACATAAACTACACAAAACTATATTAATCACTAATCAAACACAAATGTAAAATCAATGGATACTTTAATATTTTGTACCTAGTAGGTGAGTAATATATTACAACTAACTAGGCAAAAAATTTCCATCTATAACTAATATTTTCAAATGTTTCTACTACATATAAATTGTACTCATCAACTAATGGACCATATGATAATTTGACAAAACTCTGTGAAAACACTGTGCTAAAATCAAAGCTTTTATTTTAAAAATTTCCCCGTTCGGCTTTATTCAGAAAATGTCATTTTTATTTCCAATTTTGTAGTTTAATGAGAAATTTTCTTTAATCATTGAAATATATCTTTCCTATATAATTAAGATATTCCATGAAATACCTAAAATATTTAATTTTTATAAATTACACTATTTTAATTGAAGTAGGATTTTGTCAGTATTAAAAAGAAGACAAATAATTTAAAAATTAAAACTATTGCTGATGACTCAAAGTAATACAGATGTATCTGAAACTTTATGCTGAATCTCTTTTCCTTTTTTACCCACATTGAACCAGTGCAGAAGTACTTTGGGTTGCATTTTGAAATAATGAGTTGTAAGATTAATTTATTAAAGATTTTGTGGAGTGATTAGGGAAGAAATGACATTACAACGCAAAGCATTTAGCAATTCACTGCAAAAATCCTCATTTTGTTTTCTCTCCATGCTTCCAGCCATCTCTTCTTTCCTTCTAACTCTTTTCCTCTATAGTTTTCTCTGCAGTTTTCACATTGGATTCTTTATGTACATTACCCTACTAGGTAAATAAAAGATAACTGGGTTCCCATTCTGTTTAGAAAATAGAAGCTATGGCTGGGTGCGTTGGCTCATGCCTGTAATCCCAGCACTTTGGGAGGCCGAGGCTGGTGGATCACAAGGTCAGCAGATCGAGACCATCCTGGCTAACATGGTGAAACCCCGTCTCTACTAAAAATACAAAAAATTAGCTGGCCTGTAGTCCCAGCTACTCGGGAGGCTGAGGCAGGCAAATGGCGTGAACCCAGGAGGCGGAGCTTGCAGTGAGCCGAGATCGTGCCACTGCACTCCAGCCTGGGCGACAAAGCGAGACTCCATCTCAAAAAAAAAAAAAAAAAAAAAAAAAAGAAGAAGAAGAAGAAACTAGAAGCTATTTAAAAGTAAGACATATATTCTCCCTCAGTAAATATTTTGTTCATTTCTGGTCACAACAGGATACTTTGAAATCAGCCAGCTTTGAAAGCTATAATATTGTGAAAATAAACATCTTTTCCTGTCTACAGAGAATTAGTTACACGCAAATCCAGAATTAAGTGGAATTAATACATGCTTTCCTATGTATATGCTATGCTATGTACCGAGGCGAAAATGGAGTGTGATTCCTAATGCTGTTGTTAAGGGTTCTATGGCTTTTTGAAAGCCACTTGATCACTTAAGCCTCAGTTTTATCAGCTTTAAAATGAAGGGGCTGACCTAGTTGGTCTCTAGGGCAGTTTACTGCCGGGAGACTCTGTCATACTTAGACTATGCAGCCTAATCCTTGCCATCGAGGCATTTTTCCTTCACGCTGGGAAAGCAAATGCCAGAAAGTAGCACATGATGAAGTGTAACACCTACAAGAGCAACATTTGAATTAGGTGTTATAGCAGATATTTGGAAAACTAAACTTAACCTCAACTTGAAAGATAAGCTTGAAGCATTAAATACCCCTTAGGCAAAAGAGAAGAATGAAGTCAGCATAAGCAGGTCATTGTGAAAGGATTGTGTTCAAGTTGGCTTGTCTAAAGCACAGTCCACACCATGAAGCTGTGAAGTACAAGTTTTGACTGGCATGGCAGAGCTGGAATTTGTCAGGTATGAAATAAGAGCAGAGAAATCTAGATTTACTTCCATAGCCAGTAGGAAGCTACTGAAAATTGTTTAAGAAAGGAATAATATGAAAACAATAAAGAAAGCCTGACAATAACATACAGATCTAAATTTGTAGGAGAGAAGAAAAAGAGGAAGAAAATGGAAGTGAAGAAAAAAACAGTTAAACAAAAATTTTGTTACAGGTCTGGTGAACATAAAACATTGTATTATACATAGCAGGAGGTGCCAGTACAGTATACCTGTGGAGATATCAACATACCTGTAGAGTATCAGTATAACTGTAGAGATACCTGTAGAGACACTCTAAATTTGAAATAATAAGATTCACAATTAAAATGGGGACAGAGATAATGAAAAGAAAGAGATAAATGTAAGGCGTGTTTTGAAGTGAATTCTAAAGTTTGTATGATGCCTTGATTGAATAAGATGGAAGACCAATGAAAGATGACAAGGATGTGTGAAACTATGACTGGTGAAATGATGGTGGTAATAAGGATGGAAAGGAGCTCTGGAGAGGGAAGCATTTTTGGAGAGAAGGTAATGAATACATTTTTATATTTTGGGAAAGGCAGAATTATACGAAAATACCAAAAGTACATCTGAAATTACTGACTCAAAAATATATTGTGAAATATTTTATTCATTTATGTCTATTCATGTTTTTTATATCATGAAGATTATTTCACTTATAAACTTTAATAATACTCCTTAAAACATTTCTAACAATTTCTAGTAATATGTACACTTATACACACATATGCACATGCACGCACATACACACATACACACAGAAGACACACACTAAGGTCAACATCCAAGTCATAAAAAAAGAATAATTATTTTGCATAAATTGCTAATTACAATTACTTCCTGTTGCAAACCCAAATCTACTACTAGAGCCAAAATAATCTTGTCAGCATAAATACAGGTTTTGAGAAGAGTACAGGTGAAGAAAAACAAAAATGAAAAACTTAAGAAGAAATCTAGCTCTTATGTTTAATTTGCAATGATAAAGTCATCTCTGATACTTTTCCCTTGAATTTTAAGCCTTGAGTATTTAAATTCACATTTCATCAACTCTAGAATAAAATAACTGACAATATTGTATTCAGAAATAGGTAGTTATTCATGGATTTTATAATTAGAATTTCTACCTAATTTCAGTCTCTTACCTGCATCAGAATTTGATCTTCAGAGAGGGTATTTTGTGAAATTTGCAACATCCAAACTCATTCTCTTTATAACACCCATCTCCATTCCACATGCCTTTCATTTGCTCTAGGCAGGCAGCCTCTTTAACTGTCACTTGGAAGAATTCCTTAATCATCATAAGGCCCATTATTTGTATGGAGTCGGGCAGCCCCAAGGGAAAGGACCTAAAGTTACTCATGCTGGGGAGAATCATTGCATGGAGACAGGTTTGATTCAAGATTTTATGAAAAAAGTCAAAGAAGAGTCCATGAAACTTCTGAAAGAATATTGCCGTAAGTGATAAAGAAAAATGATAGTAGAAAATGAAGACGGTTCCAGGGGCAGAGTGAATGATGCCTCTTTGTACTGAGTGAAGTTGTGACTAATAATGCTGGCCTAGTTCTCTCACTCCTCACTTTGACAAGAATGTGAAAATGCTTCTGATGGGCTAGAGATAGACCCCAACGCAGGAGATTGGGGACAAATGGAGAGGAGATCGTGATGGCAGAGAGAACAGAGCTATGCCCTCTGCGTAGGCTCTATCAGCCAAAGTATGTGAACTGTAGGAAGGATTATCATCAGTCTTGGCAACGGCCTTTGGGTAATTGCCTGTAGGAAATCATCAAGGGTCATGGAGAAATTAATGGAGCAGTAGTAGATAACAGAGAAGAGCCACAGGAGAAGTGCTGGAATAAAGGGTCTGTGGAAACACAGCTCACTTTCTGTATTTACAAAGTCCTAACAAGAGAAATGAATTTCTATGCTTGGCCAATGGGTGACTTTAAGTGTCTCTAAGAATAAGCTATTGAAGTGACCTTAAGCCTGAATGAGGGCTGAGCTAATGTTTCTTAATTTTTGCTCCCCTTGCTTAATGATTTAAACCTGTTTTGCATATTTTATCTGCTCTGTTTATATCAGGAAAACAACTATCACCTCTACATTTATGTCTAAAAACATTCATACCCCTAGAAAACCTGTCTTTACTTTTTATTAACTAGAAAGACACCAATTTACACTTTGTACTGAAGTTATAGTGGTATAACTATAAAATAATGAAATCGGGCTTATTAAGTCACATAAAGATATTTATCTTATTCCTTTAGAGTATTTGCATGCAACTAGCAGACATTTTTTGAGTTAGGTCTGATACTTGTAATACCTTTCTGTTTAATGTCAACCATAGTTCATGTTAGTCTTATATGTGCATTTCTATTGCACAAAGATATTTTCAGCCCAAACTTCAGTTTAACTATCAGGACTATAAGTTATAAATGCACACTGGTGAAGCTTTTATTTTGAATAAAAATGCTAGCTTAAGGCAATCAAACATTAATCATTGAAATAAAACTTTCATTAATTGATATAGTATTAAATGTAATATTTAAGATAAGCTTAAGAGATCTTCATTTGCTATTATTCTTAGTTATATTTCCTGCAAAATTAAACTTCTTCAGTAATTATTGTAGCTATGAGGTGGATGTAGTTCTTATTATGTAAAGCTGAATTTTCAGACTATGTGAATAAATTTGGGAGGCTATAACAAACAAAGATGATTTCTATGTATTATTTCTTATTCAAATTTTGAAACACTTTCTTTCCTAAAAGCAAGAAATCACATGCAAAAAAAAAAAATTCTCTGTTCTCTCACTGTGGTAACAGATAAAAGTGTGTCTTAAAATAAAACTGAAACTCATAGCTTGAGGAGAAAACAGACTCTTTCTCTAAATACAGACATACACATACACACACACACATCCCGCAAAATAATGGGTTTTTTGGAGCAGTATAATCTGTTCTACTTACAATCATTTTAATTTCAAGAGAGACCTCTCCAACTAGTTCTGGCAAAAGAAAAGGGAAGATTTATTTTTTAAAATAAAGATATAACAGACAATTGTACAGTTACCAAATGATAAGAGACATAGTCTTATAGGGACTGAAACTAAGAACTAGAAAAACAAGGGTTCTCTTGTCATCTCTTAGGGGCTGCATGATCTCCCTAATCTCAGCATGTGTGATTCTTGCTCTTGCCTTTCCTTACTGCTGACTTATTTTCCTACTCTTTAATAACTTCTGCTTGCAGGTGGCTTTGGCTTCCTAGCACACCAGCCTCACCCCTGACTGCTTCATACATTTTCTATTTTTTTCTCCAAGGTGTGACCTCATAAATTAACTGTGTCAAAACCCCAAGATAACTGACATTTACCTCTGTTTTCTCAATTCAAATTCCCAATAAAGCAATCTAGGCGATTTATCATTTTTTTTTTTTAAAGCTGTAGCATAGAAGATTTCTCCTGGCCCAATCACTTGAGGTGAGTTGAGGTAACATTGAGTTCTGTAACCTGACAACACCTCAGCCAGGACAGTAGGTGGGATTTCTCTGAAAAGGGAGTGGACAGAACTGGCACCCAATAATAAAACATAGGTATGAAAGGAAAATAAACTGAGTCAGGCAAAGCTGTCTCCCATTTCATTCCCAAATAAGATAGCTATACTTAAAAAATAACAACAACAACAACAACAACAAAACACTACATATTTCCCTCACAATTTGCCCATTAGGAAATTCCATGTGAGGCTCAAGATCTTTACCCTAAACCAGTTCTGTTGAATTTCACCCCGGCAATGTAAATTGATACCTTATCTTCACAGGTATGGAAAAAAGGTCAGAACTCATAATCGTCCCTCTGATCACCTGAGACAGATGCCTATCTGATTGCTTCCTCTGCCCTACATTTATTTTATCATATGTGAAAATGCAGATTCACTGAGCCAGATGAATGCATAAGTGACTATTTCTCTATCTTTCCCTCACACATGAATGGCTGATCAGAGACTCAAAAGAATGCAACCGTTTGCCTCATCTACCTACACCTTTTAAAAATTTCTTGCTCTGTCCCCAGTATTAACCCTTTCCCCTTTAAATATTGAAGCCCTCAAAATCATCATTGTAGAAAGGTATGGGCCTGTTTCCCGCATGTGCCTCCTTAACCTTTGCAAAATAAATTTTTTAATTGATGGACAACTGTCTGATACTTTTTTTGGTTTACATAGGATAAAAAATTGTTACAGACTTATCTGTTGCACCATTTTCCTAGTCATTGATGAAAGAAAGATGATGTAGTAGGTAAAGCACTTGATTTAAAGACATGCAGATCTCATGTATCTGGGGCTGAATTCTTTATTTATAAATTTATAAATTAAAGTAACAGTACTGCCTCAGTGATATATAATATGTAAAAATCTTAATATGGTCTTGGATCTACTCTAAATACTCAACGATGCAAAGTAATTTTCTACTTTTCCTTTCTATTTACTGAAGTGTAGATCTCTAAATCATGGTGAACAACTTTGGCAACTACCAATATTTTATGTCTTAAGAAAACTACAGTGAACTTTAATTAAAAAAAAAAATCTGCCTGTGAGTACTTTTTAAATATTTTTGGCTAACATTTTAAATACAGCTATACCATGTCTATATTCTCTTTATTTTAAAAAAAATTCTACAGGCTTAGTATCTTAATATGTTCCATTTTCAAATAAATTTGTATCAATATTTTCTTAAACTCATCATATGTACCCTTTACAACAACTCTGGGAGCAAAACAGCAATATTGTCACATCAAAAATGAGCTCCATTTAAATAAATGACCCAAGATTTTTTTTTTATTCTTTCATGTATTCACTCATTCACTTATTCACTCATCTAATGAGCATTTATTGAGCACCTATTGTGTGCCAGGCACTGTTTTAAAGCATATAACAGTGAACACAGTGAACATTTGCTTTAATGCCATCTATGGTTTAGTAAGAGGAAGAACCAAATGAGAGAAAGGGAGAAAGTAACAAGGAAGAAAATGAGAAAGGAAGGGAGGGAGCCCAAGGTAATTTACAGATTCAATGCCATCCCCATCAAGCTACCAATGACTTTCTTCACAGAATTGGAAAAAACTACTTTAAAGTTCATATGGAACCAAAAAAGAGCCCGCATTGCCAAGTCAATCCTAAGCCAAAAGAACAAAGCTGGGGGCATCATGCTACCTGATTTCGAACTATACTACAAGGCTACAGTAACCAAAACAGCATGGTACTGGTACCAAAACAGAGATACAGATCAATGGAACAGAACAGAGCCCTCAGAATTAATGCCGCATGTCTACAACTATCTGATCTTTGACAAACCTGAGAAAAACAAGCAATGGGGAAAGGATTCCCTATTTAATAAATGGTGCTGGGAAAACTGGCTAGCCATATGTAGAAAGCTGAAACTGGATCCCTTCCTTACACCTTACACAAAAATAAATTCAAGATGGATTAAAGACTTACATGTTAGACCTAAAACCATAAAAACCCTAGAAGAAAACCTAGGTAATACCATTCAGGACATAGGCATGGACAAGGACTTCATGTCTAAAACACCAAAAGCAATGGCAACAAAAGCCAAAATTGACAAATGGGATCTACTTAAACTAAAGAGCTTCTGCACAGCAAAAGAAACTACCATCAGAGTGAACAGGCAACCTACAGAATGGGAGAAAATTTTCGCAAGCTACTCATCTGACAAAGGGCTAATATCAAGAGTCTACAATGAACTCAAACAAATGTACAAGAAAAAAACAACCCCATCAAAAAGTGGGTGAAGGACATGAACAGGCACTTCTCAAAAGAAGACATTTATGCAGCCAAAAGACACGTGAAAAAATGCTCATCATCACTGGCCATCAGAGAAATGAAAATCAAAACCACAGTGAGATACCATCTCACACCAGTTAGAATGGCAATCATTAAAAAGTCAGGAAACAACAAGTGCTGGAGAGGAGGTGGAGAAATAGGAACACTTTTACACTGTTGGTGGGACTGTAAACTAGTTCAACCATTGTGGAAGTCAGTGTGGCGATTCCTCAGGGATCTAGAACTAGAAATACCATTTGACCCAGCCATCCCATTACTGGGTGTATACCCAAAGGATTATAAAACATGCTGCTATAAAGACACAAGCACATGTATGTTTATTGTGGCACTATTCACAATAGCAAAGACTTGGAACCAACCCAAATGTCCAACAACGATAGACTGGATTAAGAAAATGTGGCACATATACACCATGGAATACTATGCAGCCATAAAAAATGATGAGTTCATGTCCTTTTTAGGGACATGGATGAAGCTGGAAACCATCATTCTCAGCAAACTATCGCAAGGATAAAAAACCAAACACCACATGTTCTCACTCGTAAGTGGAAATTGAACAATGAGAACACATGGACACAGGAAGGGGAACATCACACACCGGGGCCTGTTGTGGGGTTGGGGGAGTGGGGAGGGCTAGCATTAGGAGATATACCTAATGTTAAATGATGAGTTAATGGGTGCAGCACACCAACATGGCACATGTTTACATATGTAACAAACCTGCGCGTTGTGCACATGTACCCTAAAACTTAAAGTATAATAAAAAAAAGGAAGGGAGGGAGGAAAAGAGGGAAGAACGAGGGAAGCAGAAGTGTCAATGAACATTTAAATTGTTTCAATAGCTTGGCTATTGTGAACAGTGTTGGAAAAAACAAAGAAGTGTGGACATCTCTTCAGTATTCTGATTTCAGTTCTTTTGCAGACATACTCAGATATGGGATTTTTGAATCATAAGGTAGTTCTATTTTTAATTTTATGAAGAACCTCTATATTGTTTTTCCTATAGCAGCCCCATTTCACATTCCCACCAGCCATGTACAATGTTCTAAGTTCTCCACATTCTTACCAACACTTATCTTGTTTTCTTTCTTTCTTTCTTTCTTTTTGATAATAATCATCCTGACAGGTACGAGGTGATTGTTCATTGTGGTTTTGATTTGTATTTCTTTGATGATTACTGACATTATGTTTCTTTTGTAAAATTTCAACTTTTATTTTAGATACAGGGGGTACCTGTATAAGTTTGTTACATGGGTATATTACATGATGCTAAGGTTTGGAGTAGGGATACTGTCACCCAGTTAGTGAGTTTAGTACACAATAGGTAGTTTTTTGAACATGTTTTTATATCTCTTGGCAATTTGTGTTTTTTTTTTTTTTTTAGTGAAATGACTATGTAAGTCCTTTATCCATGTTTTAAATTGAATTACTTGGGGTTTTTTTGTATTGTTTGGCTATTGATTTGTAGAAGCTTCTTATATATATTGAAGATTAACTCCTAAACTATGTTTTGCAAATAGTTTTTTTTTCATCGCATAGGAATGGAATTTAAGAATGAAATTCTGTTTCTTATAGCATTAAAAAAAAGTAAACTATTTAGGAATAAGCTTAACCAAGGAGGTTAAAGCCATGTTTACTGAAAACTACAAAATATTGATAACAAATTAAATAAGGCACAAATAAATGGAAAGACATTGTATGCTGATGGCTTAGAAAACTATTACTCTTAAAATGTTCATACTACTCAAAGTGATCCACAAGTTTAATGCAATCCCTATGAAAATCTCAATGGCAGTTTCTACAGAACAGAAAACAAAATGTTAGAGCCACTTGGGAGATCATGCAGGACAGGAGGCAGGACTAGATTGCAGTTCCTGCTTGGATGAACAGAGCAGTGTGTAGTGGCTTGCATCATAAACTTTTGCTCCAGAATGACTGCAGGAATACATTAGGAAAGCCTGGAGAACCCACAGACCCTCTGAAGGAAGCAGATTGCTCCTGCAAGACCCAGGAGACACACCAAATAATATGAGTTCCCAAACTGTGAAAGTAAGAAAGGGAAATCATCTGCCCCTGAACACCATCCCCTCACTATTGGGGAAGTTGAAGGTCTAGATCGTGGGAGAAGATTCTGACCTTACCTGGAGCTGAGTCAATTTCGAGAGCCAAGTGAAATACAGGAGTAGAGGAAGCAGCAGGAAAAACCCTGTGGGCTTTCAGGGTCCCCTAGCAAGCCAATTCTGCTTGACTCACAGGGGTCCTTGGGGAGGGAAGCTAGAGGCACTGGAAAAAGGCCACAGGGAGAAGGAAACCTCTATATGAACTTTGTAACCATTTGAACCCATCGAGAAGTCTCCTGGCCAGAACTTGAAGGAGGGAGTGAATCTGGTGTGGGGACTCCACAGGCGGGGGAAGAACGAAAGCCCATTTGCTTTTGCAGCTGGGAGGCAGGTAGCTTGGGTCAAGTTCTCAGCCCTGCTTACCCACTGCCTAGAAACAGACTTGATGCTGTTGGGTGGGGAGGGCAGAGTGGGAGTGAGACTGGCCCTTTGGGTTGAGTGGGAGCTGGGTGAGGCCTGTGATTGCCGGCTTTCCCCTCCTTCCCTGACAACCTGCATGACACAGTAGATGCAGCCATAATCCTCCTATGAACATAACTCCATTGACCTGGGAACCTCACCTCCATCCCCCACAGCAGCCACAGCAAGACCCACCCAATGAGAGTTTCAGCTCAGACATGCTGAAGTTGGGATTGTGTTAAATGACTAAACCTAAGAATAACTGGCATTCCTGAGGAAGAAGAGAAATCTAAAAGTTTGGAAAACATATTTGGGGTAATAATTGAGGAAAACTTCCCTGGGCTTGCTACAGACCTAGACATCCAAATACAAGAAGCACAAAGAACACCTGGGAAATTCATCACAAAGAGATCATCACCTAGGCACTTCATCATCAGGTTATCTAAAGTTAAGATGAAGGAAAGAATCTTAAGAGCTGTGAGGCAAAAGCACCAGGTAACCTATAAAGAAAAACCTATCAGATTAACAGCAGATTTATCAGCAGAAACCCTACAAACTAGAAGGGATTGGGGCCCTATACTCAGCCTCTTCAAACAAAACAATTAGCTGCCAAAAGTTTGGTATCCAGCAAAACTAAGTTCATCAGTGAGGGAAAGATACAGTCTTTTTCAGACAAACAAATGAGCAGAGAGAATTCACCACTACCAAGCCAACACTACAAGAACTGCTAAAAGGATCTCTAAATCTTGAAACAAATGTTGGAAACACATCAAAACAGAACCTCTTTAAAGTGCAAATCTCACAGGACCTATAAAACAAAAATACAGTTAAAAAACAAAAAAACAAGATATACAGGCAACAAATAGCATGATGAATGAAATGGTACCTCACATCTCAGTATTAGCTCTTAATGTACATAGCCCAAATGCGCCACTGAAAAGATACTGAATTGCAGAATGGATAAGAGTTCACCAACTATCTGCTGCCTTCAAGAGACTCACCTAACACATGAGGACTCACATAAACTTAAGATAAAGGGGTGGAAAAACACATTCCATGCAAGTGAACACCAAAAGCAAGCAAGAGTAGCTATTCTTATACCAGACAAAATAAACCCTAAAGCAACAGCAGTTAAAAAAGACAAAGTGGGCTATTATCTAATGACAAAAGGCCTTGTCTGACAGAAAAATATCACAATCCTAAATATATATGCACCTAACACTATATCTCCCAAATTTATAAAGCAATTACTAATAGACCTAAGAAATGAGATAAACAGCAACACAATAATAGTGGGGGAATTCAATACTCCACTGACAGCACTAGACAGGTTATCAAAACCGAAACTCAACAAAGAAACAATGGATTTAAACTGTAGCCTGGGACAAATGGATGTAACAGATATATACAGAACATTCTTCCAAACAATCGCAGAATATGCATTCTGTTCAACAGCATATGGTACTTCCTTCAAGATAGACCATATGATAGGCCACAAAATGAGTCTCAATAAATTTAAGAAAATTTAAATTATATCAAGCACCCTCTCAGACAACAGTGGAATAAATCTGGAAATCGTCTCGAAAAGGAACCTTAAAACCATGCAAATAAATGGAAATTAAAGAATCTGCTCCTGAATGATCATTGGGTCAAAATGAAATCAAGATGGAAATTAAAAAATTATTTGAACTGAATGACAACAGTGACAAAATCTATCATAACTACTGGGATAAGACAAAGGTGCTGCTAAGAGGAAAGTTGATAGCCCTAAACACCTACATCAAAAAGTCTGAAAGAGTACAAACAGACAATCTAAGATCATACCTCAAGGAACTAGATAAGCAAGAACAAATAAAACCCAAACCCGTCAGAAGAAAGGAAATTACCAAGATCAGAGCAGAACTAAATGAAATTGAAACAAACAAACAAAAATACAAGATAAATGAAACAAAAAGCTGGTTCTTTGAAAAAAATAAATAAAATTGATAGCCCATTACCAAGATTAACTAAGAAAAGAAGAGATAAAACCCAAATAAACTCATTTGGAAACAAAATGGGAGATATTACAACTGACATCACAGAAATACAAAAGATCATTAAAGGCTACTGTGGACACTTTTAAATACATAAACTAGAAAACCTAGAGGAGATGAATAAATTACTGGAAAAATACAACCCTCCTAGCTTAAATCAGGAAGAATTAAATGCCCCGAACAGACCCAAAACAAGCAGCAAGATTGAAATGGTAATTTAAAAATTTCCAACAAAAAAGTCCAGGTCCAGATGGATTCACAGCAGATTTCTACCAGACGTTTAAAGAAGAATTGGTACCAATCCTATTGACACTATTCCACATGATAGAGAAAGAGGGAACCCTCTCTAAATCATTCTATGAAGCCAGTATCACCCTAATACCACAACCAGAAAGGACATCACAAACAAACAAACAAAAATCCTACAGACCAATATTCCTGGTGAACATAGATGCTAACATCCTTAACAAAATACTAGCTAACCAAATCCAGCAACATATCAGAAAGATAATTCACCATAATCGAGTGGGTTTCATACCAGGATTCAGGGATGATTTAACATATGCAAGTCATTAAATATGATATACCACACAAACAGAATTAAAAACAAAAATCACATGATCATCTCAATAGCTGCAGAAAAAGCATACGTTCAACAAAATCTGGCATCCCTTTATGATTAAAACTCTCAGCAAAATTGGCACAGAAGGGATATGCCTCAATGTAGTAAAAGCCATCTAAGACAAACTTACAGCCAACATATACTGAACGCGGAAAAGTTGAAAGCATTCCCTCTGAGAACTGGAACAAGACAAGAATGCCTACTCTCACCACTCCTCTTCAACATAGTACTGGAAGTCCTGGCCAGAACAATCAGACAAGAGAAAGAAATTAAGGGCATCCAAATCAAGAAAGAGGAAGTCAAATTTCCTCTGTTCACTGATGACATGATTGTTTACCTAGACAGCCCTAAAGACTTCTTCAGAAAGCTCCTAGAATTGATAAAAGAATTCAGCGAAGTTTCCAGATACAAAATTAATATACATTATTCAGTAGCTCTTCTATACACAAACAGTGACCAAGCTGAGACTCAAATCAAGCACTCAACCCCTTTTATAATAGCTGCAAAAAAATTAAAATACTTATGAATATACCTAACCAAGGAGGTGAAAAACCTCTACAGGTAAAATGACAAAACCTTGCTGAAAGAAATCCTAGATGACACAGACAAATGCAAACACATCTCATGCTCATGGATGGGTAGAATCAATATTGTGAAAATGACCTTACTACCAAAAGCAATCTATAAATTCAATGCAATTCCCATCAAAATATCACCTTCATTCTTCGGAGAATTAGAAAAAGCAATCCTAAAATACATATGTGACCAAAAAAGAGCCCACATAGCTAAAGCAAGGCTAAGCAAAAAGAACAAATCTGGATTACCTGATTTCAAACTATACTATAAGGCCATAGTCACCAAAACAGCATGGTACTTGTATAAAAATAGGCCCAAAAATCAATGGAACAGAATAGAGAACCCAGAAATAAATCCAAATACTTAGAGCCAACTGATCCTTAACAAAGCAAACAAAAACATAAAGTGAGGAAAGGACACCCTATTTAACAAAGGGTGCTGGGATAATTGGCAAGCCACATGCAGGAGAATGAAACTGGATCTTCATATCTCACCTCATACAAAAATCAGCTCAAGATGGATCAAGGAATTAAATCTAAGACCTGAAACTATAAAAACTATAAAACTATAAAAATCCTAGAAGATAACATTAGAAAAATCCCTCTAGACGTTGGCTTAGGCAAGTATTTCATGACTAAGAACCCAAAAGCAAATGTAATAAAAACAAAAATAATAGCTGGGACTTAAAGGAAAGAGCTTTTGCACAGCAAAAGGAACAGTCAGCAGAGTAAACCGACAACCCACAGAGTGGGAGAAAATCTTTACAATATATACATCTGACTAAGGACTAATATCAAGAATCTACAACAAACTCAAACAAATTAGGAAGAAAAAAACAACCTCATTAAAAAGTGTGCTAAAGACATGAATACATAATTCTCAGAAGAAGATTATACAAATGGCCAACAAACATATGAAAAAATATGCAACATCACTAATGATCAGGGAAATGCAATTCAAAACCACAATGCAATACCACCTTACTCCTGCAAAATGTCCATAATAAAAAACTAAAAAAAAAAAAATAAATGTTGGTGTGGATATGATGAACAGGGAACACTTCTATACTGCTGGTGGGAATGTAAGCTAGTAAAACCACTATGGAAAACAGTATGGAGATTCTGTAAAGAACAAAAAGTGGAACTACCATTTGATCCAGCAATCCCACTATTGGGTATCTACCCAGAGGAAAATAAGTTACTATACAAAAAAGATATTTATACATGCATGTTTATAGCAGTACAATTCACAATTACAAAAATGTGGAACCAACCCAAATGCTCATCAATCAACGAGTTGATAAAGAAACTGTGGTGTATAGATACAATTGAATACTACTCTGCCATAAAAAGGAATGAATTAATAGCATTCACAGTGACCTGGATGAGATTGGAGACTATTATTCTAAGCGAAGTAGCTTAGGAATGGAAAACCAAACATTGTATGTTCTCATTCATAAGTGGGAGCTAAGCTATGAGGATGCAAAGATTTAAGAATGATACAATGGACTTTGGGGACTCGGGGAAAGGGTGGGAAGGGTGTGAGGGTTAAAAGACACAAATAGGGTTCAGTGTATACTGCTTGGGTGAAGGGTCCACCAAAACTTCACAAATCACCACTAAAGAACTTACTCATGTAACCCAACATCATCTGTTCCCTAGTAACATATGGAAATAAAAAAAAATCTAGTAAAAAAAGGTTAAAATTCATATGGCACCACAAAAGACTCTGAATAACCAAGAAACTGGGAGAAAGAAAAAAAATACAGTGAGCTACCTTAGGTTGAGGGGCTATGAGAAAGACCAGGGCAGCAAGAAGTATGTATTGCATAAAGTTTTCATCCAAGTCTTTCTTCCCAGTGATTCTCAGCAAGCTTATGTTTCTCTGAGTCCAGAATCCTAAGAAAATTCTGTCAAAAAAAATTGGGAACATGAGAAAAAGCATTACAATTATCTTGAAATAATTAAAGCTTTACAGTCAACATAGAGAAATTACTGATTTGAAGGAAACCACTATGACACATTGAAAGCAAGAGCAGGAAATGTTGACATCCAGAATCAAAGGTTAAGTAGACATTTCTGAGAACAGCATAGAAACACTTAGGTTAGAATCTGTCACAATCTGACCAATCAATCTTGCTTATTGCTGCTTCAGTGCTATGCATGTTCATGACTCACCCTTGGCAGAAAACAGGGTCATGAACATGCATACCAATAAAATGGATATTAGTTTGTATATGTACTATAATTTATACAAATCTTATAACAGTGTTTCAAGAAGTAAGATGCTTGGGGGGTAAAATAATTTTAACCTTGCTAAAACATCTCACTGTTCATATTTGAAAACTAGCCAATGATATTTACTGTTGTTTTCTAGTTTTTGAAACTTTGCTATAGGCTGAAAATCTTTTTAAATATTATTAAACAATATTTTCAAACTAGTAGGCATATTAAGATCTATATTTTGAGTGAAAAGTACGAGGAATATTTGAAGTAGTTTATGAACAAACTGTAATTTAGGGAATTCTTTTATTTTTCATTCCCAAGTCCCAAAGATTAATACCTGATGGGAGTGTGGCAAAACTCACATGTATTTCAAGTAATCCCTACTGTTTTCTCTACCTTACCTCAATGTGCCTTTTCTTTCATTTTCACAAACAGCATTCAATTGTTGATTTTCCATCATCACTGAACTTACTTTTCATCCCTGGCTACTTTTCTGTTTGCCTGTTGGTTGAGTTTTTCCTATGATCACTAACATTGATCTCTTTCCACAAGACACTAACACTGTTTTCAACGGTGAAGCAAAAGGATTTTCTGTTCCAGGCATATATTTGCTTACATACCTAGAAGTTTCTGTTATTAAGCTGTTTTAGAGGCCTCTTGAAGTTGCTAAGAATGCACTGCTTTATGCTATATAAACCACTTTATTTTTGTTCTTGTTTCACGTTGGCTGTTACAGGCACTGGCATTTTGCTGTAAGAATAAACATGATCATTCATTTTCTTTCTGTTGAAATTCGATGATTCTCTTATGACTAGAACCTTCCACCTTAGGGGAAGGCTTGCTGTGTCATGTCCTGAAATGCCAGAGTTCATAGCTTTCTATTGTTTGGGTCCTTACTCTGGAACATTCCCTTTCATTATTTTGGAAAAATAATGAGCAACATCTTTTTGTAATACCTCCAAACGGACTAAATGTTTGCAAGCCATTTTTTTTTTGTTGAAATTGGAACATTTAATAAACTCTCCAGAAAAAAAGCCCACTAACAATTGTTTGATAAATCTGATCATGTATTGAACAGAAGAATACCAATGACAAAGTTGGTGCCCCTTTTTAACCCATAAAATATGAAATAGCAACACAAACACATGTGTTCAGGTTATTGCATGTTGGAATCCAAAAAGCTTGTTCATGTGCATTATCTTACTTCATTCTTGGTGGGGAACAGTGTGAACTCAGAGGTGGTACTATAATAATCCCTAATTTTCAGATGTGAAACAGAAGCTCAGGAAGTTGAAATAATTTGTTCAACTTCATACAACAGGTTAATAGCAGTGATGAGACTCTAGTTAATTTATTTATTGCAGTCTAATATTTAATGACTTGACCATGTGTATTAGCATTTAATAGCACCATTCTAGGCACTGGAAATACAAACATAAATAAGATGGAATTTCTAGTCTCATGTAATCTTAGTTGGTATTTTTTTTTTTTAAATACGTGTATTGCATTTCTTCTTGGACTGAGCAGTCATGATCAAACAATATGATTTGGGGAAATAACAGTTGAGTGAAACACAAGATGCTATCACACTGTGGTTTCTCTGGACCACAGTATGTGATGATCAAGGGGATCCTGGATCTGGGGAGCCAGCCTGAGGCATGTGATGGCTGCATCACACTCAGCCAGTCCTGATGCCTCCATTATAGTGGTTCTCATTCTATTAGAAGAAATTTGTCAGGTCACTCACGATTCTTTTTTTTTTTATTTGACAGGGTCTCACTCTGTTGCCCAGGCTGGAGTGCAGTGGCATGATCTTAGTTCATTGCAGTCTCCACCTCCCGGGCTCAAGCCATCCTCCCACCTCAGCCTCCCAAGTAGCTGGGATTACAGGAGCGTGCCACCACACCTGGCTACCTTTTTTTTTAAGAGAAGGGGTTTTGCCATGTTGCTTAAGCTGGATTAATGATTCTTATGATTTTTACCTTCCCTCTAGATCTCAAGTGTTTTTTCTTGAGCTGTTTTATTATTAATGGATTGACTGATTTGTATAGCTTTCCCACCTAATTGATTTTTGCTGTGTATGTGAGTGTCAGCTGTTTGAAATTATGTCCTAAGTCAGACAGAAACCTATGAAGCTTTAATGAGGCTCATGGCCTAATGTTGTTCAATACTGTCATAAATATTGGTTATTTTACCGCTATACTCTCTTTAAATATAAAACAAACTGACACCTTTATTCAAATCATCCCCTGACTTACAGCCTAGGGCAAAGACATTTTCTGTGATACACAAATATCTAGGATTTCTCAATCAGTTTATAAGGCAGATGCATGATGGATTTAGACAAAACCAACATTTGGCAATTGAATTATCCCATTTGAATGAAAACAGTACGGTGTTTTATATTAGTTGCTTTTGGTTTTGTCACTAATATAAACCTTTGAAAAGTAAACTGTGACTACATAAATGTGGGCTTACCATGAATAGATTTGTGTTTGTGCTATAAATTGTCCTTTCTGGGATGTTTTTGAATTACCAAGTTTTATATGTGCAATCATCTTTGCAAATTAAAGTGTAGGTTTCTTTAATCAGCTTGTGAAATATTTTATTTTTGTTTTTCCAATACTATCTTACTCATAGAAAGGAACAAAATAAATATATCTGAATTATATTATTTAAAATGCTTAAATGAGAGAATAAGAAAAGGTAGTAAAGGCTCTTCTTAGAAGCTATTTCTGAGTGTTTGTGGTATGTGTAGATCTCTACAAGACATAAAATAATACATCAGGTATACATAAAAAGTAAAATTTTTATATCAGTATAAGTTCTGGGGTGGTTTATGCTTATACTGGGAAGGTTAATTGTATAATGGAAATATGTATTTTCCAGCACTGAAATACAGATTCAAAGCCCAAGTTGAGCCCATATTGTGAAATTGTGACCCTTTTTTTATGTGAGGTTGGCAGCTGTGAATTTATTGTTTCAGACACAAAATGTACTCTGGGTACAGGGCCTATTTATCCACAACATAAACTGAAAACATCAACCAGGAATGCTACAGCAAGTATTTTCAATAACTGCTATTTAGAAAGTCAACTACCACTGTCCCTACAATGCAGTCCTTATCTGTGCTAGTCTTTCTTCATTTATCCTGTTTCATTTCCATTGATCTCCTTCTTTTCCAGTCTACTTATTAATCTTCCTCAAAAAGCAATTACATTAAAAAAGCAAAAAGGTAAATAAATGAAGCAAGACTCATATTCCTATTGACTCATCTCAATATTTAGATTCTGGATGATTAAATCCAGATGTTGTTAAGTTTTTTTTTTTAAAAAAGGAGTTGACCAGGAGTTGGAAAACTGATTATGGCCTCATTGCCTCAAGAAATTAGCTCTTTGACTTGGGAAGAACACTTTTTATTTATGGATCCCATTTCATCATGTTTTGGTATATAAATCTTCTTTCCAGTTCTAAATCTATCATTCTGTAACTCAAAATATCTCAGTCCTCCTCTCTCTGTTTCCATAAGAAAAAAATGTTGACAGGGCCCTGAATCGTTCAGGAAATAGATGGCACTCTCAAAAAAGATAATGAGACAGCCTCAAGGGGCTACTTACAAATATGTGAGCAAAGAAAACCAAAAAACGATGTTGATGCATTCTAGAACTAACTCCAATTTGAAGCCATTATCACACTTAGGCTTGACTAATGATAAACACTAAGGTAAAGAGAAAGAGCAGTTATCAGAGCCTGCAAAGAAAGAGCTTTGGAGAGGGCTGCTCAGCAGGAGCTATGGGCTTCAGTGGAAGTTTGCAGATACTGCCAACTGAAGACTAGTTGAGGGAATACCTCCTTACCTCTCTTTCCTCCCAGTTTGAAATTTCCTGTCAGTTGGTCCTATTGGTTAAACTTAAAAGGAATTAGAAGGCAAGGCATTCCAGTTGATATAGTCTGTACAGGTCAATTTTGTGGGGCATTGAGTGGGGTGGAGAGTAGATTTGGAGTAACTTACAAAGAAAATTCAGCTCAGGGTTATCCTACTAAAAGATGGAAGAGAAATCTGGACACAGTGATGAGTAGATGGTATTTTCTGGCAAATCCTCCTCTTCTGGATGTTAGCAGCCAAGTTCACCATGACTGTAAGCTTTAGCAGGAACTTCATATGTGGCTGAGAGAGGCTGTTCTCACAGACTGGAGAAGGTGGTAAAAAGGAGCAGGGATCAGAAAGAATTTACTTAAGTAATTTTTCCACAATGATTCCTTTTATATATAATTCATCACTTCTTACTTTGTAAGAACAAGTGCTCTAAAGATTACTATCATAACTAACATATTTGATTATCCCCGTGCTCTCCTTTTATAATGAAGTGGATATAAAATGATCAGAACAGGATAATTTTGTAATGAAGAAAAAATTCCATGGGGCATACTTTCCCATCTGTAATTATTCTACAAATATCTACTTTGCATGAAAAACAACACAGTTTTAAGGCATGCAAAGCAGTGTTAATGACCAGCTATATTTCCATAAAATAGATGTCAGGAAAGTATAGTAAGGAATTAAAACCAAATTGAGTTTACAATGAACACCAAAACTGGACTGTCTGCTTTTGAAAAAACTGAGCAGACTGTGTAAAATGAATGAATAAATATGCAGATAGTTAACTATAGCTTATAACATACAGCTAATTCACCAGAAACCTCTTTATTTCTATGTGTTTAAATTTGCTGCTGTAACCACAAGATGCTGTTATTTTAAACATAGATGTCTCAGAAGATCTTTAATGATGAGGTTTTCAATACACTCAAAATTGAGTGCACATTGTAATGCTTGCTGAATTGCAACAAGATGTCTTCACCGTTAATTTTGGGAGCAGCAATATGTAGCTCCAAATCAAGTGGGTGAGCAAAATAAAAACTGGAAGAAATTGATTAGCTCTCGCTTTTCTTTATTTCCCAGGTGACAACATTCATCGCTTTGCTGCTGTACTTAACCCAGCAAAAACGCATCTGATCTCTTAAAAAAATGCCTGCCTTTATGTTGTGAGATAGTCAGGAATTGAAATTTGATTAACCCTCTGCTGAACCAGAATGATTAGAAAGCTTTTCAATTTGAATCCAGTGTTGTACAGGGATTCTACTAAGGTGTAGATGATTTCGTAAAGAACACCAAGGCCTCATTTTGTAGCATATCTTGCTGGAACCCAGATATGAGGTCATCTTGGATTTCATCTGAGGAAATAAAGGGGCATTTCACAATTGATAACATCCTAGATTTTCTAGCATTCTTATCTCCATAAAATTCTTTCATAATCATTATTTTGTTTTACACATAAAATAAATAGGGCAAAGTTTGTTTTATCCATTTGAAAAATCTATGAAAGTGAGACACACTTATTAAATAAGCTAGATTTGCTTTACCTACATAATTTTAACTTGATTGATTCCAGGCACTTGATCATCCACTTCCAGGTTTTCATACTTAATCCACTCAGCATCTCTGTGAATGCAATGCCACCTGCAATACTTTACATGTGAAGAAAATGAGACTCAGAGAGGGAAGATCATTTTTCTCAGTCAATAAGCCTGAGCGACTATTTTCACGTAGCCCTGCATCTCTCAGAGCCTGGACCATTTTCATTATTCTTTAATGTCACACAAAGTACTACTCATAGTAACAAAAACACTTTTACTCTGACACCAGAATAAAGCCACAAAATATGAATATTAAGAGCAAAATCACATTATGCATAATTATATATTTTCTACTTTCTCTAAATTCCTGGTATTTTATTATTTTATTTTTATTTTTTTGCCTTTCAAACTTTAAATTTTTTTAAAAAATAGTAACCTAACTCTCCATCTTTAAAGTAAAGGAAGTAAAACATGTCACTATGCTTTGCCTACTTCTATGTCTTTGGATTAGAAAAAAAAAAAATTGATAGCTAGGGTTTTAAAAACATTGTCCAAAAGGACCATTCTATCACAGTGAGCAACTATTAGCTACTGATATGGTTTGGATTTGTGTCCCCACTTAAATCTCATGCTGAATTGTAATCCTCAGTTTTGGAGGAGGGGCCTGGTGGGAGGTGATTGGATCAAGGGGGCAGATTTACTTCTTGCTGTTCTCATGATAGTGAGTGAGTTCTCAAGATACCTGGTTGTTTAAAAGTGTTTAGCACCTCCCGCTTCTCTTTCTCCCTCCTGTTGTGGCTATGTTAAGACATGTCTTCTTCCCCTTCACCTTCAGCCGTGATTTTAAGTTTCCTGAGGCCTCTTTCCTGTACAGCCTCCAAAACCATGGCCAATTAAATCTCTTTTCTTTATAAATTACCAAGTTTTAGGTATTTCTTTTTTGAGACAGAGTCTCGCTCTGTTGCCCAGGCTGGAGTGCAGTCACATGATCTCCACTCACTACAACCTCCGCCTCCCAGGTTCAAGTGATCCTTCTGCCTCAGCCTCCCAAGTAACTGGAACTACAGGTGCATGCCACCACGCCCGGCTAATTTTTTGTATCTTTAGTAGAGACGGGGTTTCACCATGTTAGCCAGGATGTTCTCGAACTCCTGAGCTCAGGCAGTCTGCCCGCCTTGGCCTCCCAACGTGCTGGGATTGCAGGTGTAAGCCACCATGCCCGGCCTAGGTATTTATAGCAGTGTGAGAATGAACTAATACAGCTACTATTATTAATACATTACATTTTCTACTCTAACCAATTGCAGATAAGTAAAAATTAGGATAACCTTTTTATGAAATGTAAATAATTTTTTTTATTTTAACATGGTTTTCAGTCATACCATATCCCTTAAGCATATTTCCATATTTTTAAATACTTTTACTAGCTAAAAAAAAAAAAAAAAGGTAAATCCTTTGCTTTGACTCAAATATCCATTGCAGAACCCTGGCAAGTTATTAAAAGCCATATTTATTGACTTGTTGAAATTATATTGTTAGCCTTTCATGCATATGAAGAGTAAGAATTATTGGTAATGAACTTTTCAAGTAAAAAATATTCTTTGCTAACCATGGACTAGGCATCAACAGAGAGTGCAAAAACTACACAGTGGAACAAATTATGTGTGCATATGAGGTAATTTATCTTGGATACATGTGATTTTCAATGTATCATCTGTTGAATTAACTCCTAAAATTTATGATTTATGTCATAAATACACTTAATAAGAAAGAAACTTTTAATTTAACTCTCTCCCGATGGCTAAGATTGAATACATTCATACCAAATTGTTTTCCTCTTCTTCCTGATTACAGAGCTAGAGCATATTTGCCTGCCACAGTTAGTTTTGTGTTTCCATGGAATTTGAGCAAAACTGATGCACTTGTCTCCCAGGATTAATCCATACAAGTCACCTCTAAAATTATCTTTTCCCATTCGTTGACTGAGCAAAATGGACTTCAAGGACCTAAAGGAGGTTAAATACCACAAGATGGAGGAGCTTGAGTCTCTGAATCATTGTGTGTGAAGTCATCTGCCAATTACATAAATTGAATTCTTGGTGAGTGTGAAGTACACAAGTAGCCATGTAATTTTGGAATGAATGTTACAGAAATTTACTTACCCTGCCTAATACACTCCTACCATTTCAATTAATTAGTTCTACTGTATGTTTAATGGGATGAAATGTATGTATATGTTTTTATTCTCTATTTTCTATTGTTATGCATAGCATATAAATTTCTAACATAAGCGTAACTATTGAGTCCTTTTAACATTGTTCCATATGGTTATGTAACAACATTTTAATGCTTAATAGTAATGAAGAAAGGAGTTCACAGTCATAGTTTATCTTGTTCTTAAGTTTTCATCTATGTATTCAAGTGACGGGATGCTAACTCCAGTTCTTGCCACATAAAGTGCAATATCTTTAAAAGTTACTTGATCAACCAATTGTACTTCTAAATCACTTAGTGGTTTTATCTGAATAAAAGATGTGTGTGTCCCTGTTCGGCCTTCTGTTTCATAGTATTCTGCAATCTCTACCATATACTCGATATATTCCTCAACTCTCCCACATTTTGTTCCTATTTGCAGAAAACATTGTGGAAGCTCTTTAAGTTTCTCAAAACTTCTAGTTAAAAACCAAAATAAAATACACATGTTTTCTATATAGCTCTCATATGTATTTTTTCACATTTATTTATTTTTAAATTGACATATACAATTGTTTGTTTTTATCACGTACCACGTAATGTTTTGAAGTACACATATGTGGTAAATACATAAACTTAGCTAATTAAAAAATGTATTATCTCATGGTATATACACACAACCAGATTGTTATTCAGCCATAAAAGGAAGGAAATCCCATAGTTTGTGACAACCTGAATGAACATCATGTTAATGAAATCAGTCAAGCATGGAAAGACAAACATGGCATGATCTTATTTAAATGTGGAATCTAAAAAATCTGATCTCATATATTTTGATGTCTTCCATTTGGCTTTTCCAGCTGATAAAATTTTGAATTTGTTAAGGACATTTTCCCTTTAATACAATAACAGTCCTGATTCTCAGCTAAAAATGTCTTACAAACTTGACTTATCTTTCCTCTTTAAAATAGCTGGCACTAAGCTCTGAGTTCTGTTTATTGACAGAAGCCTAAGGATTTCAGACATCTTAAAAATGTTCCAAGTTCTTTAAAATCTTCATCCAGAAGATTCTACACAATTATTAAGATGATCATAATGATTCATTGTAATAATTCTCACTGTCTTTCATGTAATAATTATCTTGCACGTGATAAATATAAAACATTGTAGACACATCTATTTTACTCTCTTTCTATTTTGCTACCTTATTTATGGGGGCTGTTAGATATGAATATTCCAGGAATAGTTTATAATACAGGGAAAAGGTATCCCATACTATGCAGCAAGTAGGTTGAGAAAGGGTAATCACTTCTCTTCCCTGACCATGTTGACTTCATTATGTAGAAGTGCAGTACAGTTGCATGCACCAGACTCTGGATGTGCTGAGTGTCAGCACTATACTCCATCTACGAGGCTTTGCTACAGGAGGAGGTGAATTTTATTAAGTAGAAACCGTGGTAAATCAACTCACAAAGATATCACAACACGGATTTCAGATTCGCCATTTCATACATTTGGGTACTTGATTGGGGATGAAGAATTAAGCCCTCACATATTGCAGATATGATTCAAAAGAATCCCCTGATTACTATGTTGAAAGTGGAGTTCAGTAATTGCTAAATTTGGGCATTGTTGGGCCTTGCCAAAATGTGAACTCTTTGAAACTGGAAGTAGGGTAGACAATAAGGATGCCTAAACACACCAGAAATGGGATTCCAGAAATCAGCTTTTGGAATAGTGACTAACATGGGAAATACAGAACTCTGAGGAGTGATTCTAAATGTCAGTCTGAGGACAAGAGTCAGGATAATTGCACTCAAATCATTTGGAAATGTGTCAAAGATTCCCTATCCTCAGTCCAAAAGATTTTTATGAACTCAATGGAAGAGAGAGATAGATATTCATTTTAATGAAGATGTAATGGGTGGTCTAGAGAGCTAAGAGGAATGTTTGCTAAGCACATCATCCTTATAAAAGAAAAAAAAATTTGATTTGCAAAGATGACCCTTAACCATTTATATTGCCAAAACAACAAGGTTTCTCTGTGTCTAAGCAAAACAAAATTCTGAACATGGGTAAAAGGGAAGTGTGTAATCTAGTTGATTTCACTTTATGTCCAGGTGCTCAAAAAATCAGTTCTGTAAATATTATAGAAAGTCAAGAAACATTTAAATTGTGTGTTAGAATCGTAACATGCCCATACAAATGCCCCCATCTGTTTTATTTTAACCTTTAATAACTGTTAGATAAAACACTATTTCTCTGTTTTCTGGCTTAAATTATTGAATATTAACAGACTGATGATATAAAGGAATTGGAAGTCAGGATTTTGTTCACTTATCTCTTAATGGATGATGTGAATCTGACAGACCATGGCATTTTTTTTTTTGTCTCATTGATTCTCTCTTTAAAGATTTTTCTTTTGCCCTAATTCCTAAGCTCTATTGCTTTCTACCAGCAATGGCACTTAGTTTACAAATAGAATGGTTTTACTTTTATATAAATGTTCCATTATTTTCTGGGCTATGTTGTAAGCATTAATAGTTATGTTGTTTTCTTATGTCTTAACACTCATGATGAAAATTTCTGAAACAATTGAAAAGGTTTGCACTATATCTTATACTACCCCTTATTTTTTCTTATTTTCTGCCCTGTTTTTCTCCTCTTTCCTTTTTCTCCTGCCTTCCTTCTCAAATTTTCTTTCCTTTCTCCTTCTATTTTTCCCCTTCATTGCTACATAGGCAACAAATTGGCCTTAAATTTGATATACAAGGATGAGTGAAGGTTTCCCTTAATGCTTTTAATCTCAAGTGAGAATGATAAAATAATGAACAGATGAAGCAGCTTATAATAAATGTATTGTAGGAGACCTAGTTTAAGCCGAAGCTTAGGTCAGTTTATGGTTGTCTTCATGAAATTAATATTTACTTGGGGAACAAAGCAACCTCCTGAAAAATAACTCATTCCTAGTGCAATGTAAATGGGTTTCATGTCATTGACTAGGTGCATAAACGTAGGCTGGAAGAGACTAGTGATGTCGAATACTACTGGGTGTTTTTCAGCACATTCTTCCCTAATAATGAAACTTCAGACTACATTTAAGATCTAACTTACTAAAGACATGAGTGACATGAAGCTGATTTAGGCCATTGGGAAACAATGTAGATAATATAATAAGGTATAGGAGAGGTAATCTGTTAATCACTTGCAGAATGCCTAATCCTCATGTTTAGGGAGGAAGGGCACATTCGACAAGAACGAAAAGTATTAAACGCATGATTTTAAAAGGTGGCAGGGTTTTCCTGTCTTCCTGTCTCAAATTAGTACCCCTACACATTACATTTTTTTAAGAATTACTGGAATAGGTATGGCCAGTGAGGTGAGAACCAGCAGGAAACTTCGAAATTTATGATTATAGAAATGTGAAGTAGAGTTTCATTGTAAGTCTTAAAAATATGATTGTTTATGAGAAGACAACTAGAAAAATCCAAGTGTCAGACAGGGATGCATGTGTGTAATATTAAGCATTGAGTTAATATTTTTTTCCTGTGCAGTTCAACAGAATTGGTTTCACTGATCACTGCGTCTCTTTAATAGAGGGCCTCTATCCGAAAGGATTTTATGAATCAAAGTATATTAGGGAAAGTCAGGACCAGAATATTGTATCCCAGTTGGTCACTGTCTCAAGTTTGAAAAAGTTCCCTGGTGCTGAAATTTAACTTGGAGACAGTGCACATTTCTGTGACTGTGACCATTGCAGTATAAGTAAGGATCAATAATGTCCACAGTGGTGTACCTATAATGGAGCACTATAGAGTGAGAATCTATGACAGAATCTATGTAGAATGTTGCCACTATAGAGTGAAATTCTCTGATTTTATTAAATTGAAAGAAAAGTTGCTTCTGTAAGTGTCAATGGAAAATATACATACACCACAAGCTCCCGGAATATGCATAATCCTGGGGGGTGTTAGGAAACCAAGTAGTAGCAGCCTCAAGAAGTGGAAGAAATGCCAGCCATAACTATCATACATATAAAATGTATTCTAATGTTGGAATATGCAGAAGATTAGACCAGGGCATTATGTAGTTTCCTAAGAGCTATTCACAGAATGGTGTCTACAGAGTGTCATTATTCCAGAATAGCTCTTTGGAAATGAGTTAATCTGTGATATAGCCAGTTACTGGCTGTCATCTGTCAAACCCTCTGAATTTCATGGGTAGGTATTTTGTTGCATGACTTAGTGCTGTTGAAAAATCCAGATTATCATCTAGCTAGAAAATATAAAGGAATAGGAGAGGCATACATTCCTTCTCTCCACTACAGTAGAAACTTGGAAATTAGAACACTCCGGTAGAAACATATATGTAGAAGGAAGAGGATTGGGTTATCAGTATCTCTAGTGAATACAGTCAAAAGATAATGCATCTGTCTTGTTGGCTGTTGGTAAATGAGAATGCTGGGTTCTGAGATTTAATTATTTCTTCTTTACCTATAACCATTGCTTACAGTTGGGTGTCACTCATAAAAAGAAGGAAGAAACTATCACTGTGATCTCGCTCCCAGTGTGGGCCCTGCAATGCCTTGTGGGCACTATTATTGTCTGATTCAAGAAATGGAGTCAGTTGTAAGTTTTCCTAACAGGGTTATAAAACTGAAGTTAATTTTCAAGGAGCAAACATTGGTCTTGTGTGTGACACACACACTACTCATTAACTAGCTGAAAGAAACCCTGAAGGCTGCACTGTGGTACTTCCAGTTTCAAGTGAACAATCCAGCCAAAGTATGCACAGAGGAAGCTGGGACCAATAAGCAAAAATCAAATCTGTAGCAATGAGAAAATAAATACCAGTGAAAGACAACTACTTGAGTGGAGCCTCAGGAAATGGCAT
Organism: Homo sapiens; assembly: GCF_000001405.40. Taxonomy (NCBI): domain Eukaryota; kingdom Metazoa; phylum Chordata; class Mammalia; order Primates; family Hominidae; genus Homo; species Homo sapiens. The sequence continues at coordinate 125,436,581 of NC_000007.14, forward strand.
GAAGGAAGGGATGGTATCTATAAGACCTTCTTTTAAAGAATTTGAAGTGTCGTTTAATACTAAGTCCCTGCCAAAAGAATAAATATTTTGATGTTTAAAATAATTTAAAAAACAGTTTTATTCTAAGTTTAATATTAGAAACAAGAGACCATCTGTCTTAACCTAATGATTAACAAACGATTAATAAACTACAACATCTAGTTTATTTTTTATATATTAAGTGCATTTATTTTTATTTTATTTTTTTAATTTTCAAGTTATTTAAAAAATTGTGGATATACAGTAAGTGTATTTATGGGTTACCTGAGATGTTTTGAAATAGGCATGCAATCTGAAATAAGCACTTCATGGGGAATGGGGTAACCATTCCCTCAAGTGTTTATCTCTTGAGTTACAAACAATCCAATTACATCCTTTAAGTTATTTTAAAATATACAATTAAGTTATTATTGACTATCATCACCCTACTTTGCTATTAATAGTAGGTCCTATTCAGCCTTTCTAACTATTTTTGGACACATTAACCATCCCCACCTCCCCACTGCCCAATGTTTTCTCGGAGTAGTTTTATAGTTTGAGGGCATAGATTTAAGTCTTTAATCTATTTTGATTTGATTTTTTGTATATGGTGAGGGGTAGAGGTCTCGTTTCATTCTTCTGCATATAAATATCCAGTTTTCCCAGCACCACCTATTGAAGAGACAATCTTCTCCCCAGTATATGTTCTTTGCGTCTTTGTCAAAAATAAGTTTATTGTAGGTGTGTGGATTTGTTTCTAGGTTCTCTATTCTGTTTCATTGGTGTATGTATCTATTTTTATGCCAGTACCATGCATTTTTGGTTACTATAGCTCTGTTGCATAATTTTAAGTCAGGCAATGTGATGCCTCCAGCTTTATTCCTCCTGCTTAGGATAGCTGTGGCTATTCTGGGTCTTTTTTGTTTCCATATAAATTTTAGGATTTTTTTTCTATTTAAGAATGCCATTGGTATTAACATATAGTTTAAAAACAAAACATATCAGAGAGCTGAGGCCACAAACATTCCTAAATGAACTGAAATCCAAAAAGTGACACAACTGTCATAAAAGACTGGGCTGTCAGCTCTAACAGAACTTCAGAGGAATTTCACCCATTAAGTCAGATAGGGGAGTGGTGAAGGGGGAGTAGAAACTAGCTAACATTTAACAAACTCGTGATAGTTTCGTGTGTGTGTGTGTGTGTGTGTGCGCGCGCGTGCCCCACGTAGCCAGATTGATTATTAGAAGGTATTAGAAGGGCTCCTCTGGCAGAACCAGTTTTCATCTACTCAACAACCTCTTACTCATGGGTCTTTATATAACTTAGGTGAAAGTATGTCCATAGGGGAACAGAAAAGAAAGCTGAGAAAGATGTGCCAGGAGACTTGTGGGAACTAATCCAAGTGCAACACCTCCTTACCACAAAGGAAAAGGACAGGGTAAAGGAAATTGGAAAAACCCATAAGATGTATTTGAGGTTCTTTCTATTCCAGGGAATTCTTGGTATGATAGGACATGAAAGCTGAGAGAAAACCCTTCTACCTAGGAACTCCGGAGTTTCAACTACCAGAGACTGAAGGCAGGAGAGAAAAACTAAGACAAATGACTTCAAAGCCTTTCTGAAATGCCACAGAGGGTCAGGATTACAATCTGCCTATTCTGATTCTTCTACTATGGGAAAAAATCTTTTTCAGAATTGGTAAGTTTATTTATCAATTCAATATTCATTTCATCAGGCATATACGTTGTGGCAGGTTATTATTCAAAATGCAAAAATATAGTAAATTATCTCTACTTCAAATGTGTAAGATTTAATTACAAATATGATGTACTGTTTAATACATTAATGGTAAATTAAAATTTGGGGCAAGGACAAAAAGGAGGGCACAGTCAAATAATAGGTTAGTCAGAAAATGCCTGGGCAGAAAGTGATATTAAAGTCGAATCTTGATGAATAAATAGAATTTTCTTCAATGGAGAAGGGTAACTTAGCACATTAAATAAAGAGAGGAATACATTGATTTGCATATGTTGTTTTGATATTACCATTTTGATGCAATCAAAGTTTTTATTTCACCATTTTTATTCTAAAATATTTGAAATTAAGTTTTTGGATATCAACATTAGTATCAGAATTTCACAATGATACATTTTATTTCAAAGAAAATGGTTGAGTTTTTTTTAATAACATGGTATTTTCATGTTGTATACAAGAGAGTTAAAATATATCTATATTTTCTGCTTTTATATGTATTCTTCTGGATTGGGCAGAATCAGTAGAGGTAATACAATAGGGTTTAAATGATGATATTTAAATATTCTTTTTGGATAAAGATGTGGAAATATAAAACTGTATGTCAAGTTTGGATAATTGCAACTTAGAGTTAGAAGGCTATTTCCATAATAGCTGTAAAAGGTAATAGACTATACAATAACAGCAAGAGTACTGATGGGAAGGAAAGTATACATTCAAGTATTATTTAAGAGGTAAGTCATAATAGATCAAATCCTAATAGGTGTTGATGGAAAAATAGAGTAAGTAATTTATAAAGACTCAGAAATATGGTACCTGAATAATACATGATGTTAACATCAACAACAACAATATTGGGTGCAACAATTAGAATTAACTGTATACTTCCTATTTATCTAGCATTATCATATGTGTTATACAATCTAATTAACTATTTATCTAGCATTATCATATGTGTTATACAATCTAATTTAATTATTACAACTCCATGAGGAGTTGTAATATTTACTATTATTATTTTTATTTTTTAAATGAGGAAACAAATGCAAAATGATTAACTTTTCAAAGTTAATGTTGTAATCATTCACTTACCCAGCATTTGAATAAGCCAGAGTTGAATGACTAACTTCCAATATGATAAAGTTCTTAATTATATGCTATATACATATGTGTAGCAGAGAAGAAACAAAAAAAATTAACCTGCTATTATAAGAAGCTTACAACTACAAAATTTTATTGTTCTATTATGTTTTGATATGTTCATATATTCTAAAATAACTATTAAGAAAATATTTAGGTTTTGAGAAATAATTTTAAATATTTTCTTAGATTTTCTTTTAAAGTGGGTATCCTCCTCTCCACAACAATGGGTAAGAAGAAAATAAGACTGTTTTCATAACAGAAAACTCAGCAGTTAAGACTGAATAGCAATGTCTGAGAAAATAGCCTTGGAAACAAAACTGATTTAATTTTTTGTTTAGTGAAATGATAGGATAGTCTTTAATTGGATGATAAAATATACTACTGTGTTTCCATATTTTCCAATTAAAGTTCTATATATAAATATAATCCAAAGGCAAACCCACACTGACCTCTAATATTATTAAAAGTCATGAGTAATGTGAAAATTTTCCTCCAAACCTCTTAATAATGAAAGTCCAGTGCAAAAACTAATACTGCTAATGGAAAAATTTTAAGTTCTAATCCCAAAAGGTAACTTTTTTTTTGAGAGACAGCATATTTTACATAATATCTAAAATAACATCGCTATACACTACAGTAGCTTAAAAATGTGCATTTTCAGTAGCTCTCCTCAATTCCAAAGTGAGAATGTCTGAGTTGCAGCTAGCCACCCCACTATCAGCTTTACTTACTGAGAAGTTTGGATTAGTCCAGGGCAATCCATCATCTCTTATGGAAATCAGCTTGAAACTCACATCTTTCCAAACTTGGGAGGGGCAGCGGGGTTGTAGCTGTAAAAGATCATTTCTAGATATGAAGAGCAGTCAGAACATTATATTCTAGGACTACTAAATCAGTATTAATATTCCAAACTGAATTCACTGTCTTCTTTCCCCAAATTTTTCTACTTTAAAGCAAATTTTCTTTAGTAGTGTCACCATTATCCTAGGTATTTTGGTACGAGAGTATTGTATGGTTTTGACAAGTCCCTCATATTTCTGTTTTACCTCAAAGCTGTTGCCAAGTCCTATCAATCTTATATTTTTGATGCATTTTAGCTGACCCATCCTGTTTATTGACAGTGTTGATAACTTAATTCGGCCTCAGTGTCTCACACTTAAACTATTGCAATAGCATCGCAATTATTTTCCTCATTGACTGTATTCCTTTTCCTGAGTATTTTATAGATGCCAAATTGATCCTTCTGAAATAGAACATAGATTGTGTCAGATCAATAGATTCCAGAAGTCTTTAGAATAAGTTCAAACTCCCCAATTTAGCATTCAATGCCTTCCAGACACTGCTCAGAATATGGCTTTCTGTACATAGTTCCTATTGGTGTCTCAGGAACCCTACCAACCGAAGTGAAATACAAACTCTTCCCACATTTTGGTGGTTGACCAATTTTTTTTTTTTTCAAATTGACTTTCTTATTCTTATCATTTTCCTCTCTTAGTATGACAATCTCTGTCAATCTACATTTAATATCTTATCTATTCTTAAAGATTCATCCTATATACCATCTAACTATTGTTAATTCTATCATTTGGAAATAATATATTCTTAGCTGAAACTCACAAAACTACTTTCTTCCTCTCAAAGTATTTATAACAAGGTCTATATTTATCTGATGGACTTTACATCATTATAGTTCATCACAGAGTATTTTTTATTTTGTAAGCATTCAATAAATATAAAAATGGATTTTTGTATATCAATAGAAAAACTCATGGGGAAAGAGAGAAAAGTCATATTATAAGCAATAGAGAATCAATAACTGAATTCTGACAGCTGAGTTGTATTGGCTCTGCAGCTACTGAGACAAGAAGGGGTCATTAAACTTCCTGAACTTTCTTTTTTCTCCATGCATTACTATATATGATATTCTCCAACTCTCCATTATGCAAAACCATAACAGCTAGGTAAATACAATGATGAGACTCATTGACACCTGATTTGTGGTAGAACGTGACTTATGAAGGAGTAGTAAGTCAGAAAACTTTAGATTTGTGACAGCCAATAACAAAATAACATTACCCCTTCTTCAAACATTTTGTGAAAAACCAGCTCTTTAAATTCTCTCAAAGATAAGTGTTAAAATTTCTTAATGTTAATGGCTTGCACATAATAATGTCCTGATTGAATAATCTTCTCTCTTCCTCAATACACTGAAATAAATGGGATATACGCAGTCTGTACATGTAGTCCTACTACAGATTTTTGTGTACCTATCAGTAAAGGGTAAACTTCGTTGTTATCAGTCAATTTTTCTAGTCTAAACAATTCAAAACCAGCCTAAATAACAGTAGTAACTCATTCTAGTTCCAAAATAAAATCTTCAAGTTTTATTTTATGCATGCCCAGACTGTAAAGGCATGGGAACAGAAGTGCAGTGCAGTTTCTAAAAACAATGTAAAAAACTGTACAAAGAAAAAATCCCGTAAATGCTTGTATACTATGAATAGATGATTCTATTCAGTTGCATCACTAGATATCATAGAGCTTATTGTCCTGGGACACCTTTCAAGATTAGCCGTTACCTATGTCCTGATACCTTATTACGACTTGCTATGATTCAAACATGTCTTCTCCAAGATCTAGGTACCCTCATGGCCTAACCATCATTTAACAGCCTCATCTCTTAATAGTATCACATTGCAACACATGAATTATGGAGAGTAGTTAAAACCCACACAAAAGAGGCTGCAAGCCATTTTTGGCTTGGTTGCTTTTTCACTGTCTGCCATGCGAGGACACAGTATTCTCCCCGCCAGAGGACACAGCATCCAGGAACCATCTTGGAAGAAGAGAACAGTTCTCACCAGAAAACCAAACCTGCTAGGACCTTAATCTTGGACTTCCTAGTCTTCAGAAGTGTCAGAAAATAAATTTCTGTTCTTTTTTTTTTTTTTTTTTGGAGACAGGATCGCTCTGTCCCCCAGGCTGGAGTGCAGTGGCGCGATCTCGGCTCACTGCAAGCTCTGCCTCCCGGGTTCCATTCTCCTGCCTCAGCCTCCTGAGTAGCTGGGACTACAGGCGCCCGCCACCACGCCCGGCTAATTTTTTTTCGTATTTTTAGTAGAGACAGGATTTCACCGTGTTAGTCAGGATGGTCTCAATCTCCTGACCTCATGATCCACCCATCTTGGTCTCCCAACATGCTGGGATTACGGGCTTGAGCCACCGCGCCCGGCCCTAAATTTCTGTTCTTTATAAATTACCCAGTCTGTGGTACTCTGCTGTAGCAGCACAAAGACCTCCCACCACAAACACATTAGTATGCATTTCACACACACACACAAGGACATTCTCCTACATAACCACAATACAAAGCATCAAAATAAGAAAATTAACATTGACACATTACTATCACCTAAATTTCATCCTTCATTGAAGTTTTGCCAGATTCTCCAATAATGTCCTGTATAAGGAGAGAATCTAGCTCAGAATTTTGTGTTGTCTTTTGTTGTCATGTGTCTTTAGGCTTATTTTCTCTTGAGCTCAGTATTTCTTTGACATTCATGGCTTTGACGCATTTGAGAATTATATGCCTGTTATTTTATATACTGTCCCTTACTTTCGGTTTATGTGATGTTCTTTATAATTAGATTCAAGTTATGCATCCTAGGGAGTATTATTACAGAAGGGATGTTTTCTTCTTATTGCACCCAATTGGCACATGAATTTGACATGTTCCATTACTGATGGTGGCCACTTTCATCATTTAAGTAAGGTGTTATGTTCCGGGTCTTTTCCTGTGAAGTTACTAATTTTGCCCTGGTGATCAATCAGTATTAGAAACTATATAAATAAAACCATCACTCAATATCTAAGAAAAATGGTTCCAGGACCTCCTGCAGACACCAAAATCCATGGATGCTCAAGTCCCTGATATAAAATGGCATAGTATTTGCATATAATCTACAAACTTCCTACTGTATACTTTAAATCATATCAATTAATATACTACTTATAATACCTGATACAATATAAATGCTACTTAAATAGTAGTTATACCATATTGTTTAGAAAATAATGCCAAACAAAAGTCAGTACATATTCAATACAGGTGAAAAACATTTTTTTCAAATATTTTTGATCACTGGTTTGTTGAATCCACGGATGTGAAATCCATGGATATGGAGAGCTGACTGCATTGCTCATCAATTTTTAAGTAGTTAATTAATTTTATGAAAACACTTGGTTTTCTATTTTATTCAATGGTTTATAATGTTCCTACCATTATATATATTAATACTCAAATTGCACCAAATTTGGCCAGTGAAAATCCTTTCAATCTAGCTACCATGACCTTCTGGCATGTCTCCGTCAGTTTTTTGAGCACTTTTTTGCATTCTGATCAAACTCAATGCAACCTCTTCTTATACATCTTATACTGCCCCTGCCATCAAATCAGCCATATATCCATACAGGTTATCTTTTTTTAGTGGAAAATAATATTTAAAGACCAATCTATATATTAGCTGTGTCTCATTACTATTGGATGAGAGATAAAGAAAAGATAGGAGAGAAAGAGGAAGGGAGGAAAGGAAGAAGACAGACTGAAAAAGAAATCCATGAGTTTGCATCAATTTTCCTGCAACAAATATTTTATTTAAAAAATTTCCATAATTATAACTCCCTTCTCTGACCATACAAATCTTGCCTTTTAATTCTCTTAATATATTGTTATTTATTTGAATTCTATCCTATATAAACAATCTCCTTTTACTGTTTAATGTGCTGCCTTTACAGCACGGACACCCTCCTCACCCTGTTTAAGATCTTACATCTCACATCAGGTCACCCCTCATTGTGAACATCCTTCTCACACTAATGGGCATTGGCACTGTTGCCTGGCTGTCCCTTCACACAGACATCCTCCTTGTATGTTTCATAGGTACTCTAAAACTGTGGAACAGTGATTGTATATGGCTTAATTTCTATTTTAAAAAGACTTCAGGCGGTATAAAACAGAATCAATAAGAATCTAGAAACGTGTGGTTCTAGCTATCTCTACAGATTTATCTCCTTGGCTATCTTAATAGAAACCTTCTATTCTAACTATTACCCTCTGAATAAACTATAAACAGTCTTCCTACTGCATTTCCCCCAATCTGCCTGCAATGCTTGCTTCACTACTTTCTGCTTATTCAAATGCAACTCTCCTTCAAGTCTACTCACTTAGCTTGGCTCTTACAATTATGCCAGGCCATTCCCTTTCCTGAAGATGTCCTTCTCACTCTGCTTGGCCCCTCATGTAACTTGAAAATTATTTTGAGTTCTCAGTCATTTTGTGAACTCCTAAAGCACTTATTAGTACTATCACTTATTGGACCTTTTGCATACTCTACCTTTAGTTTTTCCTGTTTTTTTTTCCTTTCTTTGAAAATCTCTTATCTTCCCAATTATTCCTTAAGCTCTTTGGGAACATAAATTCTGTATAATAATTCTTTATATCCTTACAGTTTAAACATATTGCTTTACATTGGGGAGACCCTTGAAATACTTGCAAGTGAACTGAACAAATACTCATAGTCATAATTCTGTTAGTCATAAAATAAATACCTGAGACTCACGGTGATTCTCACTTAAAAGTTGTTGGAAGAAATGTAAAAATAAAGACTGCTCAAGAAGATATTTTTACAAATCTTGGACAATGTGTTGCTTGTTGTATGTGAGGGAGTAATTGACTTAGAAACATCTTGAAAATGTAGTAACATTTAAAGTTAGCAGCCAGCTACAAAGCTAAAGGCCACTGCTTAATAGCACAGGAGAGAGCTACAGGTATATTGCTCTTTTAAAAAATCTGTAGATGTAGACTCATGGTACCCACTTAACAACTCTTTGAAAAATAAATGAATAAGAGAAAAATGTGTAATGAAAAGATCCTAGCATCAAATGGTGATATTTCTGAAGCAATGCATTGAAATCTTTTGGGATGTGGTCCAGCTTGTCAGTCATCTTCAATGTTAGTGAAAGTCAAATCTAAATTCCAGAAGCTAAGGAAAATAGAATAATCTAAAATTAACCAAAAGAATGTATTGAAACAACTCCAAACATCATGTGCTGTTCTTTACAGGAGGTTTCAGAGTTAAAGTGGAAAAAGAGTTTATTGAACAGAATGTAATGGGAAAGAGAAGAAACAAAAAGGATCGTTGAATTTATTGAGTTTTGCTCAGCTTGACCTTGTGCACAATATATTGTAACATTAAAAAATACATTTGGAGTATTCTAGACTGGCTTCTGAAAAACCAAATTGATTGTAATATTGAATGAAAATTCTAGAAACCAATGTTCTCTAATGCGACAGCCATGGTCAAATGGTAATGTGAATTCAAATTGCTGCTTCCCTAGAATTTCACTTGAGCCATGTACTTATCACTTTATCTTCTCACACCTCATCTACATATGATTGCAAAAACAGTGTAAAGTGAAAATTAGCAAAACAGTTTGAAATATAGCTGAAATGTCAGGGAGACAGCAGCAAATGAACTGTGACAACAATTGAGTGTAAATTTATTGATGTTGAAAAGGATAGCATTTCAAGGAAAACAAGACAGAAATGCTTGCAGAGAGCCGCAAATGAAGCCTTAATAGCTCATGGAAAATAGAAGAAAGCTCAAAGGAAAATGCTACTGCTGAAATGAGCCCATGAAGAAGAGGACTGTAATTGAGATAACAGGCAAATGACTCAAACGTGCTGAAGCTGAAGCATAAAGAGTTTTGTAAAATGTAGGGTACACAGAGAAGGTTATAGTAACTCTTCACATATGAACTGAGATGATAAAATAATAAAATTGATTGCATAAGTTGAATACTATTCAGTCATTCATTCAAACATACTTATGTAGTTTGCCAAACTTCAGTGTGAGTTGTGAAGATATTTCATTAAAAAACATTGCCTTTATGGAGCTTACACACTAGTGTTGCTGTAGGAAGAAGATAGCACATAAATCCTTGATGAACGGTTGTAGTGATGAAAGTTCTGTAGAAAAAGACAAAACAGATGAAGGAGCTAGTGAATAAAGGGTTGGGGAAGGTGCGTTGAAATGGTAGTCAGGCAAGGTCTCACTGATAAGATGACATTTCTTCAGAGACAATTGTCAGTAATAAGAGTAAAAGAGCAAAGTAGGGAACCTGGGGAAGAGCATGACAAAGACAGGGATGGGCACAAAAGCTCAAGAGCTCCAAGGAAGCATGTCTGCTGCATTCAGGAAATATCGAGGAGCCAGTACTAATTAGTCCAGTGTTACCTGATGTGAGAGAGCTCTGCGTGTCATATACATGTTGTATATTTGAGTGTCAAATAACATTATATATAATATACCAAACACTTATTTAGCATCAATTGAGTCCAAATACTAGAACAGATGAAGAATTCCCTTTAGAGTAAGTAAAAACAAAATGTCATGAGTGATACAATGTTTTTTTTCTCTCTCTCTCTCCCTATCCCTCCCTCCCTCATCCCTCCCTATTCGCACACATGAACAGACATACACAAACAAGTGTGTAAGAAATAGCTAATTTTATATCTCTCTCTGAAACAGAGAAAGATGCAACTGCTTTTGTAAGTAGGATTTAATTATAAGAAAATCATAATTCTAAAAGATTATATTAGGGAAATATCAATGCTTCTTAAATTGTTAAAATAATCTAATTGATAATTTCACCCAAAGGAATCCATATAGAACATTAAATTTCACATAGACATCAGTGTATCACAGAATCCCCAGTTTTGTTCTAAGCTATTTTTTCTAAATCAGTGAAATGATCATGAAGAACAAAAGTTCAGCTCTTTAAATTATATTATCCTTATATAGTTAAGATGAACTTATACTAACTTACATGGTATAGAGAAAGCATGTCTGATGTACAATTTTAAAATGTCCTTTTATTATAACTTAGCTAAGGACAACCATTCAACTCTCATATATTATTAGATATATTAATAATGAATGTAATAAGAATTTAATCTCAAAGAAGCTGTGAACATTTTAAACAGGAAGGGGAACATCACACACCGGGGCCTGTTGTGGGGTGGGGGGAGGGGGGAGGGATAGCATTTGGAGATATACCTAATGTTAAATGACGAGTTACTGGGTGCAGCACACCAACATGGCACATGTATACATATGTAGCTAACCTGCAAGTTGTGCACATGTACCCTAAAACTTAAAGTATAATAAAAAAACAGAAAGAAATAGTGCACATATCTTTCACTTTTTAATTTCAAAATCTCGTGATGCATGAGGATTTATTTTTTTGTCTAGAACCTCTGAAACCATGCTTTTGAGTCACCGAGGGGGATGAATATTTCACCTATGTGTTGCAACCAGGGTCTTTCTGTCTGATGCTCACAGCCATGTCTGATGAGCAAATTAGTAGTTTATTCCTTAAGACTTTGTTGTTAGGTCAAGAGTTTTATTTCCCATCCCCTATCTTTGCCCCCATGAGTTCCATGAGGCATTATTAGAAATAAAAACATACTGGAAGGAAAACGACTCACCGAAAATGAGCTAGTCTTGGTTATTAAGGCATTAAAGAAAATATATACTGTTTCATAGTTCTACAGTTTGGCAGTTGTGGTCTGTTTATTGCCCTCATCAGAGAGATGACTCATCACTTAATTAATAATTACATTTACTAATCACTTAATGTGTAATTACACAAATACATGTAAAGCAGAATTGTTGTTTGTAAGTAATTATCATTAAATATTATTTATAACGATTAGAATAAGGAATTCCTCTACCACAGAATTAAAACAAGAACTGAATATCTTGACTTGATAGCATTGTAAAAGCCTTAATTTAAAAGATGCCACTTTGTTCTTTTTCATAACAATACTTATTATATTTTATGGCTGTTGTTATACTCTGATTCCTATGTATTGTTCCCTTGAGTCATAGTTTTCTGTTAATATGCTGTGTCTTAGGTGGTAGACATTACATTTAGTGTAATCGAACCTCATCTTCCTACAAACATGTAATTTGTCGTATGATATTTCTATTCTGATCCCTGCAAGCTGCTAAGTATGGGGATTTTATAGTGTCTGCAAGAGATATCAGTCTAGGTTGCTTGTCAAGCAAGGGTTTGTTTTTACAGCAGGCTAGATTAAATAGAAATTGACTTTAGTCCCTTTTTGCATGGCTACTATAGGGATAATAAAACAAATGAGAATTAGATAGGTTTTAATGTTGTAGATAAGAAGACTACAGAATGGGAAATTTATTGTCTATCAGCAGAAAGGAATAGTGACTTATAAAAATAATAAGAGAATTAAGCCTGGCAATTGGTATCCTCACTAAACTCATGGAAATACCTCATCCTGGCATTTTCATCCAGTGATTTACTTAACTTTGAATTAAGTCTTCTCCAAAATAACACATTTTTACAATCTATTGCATTGCAATGCCTCTGATCTTGCAACTATAATTCTTGATTTCATTCAAAATTTAAGGATTATTCAGTCAATAATTAGACAATCAATAGTATTTTTGTCTTGCTGACATTTTTGTGAAAAGACATACTAATCTCTCACTTTTTTAGATATTAAAGAAATAACTTAATTTTAAAATAACTTTATTCATGTTAAAAACCAATGGATTAAATAAAAATATTTCCTTGCCTCCATTGTGTGATTAAATACATTAGAGAAACTCTCTATAAACAAGTCAGTTGTTAGAGCTGGAAGGCTATTTCATATAAAAATATGTATACTCTTCTATTCTGTAGTATTGACTTACTTCAGAAGTATTGACTGGCTTTATTATTGTTTATCTTTACAGCTGTAGATTGTATTAATTTATTTGTAATCTGTTTTGCCATCTGATTGTTTTGACTAGAAGTCTGTTTTGACATAGAATAGAGTTTTCAGTAATCCCAATCTGAATTCTTTTCAACAACCCAAAAATAGCTAATTATTCTTTCTGAATAATTAGAAAATTACCCCTTACATGGGGATGACTATCTCTACTCATGATGTATTTTTATGAATGGACACTGAAACTACAGGCTTAGAACATTATTCACTTACTTAGAACTACATGTATAATAGAAATCATTTTGTCTTATCTTTAATATAAATTTCTTGTTGTCACACAGATGTCTACTTCTTGGAAGTGTAAAATTTGGTTAAGTAATAGACACATTTATCAAATACTAATCATGCACACCCTATTAGAAGGGCATTTTGTTGGGTATATAGTGACAGACAATACTACTAGCCTCTTGGATTTTTATAGTTCTATAGTTATCAATAAATGAATGAATGAATAGTTAAATTAATCAAACAATGGAAATATAATGTTATAAAAGATGAGAAATAAAAAAAGTGGAGAGAAAAGTAATGCTCTGTTTTACTGGAGCACATAAACATTTTTAACAAATGCTGTGAAGTTACTGTTTTCTTGTGACTTTTGCAAAACATTGTTTTTTTCACTCAAGAATCTTTGCTCACCCAATTATCTTATGGTAAAAATTAAATTTGTATACTTTATTTCTATCACCAATATGTCATGATTTTCTAAAATTCTTCAACATGTATATGAAGTTTTGAGTTTCCAAATGGAATCTTTGAGTTACACTCCAGTCATTTTTTAATTTGCTCAAATGCAATGGATGAAAATGTCTGTGTAACCATTTCATTTGTATAATCTTTATGTCAATCTCCAAACCTCTCAGAGACAAGATTTGTTGTGGTTTTATTGTTGTTTTATCCTAGCTCATAATAGCTGTCAATTAGAAAGAAACTTCCTCCAAGCAAGTTTTCTGATGAGTGAGCAATCATGAAATTTTAATCAATCCTTAAATGTAGTCACTGTTTATAAACTGAGATGGCATAAGTTACCTCCATAATATTTCTTTACACGGTAATGATTACACACCTCTTCAGTTTTTCTTTCTCTAGGCCTGAGTGGACGGCTGTCAAATGTAGGTTGCTTCTGATCAGATATAAAGATGAATCATGAAAGTTAGAATCCATAACTTCTCAGGGAAGATGAGGAATCTACTGATACTTATGAAATAAATAACTCACTCACATTCACATATATTTTTATAAGTTCAGAGGGGAGAAAAGGCATCAAAATAATAAATTTCAAGAAAACAAATCATACTCTATTCCGCTCTATGATTTACCGGGTACTTTTAAGTCATTTCCTCCGTTTCTCAGTTTCTAATAAAAAGAGGCATAAAAAATTAGTAAATTAAGAAAGTATTAGAGATGTTAGATCTGGAAGGAATGTATGAAAGATCAGTATAAGTTAAAGAAGCATAGATTTTTCTATACCTGTTTGTATGGGAGAAGCAAGACTATGACCTAGTGTTTTTTGTGCTCTATTGAGAAATAGAAATTGTTGTTTTATTGGTACTTGAATAAAGTAAATAACTATATGAGAAGTTGGTGACTAATGTTAGTGGTTAGGACAAACATCCACTAACAATGGTTTAGTGAAAGGAACTGAATAATACTGGGATGAATATCTACTAGTAGATTTTTAAGAATCTGCCTTAAGAAGAAAACTACCTTAAAATGGAGGAGGGTGGAGCAAAGAAAGAGGAAACACCTGAGTCTATTTTGTTTCAAGGATCATCAACATGTTCATTATGAACAAAGAAAGAAATATTTAACAAATTTTCTCAACTTTAACTGCAAATTTCAGCAGTACAACAACAGAGACATCTGTGGATTGGGAAACACTAAGCCTTGTGATAAAATAAAAACTTCAGCCGAATTACATTTAAAGGAGTTTAATTGAGCAATGAACGATTTGCAAATTGGGCAGGCCCAGAATCACAGCAGATTCACAGAGACTCCAGCGCAGCCACGTGGTGGAAGAAGATTTATAGACAAAAAAATAAAGAATGATGTATAGAAGTTGGAAGTGAGGTACAGAATGGCTGGATTGGTTACAGCTAAGTGTATGCCTTATTTGAACACAGTCTATAAACACTCAGCAGTGTATGAATGTTTGAAATATGGCAGCTGGGATTTGCCAAGACTTAGCTATTGTTACAGGTGCATACTTCCAAGTCAGGTTTTGAATTTTGTCTGTCTATTAACCAGGTTCATCCTCAAGAACTCAAATATAGAAGTATAGAGTTCTTCTTGGGCCATATTTAGTTTGCTTGAACAATTCCCCCTTTTTGGTCATTTTATCAATTTTGAAAGATTGACCAAAACCTTAGTCATTGACATTACTATCACCATCGTAAATGTACCTATATGGTCTTGAAACCCACTGGGAAACAGTTAAACAGTGGGTTTTGTAAGGAGGGAACAAGGACTGAGTAGAGGGTACCTCTTTATGCTGGAATGTTCTGTTTACATGAGAAAAACCAAACCTGGTCTGTTCTAGGATCTATGGGTTTCCTTAAAGTCTTAGTTTGATTGTCACATTTAGCACAAGTGACTCCATTTTGTTTGGTTTAGCCTGTTGGGGCCCAGTGCATGAGCTTAGTCCAAAACAATTGCCTCCCATAATTTTGTTTAAAAAATTCCTCCTTTTTGGCCAGGTTCTCACTTAGGTGAGAGAATGACCAAAACTTAAGGCCCTAGCACCACTTTCAATTACCATGATTTTGGGTTTCCTGTCTCACTGTGTCATTCATAGGTTACAGTGTCCTCATGGTCACAAATTTCTTTCACCTTTTCTCATTCCATTTGAAGAGAGACCATTGACAATCTAGAGATGGCTGCATGCAAACATTTACAACCTTTGAGAGAATACAGTGCACCAGGGAGACTATTATGATGATTATTAGGAGGATAATAAGAATTTGGAGTATGCTCCTTACCCATACACAGAGTCCCTGTAAACCAAATTATCTAATATTAAATAGATTACAAAATGAGCTAGATGAAGAGTCTACTTGCTTGACTAAGTAGTCTTTTCATTAATCCCCTACAACTAAATTTTCATAATCTACATTTGATGTATTTCTCCATAGGCCACAAGTGCCAGCAGCTGCACAGGTACTTTTTAGCTAATTCTATTATTTAGCATAACTGTCACAGGAGAATTTAAAGTTGGTTGTGTAACCATAGCCTTTACAGTAGAGTCTGCCATAGAGCCCATTACAAGGGATACATTTCTAATTATTGCCTCTTTTATTCTAAATCATGGAAAAATGATGTAACAAATGGTATCCTCCTAGAACAGTGAAGGCCTCCTGGCAATGTTTTCTTTAACCCGTGATGTGTGTTAAGAGGAGTGAACCAATGTTCTGTTTCTGACTGATTATGAGACAACATATGAACCATTAAAGTTTTTCACCTACATTGGGCCGCCTACTCTTATCTATCAAAGTATAAGGTTATCCATGTATAAGGCTGGCTGAAAACTTCACAAATAAAAGTATACCCCATAAGTGTATATAACAGACCCCCTTTCTACTTCTATTGTTCATAGAGCCATAAGCAATATTCAAAGATAAGACTCTCGTGATAGTAGAAAAGTCTTGATCCACGGTATTGGGAAAAGCTGTTCACATCAAGGATGCCTTCTTCTTCTGGGGAGAGACTTCCCTGGTTAGTTTTACCTTAAGGGTTTCCATGGGTGTACAGTTCCAAGATTGTGGAGGAACCCTTCCCAGTTTTAAGATTATGAACCCAAAGTTCAAGCTTCCAAAGTTTTGCTGCAATGTGGATGGCAAAGACAGTCTTTCTCTGATGTTCTCAGAAGATCTAATCTTCAGGTTCTAGACTGCGAAGGGGTTATCCTCAATGAACCATAGAAAGCTTTCTTTACCTGGTGAAAATCCATAATAATCTACTGTTACAATATCAGCTCTTTTGCATGGAAAGCTTTTGTACTTCCGGAAAACATACATTGAAAATGACAATTGAGTGAATTTTTAAATAAATGTTTAAATGGCCCATCAGGTAGCCAAATGTACATGAAAAATTTGATTGTCTTGCCAGGAATATGGAACCAAACATTGGTTTTAAACTATCTCCACAATGTATAAGTCACCAAATTAATATATTCAATTTGGATTATTTTATCATTTTCATGATGAGTCATGGAATGCAGAACCTTTAATAACAAAAGCTTTAAGGACTCAGGAATGACAAGAGCAGACTTTCTGGTTCTCCATGAGTCCATGCTTAATATTGATTGGACTTATGTCCTTCTTGAATACCAGATGTTTCTCCAATGTAGGTGCTTTAGCACTGTTAACTGATGGGTTATCACAGGTAATTTGACTTAGACCATGGAGTTCATTTAAATTGTATATCTAAAAGATTTTAGTATTGACTGACTTGGCATGGTAATCTGGCATACTTGGGTTAGCAGTTTTATAAACCAGTCAGTCTTTTTATTAGAGTTTCAGGAATTTTTACCCAGTCCAACTCTTGGGGAATTGGGGAATTCATGGGAAATTTTTACTCATTACATGATTTTAAAGTTATTAGAAAATTGTATTCAAGAGTGTTTTTCAGGGTCCTTTCCACCCTTTCACGAACCTTTTAAAAGAAAACATATTCTAGGATTTTCCATGCTTGCGAAGTTTTCAGAAACTGCATTAGCATTAAGCAATTAACTGTGGAGATGACTTTAAATACTTATAGTTAAAAACACAATTAACAAGGAAATTTGGTTATTTCTGTGGGCTACAATAAAGTAACATAATAACCTTAATTATGTTTGATCTCATATACTGAAACATATTAGAATTTTAGAAATCCCACACAATTTTGGAACATATATTAATATCATTCACTAAAATATAACCTGAAGATTAAACATTATTTTTATTTTTACAGTACTTCCCATGATTTTTAAACCAAATAAGTCAAATTTCACTGATCCATTAGAGCGTTATTGATGTTAAGCCCAATTTTAATAAAACCTTATAGACAAATGTATATGATCTTAATCAGTTTGATCATAAGGTAAGAATTTTATAAACCTTTTATAACGCTTTACAATTTTTGTTAAAGAGTAGATTAGGGCTCTAAGAAAAGCTGTTGTGCTTTTATTTTGATGTTCAATTTACAGAAAAACCAAATAATACCACTTGTTACAATGTTAACTTTTAGCGACTTTTACTTTTGGTGAAAACCTTGGCAAGTTTGGGATTTTAATTATGTACTAGGTGTGGAGCCTAGTGAGAGGAGAGAAAGACCCTCTCACATTGTTTTATATTGTTTCATATTCAGTAGAAACAACAAGGAAGTAAAATCAAAGACAGGCAGCCCAGTGCCAGGCCCGAAACCAGGCCTAGGCCCGCCTGGCCTAAACCCAGTAGTTAAAAATCAACTTATGATTTAGAAGCCGATGTTATTCATAGATTCCTTACATTGCATAGAAGAACATTGTGAAACTCCCTGCCCTGTTCTGTTCCTCCCCAACCACCGGTGCATGCAGCCCCTGTCACGTACCCCTTGCTTGCTCAAATCAATCATGACCCTTTCATGTGAAATCTTTAGTGTTGTGAGCCCTTAAAAGGGACAGAAATTGTGCACTCGGGGAGCTCGGATTTTGAGACAGCAGCTGGCCGATGCTCCCAGCTGAATAAAGCCCTTCCTTCTACAACTCGGTGTCTGACAGGTTTTGTCTGTGGCTTGTCCTGCTACACTAGGACCCAGACAGAAATGCAGATAAGGTCTGACTCTTTCTAATATCTCACTCCATGTGTCTCAGGCCTTACCTAACTGTAAAGCAGGGAAGTTGTACAGGGAGCATGGCTAATTCCACATGTCCCCAGGCCTTATCTAATGCTCCAAAATAAATTAAACAATTTTTAAAAGTCAAAGCAGTTTATGACCTTAAAGCATTTAGGAAACCTAATATCTGACCTACATAATTTAGACCAAATGTTTTATTTTTGCCAATAATCTTTAAAGCTGTTTTTATTATCCAAAGATTACTAAAGTTACATGAACTAAAAGGCATTACAGTTTTACTTTTTCTTTCTAAACATTTGACTTAAGTGCTTATTTTTGTTTAAGTCAATTAATCAGAGCTCTTTTATGTAACTACACAGACAGACAGATAGAAGATTACTATAGTAGTTGTGTTACAGGGGAGTCCTTGTTCCCAGAGCTCCCAAGATGGTGGCGGCAGCTTCCAAAATGGTGGCGGGCTGCTTCCAAGATGGTGGCAAGCCTCGTGTTCTCTGACCTGGGGTTCTTGGCCTCACAGATTCCAAGGAATGGAATTTTGGGCCATGCAGTGAGTGTTATAGCTCTATTAGAAGCCATGGGTCATGAAACAGAACCATGGAACCCAGTGACTAGTGTTCAGCTTGATTAGGATGAACCTGGGCACTTAGCCATGCAGAGACAATGGCAAGCCTTTAGCCTGATTGGGAGTGGCAATGGAGGCCTCACTAGGTCAGGAGCACAGCAGACACCCTGCCGGATCCGGAGGGATGGAAGTCAGCAGCGGGTCTGTGATGGCGGCAAACAGCAGTGGTGGATGACAAGGGAAAGGAAAGCTCAGCTGGAGCTGTAACAAACACAGACCAGAAGAGAGTGCAGTTGCAAGATTTAATAGAGTGAAAACAGAGCTCCCATACAAAGGGAGGGGACCCAAAGAGGGTAGCCATTGCCAGCTCGAATGCCTGGGTTTATATCCTGATCATTGTCCCTCTCACTATGCTCTCAGGCAATAGATGATTGGCTATTTCTTTACCTCCTGTTTTTGCCTACTTAGCTTTTTAGTGAGCTCTCTTTACTACCTGAATGTTGGGTGTGAGCTAAATTGCAAGCCCCGGGTTTAAAGGTGGATGCAGTCACCTTCCCAGCTAGACTTAGGGATTCTTAGTCGGCCTAGGAAATCCAGCTAGTCCTGTCTCTCAGTTGTAAGATTTTTCATTTGCCAGTTTTTAAGTTTCTTAATTGGTTATTGGCTTTAGGGTGGAGTCCTTAGAAGAACAGGGCCAGAAAAGGGTCTCTGGTGCCTCCTGTTTTTCCCAATAAGTCCAGGCTGTTAGAGCTTGAATATCCACTTTTAATTCAGCTGACTTTTAACTACAGCGCTTTTTAATAAAGTCCTTTTAAAATTTCTTATTTCCTGACTTTAGCCAAGCCAAATGGCCAATATTTCTGACTTTTGAACTTTACCAAAGGTAACCTCCCAGGTGCTCAGCAAAAGGAAAACTTAGTCTTTGGAGGAGAAGAGAATAGACAAGGACACACAGATATTAAACCAGAAAGAACTTATTTACTAAGCTGGGAATCAAACCTGGACCAACACTGCAAAATGGCAAAACATTAACTACTGAGCTACAGCACAAGAAAATCTCCAGTGCTCTTCCAAGAAGTCTAGAGTAGTTAATTTTGAGCTTGCAAAGGCTTTTAACTAGTGAAGATAATTTTTAGAGCTAACTATGACATGAAACCTAAATTTCTGTTCCCTGGAAGGCAGAGACCAAGAGAAAGTTGTGCCACATGGTTACAAGATCAAGCTCCCAAGGACATAAAACAAGATGAAGACCTCATCCAGGTTTTTGTTTGTTTCAGGGACCTGCAACAAAGTTTGTTACTGATCAGCTTGCTGGGCCATCTTGAGCAGTGAGCTTATGTGCGCCTGACCCCATGTTTTATCCTAAGGTACCCTTGACACAGAAAAACAAATTCATAGCACAAAATACACCAGATTGACTACAGCTTACCGCCAGCCTCAGAATTCTTTTTGCATTAATTAAAACTTTACAGAGGAGATAAACAGTGATTTTTACCATTCATGCAACCAATTTGCACACCAAGAGAGAAATTAGAAATCTGACTGGTAAGAAATTCTTACCCTTTTGCCAACATGCCAGCCTTCTGGGTTCCCTTTTCCTGAGTGGCCCTAGTGACTTGACTTGCTGCACCATCACCCTGGGGGTCAAGCTTCAACACAAATTTTTTTTTAAATTGCACTTCAGTGTGTTGTTGTTCGTTTAGAACATTATACTGTAAGTTATCTTTAGTAAGATTTCACCATTTCTGTAAGACTTTGCTGCCTCCTGGGCCTAATGTATAAGCAAGAAGGAACTCAGTTTTTCAGAAATTAAGGATCCCATTTTTACCTAAAATATGGGCTTTACTCTTAGGTTCTCTTGATTAACTTAGCCAATGATTTTTTTTCTTACCTAGGAGTGCAAGAAAAATAAAACAAAGGGGTAGAACACAAAAATCCCTGTGAATTTTTAAAAGACAAATTGTAAAACCACTGCAATATTACTGCTTACCACCAGTTCCTTTCTGACCCAGTCAGATGTAAGAGGCCTCTTACTGTTTCCAAACCAGTAAATTCCCAGATCAATTTCATTCCTGGACCCAGCCCAGTTTCTGTCATGACTTCCAAACCCAATTTGGATCAGAAACTCAGAGAGCTCAAAACACAACTCTGTGGAGCTCCGAAATCCAAGAGGGAGCTTACCCAAAATCCCCAGCCACTCTGAGAAGTCAGTGTACACAAGTGGGTCCCGCAGGTACCTTGCATGTTCACTTAGCACTCCTGGAGGTCACTAGAAGCTTCACTTCGGATCCCACTTCTGACACCATCTGATAAAAGAAAAACTTCAGCCGAATTAAATTTAAAGGCATTTAATTGAGTAATGAATGATTTGCAAGTTGGGCAGCCTCTAAAATCACAGCAAATTCACAGAGAATCCAGCACATCC
Organism: Homo sapiens; assembly: GCF_000001405.40. Taxonomy (NCBI): domain Eukaryota; kingdom Metazoa; phylum Chordata; class Mammalia; order Primates; family Hominidae; genus Homo; species Homo sapiens. Next base: position 125,458,158 of record NC_000007.14, read on the forward strand.
ATGTAGTGGAAGAAGATTTATAGAAAAAAATAGTTCATGACGTACAGAAATTGGAATTGAGGTACAGTACAGCTGAATTGGTTACAGCTTGGCGTGTGCCTTATTTGAACACAGTCTGAACACGCAGCCGTGTAGGAATGGTTGAAGTATGGTCACTGGGATTGGCCAAGACTCGGCTATTGTTACAGGTGTATACTACTAAGTTAGCTTTTGAATTTTGTCTGTCTAATAAGTTAGGTTACAGTTCATCCACAAGGACTCAAATATAGAAGGATGGAGTCCTTCTCAGGCCATATTTAGTTTGCTTTAACACTTGTATTATCTATCTACTGATACTGAGTGGTGATTGTTATGGCAAAAAACCCATGATCATTTGCAGGAATCCAGACCTTGTTTTAGTTCTGGTTCTTTATTTAGCTCTGATTCTACCAGCTGTGTTAACATGAGGAAACTAACTTTTCTAATGCTCTGTGAACGCATTATAACAATTGTAGATAACTACTCACTTCATGGCTGTTTTAAGCTTAGTGAAATAATGTGTTATACTATTTAGCACAATATTGAGTAATTTTATCATTTTTAAGTAAAATATTAATTCTCAGTATTATTGAGTATTGATCATTACTATTTAAACTCTTTAAACATCTGAATTAAAATGTATGTATATAAGTTACTTTGTTCATAGTGGTCATAAAAAATGGTATGTTACATTAATAGAAGTTGAGGTAATATTTGCCTCATGGCTTAATATGAGTTAAAGAATTTTTTTTCATTGTATTTCCACATTTTGACTATACTGTATCTGGGTATGATTCTCTTTGCATTTGTTCTATTTGGAGTTTATTAAACTTGTTGGGTGAATAGGTTAATGTTTTTCAGCGAAATTGGGAAGTTTTCAGCCATTATATTTCAAATATTATTCTGCTTTTTTCCTTTCCTTGATCTGAAACTACTATTATGTATTTATTCATGAACTTAATGGTAGCCCACCTTTCTCTGAGTGTTAGTTTATTGCTCTTCTTTCTTATTTTTCTCTGTTTTTTAGATTGCACAATCTATATTGATTTATTTAAAAGGTCAGTAATTTTTTACTCTTTCAGCTCAAGTCTGCTGGGATCCTCTAGTAAACTTTTCATTTTGGTTGTTGTACCTTTCAACTCCAGAATTTTCTTTCATTTTTTTTTCTTTATAATTTGTGTCTCTCTATTAACATTCTTTGTTTGAGTCATAATCCTCATAAGTTTCTGTATTTTTAAGCACTTTTAAATTTCTTTGAACATATTCACAATAGCTCTTTTGAAGTCTTTGCCTGCTAAGACTGTCATGTGGGCTCCCTAAAGGCAATTTCTGTTTACCTGCTTTATTTCAGGTACATGAATCACAATTTCTTGCTTTTTTGCATGGTTTTTACTTATTGTTGAAAACTAGATATTATAAATAACAAAGTGTAGCAACTCTGGAAACTGATTTTCACCCCCTCCCTAGTCTTGTTGTTTGCTTGTTTATTTGCATCCTAACTTGTTTGACTATTTCAGTGACAGACTCCTCTTCAGATGCTTAAGTGTGAGCATAAGTAGAGTTCTCCCTCTCCCTCATCCCATGGGAATTAGAGTGGATTTCAATGAGTTATATTTGACTGTCCTTTCCTGATTTTCTTGCTGTGTTTCTAGCTGGTCTGTCTTTATGGTATTATGCCTAGATATTAGACTCTACTAATTGTTTGCTACTATTGCTTTCAAGCATGCTCTGAGCATACATTTGGAATCTTTTGCAATGGTATCATATGAAACCAGTATTTGAGGGTTATTCTGACCTTGGGAGAGCTCTCTTTAGCTGTTTATTTTCTGGTTTCTGTGTTAAACTTTCTACTGATCCACTATTTTATTTGTTGCACCATTTAGCTATCATTCTTCTCTTAATTGCTCATGATCAAAATCTCATTGTTTTCCAATGTGCCTTTCAGGTTGAATTCTCCTATAATCTCTTTTAAATAAATTTATTTACCTTAGTACATACTTTGGAGTTTTGTATATATAGTCAGAGTTCTAGGAAAGAGTAGTAATTTCTACTATTTGCAGTCTCCCTCTCTCGGCATGGAATATCCACCCTGTGACTGAGGTAGTGTGAGAATATTTGAGGCCCAGTATTCTTAGGCTGCCAAGCCTGAGTTACAACTCCTAGCCTATAATTGGGGGCTGAGTAGACTAAGGAAGTTTCTGACCACTTGCCTAGAATAGATCGTCTACAACATAGAGCTGAGGGGATGAGAAATGTTGGAAGGTTTTTTATCCTGACATAGCCTTAGGTTAGGAGCTGGGAAAGAAGAAGCCCCATGTTCTTGGCTGAATCAATTTAGATTAGAACTTTCATCATGGTGAACATGGAGAGGGTGAATGAGTCTAGCTGAAATACCATGTACCTTTGCTGTTCTTACTGAGATTTAGTAGATTTTCTTAAATAAATGTTTATTCATTTTCTGTATGCCCTTATGACAATTTTTAGCAGTTTCAAATGAGCATTTTTGTAATTTTCACTGGTTATGGTAGTTTTACTAGGGAAAGGGTCCATGAACATCCTCACTCCGCCATTTCAGAAGTGACATCCCTAGAATAAACTTTCTCGAAAAGATGTAAATGCTAGTTATCTGTTATTAAGTCATGTTTTAAAAGCAGAGGGACATTTCAGGTCCTGTAGGAAAGACAGAGAGGAGCTCTAGCTACTGAAGCAGAAAGATACCAAAGACTCTGGAGAAAGTCTGTGAAACTGAGTCAAAGCTGAGTGATCCCATAAAATGGAACACAAGATTCTAACAAAGAATCCAGCAGGGTACTTTTATGTTCAGGGCTCTCAGTTCTTCAAAGAAGGATTGGAGAGGTTTAAAGCAATGTTTAGTAACACAGGCTTGAGTAAATGGCACTGGAAAGTTCTATTTCCTAACAGAGAAGGACTAAACACATGTTGCCACCACTAAGACTATATCATTTTGGCAGTAATGTATCTTTAAAAAAAATCTTCTGGCTTTCTGCAAAGAGTAAATCATTACCTACCTTTTTCTGTAAGAGGTAATGTCTTACACTGTTAAAATGACACCTACAGTAAGGAACAGAAAATTGATGTTAAATGCATTCCTATTATGTTAAATAGAAAACATTAGAAATTCTTTTTCTGACATTTTTTATAGTAGGAAAAAGTGTAGCTAAATACACAAACTATTTCTTTCCATTACTGATAAAAATGTGGTCTGTATTATATATTTTTCTATTGTAAATCTAGAATTAGTTGTAATTGGTGTAACTTAGTCATTTACTCTTATTTCTTTTCAGATGTAAAGCCTCTGTTAATACTTTTCCTGTTAACAACCTAACTATTCAACTGCTGAATAAAAACCATTAGGACAACTAAAGAAACTGAGAGATTTTGGCAAGAAATAGTCATTCCAATATCAATGACTACGGAGGAAATGCAATTACTTTTCTTTGCTTAAGTTTTCCAGGTTTGTGTTCTTAAGTATGAGCCACAGCATTTATAACAACCCCAGAATGTACCATTTTTATACAAGAATTAAATAATAGCCCAAATTAAGTATTTGGCTCTTAGGAATTTGAGAACTTTTGCAAAATGATATCTTTCATAAAAAATAAATGTTGTAAAACTATATATATTTAATAAACCCATTGCAGTAACCAGCAAAAATAAATTTAGCTTTCTGAAATGCGTAATTGCATACTGAATGTTTCTCTAGATACTCTCTGAAACTTGGAAACTAAGTTTAAAAACATAAACTGTCTTTCTTTAAATAAATGCCATTTGAAAGTAATACTAAATGTTTACATCATGTTTATAGTTTTGAAGAAATAATTCCTAGAAATAAGATTGTATTACCAAGCATTATAAATCTAATACATTTTCATTTCCCCATTTGGGAGCTTAGTATGCTTTCTGAGAGTCTTTGTCATTTCCTGTCAATCGTTCCATCTGGATCATTGAGTAGAATCCTCTCATATTCCCTTGTATGTGTATGCAGACTCTATGGTGTTGTTTTCTGTATCATTGTCACCTATACTTTCATTAACTTTATTTTGAATAAGCAATAGTGAAAGAATAGCAATAATAATAATAACAACAAAACAAAACAAACAGGGAGCTAGAAGCTCCTATTTTTGTCTCAAAATTAGTGGTTCACATATTTAAAGCCAATTTGACTACAAGCTCTCTGTAACTTTTTAAATGAAAACATATTAGTGAAATACTATAAGCTCTTTGTAACTTTTTAAATGCAAACATAGTAGTGAAATACTGTTACCATACATTAAAGTGCAAAGCATTTTGTAAGTTTTTAATTTTTTTGCAAACACACATCTCCATAATCACAACCCAGAACAACATGCCAAGTTTTTGGCATTTGAAGCTTCCTGTTTTCCTCCATCCAACATGGCTTTTTATTTTTTATTCTAGTCTAGTGTTGTTTTCATAGCAATTTACCATATTTACTTCTCTAAATGTATACCTTAATTCCATTATATTTCTCTATTTCTACGCTCTCGCTGGCTTTCTCCTCTTTTCCCTTCTATCTTTTCTTTTTTCCCTCCCTCTCCTTCCCTCCCTCCCCCCTCCTCTTTTCTTTTCCTTTGCTTTCTTTTCTCTTCCTTTACTTTCTTTTCATTTATTTTTTTTCTTCCTTCCTTTCTTCCTTCTTTTTCTTTCTTTCTTTCTTTTTCTTTCTTTCTTGCTTTCTTTCTTTTTTTTCTTTTTTTCTTTCCTTTCTTTCTTTTTCTTTCTTTCTTTCCTTCCTTTCTTTCTTTTTCCTATATTTCTTTGAATTCTACTTATCTACCTGTCAAGTCTTTCAAATCTCTCTATTATGTCACTGTCTTTTTAAGGTCCTTCTTATTCCCTCTTCCACTTTTGTAACTCATTTTTTCTCTAGCAAACCTATTTTTGTCTCAAAATTAGTAGTTCATATGTTTAAAGCCAATTTGACTATAAGCTCTCTGTAACTTTTTAAATGCAAACATAGTAGTGAAATACTATTACCATACATTAAAGGGCAAAGTTCTTCATAATTTTTTCAGTTTTTGCAAATACACGTCTCAGAACAACATGTCAAGTAATGCCAACATTTTAAATCCTTCCTTTGGCCTCATTCTAGTTAATATAAATGCCAAAAGAAACACTGTAATTCTTTGTGAAATTTTAATCACAGATTTATTTTATAGATACTATTCAGATTTTTCTATATTTTTTCTTTAAGTTTTAGTGTTTTACAAAGAAGCTAATAATTTCATTAGAATGTTAAAATTATATATGTTAAATTTTTTGTCATTTTTCAATCCATATAAGGTATATGTGATATGCTTTTTTTCACTGCTAGTGCTAATTCGTATTTAAAAAAAACTTAGAGATTTTTACATCATTTTTATTAATCTTTTCAAATTTGCCATCTAATGTTTACTGTGTCTGAATATTTTCTTTCCAAGAAACTTTGTCTGGAAGGCTTTCTGTGTTATAAGCAGAGACTTATATTCTTTTACAATGGGTTAAATGACATTTTCACAAAGAAAACACAATGATATAATCAGCACCCAGATCAAGAAATAGAATATGACCTGCTTCCTAGAAGACTCCCTTATGCATTCTCTTAGTCGTTACCGTTTTACCCCCTCCCTTGGCAGTTTCCTCATTTTTAACACTGAAGATCATGTTAGTTTTTTGTTTTCATTTGTTTGTTTGCTTTACTTTTCCATAAATGCATATATACAGCATTATCTCTTAAAATGCTTTTTTATTCAAACATTACAGTTAGATTAATCTAAATTATTCAAATATGGCTAATATTTGTTCATTCTCATTTTTACATACTATTATTAGTCACATTTTGTACAGCTCTAGAACACTCTCAGTATTAATCCAATTAGAATGTATATTTTGAAAAAAAGTAATATTTGCCAGTCTAGGTCTTACTTTCTGTTGTAATGTACACATTCAAGGCGACAATACTTCTAAGAAATATTCAGGACATTAACACAATCTTAGTGCTTGATAGTCATTGAGCCTTTTTGGTTCCCTGCCTGGTACCCAAGCATCTGAGAAGTGACAAGTCAGCCCACTGTATAGTGGAAGGCTGATGGAGTGGAATGCCCTAAATATGTTTGTCTTGATGAACTGTCACAAGAAAAAGGAATGGAAAAAGACAGTGAGTAAATTAATTAAAATAAAGATGAGTAAATAATTTAAATAAAGAATGAATGTGATGCTGCCTTGTATAAAAAAATGTAATAGTGGAATTCTAAAGGGACTATTCTATTGCTTTTACCTAAGGAAAGGTTGTCCATAGACAAAAAGGTTTCAGAATTACTTTTCTTTAGAAAATACTGGCAGCTGCATCAAAAATGTCAACTTCACGAGTGACACTGTCACTTCATGATTTGCTTCTTAGTAGGACTAGGCTTCAGAGTGAGGCAATTTGTGTTATTGAACAACAAAACTCCCAAACAAGGGGGATATCAAGAAGTGGTTTTAGGAGGGTAATGAGCAAATCTTTGGGGGAAAAAGTATAACTGTGCTACTCTTCCAAGCATTATGAGTTTTACTTTTATTACAGAAAATAAAATTTAGTTTAAATATATTATTTGAAAGCCTACCATATGTCAGAAACAAATATGTGTTACTTTACTCTGCTAATGTGAGTATTATTTATAACATCTTGGCAGAAAAACTTATTTATTTACTCTTTGGTTATGCTTACAATATAAAATTAGATGTTAATATACTATCCTAATACTGTTGTATAAATGCTTTTAAAAATCACAAGATATAAAACAAGGCAAGGCAATTAAAATTACAAGTAAGAATAATATTGTATCACAGATCTTAAAAGGGATCTACCAGTGTGTTACTAGGTATTTGAAACAATACTAAATACAAAATTTAGTGTTTCTTTTGCTCTAGATAATGTTTTCATTGTGTATGGTGTTTTTACACATGTGCTTTATAAAAACTACAAGTTGTTGCGTTATTTACAATGTATATTCAGTTATTTTTTGAGGTATCATTTGTGGAGGCATTCTCTACATTTGATAATACCCATATTCTTGGCCCTGATTTCTTGAACACTCCTTTCTTTCTATAATGTTGAAGGTATATGTATCAATTTTTGGAAGAGTCTTGTTTAATGATAGGTAACAAAAATAAACTGGAAAACAATAACTGTTCCCACATAGGTGTTGACATCATGAATTCAATTTCTAACATGTGACATATAACATAGAAAGCTGAGAAATTGCTTTCAAATAAATTTTTTCTTTGATGTGTGTACATATGTAGTTGCTTGTGTATCAGTTTTTTTTTCATCCATTTATCAGGATTCTTAGATATTAAACTTCAGTTGTATCTCCGTTCCATCAATCAGAAAATTTATTGGCAATTTTTGTGAAATTTTCTGCTATTACCAGTGACAGTTTTTTTTTTTTTTTACTACCCTTAGGGAATTTTACCAATTACTCCCTTTCTAATGGAGGCAATTTTGAAATCACTAGAATCTTTGAAACGAAACAGTTGGCAGTTTCAGGCAACAGTAGATTTGAAGTGTGGTTGTTGGGAGGTTTTCAGAGATGCTATAAATGCCTGGGGCATTGGTCTCAGAGAATAAACAAGATCACAGCTGGGTTCTGAACAGCTGAAGTGAATAATAACGGACTTCTAGGCCTCTGTGATGTCTGTTACCATTCCTATCTTAAGTCTTAGCATTAACATACATGATTTTATTTTTCTTACAGTAATTATTCTATAGTAGAGTAGCTCTACCAACAAATAACGGAACTGTTTTGAATTGTAAAAGGATGAGAAATGGATACTTTCAAAGACACCACCAACTTTAGAACCACATTATCTGTGTGTGTGTGAGTGTGTGTGTGTGTATGTGTGTGTGTGTGTTGGAGAGATTGGAAGGAAACCAAGCAAATATACTTCCACAACATTGTTGCAAATTTTAATCATGCATTAGGTAGAATTTTTATTTATGATCTAGTATGTGGGTCACTTTTTGAATGTTACATGTGTAATAGGAAAAAATGTGTATTCTGCAGCTTGTTAATTTTTTTTTTTTTTTGACAGGGCCTTTCTCTGTTGCCCAGGCTGGAGTGCAGTGAGGCAATCTTGGCTCACCACAATCTCTCCCTCCTGGATTCAAGCAATTCTCCTGCCTCAGCCTCCCGAGTAGCTGGGATTACAGGCATGCACCACTACACCCGGATAATTTTTGTATTTTTAGTAGAGATGGGGTTTTACCATGTTGGCCAGGCTGGTCTTGAACTCCTGACCTCGTGATCAGCCTGCCTCGGCCTCCTAAAGTGCTGGGATTACATGCATGAGCCACTGTGCCCTGCCAACTTGTTAAATTTTTAATCATTCTGCTCACCTTTTGCAACCTTACTGACTTTTGTGTCTACCTTATCTAGCAGTGGCTGAAATTTCCTTCTATGATTATAGATTTGTCTGTTATTTCTTATAGATTTCTCAATATTGCTTGTATTATTATTTTAAGTTAATACCATTAGGCATAAAAATTCAAAATTGTTATCGCTTACTGAATAAATAAATCTTAATCTATTATCAAGTAATTCTTTTTCTTTAGAAATCGTTTCTGACTGTAAGTTTGCTTTGTTTGAACTTTTGTAGCTACTACATACATATACATATATATGCAGTAGCTACAAAATGTTTTAACTACACTTAAAGTTTTACATTTTTAAAATTAATTATTTTATTTTATTTTGAGTTGACACATAATTGTACATATTTATGGAATACCGAGTGATACTAATCAAAAGAAAGCTGTTTTTTTTTTCTGCTATTAATATCAAAGTTTTGGGATTGTTAATGAGATAACTTAATGTATTAATAGGATATCTTTCTTTCTCATTTGACTTTCAATTCGATATGGATTTACCATGGGGAATCCTAGCTTCTATGATACCTGCAGAGACAGGAGAGAGGAATCTTTATTCTCTACCTTCTGCCAGAAGTATGGAGTACTGGCCCTGCCTGGGGGTCATCCTTCACACTATGATGATGATATTGGGGTTCCCAGCTAGCTGAGGGCCACTACTGACAGGCACCTATTGTCTGGGTGCCCCGTGACAACCTGCCCTTGGTGGGCCTTATTGAACCTTGGGACCCTAAGTTTGACTACAGTGAGAAAGATCTGAATGAGACTCTGGTGAGTCGCTTCTGGGGAACCAGTAAAACCTAGGTTTTAAAACAACTTTTCTCCCTAAGAATTGGCTAAGTGAGGTTAGAGAGAGAAAGAAGACCAGGATATTATCAAACGGCTGAAAATCTCAAAGAGCTTAGCCCCTGGAAAGAAGCACACCTATGCTAGAAAAGGCAGATGTGGCATTAACTATTAACACTTGTGAAACTGAAATATTTTATTTTTGAAACTGTTAATAATCACAACCACCATGATAGAGTATAATGCATAAAATTGTTTTTCTATAATCTGTAATATAATGAAAATCAGTCACAATATGCAATAGTGTTATGGGATCTTTGGGATGTCCATTTTCTGGCTGGAAACTTCTGTGGCTCATGGCACCTTTGCCTGAGTTTTTGTCCTGCATCCGGGAAGAATGAGGTATACAAACAAGTGAAGTGTGAGCAAGAGGAAGATGAGCTTTATTAAGTGTTAGAACAGCTCAGAGGAGACCAGCACTGGGTAGCTCCTCTCGGTAGGCAGGTTGTCCCATCAAGTGTTAAGCTCTTAGCAGAGAGCAGGCCCTGGAGAGAGCAGCTCCTCTCCGCTACTGGTCCTCCCAACTCCCCTGTAGGTTTCTGAAGCTCTCAGCAGAGAGGGAAGTTTCTCTCTGCAGCCGGCCTTCCTATCATCTCTCCATTCTCTCCGTCCTCTGCCCTGCTCTGGCTGAGCCTGGGATTTTTATGGACATCAGAGGGCAGGAAGTATTTGTTGATTGGTCCATGGGCAGCCGTGGGCCCTGGAAGAGACACCACAAGTCCCCATTCCTTCTGCGGGACCAGCAGCCCAGTCTGAAGATGGGTCCTTACCAGGACCCACCCACTTCAGCCCAGGAACCTGTCTGCCTCCCGCGGCTGCCCATGGCATGCAGGCTGCTGATACCAAAGAGCACATGCAAGCCAGCACCCAGCTTCCCCCAGTTCCCCGACAGATTCCCCTCCCCGCCCTCCTCATACCCAAACTCCGGAGGGAGCCTAGGTAGCAGGGGGCTGGCATGTCTGCACTGCTCCCAGCATGCACACACCAGGCTGGGTTGTGACGGCACCCTGGCTCAGCCCCAACCCCGCTCAGAGATCAGAGCGGGAGCCAAGAGCAGGGAGAGGTCAGGCAGCGGAAGCAGGACCCCTTGCCCTCCCACCCTGCAAGGGCAAGGGGCGCCTTCCCAGGACCCCCAAAAGTGCGTGGATGCCTGTGTCTGCAGCCCAGGTTTGGGTGGCTGGAACAGGGCTCCTGACTGCTCCGTGAAGTGGGATGCCCAGATCAGCAGCCACTCTTTGCTCCTGCCTACTCCATGCTCCCAAGAGCACAGGGGTGCCTGGTTGCAGTTGCAGCTTGAGTGGCTGCAGTTGCACCTGGGGAGCTCCCGCCCCTACACCTTGGAAGGGACAGGTGTCCCTCCTGTCCCTGGCTGTCACTAGCTCAGTGGAACACAGCATCCAGCCACATACCCTAGCAACCTGGGGCAGAGGTTCCAGGTCTTCGCTAGGCCTGGGCCGGCATCTGGGGCGGGGGCAACGTTGCCATAAGATCCCTCTGTGGCCCTGGCGTTCAGGGTCAGCCCAGAGCTACCCCTCGCCGGCCGCGACCTGGCAGGGCCACTTTGCTGCGGCCTTCAGGGTGGTGGGCTGCAGGGCGGGGGGGGTGTCCGCCTCTTCCTTGTATTCTCCCTGCAGCGGCTGGTGTGATGGCAATGGCGGCCCCAGATGGCCCGCCGGGACCAGATGGCCTGAGACTGCCATCAATAATAAAGAAAAAGATATACTATTTTACTTGATTTATGATTTATGTGGTATTTATGCATGTTTGAAATCTACAATTTCTCATTCTAAGTATTCATTTTTGCTGCTAACATTACATTGATAATTTTTAATATTTTTGGAGGTGCCCTAAATTGTATATGTCTCAGTTCACACAAAACATAGACCTACCTCTGCATTCAGCTTTTGATATCATTATATTTATGAAATATTTCTTGTAAAGAAGCAATTAATTAGGTATTCCATATTTATTCTAATAATCTGTGGAACATTTGTTGTTTAGAAGTGATACAAAATCTTTTTTGCTCCCTATCCTGTTTTTCTATCCATTTGTATTTTTGGAATGTATGATTGTTAGCCCATATTTCATTTTTATCTTCTATCTTGTCTGCTATTTTGTCATGCATTGTGTTAGAAATTATAATATTCATAAATACTAGTGTGCAAGTTGAATTAATACCGTTACTACCTTTTAAGAAAATAAAAACAAAAACAGTGCACTTTAATTCTATCCACTTTTCTCTCATTTTGTTATTTTGTTATGCATTTTAATGTCATCTTTTATGAATTTATTAACTATAATAATAAACAATTAGAATACCATTTATTAAGAGTTAGATAATATCTAATTTGCTTATTTTTATGCAACTTGTTTATATTTTAAAACCAGTTGAACAATTTCATGCCTTCTCACATCTCAGACTTTCTATTTTAAAATACTTTTCTCATCTGAGAAGAATGTTTTTAGAATTTTCTTTGATGGGTTTCTGCTAATAGCACACTTAGCTACTTTTTTTTTGTCAAAATTAGTTTGTTTTACCCTCTACTTAAAAAATAAAAGATAAAACCAAAAGCAATGTACTGGACACACAGTTCAAGGTTGGCAGTTACTTTCTTTCATTACATCGAATTATGGCTTATTTTTGCTTTCCATTGTAGCTATTGAAAAATTGGGTGTGCAGTCAAAGAATTTTTAAAAAACCTTCTAGATATTCATTAAATCAGTTAATATAAGTTATTACTATTGAAAATGTTTGAGCCGTCACAATTTCAAGTAATTTCTCTGTTACATTCATTTCTCTTCTCCTTCTAGAACTCTGATCTTACATATCACACTATTCTTCATATCACTCTCATCATTCTAATCTTCATTTCTGTCTCTTTTTTGATAATTACTTTAAACTTTTGTTAAAGTTCAATAATTTTCTATTAAACTCTATTCAATCTCCTAAATCTATCCTTGAGTTTTGATTTCAATTGTGTTTTCCATTCTAGAAATGAAATTTGGTTCCTTTTTTTAAGTATGTTATGTCATTTATTATGTTTCTTGCTCCCTGCCGACATTGTCAATCTTGATTTTTATTTCTTAAAATATATCAGGCATTGTTATTTTGTTGTATTATTTGATAATTCCACTGTTTAAAGTTCTAGTGCTCTATTTATTAATTTGTTACTTCTGCTTATTCTTACTCTACTCTTGTTTACAACGAGGTTTTGTCCACTGTATGATGCTAGGTTTCTTCAGGAAATTATATGTGGAGGATCTCTGTGGCCCAGGATGAGGGTCCCACAGAAGATTTTTAGGTACTTATGGCTCTTAAATCTACTCTGTGATTTGATTTGGGCTTGTAAATGTTCAGAGGCCCAGTTTATATTTCTAACTTCTCTGGGGTTCTACCAATCCTCTACTCTTCTCACAGCCAAAGCAATTATCTTTACTCTTGCCTGGTTGAGGAAGGTAAGTGAACTAAAATTACTCCATAAGAAACTGCTCTGGAGGCCTATAAGGGACTCAGTTGTGGACAAGATAAGTTTAGGTTGTCTATTAACGTTCCAAAGGGGGAAGTCAAGGAGGCAACGGGATATGCCAAAAAGAATTTCACTACAAAGGTCTGGGATGGAGCTATAATATTAGGGATAGAAAAATATAGGTGGTTTTCCTCTGATGAAGTAAATAGGTACAGCCTCCAGGGTAATTTTTTAAAAAGATAAATTAGACCAGGTCATTCTTTTTTTAAAAGTCTCCTCAATCACTTTCTATCAATCAGTAGAGTAGAATCTAAACTCATGAATATAGTTTAGATTCTAGTTTAAAAGACATCGCGTTATTTAGTCCTCATCACCTTTATGGATCTTGTCTCTTTCTACTCTCATATTGGTGAATTAAGCTGGAATTACATTTTTCTTCTCCCTTTTTCCCTATCACACATGAAAGAAAAATGAAATTGGACCCATATACCAATCACAAAAATCAACTCAGTGGATCTGAAACTGTAAAACTCCTAGAAGTAAACATAGGGGTTAAACCTTGTTGACAATAATTTTTCTTAGACATGATAAAAGCACAAGCAATAAAAGCAAAAATAGATAAGTGGGACAACATCAAATTAAGAGACTTCTGCAAGGAAATCATTAACATAATGAAAAGGCAATCTACAGACTAGGAGAAAATATTTGCAAGCCATGTCTCTCGTAAGGGGTTAATATCCAAAATATATAAGGTACTTCTGCAACTCAGTAGCACCCACAAAAAATAACCTGATTAAAAAGCAGGCAAAGGACATCAATAGACATTTCTCTAAAGAAGATATATAAATATTCAACAGATATATGAAGAAATGTTAAATATCATTAATGATCAGAAAAAAATACAACTCAAAGCCACAGTGAGATAGCATGTCATACCTGTCAGGATAAGATCATATTTGTAAAAGTCACAGATGATAGTGAGGAAATGGAGAAATTTGAAGCCAGCTGGCATTGTTGGTGGAATGTAAAGTGGTACAGCCACTGTGGAAACCAATATGAAGGCTCTTCAAAAAATTAAAATAGAATTGTATATGTCTCAGTTCACACAAAACATAGACCTACCTCTGCATTCAGCTTTTGATATCATTATATTTAGCCTGTACCAGGCTATCTAGTACCAGGCTACCATATTATGCAGCAATCTCACTTCTGAGTATCTACCCAAAATAATTGAAATATTGAAGAGTTATATGCATTCCAATGTTCACTGCAGCATTATTCACAATAGTAAGATATGGAAAAAACGCAAATGTCCATTAATTGATGAATTGATTTTTAAAATGTGGAAAACTGAACACAGTGGCTCACACCTGTAATCCTAATATTTTGGAGACTGAGGCTGCAGGATCACTTGAGGTCAGGAGTTTGAGATCAGCCTGGACAACGTAGCCAGATGTGGTGGCATACCCTTGCAGTCCCAGCTACTGGGAGGCTGACGTGAGAGGATCACATAAACCCAGGAGTTCAAGGCTGCAGTGCACTAGGATCACCCCACTGCATTCCAGCATGGGTGACAGAGTAAGACCTCATTTTTAAACAAAAAAAAAAATATGGTACATACATACAATTAAAAATTGTTCAGTCTTTAAAAAGAAAAAAACCCTGCTATTTGTGACAACACAGATGAACCTGAAGAAGCATTATGCTAAGTGAAATAAGCCAATCATAGGACAAATGCTGCATTATTCTACTTATGTGAATTACCTACAATTGTCAAATTCACAGAAGCAGAGAATAGAATGGTGGTTAGCAGGGGCTGCCTGCTAGAGGAAAGGGAAAATGAGGTGGGGAAATGGCAAATTTTTATTCAATTATTTTAAAGTTACAATTATGCAAGATGAATTACTTACAGAGCTGTGCTGTATAGAATAGTGCCTATAGTCAATAATAAGCACATACAACTTTGTTAAGAGGGCAGAGCCTATGTTAAATGTTCTTACCACAAAACAACAATAGAAAGCAAAGGGACACAAGGAAACTTGGAATTGATAGCTATGTCTATTACCTTGATTGTGGTGATGGTTTCATGGTTCAGGCACATACCCAAACTTATTGAATTCTGTATATTAAATATATGTGGATTTTTGCATAGCAATTATGCCTGAAAAAAGAGGTGCCTTTTTACAATTTTGTTTAAAGTTAAGAATAAAAAAACTCAGAAAAGGGTGCTTTTTATTGCTACCATATACTGAGAAGTCTGAATAATAGCAGTGATAAAATACTCTCTCAAAAATCTTTGCTGTCTAAATTGTGAAATTTTGAATAGAGGAATTTGAAGTTCCAAGTTGAAGTTTTAGTGGTTTAGATGAGGGACCTGTGTTTAGATAAATGGCTTTGAATAGCTTGATAATGTCATTAAATAGGACTCATGTGCTAAGTGTAGACAAATAGTAAAGAGTGAGCTATTTTGGGGTTTCTGAATATAGGTATATCAATCAAGGTCCTATCAGGATACAGAAACTACAGTTATTTACACAGGCAAAATTTAATAAAAGATACTATTAACAGAAGATTGGAGTAATGGGGATTGTCTAATAAGAGTGAAAGAGACACAAGAATAAAGAGAGATTACCACCTCTAGGATAGAGATAAAACACCCAAGCAAAGTCCAGCTCTTATCAGGGCTGATATTCAGATGGTATTGAAGTGGGTACTGCTGCAGTTCAGTAGAATATGAAGAGGTTCACTGGGATGCTTTCAAGACTCCCTGAAAATCAATGCTGTGAAGAAGCTCTCCTCAGTGGAGTGTGCACCTGCAGCTCACTGCAAAGCTGCCAGTGTGGATGCTGGAGGAGCCATCCAAAGGCAGGTGCCTCACTGGCAGCACTCCACTACAAGCCCATCCGATGGGAGTGTGTATAAAATGGGAAACTGTTCATGAGTGCCCTGCCCGACTCCCACTCTGCTGTGAAGCCACAGCCACACAAGAAATATATGCCAGAAGCTGTCCAGTACCTGCTGAAAAAAAAAAAAAGCCCAATTTGCAGACACCTGATGAAAGGGCTGCACTGGGTTGAGGAAGAGAAACCCTTTCTTCCTCCAGTGTCTCTCCAGTGCCAGGCTATATGACAAGGGGAAAACACTTGCAGGCTCCAGCTCCACTGCCACAGAGCAGTCAAGGAAAGGTGGATTTTGAGTTCCGAGGCAATAAATTGGTAAATGGCACAGTAGGTAAATAAAATACAACATCTCATTTTCCAAGAATATGTGAGGTAGGTTAGGGAAATTCAAATGAAGTGCATTTTCTCAAAATCTGTTTTATTTTAATAGTGTGTATTAGCACTGTTTTATTACCTTTATGATCGTTGCCTTCTGCATGGAGCTTAATTAATGGAACTTCTAATTATTCAGTCAGCCTCTGTCTCTTCATCCTCGGATACCTGTGTTTGTTTTTTTGAGTAGGAAGAGCCTGATGATTTTAGAATTCTATGAGCTTTCTTCAAGAGGTTCATATTTCCAGCCTATGTGGAACATATTTCTACATTTAAACAATAAATTAGAAACAAAACTATGATGGCACAGTGACTATAAAGATAAAACAAACTCAGGTAATTATATTCTATTATTCTATGCAGCAATTTGGCATTTTTATTGAAGATTAAAACTTAAAACAAGAAAACAGTGTCGCATGTGAGCTGTAATTTTTTAGTGATAATTACAAATTTCATTTTATATATGAAATGCATGTGTTTCATGTTACAATTCTTACCAAAACTGGTATTATAACATGAAACACATGAATTTCATGTATGAAATGAAATTTGTAACCTGGCAAGATGTCTCACCTATGTAATCCCAGCACTTTGGGAGGCCAAAGCAGGCGGATCACCGGAGGTCAGGAGTTTGAGACCAGCCTAGCCAACATGTGAAAACCTCGTCTCTACAAAAATACAAAAATTAGCCAGGCGTGATGGCGGGTGCCTGTAATTCTAGCTACTCGGGAGGCTGAGGTGGAAGAATCGCTTGAACCCAGGAGGCAGAGATTGCAGTGAGCCGATATCACGCCATTGCACTCCAGCCTGCGTGACTGAACGAGACTCTGTATCCAAAAAAAAAAAAGTGATCTTCTCTGAATGTCAAATGCCCTGCTATCCTGCAGAGAGTAGCCATATTTTGCCAAGCAGATCAATTTCCATTAATTAGATATCTGAATGTAAGAGACATTAAAAAAAGTGTGTGTAAAGGGATAAACAGCGGTTACAGAGTGTTGTGCTGGAGCTAACTTGTAGTGATTTATAAGATTCAATTTCCAAATTTTCAGAACTTGCAGAACAGTCAACATCAGTTTGGTAGTTTATAATAGGTCATGATGGAAATACAGCACAACAGCTGGCAGATGTTACAAATCGGAGTATTGTTTTGTTTTTTCTTTCACATCCGTAACAACAGAAACAAGTCGTGAAATCCATTTTAAGTGGATGGTATCTTTTTCACATTCCCAACCTAAAGATGAAGTTTCGAATATATTTTAAAATGGTTTTGAAATAGTAAGCTAAAAGTATGAGGAATTTAAATGAGAATCCCTGATTTTCTTTCTTTCTTAAACAGTTTCAAATAATCAGATAAGCCTCTAAACCATCTAGATATTAAATAAGATTCACATGCTAAAGGTGGTGACTAAGATATAGTAATGTATCATCAGGTTTCTGAGTACAGAGAATTAGCAAAGTGAAATGGAAATTTTGCTGAAAAGGATAGTTGAGAATAGGGGTTGGAAACAGATGGGAATATGCCAATAGTCTATTTTTTCAAATACTGTAATTAGCAGGAGTTCAAAACGTTCAAATGGCAATGTAATTACCACCAATCCAGTGTTAAGGTAGCAAACCAGGGAGGATTACAACATATTATATAAAATCTAGAAACTTTAAGAGTATCAAGTTATGTATATCCAACTACTTATATTCATGGACAAAAGAAATACACATTAATGATTCTGTGGGGATGCATCATTGCATCCATCATTACTATTTTAGTATTGGTAAAGAACCAAACAATTTGTTCTAAGATGTGCTGACTATTTAGCAGACTTTGTGATGGAAACACTTGCCATCTTCTCTAACACACTTCTACCATACAAAGTATACTTACTGTGCCCAAAATGTGGTCACATACTTCTTTGTCAGCTCTCAGTAGACAAAGCAAAGGTTTATCTAGTGCAATTTTTTTCTCCTTGCCTTGCGATTTTTTTTCCTACTCCATTGAGCTCTCAAATTAAAAGTTCTCGAATTATCCTATGGTATGTTGTCCTCCATCTCTGTACTTGGCTGGAAATTATCTTGCTAAGACATTCTAATGGTTGGAAAATGCACGTGAATAAATAAAATGAATAAAAAAATCTACTAAGTGGCACCAGAGAATAATTGTATCATTACTAATTTTGAAACATGAAGGAGGTTTTTGTTTTCCTTTTACTCCCACTTCTCCTTTAGTTTTTGCACAACGTTTTGTCATATTTAGCCTATATATTTTATATGACTACCCTATACACAAAAAGGGTATTTAATTAAGGAGCAAATCATATAATACAAAATTATTACACATAATATTTTTAAATGAAGAAGCACTATTAATCCTGCTATTAGAATTGAATTTCAAATCAAATAAATAAAATCAATGTCTATGTAGACTTGTAAATTCTAAGGAGCTAAGTTCTTTTTTTTCTAGTATAAGGACATAGTTTTGTAATTATCAATTATTGAAAGTTTAGGGATTTTTAAAGTAGGATAAGAAAAGTGAGTCAGTCATCGAATCAATAATCACTTATTGAATAGCTGTTATATAACTGGGGTTCATATGTGTGTGTATGTCTGTGTGTGTGTCTATACACACACATATATATGTAAGATTATATAATATATATACTATATGACACAGGGATGGTGAGATGAATGAAAAATGTTGGAAGAACTTACACTCTAGTGTGATAGTTTTGAA
This sequence comes from Homo sapiens, assembly GCF_000001405.40. Lineage (NCBI taxonomy): Eukaryota > Metazoa > Chordata > Mammalia > Primates > Hominidae > Homo > Homo sapiens. Next base: position 125,476,914 of record NC_000007.14, read on the forward strand.
ACCAGACAGCAGACTAAAATCACTCAGAAAGCTTCAAAAATACTGAGACCTTGGACCAAAGCAACTAAATCAGTTTCTTCGGTAGTAAGGTAGCAGAAACAGAATGCTCTCTAGGTTATGCTGATTAGTTGCCAATATCGAGAATAATTGGTTTGGTGGCTTTTAAATAGATGCTTGCTATTCAAATTGTCTTGTTGCCACCACTGAAAGTGTCAATATTTTTGTTTTTGCTTTTAAAATTTACTCTTGTATTATAACCTTAAAGCTGTATAGTTATCCACTGACTTAAAAGCAACAACAACTCTTCTTTTAGTGTGTTTTTCAGCACACTAGCTACTTAGTAACCTGTTTACAGGATAACCAAACTTTAACGTACAAGCTCAAATTATTGGGATGTGATTTATCGGTTAATTTACACAGATATTTTACTAAAAGATAAATCATCTTAAATGACAGTTTTAATATTTTATTAAATGTTTTCTTTTAGTCTTAGAAAAGGAACTTCATTCTATTGCCTAGAAGTGGGTAATACACTTGTATGCTTTTACTCCCTGAGTTTTGGAATAAATCATCCCTAATACGCTTTGGTAGCTAAGGAAACAAGGACATCTTTAGTTCCCATCTTCTCACTGAGCCTAAATGAGACCACCAGGCAGTCCTCTGACATGTCCCCAGCTCAGTGTTGCTGAAACCACTGTTTGTGTTACCAGGACCCGTGCGAGCTCTTAGTAAAACATGGTAGGTATAGAAAGTGAGAATAAGGGTGTAGTGACATCACAGTTTTGGAGAATAATTTGTGTTTATTGAATCTACTGTGGTTTTTTTTTATTACTATACTTTAAGTTCTGGGATACATGCGCAGAATGTGCAGGTTTGTTACATAGGTATACATGTGCCACGGTGGTTTGCTGTACCCATCATCCCATCATCTAGGTTTTAAGCCTGCATGCATTAGATATTTGTCCTAATGCTATCCCTCCCCTTACCCCCATCCCTGACAGGCCCTGGTGTGTGATGTTCCCCTCCCTGTGTCCATGTGTTCTCATTGCTCAACTCCCACTTATGAGTGAGAACATGTGGTGTTTGGTTTTCTGTTCCTGTGTTAGTTTGCTGAGAATAATGGTTTCCACCTTCATAGTGAAACTTATATTTTATAATTCTTTTTTTCACTTTGTATTTTAGTAATTTTTGTAATTGTGTTTTATTTTAAAAAATCTGGCTGGGTGTGGTGGCTCACGCCTGTAATCCCAGCACTTTGAGAGGCTGAGGCGGGCAGATCACGATGTCAGGAGTTCGAGACCAGCCTGGCCAACATAGTGAAACACAGTCTCTACCAAAGATACAAAAAATTGGCCAGGCGGGGTGGCGTGCACCTGTAATCCCAGCTACTTGAGAGGCTAAGGCAGAAGAATCGCTTGAACCCAGGAGGCGGAGTTTGCAGTGAGCTGAGATCGTGCCATCGAACTCCAGCCTGAGCAACAAGGGGAGACTATGACTCAATAAATAAATGAATAAATAAATAAAATAAATAAATAAATAAGTAAATCTGTCTGCCATGGGTTAAAATAAATCGAACTAGTCCTTTGCCGGTGATGGGATGACAAGTCTTTCCCAGGCCACACTCACATGTGTATTGTTTGGCCTTTCTATAATGTGAACATGGTCTCTAGGAAGAAAATTTGTGCTTATCCAAGATTTACCTAGAAAGATTCTATTGCTTCATTAATGGATAAGAAAGAAGGGCTAATACAAAGAGCTTCACAAGCAACATAGAGGAAGAAAAAAGAAATAAGTAATAATTAGAGGAAAATAAGGAAGAAACAGATACAAACAAGAATGGGAATAGAGGGAAAAGAGAAGAAGAGAGATTAAGGTATAAAGAGTAAACAACATATTTTTTTCTAGATGAAGTTCATCTAAGTATTGTATGAAATAAGTGTTCACAACCCTATGAGAGCAGCAAATGCAGTTTTTTTTTAAAAGAAGTTGGTGCAATGTAGCCAAAATTTTATAGCCCATAAATAGTTTATGTATTAACTAAACTTGAAATAAACAACATTGCATTAAAAGTAGAGACTGTTTGGACTTACACTGTTTATTGTTCCTATGGTGTTTATTTTAAATGACTATAAACATTTGTTAAGAACTATAAACATTTTGGAATTTAAAATGATAGGAGATATATTTGACATAGAGTAGGTGTCTCAAAAGAATAGGGATCCAAATAACAGTCAGGATGTTCTAAAAGTATTCAGTCTCAGTTACTCGAGATGGATACATTGTGGAGATCTACTGTACAGCATAGTGTCATACTTAACAATACTTTCATGAGTACTTAATTAGCTAAGTGAGTAGATCTTATGCTAAGTGTTCATACTAGTAATCAATTAATAAATAGAAATAAAAAGAGTGGGAGTAAACTTTTGGAAGTGATATATTTATGGCTGTGACCATGCTGATGATTTCATGGGGGTATACTTACTTCTAACACATCAAGTTGTGCATATTAAATATGTACAGTTTTTTTGCATCTCAACCACACCTTCATAAAGTGGGTTTAAAAATGAATAAATTTGAAACTAATGTGTTGAGGAGTGTGATTTTAACTACTTGATAATATAAATAAGATAATTTGTTATCTTTGTTTGGAGCACAATTTAGGCAGCATGATTCTATTTTAAATGAGGCCTTTCTTTTTCGTTAAAATCAGAGTACTTTGGCTTTATTTTGTAATAACAAGAAGAGAACAAAGATGAGGAGCAGTAAATGTTTTTCAAAGCTAATCAGTTTGAGGCCTTTTTTTTCTTTTTCTTTAGTTCTGAATTGTTTTCTCTAAAGACAATGGAAATTGTAATACTTAATTTGTCATATTCTAAAAAAAAAAAAAAAGCATGAATGCCAAGAAGTAAGTACTACCTGCATCTACAGTCACGTTTTAGCATTTCAATTTGTATGAGAGGTGGGACGAATACTGAAGATGTCACATTAACGATAATGACAATTTAAATTCAGTAATTCTTGCACAGGCAAACTGATGTGCAGGTTATTGTACAAACTAAAATTCTATTATTCTACAGTTTGCTTAATAATTAGCCTTTCTTCTTATTGTTTCATTTTTTGAAATACAAAAGTCCTCTTACTTAGTAATTACAGAATAAAACAGTAACTTTCTATGTACATTGCCATTTTCATGACATATTTGGTCATCCTTTCTGGAACATATCCCATGTTTCTTACACCTTCTCTTATTGCAATTCTTTTCAAGGAATAGAAAATATGCTATTTTTTTCAGAAAAAAATTTAAAAAACTTTCTTCCAATATGTAATATTTTCTGATCCTCCATTCCCCATTACAATCCCACTTGTTTGTTACCCTATTTGCCTCATTATTAAGGTAGTCACATATTGCATCAAGAAAATAAGTCATTCATTTCCAAACAATGCACTGTCTACACCAATACATTTAAAATTAGATGCAATTCCTGATCTAAGTATGTTTAGGAGTAATGAAAAAATTTTAAGCCAAGAGACAAAATAGAAATAGCTTTAGAGATAGTTTATTGGTTTCGATTATTCATTACTGCACTATATAATCAATTATAGAAAACTTCTGAAATCTAGATAATATTCAGGAAACTATTTCTATAAAATGCCAATTTGCACAGAAGAGTAAGACAGACAATTATAGAGTACTTCAAAAAATATAATTTTTGAGAAATTTTAGGTATATGAAATGGCATAATAACTTGTATAATTACAAGGTAGAGACAAGCTAACTAGGAGTTCTTTGAGTAAATTTCTCTAGTCCTTAATTCTTTACATTTTCCTTTTTTAGGTATATTCTATAGTCAGCAGTATCCTGGTGACTCATAAGAGAAGATTCAGCCAAGCTCGGTGGCTCCCGCCTATAATCCTAGTACTTTGGGAGGCCAAGGCGGGTGGATTGCCTGAGCTCAGGAGTTTGAGACCCAGCCTGGGCAACATGATGAAACCCCGTCTCTACTAAAACACACACACAAAAACAAGTAGCCGGGATTGGGGCGTGCTACTCAGGAGGCTGAGGCAGGTGAATCGCTTGAATCCACCAGGTGGAGATTGCAGTGAGCCGAGATCACGCCAATGCACTCCAGCCTGGGAGACAGAGCAAGATTCCGTCTCAAAACAAAAACAAAAACAAAAACAAAAAACAGAAACAAAAGAAGACTCATAAAACAAACTTTCAGTTCTGCTAATAAATTCAAGGGACTGGAATTACTACTTGTTGAACATCACCATACTATTTTGTCCTCAATTTATCTTGATTGAGAGATATGGTCTTTAAGGAAACATGCTTTAGTTATTTGGGAAGATTCTTCAGCAGCTCAGTGTTTGCTATGAAGCTTCTATACTCGCCATGCCTGTATTCTTTCTAAATAATTGAAAACAGTAATGGGTTTTGATATGGTTTGGCTCTTCGTTCCCACTCAAATCTCACCTTGAATTGTAATAATCCCCACGTGTCAAGGGTAGGAGCAGGTGGAGATAATTGAATCATTGGGGTGGTTTCCTCCATGCTGTTCTCTTGATAGCGATTGAGTTATCCTGTGAGCTAATGGTTTTGTAAGGGGCTTCCCCCTTCACTCAGCACTCATTCTCTCTGCCGCCACACTGTGAAGAGGTGCCTTTTGCCATGATTCTAAGTTTCCTGAGGCCTCCCCAGCCATGCAGAACTGTGAGTCAATTCAACGTCTTTCCTGTATAAATTACCCAGTCTTGGGTATTTCTTCATAGCGGTGAGAAACTAAACCTATTTTAGTTAATAAGATCGAACTAAAGTAGGTTTCAATAAATATGTTTCTTTAAAATGAGTCATGACTAGCTGTAAACAATGACTTTTTTGGCATGGCATTCTTTTTGTGAAATATTATATAATTTGGTAAGATTTCTATTGATTTTTAATTTGTTGCCTTTCTTTTAGTACTTGTCTTCACCTTTAATTTTTCTTAATAAATGCGGAATTGAAATGAGCTAAATTATTCAGACACTTTGGGATCAACATCTATTTCATTGTTCATCTCAGTTAGTTGCATCAGGACTATCGCATATCTTCATTCTCCTATGACATGTCTTAAAACAATTTGATTTCTAACTCATTTTGTTAACTGTAATGAATTCCTTTTTTTGGATATGCTAATAATTTCCCTTAAAGCAGTAACTGATACAACAAAATCTTTTGTCTTCTCTCTCATCCCAATTAAAGTGTATATGTTTCCTTTTCTGAGGAAGATTGCTAAGTGTTATTGAATACTTCTTTTTCCTCTTCGTTTTTCTAGGAAAGTAGTGCTATGCTGTGATTTTACTAAAGTTTAACTGAGCAGAATTGACTTAATTATATATAATGGGACTTAGTTGTGTTTTTTTCTCTGACGTATTTTCACTTTCTTGAAATCTGGAAGAGATTTTTCTCTGATTATATCCAGAGTGTGAAGAGAAATGAATTTAAAAATTCATTTTGGAAAGTAGAAATGAAGACTGAAGGCTTATTCTGCAAGTTTTCCTGAAATACCAAAAATAGAAATGTAGTTGCCAATTAACTGGGCTAAGAAATTATATTTTTACATAGTTGCTAGTCATGATCAAAATTATAATATTAGTTGTTGTCTACCATTTTAGATTGTCTTTAGTAAGGTAATTTTAGATAAATGTGAACTTATTTACAATGTCCTTCAGAAATACTAGTAACTTTTATTTAAGAATAAAAGTTTACTTTAATCACTTGGTTTAGATGGTATCTTCCAGTTTTATATAATGTGAAGCTAGTATTTTTCCTTTTGTAATGAATAAATGTTTCATGGGGAGATATTTTGAGACTATGAAAATATCTTTTTTCTCCTAGAATCACTCTCTTTAGACACTATCATTTATTCTTGCCTAATTAACTTACTTCTGTGATAGTTTCCAAACGGTGATTTTCTACTTTCATCATTAAATTTATGTATAACAGTTTTATTCTGTTTTAAAAAAGGATTTTTAATTCCTAATTATGTATTCATTTTTGTCACAGGTACTTATAGACTTTAATTGTATTCTGTAGGTAATAATCTATTATTCTTACCATTGCTGGGCAAATATATATTGTATGACTCCATGTATGTTGTCTGACAAAGATATAACATCACTCCAGTAATATTCCTGCCAAAAACATACCACAAATTTAATCATGAGCAAACACCAGACAAACAAAATCTGAGAGATATTCTACAAAATGAATGATCTCTTCAAAAATATGATAATAAAAGATTAAGAAAAAAGAAAATAATTTTGTGAGGTGAGGAATATGTTAACTAAACTTGATTGTGATCATCGTTTAATGACGCACATGTATACCAAGCCATCAAGTTGGACACCTTATGTATACAATTTTTGTCAATTATACCTGAATGCAGCTGAAATAAAATGAGAAATGCTTCCAATTTAAATTATAAGTAAGATACATGATAAGAAAATGCAACACACCATCCTGGATTGCTTTAAACATCAGTGGGAAAAATGGACAAATTGAATAAGGTCTTTAGATTCTAGGATATAATAATTTTAATTCTTAATTTTGATAATTGTACAGGGGTTATGTAAGGTATTGCCCTTGTTACTAGGAAATATGCATTTGAGTTGAGAGTAAATGGGCAATGTATCTCTGATTTACTCACAAATGTTCAGGAAATTGTGCATTTGTGTGCATCATTGTGTGTAAGAAGACAGAGGAGGGAAAGGAGGAAATTTTATGAAATGTTAACATTAGAAGAAAACCAAGCGAAGGATCTGTGAAAATTACACTACTTTTTGCAAATTTTCTGCAATTCCTAAGTTGTTAAAATAAAATTTCTAAAAACTAACTTTATGTCAGACTGATTCTGAATTACATAGTAAGTTACATGGTTTCTTTTCTTTCTTTTCAAGAAATAGTTAACAAAGAAAAAAACATTCAAACTTATCTTCTGTTAAGCCCTTTTCCTTTTCTAGTATTCCATTTCTTAAAATCCTTCCTAGGCTTTTCTTAGGTTCCAGATTTCTAGCTTCCACAGAAAGCATGATCTCACTATCCTTGGAACACAATTGCCTGCTCTTTGCTCTGAGTTCTAACATTACAGTCTTTATAAAACAACCTAGCATTCAATAATGTAATGTTTTATGTTTATCCTACATTATTTCACTTAGATATAATGTCTTCATCAATTAATCAGAGAAAATTTCTTTCATTTTCTTCCTCTCTCCAAAAATTCCTGCAATTTCAATTCTACAGTAAGAGGTTTCCTTAGTATGTTTTCTGTTGTTTATAGCAAAATACCCCAAACTGAGTAATTTATAAAGAAAATAAATTTATTTCATATAGTTCTGGAAGCTGAGAAGTCCACGGTTGAGGGGCTGCATCTGGCGAGGGCCTTCTTGCTGGTGGGGATTCTGCAGTGTCCAAAGTCAGCATAGGGCATCACATGGTGAGAGGACTGAGTTCAGGGTTCTCTTCTTATAAAGCCACCAGTCCCATTCCCATAATAACCCATTAACTCACTAATTCATGAAAACATTAATTTATTCATAAGGGGAGAGATTTCATGACCCAATCACCTCTCAAAGGCCCTCCTTCTCAACTACCACATTGGAGATTAAATTTCAACATGAGTTTTGGGGTTGACAAACATCCAAACCACAGTATCAGTTATTTAATCTTTATACATTTGATGTAAAATAGTTTGCTTGGAAGATAGTCCTAAGCACTAAGGATGAAAAAATAGATAAAATAATGACTTTCACCTATTAAATTAATTTAAAACTATTTCTTAAAAAGGGATAAAAATAAAGGAAAATTAATGCAGCTAACTTCTGCAAGTACTGCTTTTCACGTGCTTAGAAATTTTCTAGTTATGACCTATTCTCTTCAATGGTGAGGCAGAGTTGTTCTCATTAAAGAACTGCCACTTTGGAAGACAGTTTGGCAGTTTCTCACAAAACTAAATATGTTCTTACCATATCATATAGCAATTGTGTTCCTAGGTATTTACTCAAATGCCTTTAAAACTTATGTTCCCATAAAAGCCTGTGTATGAATGTTTATAGCATATTTATTCATTGTTGCTAAAACTTGGAAGGAACCATAATGTCCTTCAGTAGGTGAATGAACAAATAAATTGTGATATATCCATATAACGCAACATTACTCAGCAATAAAAAAGGAATATCAAGCCATGAAAAGACATGCAAGAAACTTAACACACACTGCTAAGTGAAAGAAGCCAATATGAAAATGTAACATACTATGATTCCAGTTAAATGCCATTCTTGAAAGGAAAAACTATGGATACAATAAAAAGATCAAGGGTGGTCAGTGGGCTGGGGAGGGCATGAGATGACTACGTAGAGAACAGGTAATTTATAGAGCACAGAAATTATTCTATATGATGCTGTAATGGTGGATTAAGGTCATACATTTGTCAAAACTGATAGAATGTATAATGCAAAGAGTGAACTATAATGTAAACTATAGAGTTAAGGATGAATCAACACCGATTCATCAATGTAACAAATGAGTCAACATATTTCATAATATAGTATGCAATATTACCATCACATTAATATTTGATTATATATTAATATATTAATGCAATATGTTAATAATATGAGACTGGGGGGTGAGGTGTATATGAAAAGCTTCTATATTTGCTACTCAATTTTTCTGTGAACCTAATAATGTTTTAAAAATAAAGTAAATCAATATAAAAAATGAAAATAAATTAGTAGTTATCATGAACTCAGGTTGAATTGGGGAAGAACAAGAGGTTTGTTTACTGTGGTGAAAGTATTTTGAGTGATACCATAATGGTGAATACAAGACATTCAGCATTTGTCAAAACCTATGAAATTTAAAGCACAACGAGTAAACTTCATGATCAATAAAATAGTTATTTAGGAGACTGGAGCATCCCAGAATGAACTACAAAATATTATTTTTAATCCCATAAAATTCTTTTTTTAAAGATTGAAACAACTTGATGGTAGATTTTTTTAAAAGTTGTTTACTTAAATTACCTCACAAACGATTGACATATATAAGAAAGAAGGCAAAAGGCACTGTAAGCCCAGTAATATAGTTGATAAAGTTGATAAGGGGATATGCTCGAACAATTCTGAAATCACTATGTGTGTGTAATTGTTTTATGTATAGATTAGTATTGTACACTGAAATTCAGTGTACGGTAAGTAAATGGATAATGATGCTAGGAGCTAGACTCATTATTGTTCAAGTATAAGGTTACAGATAAAACAGAGAAGACTACATTGATTTACAAGATGAATTAAAACTGCAGGTATCTGTATAAACTGATGTTTAGTTTAACATAGACACATAAAGTTACATATAACATACTTATGCATATGTGTATATACATGACTTAGTACACACACTTGTAACTTCTTGCTCTTAAAATGAAAGGACCAATTAAACAATGATACCCCAGTAGCAATGAACACACCAGGATCTTGGTTTCTAATACTATTGTCCAATAAAATAAACCAGGGCTTTTTGGATATATGAGTGATTTTAGGACTGGGAAAGAAAATATACAATATGAGCCTGGAATAGATTGTAGTTCCAGAAAGTGAGAAAGTGCTCAAAACACACATATAAATACACACACACACACACACACACACAATTATGGCAGTATGTCAAAGGGATCCTAAAGTCAACTGAAAGAGTTTCCAGTAGCTAAAAAGCTGGAATAATTTGATTTTTAAAAAGTAATATTGGATTTGAACTCAAAGTATAGAATATTCATGATTTCATGATGACATAAATAAATGATTTAGTAAATAAATAAATGGGAAATAGTAGATAAATTTCCCAGGTGGAAGAATTTCAAACAAATTAAGTAGATACTCTGTTCTAGAGGGGATAGACCATAAATGTCTCCTTGTTCACTCTGTGCCGCACAAATTGACTTTCTCCCTACTAGTACAGCATGAAAATGGCAAACAAATAAACTAACTTTATAACGAAGAAAGTTGGCAAACACTATCTCAAGCTAGTGATTAAGGTTAAAATGAAGGGTTGTAACTCATATTGATTCCACATACCCTCAATGCAGTGTGGTGAGAATGCATTTTAGCCCTGTGGTCTTCTTCCCCCAGTACACACGACAACTTTCTAATCATAAGAAAAACCCTGGCAATTTCTAAGACTTAAGGACAGAAATACCATTCAATCCAGCAATCCCATCACTGGGTATATACACAAAGGAGTATAAATCATTCTACCATAAAGACCCATGCACACATATGTTCATTAGAGCACTATCCGCAATAGCAAAGACATGGAATTAACCTAAATGCCCATCAATGGTAGACTGGATAAAGAAAATGAGGTACATATACACCATGGAATACTATGTAGCCAAAGAAAGGAATGAGATCATGTCCTTTGCAAGGACACTGATGTAGCTGGAGAACATTATTCTTAACAAACTCACACAGTAACAGAAAACCAAGTACTGCATGTTCTCATGTATGAGTGGGAGCTAAATGAAGAGAACACACATGGACATGTAGAGGGGAACAACACACACTAGGGCCTTTCAGAGGGTGGAGGTTAGGAGCAGGGAAAGCATCAAGAAAAATAACTAATGGGTGATAGGCTTAATACCTGGGTGGTGAAATAATTCATACAACAAACCCCCATGACACAAGTTTATGTAACAAACCTGCACTTGTACCCCCGAACTTAAAATAAAAGTTAAAAAAAAGAGAGAAAAACATTAGGCCAGGTGGGGTGGTTCACACCTGTAATCCCAGCACCTTGGGAGGCCTAGATGGGCACATCACTTGAGACCAGGTGTTTGAAATCAGCCTGGGCAATGTGGCGAAACCCTATTCTCTCCAAAAACAAAAAAAAGTGGCTGGACATGGTGGCACATGCCTGTAGTTGCAGCTACTTTGGAGGCTGAGGTGGGAGGATAGTTTGAGCCTGGAAGATCGAGGCTTTGGTGAACAATGATTGTGCCACTGCACTCGAGCCTGAGCAACAGAGTGAGACCCTATCTCAAAAAAAAAAAAAAAAAAAAAAAAAAAAAAAGAAAGAAAGAACAAAAAGAAAAAGAAAAACATCAGACAAATCCCATTTGATAGGCATTTACAAAACACATGACCAGTAATCTTTAAAACTGGAAGATCATAAAACAATGAAAATCTTAGGAACTGGTATAGCCAAGAAGAGCCTAATGAAACATAATCAATAAATGTACTACCTTGACTAGGATACTTAAATGTATATACACACACACATACAAAATAGAAAAATCCTGAGTTAACCTGACTTAAGTATGGACCATTTTTAATAATAATGTATCAATATTAGTTCATTAATTAGGTATACAGGTATTCTCTTATGATCATTGCAGTAATTCTCTGTATCTAAAACTGTTCTAGAATAAAAAGCCTATTTGAAAATATACAAACAAACATGAATACAACAAAATGTTCAAATTCATTAACATTAGGAAAATACAAATTAATACCATGATGCTAGATGACTGTCTACGTACTGGAATAACTTAAATAATAAATACAGAGGGCTGGGTGTGGTGGCTCATGCCTGTAATTCCAGTGCTGTGAGAGGCCCAGGCAGGAGGAACACTTGAGCCCAGGAGTTCAAGACCAGCCTAGGCATCATAGAGGGACGCTGTCTCTACAATTTTTTTTTTTAAATAGCACTACTGTTGTCCTAGCTACTTGGGAGGCTGAGTTGGGAGGATCGTTTGAGCCCAGCAGCTCAAGATCGCAGAGAGCTATGATCATGCCACTGCACTCCAGCCTCAATGACAGAGTGAGACCCTGTCTCTCAAAATAAATAAAAAAATAAGTAAAGACAGAGAATGGCACGGGTTGATGAAGATATGAAACAAAGGGACCACTCATGAATTGCTTTGAGGGTTTATAATAAAATATCTTCAGAAAACACAGATAATCTATTTATCCTGAATAAATGCATATCCTATAAAATAACATTACAATATTTTCTCAAAGAGTTATTTCATGTAGTAATGCAGAATGTACTCACATTGAAGAGTCCAAATTCCAATCAGCACTGTGAGACAAAATATAATATGGCATAATGAGAAAATGGAATAGATTATGGCAAAAATGAACTACCACCATGTCCCAAAAAATAAAATCAATCCTAGATGATGAACAATGTTGATTAAAAACAATCAGACATCAAAGAGTGCATATTTTACAATTCCATTTCTAAAATAGGCAAAACTAGCAGGTAGGATGCTGTCTTTGGGGTGGTGTTCACTAGATAATTCATTAAGGAGTCAACAGGCACAGTGCCTGCTTTGTTTTTTCTGTGACACCAGGGCCAAATGGCAAGCCAGCCATTATGTGTTAAATCAGAAACAGGATTAATCTTATACATTCTGACATCATTTTTATCTAAGCATAGCACTTCAAATTAGCATAGCGCTGATGGTATTCTATATTTTGGTCTATGTCTGCTCATGTGGGTGCTTTTATTTAGTGAAAAGTTCACTGAGCTAGACAATGTCAAGTTCTGCTGATGCTTTAGTTTGGCCCAGATTTTATGCTCCAGTCTGCATGATGCAGCCTCAAAAAATTGCTTCAAACTTTACATGCAGTTACCAAAATTAACTTAAGTACTAACTAGTAATTATTGCATACATGATGCCTTACCAGATTCTTCTCATTTAAACCTCAAAAGGGTGGCTATTATCCTGATTTTATGCATAATTAGAGTTAAATAATATGCTTGAATGATGAAGCTTGTGATTTACAAAAGCAGAATGTACATAGTTTCACTTCCTTAATAAAGCATTGACAAATAATTTCAGGGAAACAATAATAATGTGAAGTTGCTATGCTTAGATACGAACGATGATAGAATTCATAAGATTAATCCTGTTTCTGATTTAACACATAATGGCTGGCTTGTCATTTGGCCCTGGTGTCACAGAAAGAAACAAAGCAGACACTGTGCCTGCCCATGTGCGTTTGTGTGTGTGCATGTGTGTGTGTGTGTGTGTGTGTGTGTGTGTGTGTGTTAGGGACCACAAAAATGATGTATGATTAAAAAAATGGATGCTACCTTTCTAAGTTGATTTGTCACAAAATAAACAGTTTCTTTATTGAGAGAGAAGAGCATCTAAAATTGTTGAAAGTGGATGGTTTGCAAATGGACCCATATTTTTTCTCTGAACTAGAATTCTCATTTCAAAAGTTATAATGACAGATATGCATAGAAAAGATAACTAAGTCCTGTAAGTCATTTTATAATATCTCGAAAACATCTTTACTTTAGTACTATAGTTAGCATAAATCAATGTACCGTGGCTATTATCTATAGAGGAATCCTTTTCACATCGTTTAACTGTAATGTAAAAAAAGGGAGATTATTTTGTTTTCATTTTGGTTTTGCTCCCTCAATGTGAAAGTCGTGGGTTGAATTCACATAATGACCTCATTGTCACACAAAAAAGCCTTGAGATAAAGTAAATTAAAAAAATAATTTAATCATGACCATTATATCACATGCTTAAATTGTAACATTTTGGTTACAATTTAACTAAAATTAAATTGTAATTTAACTAATTAAGTTACAGGGGAGGGAGGAGGAGAACCTGGCTAGTTAGAATCCTTTTACCACCTTCTTTTTGCTGAAGAACGTACTTAGTCATCAATTTCTTCTTCATAAAAATCTACGTTATTGGCATGTTTATAGGAGCTCTGCCTGCAGCTTAAAAGTGCTTATAGGGAATTAAGCCCTTTAGCCCACATGAATTATGGGTAGCATAATCACCATTTCATATGTAATGGTGCTCAAAGCTCATTTTAAAGCTGATTCACTCTTTTCTGAAAAACAAAAAATTAATGAAAAGCTACTACTAAGCATAAGGCACACAACAGACCAAGGTCCTCATCCTTGAAGAACTTATTTTGGAGGCGATTGGGGAAGACAGCAGGGAATATACAATAAACACAATACACGTGTAAAATATATGGCATCTTAGTAGGTGATAAATGCAATACAAAAACGAAAAATGAAGATGAGTATTGAGGGAATCAGAAGAGCTTGGGGCCAGAGTTTTTGTTTTAAATAGGATGTCAGGGTCAATCTCATTTAGAAAGTGAAATTTGATTGACGAAGGTGAGGCACAAAGCCAAGCAAATATCTGGGGATGTCAGTTGTATTCCAGCCAGAAGGAACATTTTAGCACAAAAGCTCTAGGAGCAGCACATTTTACACCAAGTGCAAGAAGCTTAGCGTGACAAGAGAAGGAAGGGACAAGAGAAGGGTGGTAAGGGGTGAAACAGGACAGCAGTTTTGTGAGGGAGTGGCAGATGTGGCATATGGCTGACTTATTCATAAGTACCCTTGTCAATTTAACAAGAAGTTAGAGGTTAAAAAGGTATTGAGAGCAAAACTAGCTGTGTATGTATACCAGTCAAAAATATGCAATGAGTCATGTTGAAATTTTATAGGGGTTCAACAAAAATACAGTTTAGCCAAATACTGAGTGATCAAGTATCAACATAAATTTTAACAAGAAGCTAAATATTGCTATTATAGTATGAAAGTAACAGAATAACCTAGAATTTTATCCACATTTTAATTTACCTCAACAATTATCTTTTTAAGCTGTCATTGGCTAACTATAAAAGTTTAGCATGATCCTGCAGGCACGGCAGTTCATCAACACTGTTCTTGTATTGTTGATGTCCTCACTCTGCTCCTTCTTTGCAAAACTAAGTGGACAGTCACTTTTAACTAACCCACCTAGAGGAGGAAGCAACATTTAACTAGACATGTAAAAATATGTTGATGATGAAATTGATTCCATTCTTTCTCATTGTTCCTGAGTAAAGATTTATTCATTACATTTAAAAATTATAGTGCTGAAGATAATACTGTTTAATTAAAGCATTGTACAAACAAAAGCTTTAATACTGCATGAAGATGCTTTCTAAATATTTTCAGAAGTAGATGTAAGATTGATTTTCTCATTAATATTTCCATTTCTAATATTTTTGCATGTATTTTCTGCTTCATGTAAAATGAAACACTTTTCATATGACAAATGTTTATATTTAAACATTAATTCTAGAAATGTAGCAATGGAGTAATAAAATTGGCATTTAAGATAAAGAAAAATTACATTTAATTTTCATCTGCATGTTACCTTCCAATGCTTGTAAACAAATTTTATTATGTTCTGTAGAATAAATTTTTACACACAAGTTCATGGAGAAATATATGGAATCTCTGGTTATGTCAGTTCAGTAATTTCTTCATCAAGTTCTAGCAAACAAACTAATTTGGTATTAGAAAGTCCTGCTACATGCTGTATTGTAATCTACACAATGTTAAAGATTTCTTTTATTCAAGCAGACCCTTTAAGGTTGTGTGTGTGTGTGTGTGTGTGTGTTTAACATTGTATTTGAACATCTTGCATAGGAACATCACACACTGGTTCTGAAAACCTATTGAAGATCATATAATTTGCCATTTACTGAGAATAAATGATGAAACCTATCTATTTGGTTTTGGTCAAGGATTGTGTCACATTACACTCTTCTCATTTTTAATTATTAACATATTTGTAGCCTTTAATATGTATATTTAGATGAAGGTGTAGCACAGAAAGAGGTAAGTCATTAATTACAAGTCATCATAGTATTAAAACCAAAGGTCTTAATGGGCCAGTAGCCTCCTTATCTAATTAATTGAAACCACCTGGCCCTTTCACTCATTTGACCAATTCAGTGTGAGTATAAGTGACAAAGGGAGCTTTTGAGGGGGAACTTTAGACACTGCTGTGTAGTGCTTTTTTCTCTCTGCCATAATCATATCGCATATCTGGAATACTCCTTTAGCCTGTATCCATAAATTCACTAAATATATGAAGCAGAACACTTAGAAGACTTATAAGCAATATAAACACACCACCAGCTGCTGTACAAAAAAATGCATTGTGGGAAAGTGATAAACTTTTGTGAGACTTTTGTATTGTAATCTTTTGACTTATTACTATAGTATAACTTAGCACAAGCTGACTAATATAGAAATTGGCACATAAAAGTGGAGCTATCTTAGTTAAAAAATATATATATATATATTCTGTTAATGTTGGCTAGAACAATGGCAAAATAGCAACTCATATTAATCTGTGGTAAAACATTTGACACCTTTTTAGCCTGCAAATATTTAGACAACATATTATGTTGTCAAATATTTAAAAATTATAAAGTTGTAGAGTTGTAGTTTTATTAGGAGACAGGTTATTATGATGTGCCTTGGTTGAATTGACTATAGTAAACAAAGAACCAGAGAGAGAGAGAGAGAGAGAGAGACTCCATAAGAATTAGCAAGCTTGCAAATGAGAATAAATGGAAATAGAGACCAAACAGACATTCAGAATTGTAAGATGCAACTATTCCTCATACTTTCTCAGTCAAAAATAAAATTCATAAGTAATTTTTGTAAGAAAGCATAATGAAAATTTAGCTTCAATGCTGAAAATAACCTATGGCATTGCTTTCAAAATTCTTGTTAAAATGACTAAGTGAATTAAGTTTTCCTCTTCCAGAAAAACAAGTTTTCTCAAGAAAAAGAAAATACTAGCTTTTACTTTCAAGGGAGCCTGATAAGCTCAAGTTACCTGAAATATTTCTATAGTGAGAGGCAGTTTTCAAAAATCATTGTGTGTGAAACTATTTGCTCATGGAGCAAACTGGAATCAAATAGATATAGAAACAACCATGTTTCTGAGAGAAATTCTCTGTTAAAAGAGCCAATATTCTGAATTAAAGTAGACTGGCTGTTGGAGACTTGAATTGATCCTTGGACCTACAAGCATACTCGGGCAAGAAAAAAATATAGAATCCTGCTGCTAATCTCCCATAAGAACGTTTTTCTTTTAGTAAAAGAAGAATCTCCCAAAAGAAGTAGCTAAGAACCACAGAAAACAGTTGGCAAAGGAGTACTTCTCTTATTTGCTTATGTATTTTATATTTTCACATTTAATTTTATTAATAATATTTTAGGAAAAAATCATTGTATATACTTATGAGGTGCTATGTGTTGTTTTGACATATGCTTACAATGTGGAATCATTAAATCAGGCTAATTGACATATCCATCACCTCACTTATTTTTTTTTTCTAGTGAGACATTTGGAATTTAGTTTGAAATGTACAATACATTATTATTATTATTGACTATAATCACTGTACTGTGCAATAGATCACAAAATTATTCTTCCTGCCTAATTGAAAATATGTATTATTTGACAGGTATCTCCCCACTCCCTTCCTTTCCCCACCCAACCCCCAGCCTCTGTATTCATCATTCTACTATCTACTTTTATGAGTGAAATTATTTTTGGTATATATATGTACACGATGGAAAACTACTCAGCCTTTTAAAAGAAGAAAATTCTGTCAGTTGAGATGATGTGGATGAACTTGGATGACATTATGCAAAATGAAATAATCCAAACACAGAAAGACAATGCAGTATCTCACTTATCTGCAGAATCTAGGGTTCTATTATATAGATCTATCTTGAAGTTGACATACTCTTTCCTCAGCTGCGCTGAATCTACTGATGAGCCTGAGAGGCATTCTTCATCTTTCTTATCATTTTTTTTCCTGGTATTTCAATTTCACTGTTTCTTATAGAATTCATATTTCTACTGAAATTCTCTATCTTTAATGCACGCCATCACCTTTTCCCCTGGAGTCTTTCTCATATTAATCATTGTAATTTTAAATGTCTGTCTGATAGTTTCAACAAATGACCACTTTGGGTTCTAGTTGATTATAATATTTTTTAAGATATAGGTTATTAAATTTTGCTTTTTTTGCATCTCATAACCATTGGTTGAAACTGTGACACCTTGTACAGAAACTTAGACTGAGGCAAATATTATTTATGTATGGAAATTGGTATGCTTCTATTTCCAGTGGGCTTTTACCATAGTGGGTTTTGACTCAATATAATCAGCAGTTAATCTCAATATATTTTGCTTTTGCTAGTGTTACCTTTAATGCGTCATTAGCTTTAAACTCCTCTGGTGTTATCTTGTACTTGCTGGGGGACTGACATGTATGCTTCCTTTGCTGAAAGCCTTTCCTTTGCTTGGCACCTCAGAAAAGGCCTCTCCCTAGATTGCTGTTGCTTTAACCACGTAGTGCTGTGGTCAGTTTCTCTTATTCTTTTTTTTTTTTTCTTAGACAGAGTCTCCCTCTGTCGCCCAAGTAGGAGTACAGTGGCGTGCTCACTGCAACTCCTCCAGGGTTCCAGTGATTCTCCCTGCCTCAGCGTCCCAAGTTGCTGGGATTACAGGCACTGGTCACCATGCCTGGCTAATCTTTGTATTTTTAGTAGAGACAGAATTTCGACATATTGGCCAGGCTGGTCTCAAACTCCTGACCTCAGGTGATCCACCCACCTCGGCCTCCCAAAATGCTGAGATTACAGGCATGAGCCACCACTCTCGGTCTAGTTTCTCTTATTCTTAATTAACTTAATATTAAGCAGATCCTGTATCTCTTTGTCTAGACACGGGTGTTTCCCTCGTAATTCTGCACCTCCCTGTATAGCAGGTGTTCTTCAATGGTATCTGCCCATGATTACTTTTCTCTTCTTCCCAGGGAGAGAAAAAAATCTTCTTTTTTTTTTTTTTGAGATGGAGTCTTGCTCTGTCTCCAGGCTGGAGCGCAGTGGCACAATCTCGGCTCACTGCAACCTCTGCCTCCCAGGTTCAAGCAATTCTCCTGCCTCAGCCTCCCCAATAGCTGGGACTACAGGCGCCCGCCACCACGCCCGGCTAATTTTTGTATTTTTAGTAGAGACAGGGTTTCACCATGTTGGCCAGGATGGTCTCAATCTCTTGACCTTGTGATCTGCCCGCCTCGGCCTCCCAAAGTGCTGGGATTACAGGCGTGAGCCACCACACCCGGCGAAAAAATCTTCTTGTGTGAGGGTTTTATCCTTTTATCTTTCCCTCAACAAGAATGTGTCTTTATGGGTACTTTCAGGTCAATGGGTTTTGTTGTTCTAACCTTGGATAAGAGCTTGTGAATTGGTGTGAAACCTCCAGGGGCTTCCTGTCTCAAGGGTTTTATGTTTCTCTTTAGTGCACTCTTATCTTTGAGCAATTTGTTCATAATTTTAGTTGATTTCATATTAAACACTTGTAAATTGGCTCTGTTTTCTCCTTGGCCCTGCCCTAGGTAAAGCAGTGCTTGTGTTCTATTGCTCTTTGATGGTTCTTGTCTTCCCTTAGAGTTCAAGTAGTTAGTTTCTCTATGACCTCAGCTTTCAGATATGTTCAACAATAGTTATGTTAGTGTTATTTGACTTTTATCGACTTTTCATTGTAGTTAATCAGCAACACTGTTCAGCTTATCCATATCTTAAGCCAAAGCTGGAAGTCCATAAGACAATTTTGATTAAAATACAAATAATGGTTTGTAACTTACGTTTGTGTTTCAAATCATGCAAATCTGTTGTAGACATACATTTATTGGTCATTATGACAAGCAAATGAAACAATTTGGTTAAACTGAAAAATATAAGACAGTGGGTGGGGGTGGAAATTAGATCGGTATTCATGATTTCTTCAAATCTATAGGTCAATATATAATACCTTTAAATGTTTATTGACCAATAAACCAGGGAAATTTATATATACTATGTTACATTCCACTGATCAATAAACGCTAGTTTTTGAATCTTTGTTTTCTAGAACTGTGTGAACTATTTGTCCTATTCCATGTGGATCTCAGTGTGTACTTTGCCTATATGTCTTACTTTTAGTACTGACTCTATATTTATAACTTTGGTTTTTCTTTTTCTATTTTGTCCCTGACTTAATTTAGCAAAAAGGTCAGTGCAAAAGAATAAAACTGTATCAAGCTTGATTGAATATGAATAGATATCTACCTTGCAAGTGAAAAGAGAACAGTGTAACTTTAAAGCTAACTTTAAAGGACAATGTTAACCAGCAGCGTTGAAGACAAGAATAAAAAGAATGTATTATTGTTCCGATATTATCAGTTCTTTCTATTGAGTTCACTTTCCTTAGGCTCTTATTACTGAGAGTAATTGGAAGTAATCTTGTTCCTATATAAGGTTACTATTTTAATTATTGAATGGACTATAAATATATTTTGACAGAAATTAACCAAGGCACTTTGGCATGCATCTATCACAAAAGGTCATATTGGTTCAACCCAATTGTTGGTAATGCCCAGCTATCCTCCATTGTCCAGTATCTCAATTATTTTAATAGTTTTTCAATCATGTTACTTCACAAAACCATTATTCACTGGGGTGAAACTAGTGCATCATTAACATTCATACCAAAGAGCAATGAAATTATAAGATGTGGGCATATAAATCATCTGTCCAAATATTTTGCTTGCTACTTTGCACTAAATTCATAACAAATTATTTTCAGGGATATGCATGTATATTGAACCATTTTGGGGATTTAAGGTTGACTTCAATAGAGCAGTGTTTCTGATACCTTCTTAATCTCCTTAAATTAAACCGATATCATGCGAATTAGACTAATGCTTTGTTGATATTGTGCTAATATATTTACTCAAATATCAAAGGCCTCCAAAAAGACATTATAAAATTGTATTATGAATGGAAATTCGTTCAGGAAGTTCTGGTGGCATGGGGTATGTGAAGATAGCAAAACCATATCTCTGATCCTCAGCTAGTAGGGTTCAAACACAACCCATGGTGATTTTTTAGTTTCTTGTAGAGCTGGAACTATTGCATTAAGCTACTTTCATACTGTTCCACAGTGTAGTACACCTGGAAGCAATTTGGCAAAGAAAAGAAAGTTTTGCTGGTATGAGGGAGGAGCACAGGCAAAAAATTAAGGGTTTCGATTCCAAAGGCACAGAGGATTTCAGATATTCCTTCTGTTACTTTAGGCTACTCAAGAAACTCTCAATAGCTTAGTTGACCTACCTGCAAAACATAGATAAGAATATTTGCTTCCTGTCTATCTTTAAGTTAGGTAAGACTCTTGAAAGAAATAAAAGTTCTAAAGCATCATATAGTCATAAAATATGGAGGTTATAGTCTAATTTATTTGAATTATTCTGAAAATGAAGCCCCTTCTCCACTACATACTACAGAATTTAACTTTACAGCAAAGATTTTTAAAGAGGTATTTTTTGTTAGCGTAACATGATTACTTCGGAAAAAAGTGAAGTTTCTAAAATTATTAATAGTCTTTAAAGAATAATAAAAACTAAGACTATTAGAAATTAAATACTTCTTGGCCAGGCACGGTGGCTCATGCCTGTAATCCCAGCACTTTGGGAGGCCAAGGCGGGCAGATCACGAGGTCAGGAGATCGAGACCATCCTGGCGAACAGAGTGAAACCCCGTCTCTACTAAAAATACAAAAAAATTAGCCGGGCATAGTGGCGGGCGCCTGTAGTCCCAGCTACTCAGGAGGCTGAGGCAGAAGAATGGCGTGAACCTGGGAGGCGGAGCTTGCAGTGAGCCGAGATCCCACCACCGCACTCCAGCCTGGGCGACAGAGCGAGACTCCGTCTCAAAAAAAAAAAAAAAAAAAAAAAAAAATTAAATACTTCCATATTTCTGTAATTTTAACAATGTGTTGGTTTTCAAGTATTAGTTTTTCTGCAATTCTTATAATTCTTAATAAGCACTTAAAGAGATAAACAAATAGCTTGCTAGATGGAACTGTTAACACAGGACACACCGTATTATTGACAAAGAGAGTAGCAGGGCAGTTTCTTTTGGAGGGGGAACTATGAAACTCTGTAAGACAAGTCCTGAGCTCTCTCTTTTACTCTCATGTATTTCAGCTTTGAGTACATATTGATTCTCTTTTCTCTCTTTGTTATGTTGGTATAAAAACAAGTATATACTTTCGGAAAATAATAGTATTTGCAATTTTGACATATTCCTTAAAGATAGGGATAAACAAAGGACCGTGAATATTTATAATAATTTAAGTTTATAAAGTTTAGTACTTTACAAAGAGTTCATATGTTACTTGTTATGAGGTCAGTTGTGTCTATATGTTGAAGTCCTAAGCCCCAATACCTCAGAGTGTGACTGTTCTTGGAGATTAGAGTTTACAAATGGTAATTAAATTAAAATAAAGTCATTAGAGTAGACTATAATCCAAGAAGACTGGATTCCTTACAAGAGAAGATTAGGACACACACACACACACACACACACAGACACACACAAACACACACACACACATAGAGGAAAGACTAGGTGAAGACACAGGGAGAAGACAGCCATATGCAAGCCAAGGAATGATGTCTCGGAAGAAACCAACCCTTCTAACGTCTTTTTTTTTTATGACTTTTTTTAATTTTTATTTTTGGGGTACATAGTGGGTGTATATGTTTATGGGGGTACATGAAATATTTTGATAGAGTAATACAATGTGAAATAATCCCATAATGGAAAATAGAGCGTGCATCCCCTCAAACATTTATCCTTTGAGTCATAAACAATCTAATTACATTCTTTTAGTTATTTAAAAATATACAATTACTGTTGACTATAGTTACACTGCTGTGCTCTCTAGGTCTTATTCATTCTTTCTAACTATTTTTTATACCAATTACCCTTCCCCATCTCCCCTGCAAACTCCCACTACCCGTCCCAGCCTCTGGTAACTATCCTTCTATTCTTTGTCTCCATGAGTTCAATTGTTTTGATTTTTAGATCCCACAAATAAGTGAGAACTTGTGAAATTTGTCTTTCTGAGTCTGCCCTGTTTCACTTAACATAATGATCTCACGTTTCATCCATTTTGTTGCAAATGACCGGCTCTCATTCTTGTTTATGGCTGGATAGTACTCCATTGTGTATATGTACCACATTTTCTTTATCCATTTGGCTGTTAATTGACAACTAGCTCACTTGCAAATCTTAGCTATTGTGAACAGTGTTGCAACAAACATGGAAGTGCAGCTATCTCTTCAATAGGATTTCGTTTCTTTGGGGTACATACCCTCTAGTGGGATTGCAGGATCAGATGGTAGCTCCAATTTGAGTTTGTTGAGGAACCTCCAAAATGTTTTCCATAGTGGTTGTACTAATTAACCTTCACATCAACAGTGTACTAGAGTTCCTTTTATTCCACATCCTCACCAACATTTGTTATTGCCTGTCTTTTGGATATAAGACATTTTCACTGGGATGAAATGATATTTCATTGTAGTTTTGATTTGCATTTCTCTGATGATCTATGGTGTTGAGCACCTTTTCAGAAGCCTGTTTGCCAAGTGTATGTCTTCTTTTGAGAATGTCTATTCAAATATTTTGCCCATTTTTTGATCATATTATTAAATTTTATTTTCTGTGGAGTCGTTTGAGCTCCTTATATGTTCTGGTTTATTATTCTCTTGTCAGATGGATAGTTTGCAAATATTTTCTCCCCTTCTGTGGGTTGTCTCTTCACTTTGTTGATTGTATCCTTTTCTGTCCAGAAGCTTTTAAATGTGATGTCATCCCATTTGTTCTTTTTTGCTTTGGTTGTCTGAGCTTGTGGAATATTGCTCAAGACATTTTTGCCCAGACAGATGTCCTGTTGATTTTCCCCAATGTTTTCTTGTAGTAGTTTCATAGTTTGAGGTCTTCAATTTAAGTCTTTAATCAATTTTGATTTGATCTTTATATATGGTGAGAGGTAGGGGTCTAATTTCATTCTACTGCATATAAATATCCAGTTTTCCCAGCACCATTTGTTGATGAGACTCTTTTTTCCCCAGTGTAGGTTCTTGGCACCTTTGTCAAAAATAAGTTCACTAGAGGTATGTGGATATTTTTCTGGGTTCTCTATTCTGCTCTGTTCGTCTGTTTATCAGTTTCTATGCCAGTAGCATGATGTTTTGGTTGCTATAGCTCTTGTATTAGTCCATTCTCACGTCGCTACAAGGAAATACCCAAGACTCTGTAATTTACAAAGGAAATAGCTTTAATTGATTCATAGTTCCACATGGCTGGGAAGGCCTCAGGTAACTCATAATCATGGCAGAAGGTGAAGGGAAAGCAGGCAGCTTCTTCACAAGGTGGCAGGAGACAGAATGACCACAGGACGGACTACCAACACTTATAAAACCATCAGCTCTCATAAGAACCCACTCACTATCACAAGAACAACATAGGGGAAACCACCCCCATGATTCAGTTACCTCCATCTGTTCTCTCCCTTGACACATGGGGATTATGAGGATCACAACTTAAGATGAGATTTTGAGTGAGGACACAGCCAAATTATATTATCTCTGTAGTATAATTTAAAGTCAGATAATATGATTTCTCCAGTTTTATTCCTTTTGTTTGGGATAGTTTTGGCTATTCTGGGTCTTTTGTGGTTTCATATACATTTTAGAATTGCTTTTTCTATTTCTGTGAAGAATTTTGTTGGTATTTTGATAATGATTGTATTCAATCTGTAGGTTACTTTGGCTAGTATGGACATTTAAACAATATTGATTATTTCAATCCGTGAACATGGACTATTTTCCCATTTTTTGATGTCCTCTTCAATTTCTTTCATCAGTGTTTTATAGTCTTTATTACAGAGATCTTTCACTTTTTTGCCTAAGTTAATTCCTAGCTATTTAATTTTATTTGTGACTATTGTAAATAAGATTATTTTCTTGATTTCTTTTTCAGATTGTTAACTGTTGTCATATAGAAATGCTACTGAATTAGTTGATCAGTTCTATTAGTTTTCTTGTGGAGTCATTAGGTTATTCCAAATACAAGATTGTATCGTTTGCAAACAAGGATAATTTGACTTCTTCCATTTCAATGTTGATGTTATTTCTTTCTCTTGATTGGTTGCTTTAGCTAGGACTTCCAGTACTACGCTGAATAACAGTAGTGACAGTGGGCATCCTTGTTGTGTTCCACATCTTAGATGAAAGGTTTTCAGTTTTTCCCATCTAGTATAGTAATAGCTGTGGCTCTGTCATATCTGACTTTCATTATGTTGAGGTATGTTCCTTCTATACCCAGCCTTTTGAATTTTTTTAATCATGAAAGAAGTTGAATTTTATCAAATGCTTTTTCAGTGTCAGTTGAAGAGATCATATTGTTTTTAGCCTTCGTTCTGTTGATATGATGTATCACATGGATTGGTTTGTGTATGTTGAACCATCCTTGAATCCCAGCGATAAATTTCACTTGGTCATGATGAATGATCTTTCCAATGTATTATTGAATTTAGTTTGCTAGTACTTTGTTGAGGACTTTCGCATGAATATTCATGAGATATATTGGCCTGTAGTTTTCTTTTCTGAAGGTGCCTTTGTCTCATTTTGGTATCAGGGTAATACTGGCCTCATAGAATGAGTTTGGAAATACTTCACTCTCTTCTGTTTTTCGTACTAGTTTGAGTAGGATGGTATTAGTTCTTCTTTAAATGTCTGGTAGAATTTAGCAGGGAAGCCATCAGATCCCAGTCTTTTCTTTGCTGGGAGAATTTTTATTATGATTTTTATCTCATTACTTGTTATTGGTCTTTTGAGGTTTTAGATTTCTCCATGGTTAAATTTGGTGGTTGTATATGCCTAAGCATGTATCCGTTTCTTCTAGATTTTCCAATTTATTTACATATAGTTGCTCATAGTAGCCACTAATGATACTTTACATTTTGGCAGTATCAGTTGTTACGTCTCCTTTTTTCATTTCTGATTTTATTCGGATCTTCTCTTTTTTTTTCCTTGGTCTGGCTAAAAGTTTGTCAATTTTGTTTAACTTTTCAAAAAAAAAACTTCTTTCATTTTATTGATCTTTCGTATTATTTCCTTCATTTCCATTTCATTTATTTCTTCTCTGATCTTTTTTATTTCTTTTTTTTTCTACTAATTTTGGGCTTGGTTTGCTCTCATTTTTCTAATTCTTTAAAATGCATTATTAGATTGTTTATTTGAAGTTTTTCCTCTCCTTTGATGTAGGCACTTAAAACCATAAACTTCTGTCTTAGTACTATTTTTGCTATATCTCATAGGTTTTGGCTAGTTTTGTTTCCATTATCATTTGTTTCAAGATTTTTTTTAGTTTCCTTCTTTACTTATTTATTGACCCACTGGTCATCCAGGAACATAAATTTAAATTTCCATGTATTTGTCTAGTTTCCAACATTTCTTTTGTTTTTAATTTCTACTTTTATTCCATTGTGTTTGGAAAAGATGCTTGATATTATTTCAAATTTGTTGTTTCAAGACTTGTTTTGTGATATAATTTGGTTTCTTCCATTTTATTATTTGTGTATCTATTGTAGGTTTTTTTTGTTTGAGGCTACCATGAGGCTCGCAAATACCATCTTATAACTCATTATTTTAACCTGATAAAAACTTAACACTGTTTGTATAAACAAACATACAAACAAACAAGCAAAAAGAAAACTAATAAAAACTCTACACCTTAGCTTTGCTCCCCTGCTTTTTAACTTTCCTGTTTGTATTTTTATCTTATTGCACTACATATGTCTTGAAAAGTTGTAATTATTTTTGATTGGTTTATCATTTTGTCTTTCTACTTAAGATAAGAGTAGTTTACACAGTTTTCTGTTTATTTACTATTCCCAGTGAATTTTATACCTTCAGACGATTACTTATTGCTCATTAACAACCTTTTCTTTCTGATTGAGGTACTCTCTTTAGCATTTCTCGTAGAATTTTATACCTTCAGACGATTACTTATTGCTCATTAACAACCTTTTCTTTCTGATTGAGGTACTCTCTTTAGCATTTCTCGTAGAACAGGTCACTTGTTGATGAAATCTTTTAGCTCTTGTTTGTCTGAGAATGTCTTTAATTCTCCTTCATGTTTGAAATATACTTTTCCTGTGTATACTCTTCTAGGATAATTTTTTTTTCTTTCAGCACTTTAAATATGTCATTTCACTTTCTTCTGGCCTGAAAGGCTTCCACTGAAAAGTCTGCTGCCAGATGTATTAGAGCTCCATTGTATTTTATTCATTTCTTTTCTGTTGTTGCTTTTAGGATCCTTTCTTTATCTTTGATGTTTGGGAGTTTGATTATTCATGCCTTGAGGTAGTCTTCTTTCAGTTAAGTCTGCTTGGCGTTCTTGAACCTTCATGTACTTGGATATTGATATTTTTCTCTATGTTTGAGAAGCTCTCTGTTATTATCCCTTTGAATAAATTTTCTACCCCTATCTCATTCTTCACCTCCTGTTTGAGGCCAGTAACTCTTAGATTTGCTCTTTTGAGGCTATTTTCTAGTTCCTGTATGCAAGCTTCATTGTTTATTTTTTTCTTTTGTCTCCTCTGACTGTGTATTTTCAAATAGCCTGTCTTCAAGCTCACTACTTCTTTCTTCTGCTTGATCGATTCTGCTATTAAATGACTCGGATGCATTCTTCTGTATGTCAATTGCACTTTTCTGCTTCAGAAATTCTGCATGATTCTTTTAATTATTTCAATCTATTTATTAAATTTATCTGACAGAATTGAGAATTGCTTCTGTGTGTTATCTCGTATTACTTTCAGGTTGCTCTATCCAGCTATTTCGAAATTTCTATCTGAAAGGTCACATATCTCTGCTTCACCAGGACTGATCCCTGGTGCTTTATTTGGCTCATCTGGTGAGGTCACTTTTTCCTAGGTGGTGTTGATGCTAATGGATGTTTGTTGATGTCTGGGCATTGGAGGGTTAGGTATTTATGGTAGTCTTCAATGTTTGAGTTTCTTTGTACCCATCCTTCTGCAGAATGATTTCCAGATATTTCAAAAGACTTTGGGTGTTGTGATCTAAGGTATGTCTACTTTAGGGGACACCCTAAGCCAAATAAAGCTGTGGTTTTTGCAGACTCATAGAGGTACTGCCTTGAAGGTCTCGGAAAAGATTCAGAATTTTCTGAATACCAGACAGAGACTCTTGTTTTCTTCCCTTACTATCTCCCCCAAAAATGGAGTCTGTCTCTCTGTCTGTTCTGAACCACCTAAAGCTGGGGGTGTAGTTACACAGGCACCCCTGAGGCCACCATCACTGTTACTGTGCTGAGTCAGACCTGAAGCCAGCTGATAACTGGGGTCCTGCCCACAGCATGCTGTAACCACTCTCTGTCACTGCCTATGTTTGCTGAAGGCCCTGGGGCTCTATAATCAGCAGGTGGCGAAACCAGTGAAAGCAAGTTTATTAAGAAAATAAAGGAATAAAAGAATAGTTATTCCATAAACAGAGCAGCTCCAAGGGCTGCTGGTTGCCCATTTTTATGGTTATTTCTTAATAATGCTAAGTAAGGGGTGGATTATTCACGTCTCTCCTTTTTAGACCATAAAGAGTAACTTTCTGACATTGCCATGTTATTTGTGAACTGTCATGGCACTGGCAGGAGTGTAGCAGAGAGGACTACCAGAGGTTACTCTCATCGCCATTTTGGTTTTGGTGGGTTTTGGCTGACTCCTTTACTGCAACCTGTTTTATCAGCAAGGTCTTTATGACCTGTATTTTGTGCTGACCTCCTATGTCATGCTGTGACTTAGAATGCCTTAACCATCTGGGAATGCAGCCCAGTAGGTTTCAGCCTCATTTACCCAGCTCCTATTTAAGATAAAGTTGCTCTTGTTCACAGGCCTCTGACACCTAGGGCTCTTAAGTCAGCTGAAGGTGAATGCTGCCTTGCCTAATATTAACCATTTGGGTCCGTGTGCTCCCCTCTGGCGCAGGGCAGGTCCAGGAAGCCATTCAAGGGTTAAGTCCTGGAATCAGGGACCCCAAGAGCCCACTTGGTACTCTACTCACTACGGCCATGCTGGTACCTGAAGCCAGCAAGTCTCAGAGGCTCATCCAAGGCCCTTGAGGTAGTAATACCAGGGTATTACTGCTGGTTTTTCAGGGCCCGAGGGCTCTTCAGTTAGCAGGTGATGAATGCTGTCAGGACTAGGACATTCCCTTTAAAGCAGTAGGTTTACTTTGGCCCATGGTGTATCTAGAAATGTTGCCCAGGAGCTAGGGCCAGAACAGTAGCTTCACAACTCTGACCAGTGCCCTGTCCTGCTGTGGCTGAGCTGGTATCCTAGATGCAAGACAAAGCCTTTCCCACTCTTCCCTCTTCTCTCCTTAAATGGATGAAGAAGGGGTCTCTTTTGGATCTGGGAGCTGTGCAGCCTGGATTAGAAGAGGGATGATATCAGTACTCCCTTAGCTGCCCCAGCTAGTGTCTTGGTGGGTTATATACTTTCCCAATCTACTGTCTCTGGGCCCAGGTTAGCACTAGGACTGGCCTAAGAGTTGCAGTCCTTATGGCCTAGACTGCCTTTCAGGTTTGCTGAGAGACCCAGAGCAGGTTAGCCCTTGGTGGTGAGGTTTCCAGAATTCAAGTTCTGACTGTTGGGATCAGCAATACCCCTATGACTAAGGCTGGTTTAAATGTTCTTTCCATGGGCAGATGTCGGCCGAGTTTACTTTGGTTTTTCTTTCAGCTCTAACAGGACAGCACTGAGTTCAATGCCTCCAGTTGCTGTGTTCTCCCTCCCCCAATACCCAAAGATGCTCTCTGCACCAGGCAGCTGCTGCCAGGGGCGGGGGAGGGGCGGCATCAGTGATTCAGCTCTGTGTTTTCTATCTCTTCAGTACTTCTTTCTGTGATCTGAAGATAAAACCAGGTACTAAAAGGGATCACCTGTTTTAGGTTCTAATAAAGGTTGTTTTTCCTTGTAGATAGTGGTTCAATTGTTGTCCTGGTGGGGTAGGGGGTAACAATGGAGCCATCTATTCCACCCTCTTGCTCTGCCTCAGCCCCCGTCCTTTTAACATCTTGATCTTAGACTTCAAGCCACCGGAATTGTGAGAAAGTTAATTTCTATTGTCAAGCCATTCAGTCTGTGGCATTTTGTAATAGCAGCCATAAGAAATTGATATGTAATTAAAGTTGTATAGTATATGCTAGGATATCCACAGAAATGAATAAAAGCAAATGGTGTGCAGTAATGATGGATGACCCAGTAGAAATTAGACTGCATGGTATGTAAACATAGCTAGTATTACTAATAATAGCCAGCACCTATTGAACAATTACAGATAGGTCAGAAATTATTCTGACAGACAGATGATCACATTGAAACCTCACCACAACTCTATGAAGTAATTACTTTTAAGTTCCCTATTTTACAGATGAGTAAAAACTAAAGTATGGAGAATTTAAACACTCTGCTCCAAATCAGAGACAAATGATGGGTATTTGTATATCTGGGCAATCTAATGATAAAATCTAGACTATTAATTCAATGACATATTGGACCCAAGTTAAATTATTTATTTCTCATTTTGAAGGTTATCCAAAAACATTATATATATATATACACATATATATATATCACTTCTCGCAACAAGTTGCAAAAAAGGCTTAAATTGATACCAAATGTAAATGACGAGTTGATGGGTGCAGCAAACCAACATGGCACATGTATACCTATGTAACAAACCTGCATGTTGTGCACATGTACCCTAGAACTTAAAGTATAATAATAAAAAAGTAAAAATAAATAAATTAATTTAAAAAATGTAAATTTAGTTAATATTATGTTCTTTTGATTATACAGAAAAAGCTATTTATTAAATGTATTACAGTGTGTATATTTAGATCAAATATGTGTGTCTATATGTATAGCATACATATTACATATATACATACATATTAATTATACTTTTTTACTGTTATTTTGCTTCATGCTATTTTTAGTAAGTTACTGAAATACTACACAGTACGTGCTCACAATATACTTGCTATTGTCACATTGAGCCTAAAGCTCTACACCTGTAATTGTGTTCTAGTTTAAAAGAAAAGAAGAGAGAGTAGGAAAAGAAGAGATAAATGGTAGAAGGAAAGAGAGGAAAAGAAAAAAGATACCTAAACATAGAGTAAACATGCTTTCTTAAAAGAGTATGTTTATAACACTCTGTTTCTTTTTAAATATTAAGCTTAATTTAGATACACGTAGTGTCTGTAATGAATGTACTATTTCTAAAACGAACTCCAAAGAATGACTTCTCTCTCTGTCCTCAAAGTGAAGACACAAAACCAAATAATTCAAGGAGGATTCACAAGAAAACCTCCATTTGGAAGCAACAAACAAGAGAAGTACGTCTCCTCTCAAATATTAAAAAAAATAAGACATGCCTCTATGAACCTCATTTTATTTATAGATAAATAAACACAAGAAAATACACCTGGGTCTTATAAAAATACCTCTGATTGAAAAAAATCTAGCATAATATTTGTAGTTATAAAAATTAAGTTCTGCTTTGCATTACTAATTAAAATTTCTTAATGGAACCAATGGAATTGCTACATGATGAAATAAGACAAACAGAGGAAAAAAGACCCACTTGTGATAAAATTAAAAGTAAAAGATAAAATTTTATTCTAAAGTAAGATTGTGAAAAATGTAAAAATATTGAGAATATAAATTGAGGACTTAAAACACACTTCATTAGAAGCCTTAAATTTAAAATCTGTAAAGCAGATGAATTATTGAATCAATAATATTGAGGATAATTTGAGATGTTCATTAATAATATGCAGTAAAATGATAAGGAGGTTATATTATGAGATAAAATATTACAGGTACTGGGAAAAGAGAACAGAAGATAAACAGAGAAAATGAATATGTCTGCTGAAGAAGCGACAGGATAAAGACTACTTAAATCTATAGCTGAAGAAAAACTTGTGGATAAAACAAAATAAAACAATAGGTAAAAACCATTTTCCACCCACATGGACCTTACATGTTAGTGCTCACACAGGCAAATAGACAGTGAAATACCATCATGTGCTCTACGAGGCTTATGCTCAGGATCCCAGTGAACCCAGGAAATAGACACCTGAACGCAGTTCTGAAATGAAAATACAATTCCCATAGAGATGCTGCATAAAGTACTGAAGAAAAAGGGGAATTAAATAGGTTAAATTGATGGTGGAAAATTGAATGTATATACTTTTAATGTTATAATAAAATAATAATCTCATTAAATGGTAAAAACAATGATATCATATTGTGTGTCAATTTTTCACGTTGATGAAATTCAAAATATCCTGAAATTCATGATTTAATTTCTGAAAGCTATCCTAATGTTCACAAATCCTGGATGTATTTCAATTTCATGTAATTAAAAAGCAATATTTCAAAAGACAATGGATTTTTTTGGCTTATTCATATAATGGAATTTCCATATTTAAAAAGAGTACTTAACTAATCATTGAAAGGTCAGTTAAGATGTGCAGTGGCATGCACCTGTAATCCCAGCACTTTGGGAGGCTGAAGTGCGAAGATCCCTTGAGCCCAGGAGGTGGATACTTCAGTGGGCTTTGATCACACCATTGTGATGTAACCTGAGTAACAGAGTGAAACACTGTCTCAAAAAAATGAAACACAAGTAAAAATAAAGGTCAGTTACTATTACAGTAATGCTAAACTTTGAGACATCTAAAATGACAACATCTAAAACTAGGAAAACATCAAGTTACCAAGTGTTGGGAGTTCTGTTGACTAAGATAAAAATTAGAGCAAGAAATTCAACATGCCGGAAAACACTAAATTGATTTTTCATTTTTTTAAGAAGAAAATTATTTGGTCAAGGGCAGTGGCTCACTCTTGTAATCCTAATAATTTGGGATGCAGAAGCAGGAGGCTTACTTGAGGGTTGGAGTTTGAGACCAGTCTGGGCAACATAGTGAGAACCTGTCTACAAAAAAAAAATTTAAAGAATTAGCCAAGTGTCGTGGCATGTGCCTGTTGTCTTGGCTATTTGGGAGGCTGATATGGGAGGATCCCTTGAACCCAGGAGTTTGAGGCTGCGGTGAGATCTGATTGTGCCACTGCACTCCAGCCTGGGAAACAGAGAAAAATAAAAATAAATAAAATAATTTGTCTTGTTTATGTTTAGCATAATATCACTGTCATTTGTTGTGACAGT
Source organism: Homo sapiens (assembly GCF_000001405.40). Classification (NCBI taxonomy): domain Eukaryota; kingdom Metazoa; phylum Chordata; class Mammalia; order Primates; family Hominidae; genus Homo; species Homo sapiens. The sequence continues at coordinate 125,509,938 of NC_000007.14, forward strand.
GCCAGGATATCTCTGTTTAAGTGCTATTTCTGCCAAGTCCTTATTGTAATAGCTTGGAAAATTGAACTATTAACCTCGCTGTGCTTCAAGTTGCTCACGAATTTAACAGAGTTTTTGTTAGGTTGATTGAGTTAATAAAAGATTGTTGGATTAAAGATGGCTGCACATCTTTTACCTTTCCTTAAATTAATAGGCCAATCCAGTTTCTTTCCTCCAGAATCTGCACTCTTGTGAAATTGCCTTCACCTGCAGAATGTGGCAAATGTGACACTGTGTTACTTCTGAACTTGGTCTTTAAAAGATTTTCTGCTTTCACTTTTATATGCTTGAGTTGTTTCTCCTTAGAACTTATTCTCCCTGCTGTCAGAAGCCCAAGCCAAGATAGAGGTCCCACAGAGGAATATCAAAATGTCCTGGTTCAGAGCTCCATGCAAGCTCCCAGACAACAATGCCAAAGATCAGCCATGTGAGAAAATCATCTTGGATATTGTAGGCAAATTGAACATCCACATGACTTCAGTCACAGCTGGTACAACATGAAGCAGCAGAACCACCTAGCTGGGCCTAGTCAGCTCACAGAACCATGAAAAATAATAGGTTTTTTTGTTCTTGTTGTTTTTGGTAGGTAAGGTTTGTTACATATCAATAAACTTTGAACAATGTCTGTCCCATGGTAAGTTCCCACAAAATTGTAGCTATTGTTGTTTTAAATTATTGTTAGAAAATACTAATTTTAGATACCATTTCTTTTCTAGATCCTAAACATCGAGTTCATGACACTTGAATATTTATTTTCTGAAATTAATAAATTTATTTGAACATAGAATAATTTAGGAATAGTCATGTATTTTAATAGTTTTCTTCAACTAAATTCCCTTGTTTCACAACCACCATTCCACTTTTGGAAATCCCTCCTGACATTTTAGGTTGAGTCATTGGTCTCATTCTATTCTGCAGGACGTGGCTCTTTTTTTTTTTTTTGAAACAAATATACCTTGCATTTTGTACCTGTATTAGGCTACTTATTATATATTTGACTCTTATTCTAGATATTTATTTTACTAGCTTTATTAGAATTTTTGAGGGAATTGACATATGACTTTTTTGTTGTTGTTCTCTATAGGGCATTGAAGAGAGGTTCTTAATACATTCACTTGCCTATGTTACTTATAGATTATTATCAGTGTCTGATTTGAGGACTGTTAAATTTATCTTTTGACATTAACTAGTCCTGTAGCTACTATGTCAGATGCTTAAAGTGTGCTATTGCAAAGATCAATGAAGTTATTGTTAGGAGACTAGGTTTCTATCCCAAACATTAGCTAACAGTAGTTTTCTGTTACTCAATTAACTTCTGTGAACAAGGGTTTTCCCCTTTATAAAATGAGAGACCAGACTAGATGATTTTTGGTAGCTTTTAGGTAAATATTTTTGACATACTGTATTTGGTAAAAGTGAAGTGACTACTTAAGCAATTATTTTAGTAACAAAACCAAGTAGAAAACCAAGAGGAAATAGATACGCCTTGAAGGCATTGCGGCTCAGTTCCAAACCACCACAATAAAGCTAATATTGCAATAAGGAGAGTCACATAATTTTTTTTGGTTTTCAAATGTATATAAAAGTTACGATTGCACTATACTGTAGTTTATTCAGCATGCGATTGCAAAATGTTTAAAAAGGACAACCTACATACTTTAAGTAAAAATACTTTATTGCTAAAAAAAATGCTAATAATCATCTGAGCCTTCGGCAAGTGATAATCTTTCTGGCTGGGGGCAGGCCTTGACTCAATATTGATGGTTGCTGACTGATCTGGGTGGTAGTTGCAGATGGCTGTGGCAATTTCTTAAAAAAATAAAACAACAACGTTTGTCACATCAATTGACTCTTCCTTTCAGAAAAGATTTATCTGTAGCATTCAATGCTCTTTGATAGCATGTCGCCCACAGCAGAACTTCTTTCAAAATTGAGATCAATTCTCTCAAACACTGCCACTGCTTTATCAACTCTGGTTATATAAATATTTTAAATCCTTTTTTATCATTTCAACAGTGTTCACATTGTCTTCACCAGGAGTAGATTCCATCTTAAGAAACCACATTCCTTGCTTATTCATAAGAAGCGACTCCTCATTCATTCAAGTTTTATCATGAGATTGCAGCAAATCAGTAACATTATTAGGCTCCAACTATTAATTCTATTTTTCTTACTATTTCCATATATGTATAGCTAATTTCTCCACTGAAGTCTTGAACCTCAAAGTCATCCATGAGGGTTGGAATCAACTTTCTCCCATTGGACAATGGAATCAACTTCACTTTTGTTAACATGGATAATTTAACCTCATCTCTTGAATCAAAAATGTTCTTGATGGCATCTAGACTTGTGAGTCCTACCCAGAAGGTTTTCAATTTACTTTGCCCAGAACCATCCTGAAGAGTCACTATCTATGGCAGTTGTAGCATTACACAATGTATTTTTTAAGTAATATCACTTGAAATTCAGAATTACTCCTTGATCCATGGGCTGCAGAATGGACATTGTCTTAGCAGGCATAAAACAACATTAAGCCAAACCCTAACCCAGAGCAAGGTTCTAGCTGTCTTCAATTCTGTGAAGCCTCAGAGAGGTGAGAAAGCTACAGAGCCAAACTGTGGAGCTATCACAGGTTGGTTAACGAGGTTTAAGAAAAGAATTTACAACATAAAAGTGCAAGGTGAAGTAGCAAGTGCTGATGTAGAAGCTACAGGAAGTTATCCAGAAGCTCTAAGATAATGGATGAAGGTGACTACACAAAACAATAGGTTTTTAATGTAAACAAAACAGCCTTTTGGAAGAAGATGTCAGGAAGTACCTTCATGGCTAGAGAGGAGAAGTCAATGCCTGGCTTCAAAGCTTCAAAGAAAAGGCCAAGTGTATTGTTACAGGCCAATACAAGGTAACTTTAAGTTGAAGTCAATGCTCATTACAATTCAAAAAATTCTAGGGCCTTTAAGAATTATGCTAAATCTACTCTGTCTGTGCTCTGTAAATGAAACAACAAAGCCTGGATGACAGCATGTCTATTTATAGTATGGTTTACTGAATATTTTGAGCCCACTACTGAGATCTACTGCTAAGAAAAATATATACATTTTTTTTCAAAATGCTAGTGCTCATTGACAATGCATATGTCACACAAGAGCTGTGACAGTGATGTAAAGGGTTATTAATGTTGTTTTATTCCTGCTAAGACAATGTCCATTCTGTAGCCCATGGATCAAGGAGTAATTCTGAATTTCAAGTGATATTACTTAAAAAATACATTGTGTAATGCTACAGCTGCCATAGATAGTGACTCTTCAGGATGGTTCTGGGCAAAGTAAATTGAAAACCTTCTGGGTAGGACTCACAAGTCTAGATGCCGTCAAGAACATTTTTGATTGAAGAGATGAGGTTAAATTATCCACGTTAACAAAAGTGAAGTTGATTCCATTGTCCAATGGGAGAAAGTTGATTCCAACCCTAATGGATGACTTTGAGGTTCAAGACTTCAGTGGAGAAATTAGCTATAGATGTATGAAAATAGTAAGAAAAATAGAATTAATAGTTGGAACCTAATAATGTTACTGATTTGCTGCAATCTCATGATAAAACTTGAATGAATGAGGAGTCACTTCTTATGAATCAGCAAGAAACGTGGTTTCTCAAGATGGAGTCTACTCCTGGTGAAGACAATGTGAACACTGTTGAAATGATAAAAAAGGATTTAAAATATTTACATAACCAGAGCTGATAAAGCAGTGGCAGAGTACTCAATCAGTATTCATAAAAAACCTTCTACTAATATATACTTCTTGAATGTCTCTTCAATTAAGTGTTGTCATTTACCAAAGTCATTCTTGACTTGGGACAGATTATGTCTCCCAGAAAACATTTGGTTTTGTCAGAGACATTTCTTATTGTCAATAAGTATGGGCTGGGGTGTATAGGTACTACTGCTATCTGGAGGGTGAAGGCCAGGCTTGCTACTAAACACCCTATAGTACATAGGACAGCCTCCATAACAAATAATTATCCAGTCTCACATGTCAATAAGTGCCCAGTGTGTGACAACCTGACTTAGCATTACAAAAAGGAAAATGTCCTTTCAGTGATGAAGAGAGATTTCTTTGTGTTTCTCAAGCCAAATTAGAATGTGTAAAACAACCAAAATTTTAAATTTAGTTATTAAGGGAACACACATATTATACTATGATGATGCATATCCAAGTATGACTGCTGACTATGAAACATCAGGAACTGTGCTATTTACAAATTAGTAAATAAAAATCTAACAATATTATTGCAAAATTGGGAATTTGCTATTCAATATTACACAGTTGAAATAGAAATTCATTTTATGGAATTTTCCCAGTAAAGGAAATTCTCCGTGTATTTAACCATATAATGATATTATTTTACACAAACTTATTTTTTAAATGTGCAAGTTATTATTAATGTATTTTACCCCAGACTGTACTCTTTAATAGGGAAAATCAAAAGCTAATTAGCTTTAGAGAGAACTTTAAAACCTAAGGAGATTATATATAAGGAAAAATCCTGACCAAAGACACATTAAATACAATTTAGATATTTATTAGGTGACATTAGTTTATCAAATCATTAACATTTGAGGCATTGTAATCAGATACCAGAACCTACCTCAAATTCATTAAAAGTGTAATTTCAAATAAAATGTGTATCCCTTACACTTAACCCACACATAATTTACTATGGACTAGAATGCTGTGTTAAGTCTTTTGAAGTGAACAAAGTGTAAGGCTTGCAGTATTCATTTAAAAATATATCGAATTGATTGATTCAGGATTGATTGAATTGAATATTTAAGATGTTATACCTGTACACTAATATTCCATTGCTGATTCATCTGTACTATATTTGTTATTTATTTTATAGGAAAGTGATTTTTTTTCCCTTCATGTGAAAATTTGTCATGGCCAGTCAATGGTCAAAATGGCAGATTTGCCACTTGGGCCACCATTTGTAATTTTTCTGGAAAGCATTTACAGTTATAGCATCAATTGAAGTACATGTTCTTTTCAGCATGTAAATTACACCCTAGAGTATAACTTTCTGCACAATTTCAGTTGCATGAGCTGATAGCCTGTGATCTACAGTCAGAATTATTTCCTCAAAGGTGAGAGGGTTCTATAATGGGCCTCCAAATGTCAGATTTCACCTTTGGCAGGGTGTTGACTAATGATCCTAGAAGAAAAAAATAAAAGTTAGTGCAAGGCGGCAAAGTTTTTCACTTTTAATTTTTTAATCACTTACACATATGTGAAACCAGCAATTGGCCATCAACCAAATAATATACCTTATAGACCTTTTTTCCTTTTAAAAATTAGAGCATCAGAAACATTACAATCTTGATGTGTCATACATGCTAGTTCAAATAGCATAGGTCAGCAACAATTTAGTATTAATATAGTTGATCAGTATACATACTTATCTTTCCATTCTATTATCATGTTTTTCTATATCAGTTAACTCAGTAGTGAAACTTTTGGCAAACCAATAACTTTGCAGTCCTACTCAATGGCAATATTCCTCTTTCTCAGCTGCACAACATCCCAGAGAAGTCAAATCCCAAATGTTGTGTCCTTGACACTTAACTTTACACTGGGCCTTCTGTTGTCCTATATATTTTGTCTAGATGTTTTCAGGCAGATCAAAATTTTCTGAAGTTTCTGTTACATGGAGTTTTCCATTTATCAGACAATGCCAGCTAAGTATAAAGAAAAGAAATTTCTTCTTACAGATTGAAAGCATGTATAAAATCAGAAGACATCTGTGGATGATGATAAATGATACAAATTATATTTCGATTGTTCCCTGGAGAGCCATATAATGCTTTTCCTCATTTGGCTTTAATTTTTCCCATTTTCTTTATCCTTTTGCTGATCCATAGATGATATATATATTAATATTAATAGTCATTTTTCAGAGAAACAAATATTAATTGTAACAACCAAAGCTGTTGAATGGCACTGTGAAAGATCTGATTTTGTAGAACGCAATGCTCCAGAAATTATTTTCTCTTAAACATTGTGTTTTCAACTTGAATACTCTATTTCTTACCAACATGGTTAAGCTTTTCCTATTTATTATGCTTTTGCTATCAATAACAAAAATATTACTTAAAAAAAAGTAGGCATGACATTTGGTAGTAATTATACCTCTGCCAAGGAATATGTCTCTGTATGTCATCTCCCTGATCTGCTGTGCGCAGCAGTTCTCCACTTTGTCGTATTTTCATTTTCTCAGTGGGAAATGGACAGCAGTGACACTTTGCCAGTTTGGCCGAGACATTAAGAGTTTTTCCATGCTTCCATTTACCTACTTGCACTCTTGTGATATGCAATGAAAAGGGCCTGCTCTAATTATCTGCTGCTCCAAGGAGAATGGGGAAACATGTGAACTGAGACTGGGAGCCTGCAGCCAAGATGAGCTGCAGTCTGTCAGAGCTACTCTGGCCATGTGCGGTCTTGGAAGCCACCTGCTTGTTGTAAATCACTGAGATTTGGAGTGGTTTGGTACACATGATAATTGTGACCATATGTGGCTAATACATGCCCTTAAAACATGAAGTTTTAAGTAGAAAATGGGCAGTTTCTCCTCATATGCAGCTATGAATTATATTACAATTTTTAAAAATAGTCATCCTCATAAACTAATCCATAATAAGGGTATTTGATTTGAAAGACAATAGTGTGCTTTGTTTATAGGTATTAATGTTTTAAGCTCTATGTTCTTCCTCACCCAAAAGACCCTAAATCTATTGAGAGTAGAATATCATTATACACGTGTATTTAACTTTGCAACAAAATAAATATCACAAATGTTGCTGTATGATTAATTTAAAAATATATACACTTTAATCAATATATAATATATAAAATGTATATTATATATGGGTGAACACGTGGTAGATAGTATTACAAAATCTCATATTGTTTAATATTGAACAAATATAATGGATTTCAATAATTTTGTGAGGTACATTTTTTAAGATGCATGTAAATATTCACATGCAAGAACATGTATTTTGTTGTTGAACATTTTTAATATTGGATTTCAATATCATTAATTTCTATTTGAAGTACCTGTTTTAATATTATTCATTCTATATCTATATTTTCTCCATAGACCTGGTTGAATTTTATCACGATTACATATGTGCATATGTATACATATACATATTTCAATCGTGTTAAAAAATTTGGCATGCGATTTACACTCTTATCAAGCAGTATTACTTTGACTAAAGAACCATGATTTTATATAGGATTATGGTGTTTCAAAATTAGAATTCATCTATTCGTGTCTTCTGAAAAATGCAAATGTATCACCAAATCCCTGAAGTATATCTCCAAATTGGGATCTTTTTTCTAAGACGTTAAACTAGAAATAAATTTGCAGTGGTTTTAGAAATATAAAATTTGCCATTTTGGGAGTGCTTTTACTATCTCTGAATACAAACGTTATATTCATAAGGGTAAATTTTTCATTTTATAATAAAAACTTAGGCTGTAACTTTAATAAATTAATTCTTCATAGGTTTAATTTGTTACAAATCTATCTTGTGTTGTTATACACAGAAACAAATGAACAAATCCTTAAATTTGAATGTATGACACATTGCCATTAAGAAAGTATTTCTTTTGCCTAGTCTCTTGGGAGTAGGCAGAAAAGCAATCATACGTACTCATGTTGGTGACTTTAATAATATTTTGGCTTCCATGGGGAAAATATATTTTTTTACTTTTGAGTAATGTGATCAGTAGCAATTCTGTACTTCAGATATCTAAGATGAAAGTCTGAGTCTTATGCACTGTAATAGAAAAAGCTTAGAAAATCTATCTCATACTCTCAAACAGACAATCCACAGATAATCACAGTTCACTGTCAGAAATATTGCTTTAACCCACATTTTCCATATAATAACTCAGTACTATTGAAAATGATACTCTGTAGCAGTCAGGTCTCGAATGATTGTGGTCAGCTACAGAAAGGAAAATGTCCAAATGTATTGTTAAAAACATAAAGTAAGGCTTTGGAAACTTAATGGTAAATGATTTTAAAAAATGTATAAAATATCACTACAAATCAAGTTTAGCTATAATGAACAGTGTGCATATAATGGCTAAGGTATTTTTAAAAATATTTTTAGGGTAGTTTGTTTTTCATCAGAGAAGAAAAATGACGGATATACAAGTGAGCTATAAAGATAAATTTGTTGGCATGTAGGTTGGTTCCACATTTTTGAGAGGGTGAGGGACAAAACACTACAAATTGAGATCAGTGTATACTGCTCGAGTGATGGGCGCACCAAAACCTCACAAATAGCCACTAAAGAACTTACTAATGTGACCAAATACCACTTGTTCTCCAAAAATCTATAGAAATAAAAAATTTTTAAAAATCACTCTTTGTGGAAACAAATGCTGACAAAATTCAATGTAAAGTGACATAAAAGTGATCATTTAACGCTAAAAATTAGTCATCAGTTAGGACAGTAAATTAACTATGAATTCATTATGATGTTTTTGTACGAGTAAACATTTTATTACAAAGTATGTTTTAGAATAAATAAACATGACTAGAAGCGACTATTTTACTTTTTATTACTGGGTTGAAGGATTTCACTGAATGCACTGATATTCCAGATATATTACACTGATAATTTTTAATTACAAATAATATTTTCAAAAAAACAAAGCAAATGAGAAGAAAGAAGAGCAAAAAATGAGGAACAAGAGGGGAAGGAACACAAGAAAACAATGGAGTGGGAGTAGGAATAGCAAGGATACAATTAGGAGGAGCAATATGCTGAGGAAAAGGAGACGGAGATTTAAATTTATAAATTTAACCTATTCATAAGCAAGAGCAAAAGCAGGATCGAGAAAGTATCCTGAATTGAACTGGCTGACTCCAGAGCCATGCATATGTGATGCAAACTGAAAGCAGTTTGCAGAAAAGGCTTAAAGAACTGAAGTATTTGCAATATTTATCTTTCTGTGCCTGGCTTATTTCACTTAGCATAATGTCCTCTAGTTCATCCGTATCATCATATATGGAAGCATTCCTTTCCTTTTAAGGCTGAATAATATTTCATTGTTCATATATATACATATATAAAATATATTTGTCTTGTAATTTATATTACATAATATAAAATTATATATGATACAATATGAAAATAATATATACAGTACATAATTACATTATTATGTTATATATTTTACATAATATATAATATATAATTATAAATCATATATTACATTATTTATATAATATATAATATATTACATATTTTATATTATTTTATAGATGATATTATATATATCTATAATATAATATTGTATATAAAATATAATATATAATGTATGTATTATATATTATATTACATAATAAATATATAATTATAATTATAGATTATATAGATTACTATATATGTATATATAATATATAATATATTACATACACAATATTATATATACACAATATTATATTATATAATATGTGATAAATAATATAAGGTATGATATATTAATATATGTAAATGTATATGATGCATATTACATGTATATGCATATATCTATATGCATATAGATCATCTATATCTCCAAAACATATATACTGTATTTAACTCTATATACATATATAGATCATATGTTTTACATGATATATGTATTGATACTTTCTTTACATATTAATCAATTGACATTTAGATTGTTTCCATATCAAAATATGCTTGAAATATAGTATATTATAACTGTCAAAAAAGGCTTTTAATTTTAAAATAACTCTGACTACTCTGTTAAAGACTCGAATGAAAGCAGAGGCTTCATAAAAGATCAGGTACGCAATTTCAGCCAATATTCAGGAGTTTTAAGAAAAAATCACAAAGAAGTGCTAGAAAGAAGGTAGAATTAAAAATACATTAAGAGAAATGAATAATCTTTTTGACTGGCTCATGAATAGAATTAACACAGCTGAGAGAAGAATCAGTGAACTTGAAGACCAGCAATAGAAATTTTCAAACTGAGATGAACAGAGAAGTGTGAAAATAAAATCAGAGGATCAAAGAATGTTAGGACAAAATCAAATGGTCTAACATGAACATAACATGAACATAACATAATCCCAGAGGAAGAACAAGATAGGGAGCAGGATAAATATAAAGAAGTAATGGCTGAGAATTTCCTAAAATTAGTGACAGGCACCAAGCCACAGATCTGGGAAGACAAGAAATCAAGCAAGATAAATATCCAATGAAAATACACCTTGGCCTATCATATTTAAGCTATTGAAATCAAAGACAAAGAGAAAAAATCATGAAGGCAGCCAGAGGAAGAGAGACCCCAAAAAGCAGTCACAGGAATAAGAATAATAATTACAGTTTAGTTTTTATCAGATTCCATATAAGCAAGAAGACAAAGCAATGACCAAAATATTGGATCTATGCGAATAAATGAAGAATACTATAAATAGAATAAATGAATAGAAAAAATTGCAATTACTTTAAAAACAGCTGAAAGCAAAATATTAATTGTGTACCATGTGTTTATAGTATACACAGAATTGAAATCCATAACACTGATGTGTGATACAACAGGGAAGATTTGATAATATATACTTATAAGTGTCTTACACTACAAAGGAGGCATACAATATTATTTAAAGATGGATGGATAGTATTAGAAATATGTGAAAAATATTGTAGTTCTATGGACATCAATAAAATGTTTTTAAAACGGGCATAAATGTTAACTCCATAGAGGAAATTAAGTAGAATTTCAGAAAATGTTCTAACAATTACAATCTACTGCTGCTACCATAATGATCCACTTATCCATTCAACTGAAGAGAAAAACAATCTAAAGACATGAACAGTAATTTTACAGAAGAAACAGAAATGTTCGGTACAAATATAAATAAAAGTTTAATAATATTGCTTATCAGAAAAATGCAAATGTACTACATGAAAGATTGGTAATAGTATTTAATAGTGGAAGTTCATACTACCGTTAGAAGGAGTATAAGCTGATACAACATTATTGGAAATGTTTGGCTTTATCATTTAATGCTAAACATATTCGTGCCACATGTTACTAGGAATTCTACTTCTAGAGACAGCCCTTGGTGTTACTGGTTTACCAGGAGACACACACTTATTCAACAAAGTGCATAGCAACATGCTTTGTAACATTGAAACTTGGAAACAACCAAATGTCTATCAGAAGCCAATTGATAAATCAATTTTAACATATTCACACACAAGAATAATAGGAAGCAGAGGAAGTTAACTTCAAACACATGCCCAAACTGAAGAAACTGAGTAACATCCTTCTTAATGAAATGAGCTGGTGATAGAAACATATATACAGACTAATACAGTTTATATACAATTCAAAAATATTCCAAAGCAAACTAGTATTTGGTTTTACTTGTGTTCTGTAATAATATAATAAAACCAAGGGAAATGCCAGTACAATATTTAGTTTTTCAATACAGTAGAGGAGTGAGGAATATTTAAAAATCTGAAGAGGCAAGGAGAGGGACTGCACCAAATTAGAAAAGAAAGAAATAAAATAATAAAACAACCTATATGCATTTTGTGTGTTGTCTCATATATACATATAAATGTGTGTATGTACTTATATATAATATGTGTATATTTTTAGTAGATTCCTAAAAACATATCCATTTTACAGTATTGTGGAAGAAAAATTATGTAAAGGATTTGAAGGATTGATGACCAGTCTTTCAAATTCCTGGAGCCTTATCTCACATTTTTTCTATTTGGATCAAAAGTTCTAAGAGGAAAACCATACTCTGAATATTTTATTTAAATTTAACAAGGTTGTATTCATTGATTTTCATGAATCAAATGAACCTATTTTGAGGTGTGTGTTTGTTTCGTTTTGTTTTGTTTGAGATGGAGTCTCGCTCTGTCACCCAGGCCGGAGGCGATCTCAGCTCAGCTCAGTGCATCCTCCGCCTCCCATGTTCAAGTGATTCTCTTGCCTCACCCTTCTGAGTAGCTAGGATTACAGGTGCCCACCACCACACCTGGCTAATTTTTGTATTATATATTTTTAGTAGAGACGGGGTTTCGCAATGTTGGTCAGGCTGGTCCCGAACTCCTGACCTCGTGATCCACCTGCCTTGGCCTCCCAAAGTGCTGGGATTACAGGTGTGAGCCACAGTGCCTGGCTGCTATTTTGAATTTTTGTATGCACACACTATGGAAGGTTTTTGATTGTCAAAATCAAAACTGTTAAAATAATATTCTATTTGGAAGTCATTAGAATGCTGATAACAAAGAATATGTCTAAATTACTTGAATATGTAAGATTTCATCTGAGGTTATCAATCTGACACTCAGTTGTAGAGCAGTCAAAATTTACATACTTTCCAAAATATATAAAAACAAACATAAACTCAATCTTTTCATCTATTCAATCTGAAAGTCTTGCTCTGTTGTATATGGGTTTTATTTTGAAATGTCACATTTCCTTAAATCACACAGAGCACCACATCTGCTAAACGCTCACATGTTCACTAGCCCTCTTCAAAAGTCAGTTTACTTTACTTCTAGCTGTGCAAATTTTCTCTCATCCTTCTTCATTTTTAGTAGAGGGCCCACAGTGTATAATTTATTTGGCAATTAGCCAGTCTTTTCAGGGTTATAATTGTTCAATTCAAATGTATGTTCCATTTCATGTATGAGTATTGGAAGTGCTGTATATCAGTATATACTTATATTCTCTTAAGAAGCATCTGATATAATTGTCTTTCCCTATGTCTACACCACATGTTACAAACTAATCATTTACAGAAGAACCAAAAGCTTCCTTGGCATGGAAAAAATTACTCGAGGTCAGTATTTTTGATGAGGAGATTGTGTCAGTTGTCGAAGATAGATGACCAGCATCTTAAAGAATTGTCAACATGTGGTATGGTTTATTTCTTATAGCTAAGCAAAATATTTAAAGGTTCATTTCACACAAACTTCTTCTTTTGCTGAGGATGACTGCTCCTGAATATGTTCAAAAGGAGTCTGTGCAAACCTTTCAAGGAGTTTGGCTGTAGAAGAGAAGAGAGACAGAGAGAAAACTAGCTAAAAGGAAGACTTCTGTATATCTGTGTGTGTGTGTGTGTGTGTGTGTGTGTGTGTGTGTGTACCTATACATACACATAAACATACACATATGTGATTGGGAGAGACTTAAGTATGTTTAAAATGACTTTAATAATCCAGTTGATATTAGAGAGAAAAGGCAATTGATGAGCATAACTCACACTCTTTTTTTTCTTTTTTTTGAATGGTCTAGGCATAATGCCTTTCTTACAGGGAGTGCAGTGTGGAATGGGAGAAGTAAAAAAAAAAAATGAGTAGCTTTACTTGGAAGAAACTAAAGATAATACCTCATTCAGCCCAGTATTCGAAGTTAACATAGACAGTGGAATCATGTGTGCCTTGATATGATGTGATAAAAATGACACTTTGACTTTGGGATTTTCTTTCCCACACTAATCAGTCCAGTCAAATCATGAGAAAAACATCAGACAAATCTCAACTGAGGGATATTCTACATAACATCTGATATGTACTCCTTAATACTGTCAAAATCATCAGAAAAAAAATCTGAAAAACTGTCACAACCATGAACAGTCTAAGAGTCATGATAACTAAATGTAATGTGGTTTCTCAGATGGGATCCTGGAATTGAAAAGGCACAGTAGGTAAAAACCGAGGAAATTTGAGTGAACTCTAATTTGAAGTTGAACACAAAGGAGGTATATAAATGTAAACAGGTTTTTGGGTGAGTTGAAAGGATATTGAGGCAACTCCCAATTGAAATTGTATTGTTTTCCTTGTGAGATAAAAATAAAATCAACTACTAAAAATGAAAATGGAGTCCAAAAATTTAGGATAGTACTGAATTTGAAAGAAAAAAAAGCGCAAAATGTGATGGCACATTTATCGAAGAAAGAGAATAGTGAGGCTATTGTGGGATAATGTTAAGTAAGTTGCGTATCTTGAAACTGGTGTGATCTGTTGTGTGAAATTATCTAACCATGCCAGGCTCTGGAGCAGCTTTTGATATGTGCTGGGGCTCATACAAGTTTTGATTTTGCCAGACGAGTGAGATAAAAATTTGTCATTTGGCAAGTATGTTAGTCAGGGCTTTCTAGAGAGACAGAACCAATACGAAATATGTATCCATCTATCTTTCTAGCTAGCTAGCTATACATATACTAGAGGAGATTTATTAGGGTAATTGTCTCAGAAGATTATAGAGGCTGAGAAGTTCCACAATAGGCCATTTGTAAATTGGCCACTCAAGAGCGCTAGAAGTGTGGCTCAATCCAAGCCCAAAAGCCTCAGAACTAGAGACGCCCATGGTGTAATTCTCTGTCAGAGGCAGAAGACCTGAAAATCTGGGGAGCCGCTGTTGGTGCAATTCCCCGAGTCCAAAGGCCAGAGAACCTGGAGTTCTGATGTCCAAGGGCAGGAGTAAAAGGGTGTCCAAGCTGCAGGAGAGAGAGAGAGAGAGCCTTCTTGTTCAATTTGTGTCCCTAGTTGATTGGATGGTACCTGAGCACATTGAGGCCAGATCTTCCCCACTTAGTCCACTAACTCACACATGAATCACCTAGAACAACCTTAACCATTCCCCCAAAACAATGTCTTACCAACTAAGTATCTCTTAATCCAGTTAAGTAGGCACCTAAAATTAACCATCAAAGCAAAAGTAATATTAAAATGATGAAACCTGGATAAAAAAGGAATATTATTAGCATAATATATCAAATTACCATCAATATATACCATACGATTTTGTCCTCCTAATTTCAATGAATATGATTGTCTACTTTTCTAAACACTCATCAGTAATGTTTTATGTTTTTATTTTTGAGAATTTAGTAATCAGTGATGCATACCTTAATCCTTAGATTGGCATGATCACAGTTACTATTATAAAAGTTATCATGTTTCCATCTGCTCCACAGCCAACCAGCACCTCATTTTTCAACATCTAAAGAGACAATTAAGTTTCAATAGACTGGGAAACTTATAAAGAAAAAGAGGTTTAATTGACTCACAGTTCCATATGGCTGGCGAGGACTCACAATCATGGCGGAAGGCGAATGAGTAGCAAAGTCACATCTTACATGGCAGCAGGCTCAGAGAGCATGCTCAGGGGAACTTCCCTTTATAAAACCATCAGATCTCATGAAACTTATTCACTGTCATGAGAACAGCATGGGAAAGACCCACCTCCATGATTCATATAGCTCCCACCAGTTCCCTCCCATGACATGTCAGAATTATTACAATTCAAGGTGAGATTTAGGTCGGGACTCGGAGCCAAACAATATCAATCTCATATATATTTCACGTTAATCATAACTTCAAATTTGAGAGGTTATATATTCAGTCAAGCCTTCCTCAATCAAATCCATTTGTAGTAGAATAAACATTATTCGATGTGTTTTTGGAATACGGTTATCATTCTTAGTTTAAAGCACAGATACAGACTTTTAGTTATTCATAAGTTTCTATCTTTCCAGAAGATGTCACAATATAGCATTAAAGTTCTGACCCGTGTTATGAGATATAACTATGGGAAAGCAGGGGACAAAAATTACTAAATTTGTATATGACACCATTTATCACAATTAATTTAAAATTTATTTGGCAGGTATAATGTAAAACTAAACACATTAATAAGTTAAAAATAATTGATGAGAATACATTTTCACACCCAGGGGACAATATGTCTGTAAATGGTAAATTAAATCCCAAGTATTTTACATAGAAACATGTTTCTGAGCAGGTGAGCCATAGACCTTGTGATCATGTCAAGAAATTCTATGATTTAAATTCTATGATTCTATATAACCACTGAGATAATTGATATGAAAATATTTTAAAATATGAGTATAATTCACAGGAGTTTCAGGAGAAATGACAAATGTAAAACAAGATAGTATTCGATGGAAGAGATTCCTATTGATCTTGTTGAAGATTATTATGAGAAAACTTTTAAAACTGACACATAACATTGACACATAACATTTGGATATATTTATGGGGTACATGTGGTATTGTGTTATATGCATAGAATGTCTGATGATCAAGTCAGTGCATTCAGGAATCAATCATCAGGGTCATTTATTATTTCTATGTATTGATAACATTTCAATTCCTCACTTCTAGTTATTTAGAAATGTACAGTACATTGTCGTTAACTATAGTCACACTACTCTATCAAATATTGGAACTTATTTTGTCTATCTAAGCATATTATTTGTGCCCATTAACCACCCTCTCTTTATTCTCACCCTATACATCCATATTCTTCCCAGCCTCTGGTAAGTATCATTCCATTATCAACCTCCATGAGATAGCCTTTCAAGCTCTCACTTAAAATAGAACTGCTGAGAAAAAGAAATGTTAATAATGATCATCTTGCATTTCTTGATGTGATACTGAATATTGTTAATATGGTAATTTTTGAAAATAAATAACAGGGTTAATAAAATGCTGATAATATTTTTTGAGGGAAAGTTTGTAAAAATCATGATTTTTATATGAAATTCATCTGGAAATGCATAAGCATAACATCTTTTTTTATTACACAGACATGAAGACAATATAAATGTTTTTGTAATATATTGCTAATTTAAGATAACCTATATATATAAATATATATTGCAAATCTAGGAAAATCAAAATAATGGGATTTTTATAAACAGGATAAAATTGAATCAACAATATACTTTAAAGAAAAGAATGTAGCATTATGCTGAAAGGATAAGTTATTCAAAAATGATGGCAAGAATTGGGAAGTTGCATATTTGATTAAAACCATCACCAAAATAATATTTAAATGGACTTAAATTTACATAGTATTGGGTGTCCTGTGTTCGGTCATCTTACACTATTTAGGGTGAGGGATGCGTCATCAGGGGTGATTAGGAGTTAATGAAAACATCAACTTTTATAATGTATCAATGTTCTTTGATGCAAGAGTAATCACCGATAAAAAACAAAAAGAGATTCGAAAGTTTGTACCAAACTAGTTATCTCAGGCAATTGAAACTGAAGGTGTTTTGCCCATTTAAAATTTAAACTCGATGAGAAACTATTAGTAGGCTTGTTACCACTTCCTCTATTTTTATAGAGTTATCATTTTCTCTATTTCTTGCATAACCTTTCCTCTTTTTAAAAAAGTATAGGTTGATTCTTTCAATTTATATGATGATGTTGAAGAAAATATACTACGAAAATACATTTTAAATTAAGATTAGCAAAAAATAAAATGTGAGTCTATGAAATTAAAATTAAAATGCATGTTCTTAATATGATTCTGTGTTCTGCTATCACAGAAATATAAAATATATTTGAAGGTATGTGCAAAATACAAAATTTATCCTGGAAAGAACAAAGATTACCAAACTTATACATAACAGGGAGCTATATAGAAGTATATGCCTAAACATCAACTTTATATATGACTCATAATGAAATCCACTTTTGTTGGTCTTATGCACTTCTACAGATTTTTATAAGATGTAAATCATAAATGAGACAAAAATTAAAATGCTGATTTTTCTAATATTTTCATAAGAATCTTCCCTATCTAGATTTTCAGTCATCTCTAAATTTATAAATGCCATGAAAAGAAGATTCACAAGCAAAAATAAAATAAATCTTAAACATAAAAGATAAATCTTAGCTAAATTAAATAAAACTCTTACTGAATTATTACAAAAGTAAATTCCATTGATATGTGAAGCCAAACACAACCAAGCATCTAAAACCTTGCATAACTGGACAAAATCCAAGAGTATAATGTTCTGCCATGTTTATACAATTGCATTAAATAAGACAATAATAAAATATTCAACCACATCCGTTTTCTAGAGCTAGCTACAATTGTCATACAACTGATTGGTTATAGAATCAACACATAAACCTAATATTTAAAACCGATAAGTAAACACATACATTGTACCATCCTGTCTTCATAATTTTAAAGTTTTTGAAATTATTAAAAAGTATTATTGAAGAACTAAAATACCCCAAGCCTTTCATATGAAGTATCAGTTTAGAATACTAAAGAAATAACGAAATATTATACATTCTCTGCAGCTTTTTAAAGAAAAACACGGAAACATACAGAGAAATAAATATAATTTAGCATATTATTGATATGAATAGTTTCCTATTTTATTATGGAGTACATTTCTAGAAACGTGTTTAATTGTCATTCTCTGATGTGCTAGACTCTGTACTAAGCAGGACAGATCTACAGATGAGCAAGACAGATCCAACATGTGTCTGGCTTCTCCTCATTTTAGAATCTATAAAGTGGGATTAACAGATGCTGAAGGCAATGACCCCTGTTATTGCCTCAGTAATATATGCCAAAAATGATAAATTCACTATGTAATATTCATGATCCAGTTATTCTTTCTTTCACTGCCATTTTTTACTGTACTTCTGCAATCTATCCTAGAAATTTCAATCTAGAAATTTGCTTAGGTTTTTTATTTTAATAGTACATATTGATTATAGTGTGTATAAGCACAAGAATATTTATTCTTTAATGATCTAACAACTTTGTTACCTTAAAAAAAATAGAGTCCACTTTAAGAGTCAGAAGTAATCTCACTGGTGCTTGGTCCATATAAAGTTACATAATTTAGCCTACCTACTCACCAATTTTCTCCTCAAAAACAGAAAGAGGTAAAAAAAAAAAAGTTCCTTTTCAGAAGACAAGGGTGCAGCTCATATATAAATACACTCGAGGGTGAGAGAAGGATTACTGTCTTCACTTCAAATTGTCATTACTACCGAATGCCCAACAGAGAGTCCTGCAAAGCTACATTCTGAGGATAAAGTAAAAACAATCACAACCAGATATTCAATCGAAGCAAACAAGCAAGAGAGAAAGGAAATTGTGAAACTTCTAGATAAGTGTCTTATTTCTCTGAAAACATATCATATCAGTTACAATACTACTGTGACAAATTTCTTTTGTCGCTTGTCTTCTGGTCAGAAGTTAATTCAGTCACTGCTGACTGTTTCATTCTCCACTGATATGTTTGCCATTCCTTCTCTCTTTTTCAATTTTCCTGTGTATATTAGAATAGAATAGAATATTGATTTACTAGGTAGTACAATGAGCTCCCCAGAAGGAAGGTAATGTATTACTTTGACTAACACATAACTAAGTGATGTAATGATTTGTCATGAGGCAATGAACTTATCAGTGGAGTGTTAGAAATAATTTTAATAGCATAAAAATTTTGAATATTTCTTGTATTCATGATTGAAGCTAAATAAATGGATGGTTTCTAACTTTGGCATGTTGCCAGAAACTTATATTGGGATAGAATTACCTAGTCAAACTTAATCATCATGTCAGTATTTTCATGACTAACAATTCAAATTTAGAGACTTAGCATACTTTCAGAGACGGTGCCATGGCTCATCAGTCTATGTTGTAGAATATTAGTTAGTGGCTCCTAGTCATGATGAATTGTTCTTTTGTGAAGAACTGAGGAGTCAGTGGGAGAGTGTGTGGAATAATTTATTCTCTTATGAAATCAGCTAAGGACAGAATCAATATGGAAACTAACTTCAGTATTATAAAAATAACAAGTTTTCCCCTCAGATTTTATAAAGTGTCATAATACAGTGTTAAAATGTGGTGTCTATTTACAAAAATATATATCTAAAGTTATACAAGTTAGATTTAAGTAACTCAAAGCTGAGAAATATCCATTTCCAAAATAACTTGTGAATATAAACCAGTTTTTTTGTTTTGTTTTGTTTTGATTTGTTTTGAAGAATGTGGGCCTAAGCACCACCAGGTCATAGCCGCCAGTCAGATGTATCAGAGTTAATAAAATAATCATTCTTTCAGAGGCATTTATAAAAAGGTAAAGTATTCTATGAACTTTGCTTACTCAGGATTTTTAAAAACTCAGTATTAATGGAGACATTTTCCTTGGTGACAAAGACAAAAATGACTAAATTTCAGCTCAGGTGTTATCTTCCCTAGAAAGCAATTTTTTTATGTCCCAGTCAGTATTAGGTGGTGCTTCTGTAAACCACTCTACATTTATTTACATAGAAGTTAATATTTAACTGTAATAATCTGATCAATTTTGTTCTCTTTTTTGATAATGGACAAGATGGTGTTTTACAACTTCAAATCTCTAGGACATGACACAGAGTAGTTTAGTCAATGTTAATTGAATGAATTGAAGGCATGATCCATATCTTTAAAATTTAATGTGGGAAAGCCACAAATAGGACTAGGCTCAGTGTGAGGTAGAGAATTATATAAAAAGTAATAGGAGCATAGAGGAAGGATGGGCTTAATTGGGTGAGGGGTGATGAGGTGTGCAGATGCATCTTAAAGAAGATTGAAGCTCCTATTTAATAAATTTAATTTTCTTGAGGGGAAAAGGAGAGAAGAGGACAGAAGAAGGGCAAAGCCTGAAAGCATTTGATAAACATTAGAAACTGGTTGTGTGTAGCTCAATATAGAATATGAGGAGAGTGGAAAAGGGGATATGATAATTCAGCATAAGCTTCCTAGTGACAAAAAATAGTGAAGATTTTTTTTTATAGCTTGGTATACAAAAGTTTGCACTTAACGAAAAGGCAGAAGATAGTTGTTGAAGAATTTTAAATAGCATATGAGTGAGTTATTATAATAGCATTTGGGAATGCTGACTTTGCTAAAGTACTGAGATTGGACAGAACATACTAATTGATGAGAAGGCTATTTTGATTCTTAAGCAAGAGATTTGGAAGGTCTGCCTTTAAGGCAGTATACAAGACCAGCAGCAGCATATTTGTGAATTTATCTAGGTTTGGAGATTAGATGAGCAAGTATGACAAAGTTTGAAGCTAATTTCAAATAATGGTTAAAGTTGTTGAATTTCTTTCGCTGAGATAATAAGCAAAGAATATGCATTCATGAAACTTACAGTACGAGTTTGTAAGACAGTTGATAACAAAAATGAGATAATTAAAGTTATATTTTTTATCCTGATCTTTTCTTCTGACAGTGATAAAATGTTGCAAATGCTTATTCTTGCGTATTAAAGACAAGTGGTTTCATGCAACAGAGTATCATTTATGATAGAGTTTCTTTTCCTATGCTACATGTTACAAAGTTAATGTGTGATCAATTTGCATTTAACATCGATTAGATCACTGTTTGCATATGATGTAATTATTTTAATCTCTCTTTGTCATATATTTCTGAGCTGTTATGTACTTCTTGTCCACTTGTGAAGTATTATAGAAGGTATTCAGCTCCTGGGGGTAGTTTTCTCAACAGCTGAAGAAAATATTTTATTTAAATTAATTTAGTTATTGGTTTAGTTCTCTTAAAACAACTGCCCTGAAATGTAGTTGAATAGAAATGTGTCCAGTGGTATTGGCATGTACAGAGATGAAACAACATGGAGATAGTCATAAATATGAAGCAATGCACACTAAAAACTTTTTATTTTTGAAACTAATTGGACAGAACAAGGAAATTTACTCAATCCACTTAATGTATTTTGTAAGCATAAAAATTTACTAACCATCGTAACATTCCTCTTTCTCTCTGCCTATCTCCTTCTCTTTCGTACACAAACACATCGAATCTTACAGAAGAGGAGGAGTTAGCCAGGTTCAAGGAAGTGGATCGATTGAAGAGCACTGTAGGCAGAAAGAGAGAGCAAAATGAGTAATTTCTCTGATATTAGAAGAAGCATTGCACACACATTGGGGTAACTGCAACTAAATTTTAAATTGTGAAAAAGAGTGAGAAACTAAGCCACAAGGGCACTTGTTAGTAATATTAAGGAAATTGGCCCAAGGGGAATAGGCATTAGGAGAATAAATAATCATTATAGGGTTTTAAACAGGGAATGATACGATCTTAATTGTGCTTTAAAGAGACAATTTGAGCTCTATTCTGCAGTGAGTATTTCTAGAGGTAGAAAGATTTGGTTGGAAGCTAAATTCAGAAAGACATTATGTTGAATCTAAACTGAGTGACTTTTATAGTGGATGAAATTGAATTGTTTTGAAAGTTATGAAGAAAATAAAATCAACAAGTCTAGCAAATTGATTTGAGGTTGAAAATGAGAAAAGTGATATGCGCAGAATTTTTAGCAAATGCAATTGGTGATTTTTCACCTTCATTATTTAATGAGAGATAATGCAAAGGAGAAAGGAGTTTAGAGGGAGTGTTAGAGTGGAAAGTTGTTTTAGTTTAGGAAATATTGATTGTTCAGTTTTCATAGCACTGCTGAGTGAAAATGTCTGGAATTCTTCGTGTCATATATAGCTCTAGATCCCTATTCCATCCTCAATATCTTAAATACATTTATTGAGAAATTTGATATTTTCAGAAAATAAATTTTCTACATGCTACTACCACCCTCTATAACTACAGCCACTAATTTCTTCTGTCTCCAAGAATGAAATGTTCATGCGTTAGTATTTATTTCTCACTCAGTGTTTTGGATTTCTTCTGGGATAATGTTTTCTGCATTTAAAATTTGTCTCTCCTCTGGGTCTTTTTTTTATCTTTTATCACTGTTCTTGTTGCTCCTATGTTCAAGAAAAATAAGAAAAGTAAAACTAAAACTTTTGTCTAAGGGTAGCACAATTTTGTCTTTCTCCTACTTTTCATGACATTATTTAACATATGCTGCTAACATAGACTTACTTAGTTCATTTCTTAACTCTTAATAGTTCTCATTCCTATTCTGCAACTAGGCTGCATCTGCTCTTAGGAAGTTCATCAATTCCTTTCACATGAAAATATCTAACATACTGGTGAAATGTATCTTAGTTTAGCCCTTCTCTACAGCTACAAACAACTACAAAATACAGAAATCTGACTGTTTTAACTTCTTTTTTTATCAACTCATTTTACTCAGTTTCTGGCCACTAAATACCCACACCAGAATAATAGCAGATACTTCTTTATTCTCCCATTTTCTCTGCTCATAATTGAATCCTTTCAGCCCAAATTTTTCTCTAGCACCTTGGATTTCTGCTGTTCCTAAAAAAGCTACTCATTTTCTTTTTGTTTTCTGTATTCTATATCCATCACAATGATGATCTAATAATCATGCAGCTCTCTTTATTTAATGGTTATGTTTAGCAGTCTGCTTTTACATTTCTTAGTAACAGTATATGTGTTTATATATGTGAATAAGTACATATGCATATACACATGTGGAACTATCTTACAATATTTATTCAGAATATCTAAAATAGTTTTCCATGACCATTTATTAAATCTCTGTGCCAGGAAGCATGATACTTACTTATATACATCACCTTACTTATAGTTGTTATTACCATCTATCCCCATTACAGAATAAGAAAATTTAAATTGACAAGAGAAAATATAAAAAACTTGCCAATGACCATATACACAGAAATCAGATAGATCAAGATTTAATCAAAGATTACGTGATTTTAATGACTGTTCTTTTGAGTATTACTGTCTCATCCAAGGAAAGAAAAGGTAGTATCATAGTCTAATAATGACATTTCATAATTTCCCACAGAAAATTTTCAGAAAGAATGTTGAATATATTTATTAAGTTTCAGGATATTTTTAACTGAAGTATATGTAAATTTTATTCTTTCATCCAAAAGAGCAGTTGTCCAAATTTTGGGAGGGTGCACCATTTTATTTTGGCTTTCATAAACATTATTTACTAGGTTTAATTTTCCCATATTTACATTTTTCTTCCTTTAACTATAGGTTTTCTTTTTCCCTAAAGTATCCTCAAACTGATATCTTAATCATATCTCAGGTTAGGAACTTCTTAGGATTATCATTTACAGTAGTTAAACATGATTAGTAAGAAAAAATGCTAACTAAATAAAAGGAGAGTATGTTAGACTTCTTTCTTCTACTCCTCAGGTTACACTACAAGTTTTATTTGGCCCAGCTTTTTGTGTTAGTAATACTTTCAAAATCTTCTTATTTATCTTTTGAGCTTCAACATAGGAACTTTATATTTTTCAAAGCGAAATTGGTGTTGTTTGCCTGCAAATAAAAAATATGATATGATCACCCATTTATCTATTATAGATGTCAATGTTGTTATTTAATTTGTTTTCGTTCAGTGCTATAAAGTGAGTAGTTCGGTTCTCACTGTTCAGTGATCCTGAAGAAATTCTCCTAGATTTATTTCTTTTTAATTTATATAGCAGTTGTCTTATAACAATTCTTACATCTTTTCATAATGTAAATTACTCTTATCCTAAGTAGAAAGACTAAACGATGAACCAATCAAAAATAATGACTACAACAACTTTCAAGACATAGTCAGAATAATAAGATATAAAGAGAAACAACAATGAGTTAAAAAGCAGAGGGACAAAATTAAGGTATTAGTTTTCTTTTTGCTTGTTTGTTTATTTCTAAAATAGGATAGATAAAAACTATTCTAGAAATCAAAGAGTAAAATGTTCTCTTTTATATGTAATAAGTCTATAAAAATCAAACTTATACTGTAAATATGAAAAAAATATTTTGGCATTTTAAAAATGTCTAGAATTCTTTATACTCAGTTTACACATAAATATATCTTAAAGTAACAAGTAAAGTAATAATATCACTAAATAACATATAATTTTGGGGGGTTATTGACAGGTGTTAAATTTATTGCATTTGTAGACTCTCAAGAATGTCAAATGCTGTTTTAAATACTAAACTTAAAATAAACAAATGTGAAAGTGAAGTAGATAACTTTTTAGGAATTCATGAACTCTGGATCCAGATTTGTCCTGGTCATACATACTCTTCCCCAGGGAGAAACAGCAGATGCGAACGTGATATATCAAATGGTAGCAAAATAACATTTTATTATTAGCTCGAACCATAACTAAATAGTTTGGATCACTTGGATTCATTTTCTTTCCCTAACTAATGACATAAGAAAGGTGAGTTGATTTTAGCTGTGGTCAGGAGGCGTCTGTTCCTCATACTTTGGATCTCCCCAAAGGGCTTCTTGGGTGTTTTCTTGACATGATAGCTGGTTTCCCCAGAGTGCATGATCTAAGAGCACAAGGTATGAGCTGCAGTACCTTTTATGATGTAGACTTAGAAATCAAGTTTTGTTGTAATTGTAGTATTTTATTGAATCTGTCAACTCTATTCAATGCTGATGGAAACTATACAGTGGCAAAAATACCAGAAAGTGGGAATTTTGAGGAGACATCTTGGAGGCTGTCTGCGAGAGAGTACATACTTACAGATTCTAAATTACATACTTGGGAACAATTAGTGTTGCAGCTCTTTTACCCCTGTAGTTTGATGAGTTCCAAGTTCTTGCCCCATGACCAAGAAGAATGATGTATGCAGACACCAGAGAGTGAGTAAGGCAGAGTAGAATTTATTGCGTGACAGAAAAGCTCTCAACAGCAAAAGGGGATCTGAAGGTGGGTTGCCAGCCACGAGGCTGAGTCTAGGGCCTTTTATGAGCTTGAAATGGAGAAGTGTGTGCTGATTGGTCTGTAGGTATGCTTGAAAAAGCACCATTCACAAATAGGCATGTTAGTGTAGAGGACCAACTGGGGAAAGGTAACTTTAGGTAAAACAGGTGAAGGATAAGGGCCAATCAGGAGAGAATGTGCCAAATAGGAACAGGGGCTCTCAATCTGGTCCGTGAATTTATCAGGAACTTGTAGCTTGGTTTTCAGGCTTTAGACTCTCCTTGGCTTGAAGGTTGAATTACACCAAGGACCCATCCCTATCTGCCTAGGAATTTACCTGCCTCCTATCGCTATCAGTAGCCTATTTTGTGAATCTCTAATTTTCACTCATAATTTTATATGGTATTTATTTCTTCTCTAAAACTAAAGATGAAGTCTTAATAATTATTTCAAATAATTATACTTCTATTTTTATTCCATCAAATGAATAACACTTATAATTAATATTATTCTTAATTCTCCTGTTGTTACCAATAAACTTTAAAATAATATACCAATACTTCTACGTTTTTCTAACATTGTTCTCTTGAACAATATTTTCATCTAAATAATAGTAAGAGCAGTCCTACATTTATATTGTAAACTACTTTCAAACCTGTGTCTTATATTACCTACACCTTTATATTTTAAAAGTTGATGTCATTTACCTTCTAATCTAAGAGTCACACACCAAGATATTTCCATTCTGTCTTTAGGTTAAGTCAATTTTTGCAAGCAACAAATGGCATTTACATTATGATGACCATACAAAAATTATTCAAGTAACACACATTCTTCTCTGTAGCCAATGCCTCTAATCAAGGGGTACTCTAAGTAGAATTTGCATAGAATTTCAAATAGATTCACATTTCTTGACATTCTTGATTCACATTTCTTGTTAAAAATGACACATTTTCTTTTTCTTCTTATTTGGCCTAAGGTTCTCTTATAGCACTCCCCCTTCCATTCCCCTGCCCACTATCGAGTTTTCAAATTGTCTTTTTTTTTATTGGATAATAAGCCCACATATCCTGAAGTCATGCTATTGATGTGCAAAACTCCACCCTTTCATCCTAGATTACCTTGGTTATCCCCACTCTACCAAAGTCCTTCATTTTCTAGTTATTTGCACTGGTTGCTCTCATGACCTTCTGCAGAATGATCAATCTGGGACATCTTATCCCTGCTTTCCTGAGTCGGTTTCTCTGTTTACTGAATTTTGCTCTTTCTCTTCTGTGGTTTACTGACCTTTTTTTTTAGTTCTCCTCAGATAATTCCTAAATTAAGTTGTACACAGTAATTTAAAATGGATTGTTTTTATTATGTTGTTACATATCAATAATAATTTGTCTTGTTTCAAATCATTTTTTCCAAAATATTGTAGGATTATGGTGTTCCATATTCATTCTTGCTGATGACAAGTCTGAGGGGTACTCTGACTATAATTTTATTTTAAATTATGTGAACTTAATTTTAATTATTTTGATAATTACTTTTTATATTTAAGTTGTTTATTTAAAAAAATTATAATTTATTTAGTTATTTTAGCTAAAAGAAATAAAAGGTAGTCACTTCTCATCTTTATTTGCACATGATATTTTAAGACTTTTTAAGATTTTTTACAAGGTGATTAGCATAAAAGGCTATCTCACTGTGATTATAATTCATATTTATCCAAATTTTAATATGGTTGACAATATTAATTTATGAAATATGTTTTCTCTTCTGTGAAATATTTGCACTTATTGCTTTCCCCACCATTCTATTGCATTTTTTATCCTTTTTATTGATTTGTGGGCATTTTTTATATATTTTGAATACAGACATTTTTCTGGTCATATGTCTTACAAAATAGTTTTTCCATTTTAGAGTTTGTCTTTTCATTCTCTTTATGATGACTTTTAACGTATGATATTTTTATAGTTTATAAATGTATCGCACAATTGGAATTAGCATACATCTTAAATTTTAGATTACATGGCAGAAAATTAAGTCTTGAAGTTGAAAAATGGGAATTCCATTCTTTTTTTCTTTACCTGGAATAGCAGTTTTAAGGATGTATGCCAGCCAGCCAGGCGTGGTGGCTCACGCCTGTAATCCCAGCACTTTGGGAGGCTGAGACAGGGGGTGGATCCCTTGGGGTCAGGAGTTCAAGACTAGCCTGGCCAACATGGCAAAACTCTGTCTCTACTAAAAATACAACAACAACAAAAATTAACCGGGCTTGGAGGCCTGCAAGTCCCAGCTACTCGGGAGGCTGAGGCAGGAGAATCGCTTGAATTCGGGAGGCAGAGATTGCAGTGAGCCAAGATTGTACCACTGCACTCCAGACTGGGTGACAGAGCAAGACTCCATCTCAAAAACAAACAAAAACGAATGTATGCCAGCCATTTCTAATAAGAAATTAATATAATGAATGAAGTGTAAGATAATAAGAGTATTATATTACAGTTTTCATTACCGCACATCAAGTGCCTTTAAACATTGACACATATAACCTTTAAAATAATATTTGTGACTAAAATGTCTTATTATGGTATTGATATAAGAAGTGATTCTAACAAATATATCAGTTTTTCAGTTTGCACAGTTGCATTGGGTCAGATATAGTCCATATTAACTAACCTACTAAAATCATCCAGGAACATTATACGTAACACAAATATCAAGTCTTCAGTCAGGAAAGTAAACATTTTCAGGAAATATTACAAGTTAATGTTCAATGCTAGATCTATTTACATTTATCACTTAAATGAAAGTCTTTTGTTCTGTACATAAAAATATTTTGAAGAAAGTAAAATGCTTGACTTTTTCTAAGAGTGAGTCTATTCTGTCAATATTAGCACTTGGTAACCCCAGAGTCTATTCTCAAAGATGTTAAACATAAATCGATGGAAGTGTATTATTTGCAAATCTTAATTGTTACACATTTAGTGAATTTTATTTGTAACTGTTGAAAATATAACTATTTGAAAAAACTAAAACAAACAAACAAAAAAACTTCATTCCTGGTCTGGTATAAAAATAATATACTTCTTACAGAATGTGTGGTTGTTTCCAGGTAAGTTAAGGAAATGCTTTATATGAGGTCTACTTAATATCACTCAGTTAAGCATTGACTTTGAAAAAGTATGCATAGAATAAATACACATGTACAAAATCATCATAGCTTTTATTACAAGTGAGTTAAATGAAATCGTCCATAATGGTATCTTTTTTTGTTCATTGCTTATGCTGTTGAAAAATTGTGGAGTCTCTTATTTCTATTTATAATTTTACTATAAGCAGTTTTTCTGTAGTGTATGTTTTTCCTCTTCGTCACTCAACTAAGTAATTGGGTCTCTGAATCTCATACAAAGTCCCTAGGAGGTCTCAGTCACCCTCCAGGGAAGCTGTCCTTGTACTGCATGAATCTTATGGCTCTGTCACTTCAC
Source organism: Homo sapiens (assembly GCF_000001405.40). Lineage (NCBI taxonomy): Eukaryota > Metazoa > Chordata > Mammalia > Primates > Hominidae > Homo > Homo sapiens. The sequence goes on from NC_000007.14 coordinate 125,538,960, forward strand.
CACAAGACCTTCCTGTACAACATGGGGATGAGAAGGGGTTGGTAGTGAAACCTCAGCATCATGCATTGTCTCACGTGAGAGTGACACACGGTGCTTTCATTGAAGTTCCCTAGACAAAGCAGTCACTTGCACTTGCCCACTACAAAGCTATTGAGAAGCACTTTTCCATATGTCAAGGAAAAAAAAATGAACACATAGGATATTCTCTTCCACAATATATTCAAGGAAAAACTGCTGGCAATACTCAAATTTGCAAGGAATTAAGCATAAACTATAAGACTAGTTAATTTAGAGAGTGAGTTTTTTTCCAAAGAGCAGTCCATTTAGTTCTCATTAACACTATTTCTTTTTCTCTCTCAGGACAACTTGTAAAATTGGTTAAAAAAATACAAATCATGCCTCGTCTCTGGAAAAATGGAGACAAATATTCCAGAGAAATATCCAGGTAGTATTAAAGCTGATGAGTGACTATGTGAGTCCTCAATTTGTAAGAGGATCTACTCTGCACAGTGCTGGTTAGACACTGCCATATTCTTGCTTTTTGGGTTCCCTTCTCCAAAACATATTGCAAACACTTTTCTTTAGATTGCTGTTCTGTTTTCTGTGTTCATATCAATGAATAGGCAATCAATTTCCATTCACGTGCAAGCATGTCATTCTATGATTCCTTGTCCTGTTCTTGTTTTTATTTTGTGAAAAAAGGTTGTCTTTAATATGAATTCTGTAAATAGGCTTTTGTAGATTTGATTGTTCTTTCACTCCAGTAATACCTCATTTGCTTCATTTCTAATTTTTAAATTAAAGCTTATCATTTCTACAATTTTATTCCATGTTTTTCTTTCATTTTTGCAACTATGATGAAGGTTAGAAAAGGCAGTCAAGTAAGTGAATAATTTGCGTCCTGACAGAGCAGAATGAAGTAACTTGTGTAATAGAGTTTTTAATATTGGGTTTGTAATATTAGAAACATATAACATAAATAGCTGGGAGTGGTGGCTCACTCCTGTAATCCCAGCACATTTTGAGGCCAAGGAAGGTGGATCTCCTGAGGTCAGGGGTTCGAGACCAACTTGGCCAAAATGGTGAAACCCTGTCTCTATTAAAAATACAAAAATTAGCCAGGCATGGTGGTGGGCACCTGTAATTCCAGCTACTCAGGTGGCTGAGGCAAGATAATTGTTGAACCTGGGAGGCCTGGGTGACACAGCAAGACTCCATCTTAAAAAAAAAAAAAAGAAAAAGAAATATATAACATAAAGTAGCTTGGGGATGTTCCTGAGTTTAAGCATTCCTTACAGTAGCTTAACTCAATGATTAGTTTCTCAAAAGTATATTTTATGAAAAACATTTTCTGAAATATGAAAAATAGAAGATAAACATGCCAATGAAGTGAGCGAGGCCCTATAAATAAGAATACCTTAAGAAGATTTTACTCTTTTGTTTTTATATTAGCATGTCATTTCAGTTAAAAAAAAAAAAAGGTGGACTGACTTTTAGGCTGTTCTCCTCTCTCCTTCAAGCTACCTGCTCTCTTTGAAGTATTGAACTGAAGCATGTGTCCATAGGTATTTGTCACTTGATACTGACATTTCAGCACTCATTTGATAGATTAATGGAGAAAACTGGTAGTGCTGATTTCTTTCTTCCCATGACTTTTGGCATAAACATACTTTTCGAGACATTTCCTATAGTTCTTGGATTAATTTTAAGAATCTTACTACTAAGGCAGTTTGGGAAGAAATAGCTTATTCAAAGATAGATAGCTTTCGTGCACTGAAAACCATGAAACATCTTTGATTGCCCAGTTGATTCTCAATACTACATTATTGTAGAAATTGTTAGCTAGTGGACCTAAGATTTCTGAATTAATCTGATTCTTGTTTTGCCGTTTTAACATACTGTGGTTAGCTTGATACAATTCATTTTTTAAATTGAACTGATTCTGGGTTTCAGAATGAAAGCTAGCTAATAAAATCAAACACATCTTAAAATATGAATTATAATTAAAAGTTAACTTTATATTATACCACTCACCAATGGATTGTATACATTAATTTTCATAAGGTCAGAGTTATGGCTTTTTTACATTGTTAGTCCTTGATAGCTATCTTATGTCCTGGCAGATATTACGTGTTCAATAAATGTTTGATGAATGAATGAATAAAGATTTAGGACAGACCCTGTGGTGGGTAGGAAGCAACTCCATTTTCAAAGTCACCTTCAAGTTCAGGAAATCATTGAAGAATTGTACAACTTTTCTATCCACGTCAGATCTAGAATCATCGCTGTTGGGTAATTATTATTTGATAAAGTATAATGCAATCCACAAATATAAGCTGCCTGTATTAGTTTTCTATTACTTCCTAACAAATTACCGCCAACTTGGCAGCTTAAACAACATCCACTCAGTATTTTACAATTTTAGTGGGTGAGAAATAAGGCTGGATACCTTGTTCACCATCTTACCAGGCTAAATTCAAGGAGTCAGCTATAATTGTGTATTTCCTCTGTGGCTCAGTTTGCTCTTCCAAGCTCACTGTTTTAGATATATATATATTCAGCTAAATATATATATATAGAGCTAAATATATATATATATAGCTGAATATATATATAGCTAAATATATATATATATATAGCTGAATATATGTATATATATTCTCCTTGAGGCTGTAGGACTGAGGTTGTTACTTTTCTACTGCCTGTGCAGGTACTGCTGTCAGAGGCTATAGACAGTTCCCTGCCATGTAGCCCCCTACTATGGACTGAATTATGGCTCTCCCCAAATTCGTATGTTGAAGCCTTAATCTCCAATGTGGAATGTGTTTGGATATAGGGCTTTTTGGAGATAATTAAGGTTAAATGAGTTCTTAATGTTGGGGTCCTAATCCAGTAAGTTTGGCGGCTTTTCAAAAAGAGGAAGAAAGATTAAGCACACTCCAAAAATCTCCTCATCTTAAGGTCAACAATTTCTGACATTAATTATACCTGAACAATGCTTTCACATCAACATCTGAAGTATAGTTTTATTGAATAATTGGGAGAAGTTGTGTGTATACTACAGGCTGGGAATCCTGAGGGATACCCTATAATTCTGTCTACCGAACAACATGTTTTTTTAAAATACATATTTAAAATAAAACATATATTTAAAATCAAAACAACAAATATTTTTATTTAGCCACATTAAATAAAAAGTAAAAAGAGGCATGTAAACACATTTAATAATATATAATTTATGTAAACAACATCATAATCTAATTTCAACATATAATAAGCATAATTTTTCCAACTCTTATTTTTAGTTCAAGAATATAAGTACAGGTTTGTTACATGGGTAAACTCGTGTCACAGGGATTTGTTGTACAGAACATTTCATCACCTAAGTATGAAGCCTAGTAACCCATTAGTTATTTTTCCCAGTCATCTCCTTCTTACCACTCTCCACCCTAAGAAGACCCCAGTATCTATTGTTCCCTTCTATGTGTCCATGTGTTCTCATCATTTAGCTCCTACTTGTAAGTGAGAGCATGCAGTATTTGATTTCTGCCCCTGTGTTAGTTTGATAAGTATAATGGTCTCCAGCTCCATCCGTGTCCCTGCAAAAGACATGATCTTGTTCTTTTTTATGGAAGTTAGAAATCCAGTGTGTATTTTACATTTATAGCACATCTCAATTATGACTATCCGTATTTCAAGTAGTCAATAGCAAATGTGGCTAGTGGCTGCACATTACACAGCACAGCTACAGACAATTATAGGTGTAATCTAGGTTAATTATAATTACAGGTTAATTACCCTAAGAATTTAAGGAAGAAAGCAGAGTGCCATTTCAACATCTCCTGGGACTGGAAGATTACATTTAAAGTGAACTCCAGGAGCAATAGAAAACTTCCATATTATTGGACATACTTTTTGTTTCAGCTTGAATTGAGGGTGAAATAAGATAAAATAAAATAAAATCAGTTTAAAAAATGCGTATTTTACAAAGTGCAAGTAGAAAATAACAATTTGTTAGATTTCTTGCCATGTTGTTCTCTTATATATAAATGATTATTTGTGAATATACTAGTTTTAAATTTCTGTAGTTTTAAACTTCCCTCCAAATAATTCCACTTTTATAGCATCTTTAAATAATTACTAAATATTTAACTTACTGAAAATATAAATATAAACATAACCATTGCTTAGCATCAACTCTTGTGAACAGATAATTTTTTCTTTAACTTTTGTAAAGAGAAGTGATAGTTCTATTCTTATATATTTAATGATTTAATGATATTCAAATTTTAATATTTTTCTTCAAGCAAGTAATACACCTTTAGTCACAATTTTGTAAACAACATAATGCGGAGTCCACAAGTATACATTTGTATTGATATCCTTTCAATAAATAAAACTTAGAGTGAGTTAAAACAATAAAAGACGTAAGACTAATAATTTATGGATACTGTATTCTTTTCTCTGTTTTAATCAGTGTGATCATAATAGTATTTATTTTACTAAGGAAGAAAAATATCCTAACAAAGGATAGAACATGCCAATGCCTGTACTAGTCATTACTATATAGTACTTCCTACCAGTGCACTTAAAATGTTATTAATATTAAATATCATATATTATCACATAAACATATAACATGAACTTAGTTCATTAATATTATTCTGATTTGAACACTTTACCTTTTAAGTTGAAATGACAACATCAGCTAGCTTTTTGATGTCACTGATAGAAGCATAAAATGAATATCTATAAATATATGATTGTTCCACCTGATAAATTTCAAATGTTCAAAATTTTTACAGAGCATGTTATATAATGTCTTTCCTTAACCCATTGTATTATTATCTTCTGTGACTGTATGTTGGGATACCACAGGCCTTTCACTTCTGAAATGTTCTTATGCAGTCTGTTGAGAGATCCTTTGTCATTGATCTCACTTCACAGTCTTCATCATACAATGTTGACAGGAAATTTTATTTCTTTGTGTGTGTGTGTGTTTTCACTTCTTTGCTCATTTTGCTTACATGGCATTCTGATGGGCTGAGGTTCAAAAATTCGAAATTGTTCAGACATTTGCCTACCTTAATATATAGACAGAAAAAACATACTACAACATATCTTTTACTCATACAAGTGTCTCTTTGGCTTTGAGATTAGTGAGAGGTATAATGGTAAGTGGTAAATTTTAAAAAACAAAAGTGTTTAAGAAAGAAAAAAGGACATGGAGGAAAAATAGTATAATGTAAAATATATATTTGTTTTACTATATATTATATAATGTGTTATTATATATGATAGATGTATAGATCATGTATATGCTATACTAATAGCATATTATGTCATATATTACATACCAAAAACATATTTAATTTTAATGTTAAAATATATATGTCACAATAGTAAACAAAAAATCATTATAAGATGTGTGAAGAAGAAAGACATCACCGTAAAATATGAATATTTGGATTAAAAAGTCTAATTAGTAGTTCATTCTACTTTTACTCACAGAACTATATTATTTGGAGAAGATTCTGTTCACACAATTCTTACCTCAAATATAAATATAGAATTGTACTTACCTTCAGAAGACCTAAAGGATTAGAGTAATAATATATGATTATACTAATCTTAATATTTAGTGAAATGTTAACATACATTATTGATCATATTCTTCACTGCAAGTAAATTGGCAGTTTTAGTGTTCTTAACTATAATGCAAATTGAGTTAAAAAAATAGAACACTTGAAGGAAAAACATACACTTTCCTGCCATAGCAACTGATTTAATCTTAGGACCCATGAGAATTTATGTGATTACTCTGTAATTATTTTGCATCTTGTATTAGCTCATTTGTGCTACTATAACAAAATACTATAAACTAAATAGCTTACCCACATAGAGATAGGAAAGAATATACATGGGATACAGGAGATCCCTTAGGATGTGTCTTAGTATTACCATGCTTTGTAATTAAGGTCAAAAAAAAAAAAAAAAAAAACAAAACTGCGGCATGGGAGGCCAAGATGGCTGACTAGAAGCAGTGGCTATCAGAGGCTCCCATTGAAAAGAACCATAATTAGTGTGTGAATCCTACACTGGCAAGCAAGGTATCCAGGTTTTCTCATCAGAACCGACTAGGCAGCTGGCATGATCCACGGAGAGGAAAGAAAAGCAGTGTGGTGCTGTGGATAGAACAAAAAGGTGAAGGAAAGGCAAACTCTCCTTGTTTCAGGTGGGACATCGATCTTCTGTGATTAGACATTGGAGCTCTCTGTGTCAGGTCTTTAGACTTTCTTTTTGACTAAGCAGCCCTTCCCCATCCCCACAGGTTTTCAGGCCTTTGGCCTTAGACTGAATTATGCTATTGGCTTTCCTGACTCTCTTGTTTGCAGATGGCATATCATGGAACTTCTTGGTCATAATAATTTTATGAGCCAATTCCCATAATATATCTATCCCCTCATATATATTTTTATTTGTTATATATCTTAACATCTCTTTCTATATATCTAGCAATTTAAAATATCTATCGATCTGTATATCTATCTATCTATCTATCATCTATCTATCTATCACTCTATCATCTAACCATCTATCTATCTCTTTATCAATCCATTCTATTGGTCCTGTAACTCTAGAGAACCCTGACTAAGAGAGAGAGACGTAAACATTCAGACCATAGCATATTTGTTCTCTAATTTCTTTTCCTTTGTCCCCCAACCCCTATAGCTCTCAGAATACAGTAGCTGTCACAGTCGGTAAGTCAATAAAGCCTTTAATAATAATGACATTTTTGTAGTTATTTGATTTATTGAATTCTTGTACCTAATATGGTGCAGAACAATGTGATACTATATATTATAATTATGTAAGATAATTCTAAGAAGACATGTAGCATTTTAAATGAATAATATGTATTACATTATGATGGAATCATGTGATGAATATAGCTTTACAGATAAAAATATTTATCTTTAAGCTACAATATTGTAAAATATACAATGTATATATATTTATAGGTAAACATTTAGAAGTTCTAAATTTTATTTTAAAATTATTTACATGCTCAGAAAAGCATGGATGTTTTGAAATTTATTGCCAGTCACTGTAAGAATTTTTTACAAATAGATAAGTGTGTTCACATTTCCCTTAGGCAGTCATGATTTCAAAGGCTGGAGTAATTATGAGGAAAACCACATCCAACAGATCTCAGGAATATAGAAACAAGCACATTATACAGAGCTGAACTTCATTACACTTTACATAATGCTCAAAGCTAACATTTCTCTTATATATTGCTTGTGGCCAAAATAATATAATAATCACATGAGTGGAAATCAAAAACAAAAATAAATTCCTCTTATCATGACTCAAAAATCACGCTGTTATTTCCTTTGTTATCTTAGAGTCTTTGTCCAAATGGTAATATAACTTTTCATAAACCATGATTATTATTTATATAAGATGAACTTATGATAAATTTTATACTTTGCTTTTTCACATATTATATATTTGGTATTTTTAAATATCCATTCAACACTCTATAAACTTTACTGGATACCTACTATGTTCCATAAATCGTTGTAAATGAAGTAGTCACAGAATAATAAGTTATGTTTTTTGGTCTAGAAGTATCTACCTACAAGTAATAGGAAACTTGATATGTGAAAACATGCACATTTCTAATAACAAAGCCTATATTGTAATATGCATATTGCAAAGGTGTTAAAAACTAGAGAATGATCAACTCTGGCACAATATTTATAATTAAATAACTTTAAAGAATTCTGCATATGTTATTGAACACAAATAAGCAAATAGCTTATCTTAATTTCAAAAAACAAATTGGACATATTAAACATTAAAGTCAGTATTGAGAAGTGGGTGACTTAAAACAAGGTTTGGGGTTGTTATGGGCTACATATTTGTGTCCCACCTAAAATCACATATTGAAACCCTGCTCCCCAATATGATGGTATCTGTAGGTTGGCCTTTGGAAGCTAATTAGATTTAGATCAGATCATAAAGGTGGGATCAGTGCCTTATAAAAAGAGAAAGCTAATAGAGCTCTCTCACTTTCTCTCTCTCTCTCTCTCTCTCTCTCTCTCTCTCTCTCTCATTCTCTTGCTCTTTCTTTTCCTCTTTGCCATGTAAGGATATATCTGCAAAGCCAGGAAGAGGGCTCTTACCAGGAACCACACTGGCCAGCACCTTGATTTTGATATTCCCAGCCTGCAGCACCATGAGAAATAAATGTCTTTTTTTTTTTTTTAAGCTTTTCAGTTTCTGGTACTGTGTTATAGCATCCAGAGCCGACTAAGATGGGGGTTTAATAATGTGATACATTTGGGATGAATGCTTAATACTAGGTATTCATGTCCACAGTGCGTAGTGGAATTCTGAGTATTCTTGAATCAAGAAGGTTAATTTAGATGTGCATACTGGTCACATATTGATCCAAGCCAGAGAGAGTGGGAGAGACAGTCCGTTTAAGCAACTGACCAGAAAGGAGTAGCAAGAGTTAAAGTGTCACAGTTCTGTGTCATGGGCTCCCCTTTGTTCATTGGAAAAGAAAACTCCTTGTGTGCCTAGAAGCTGAGCTAGAAGACACTGATGAGGGCAGCTCCAATGTCTGGCTGTCAAGGAAGCTGACAGGCATAAATGGGCTAGGTTCCCAACCATTCTAAACCCTGATGCAGAATTCCTGTCAAGCCAGAGAACAGGAGCAAGATACATTGACAGATATCACCAACTAGAAGGTGCGAACAATCCCCACAGGCCATAGTCTGTCTGTCACGGCTCTTTAAGGGAAAGCAAAGATGGGACCAGCAGGTGCAGCAAATTGAATCCACTTTACTTATTAAGACATGCCCACATGGGTAAGCAGGGGCCAAGAGATCTCTGAATTTATCCCAGCCAGAATAAGTATCCATCTGATTTTCTTCCCCAAACTAACATATTTTATCTAAATGGTAATACTTATATCAAAATCTCATTACCTGTAATGACATAAATTTAATATGTAAGAAATAGAAAGATTTTACTTTTCCAAGTCCAAGTTAAACTTTAGTTTACATTTCAAACCATGTAAAACATTTAAAATGTGGGAGAATAGACAATATTTGTTTAGTTACCAAAAATATGACTTTTTATTTTTGTATTCTCTGAGATTCACTTAAACAATGGGTTATAGAAAACAGCTTCAAGGAGAGGTTGATAAATGCTGATAACATATTTCTGTTTATTCTTTTGTACTCTAACTGGATTAAAGATTTATCCTCCCTTTCAGTATCTTTCAGTACAGAACAATTTTTCTCTTTTTAGGTAAAAATGAAGTGCTTAAAGTTAACAATGCAACAGATTTCATTATTTTTAAAAGAGAACAATAATTTCATCCTACCCTCTATTCTGAATCTGATTTGTTGTATATTGAGTGAAATTTCTAAGCCTTAAATACTTTAGGTAAAAGACTGTGACCCGTTGTGATAATTCCACCAGCATGTATTTAAAAGTTAATTACAAAAAGTAAATATTAGAATGGCTGTATTTTAGTTACCATTTATTTGTATCTTGATTTTTTTAATCTGATTGGCTTAATTGCAGGATAATATTCTCTTCAGATAGCACTGTTCAACTTCTCTTCATGCATGGATAAATAAATAACCTAACACCAAAAGAATAGAATGATTTCTTTTATAGGTATTCTTTTGTTTCTTTTTTAATCCAATAGAATGCACACACACACACATATACGACACACACACACACAAGCATATATATATATATATGCTTGTATATATAAATGCATCCCCCAACACACAAAATAATAGAAGGAAAGAAGACGGAATATAGAATGAATAAAAAAGGTAAGTTTTGATAGCTTCTTATTTCATGATGTTAAGTAGGTTTAAAATAAAGCAAATAAAATACCCTAGTCATTGGTTTTGATAAATGTGATACAGTACACCACATTTTGAACTTTCAATTGATAATTTATTTACTACTAAATACAATGAGTGTCAATTTAAACTCTACATCATTTAACTTATTAAAACAAAATTCGATATCTATTCAGAACACCATTCCTCATCGCTTGCAATTTTCATATTTTTTTCCTAGCAGAAAAAAGAAGTGGGAAAAAATTATTGGCAACAGTGTTTCACTGATTGGTGGAAGGGAAAGAATATCACTTACTTACAAGAAATAGGATACAATTTGAGAGTTTCTGCTTTTCACAATGTTGTTTTCAGTTATTCAGTGTAGTTATTGATGGTCTTAGTGTATAAGAAATTTGAAAGATAAAACTTATACATGTGCATTTAAACAGATCTCAATTTTATCTACATTTATATCTAATAATTTTGCATTTATAACCATACCTATACATCCATTCTTACATGTATTTATATACAATCTTCTGTAAGTCTTAACTCCCATTTTCTTTTATTATATACTGACAGATATAAAGTTAAACTGGTTGGTAACATTTTCCACTACCAAATTCTTATGTAGTCATTTTATATGAACTATTTAGATAGAAGCAAGGACTGAAGATAAATAACATGATCTCACTTAAGTAAGCTCCTATGCCACTTAGCAATGGCTTAGGAACAGTACCTTCTTAACAAACAGATTATTTTTTTCATAATTTTGCATACTTTTTATTATGATGTGAAAAGTATGATTTCTGTAAAAATTGAAGTGCTTTTTCTAGGTCAATATATATATAAAGGAAAATTAGGTGGGAATAGAGTGGTTTCCTATGGTATAGCAGGTATTGGCATACAGACTCTGTTTCCCCAACCACTGAGATTAAGTTTCACACATCATACTTTGACTCCCCTAATACCTAAACACTTCAATGTCGAAGAAAAAAAAATAATTATATAACAATAGTACATTTAGAAAAAAGCAAAAAAAAATATACTATTGATGTAATATTATAGAATTCACTTTCCATATTCAGATTTTTACCAATAGTTTCAAGAATATAATTTAGAGCTATTTTCCTCCAGGCACAAATTAAATTCAGGATTATGTATTGCATCAACTTATCATGATCCTTTAGTTCATTTCAATCTGAAATGTCTCTTTTACTCTTTCTTGATCTTAAGGGAACAGAAAAATTGCTTTGCAAAATGCCACTAAGTTGTGATTTTTCTAATTTTTTTATGATTAAAACTATGTATTTTGGGCGAGGAAAGCACATAAGTAATGTTATTTTTTTTCTCAGTGCATCATACCAGGAGGGACATGATTGTAGGTTTATCTGATTACTTAGTTATATTAACTTTGGTTGGTTACAATGGTGTTCACCAGTTTTCTTTATAATTAATTTACTATTTTCCTACTTGTAATTAAAAATATTTTATAGCGATTTTTTTCAGAGTATGTTAATGCCTTGTCTTCAATAGATTTTTACCCAAGTGTTTATCATATTTTAACAGATTTTATAACTATCGTTTATTTTTTTGAGACCGAGCCTTGCTCTGTTGCCCAGGTTAGAGTGTTACCAATGGAGGGTCTTGACAAGTTATTCAAGTTCTTGGCATTTTGAACAAAGAATTGGAAAAAGCACACGAACAAAGCAACAAAAGAATGAAGCAGCAAAAGCACAGATTTATTGAAATGTAAGTACCCACCACAGAGTGAGAGCGGGCTCGAGCAGGTGGCTCAAGAGTGCCAGTTACAGAATTTTCTGGGGTTTAAATACCCTCCAGAGCTTTCCCATTGGTTACTTGGTTACACTCTAAATAAATGAAGGAGTGGCCCACAACCAGTCTTATTTGTTGCAGGAGGTGATCAATCAAAGGCTGAAGTGAAGTTACAAAGTTACACCCTAAGCACGTGAAGACTGGTTGCAGGAGGGGACCAAACGGAGGTACTTTTCATTTTTCATCTGTGAGGCAGTGGAAAAGGGTGTTGTGGGGTGGGGTTGCAAAGGGAGTAGCCCCTGATCCTTTTGTTACTTGGGTGTGAAGAGGTGGGGTTTTCCTTTTGACTCAGTTCTAGGAAGTCAGCGCAAATTGGCCTTAAGTTCCCTGTCTCCAGACGCTATTCTATGCCTCAGGAGTACAGTGGCACAATCATGGCTCACTGCAGCGGTCTAAACTCTGCTAAGGCAGAGAATTACTTGAACCCTGGAGGCGGAGGTTGCAGTGAGTCAAGACCGCACACCACTGCACTCCAGCCTGGATGACAGAGCAACACTCAGTCTCAAAATAATAAATAAATAAATAAATAAGTAAATAAATAAATAAATAAATAAATAAAGTTAAAAAAATTTCTAACGAATCAATTGTGTTAATCTTACTTATTAATTCTAGAAGATTCTTGTAAGTTTCTTAAGATTTTCTAACTTAATCATGTAATCTATGAATCTATGAATAGATGGAGTTTGACCACTTTTCAACAATAATTTTTATTTTCTTGGCTTTATTCCACTAGTGAGGCCATCAGTCAAATGTTATAAAGAACTCATGAGAGGATATATCTTTCTGTTTTTTCCTGATCTTAGGGGAAGCATATGATGTTGGTTATAGGTTCATGGATGCTCATTTTCAGTTTGAGGGATTTTCCTTCCAATGCTAATTGGATAACATGTTTTTTTAAACACGAATATCTGTTTAATTTTGTTATATGTTCTTTCTGAATTTACTAAAATATGTATATGTCTTTTATCTTGGTATTCTGTTAAATTATACTGACCAATTTTCAAATCTTGCATCAATATGACTTAGTATTCAGACATATTTTCGTAACAGCATAAATATGTGATTTCATGAGGGATGTAGGATTGTACATTTTTCTTGAAGTTCCCTTGCCATATTTGGATCAAGGTTAAATCATTCTCATCACAGAAGACAGTGATTGTTCGCTTTTACTCTGTGTATGGGAGTTTATGTAGAACTGCAGTTGTTTCATCATTAAATATTTGACAAAATTCACTAAAGAAACTTAAAGTTTTCTTTATGGAAATAATTTGATAGTGCATTAGATTGAGTGAACACATATACAGCTATGCAAATTTTCTATTTTATCTGTATGCAGTTTAACAAATTCTGTTTTTTAAACAATGTTTTCATTTTTTCGTAGTTGTCAAATCCTTGGCATAAAGCTTTCATAATATTTCATTGTTATCTGTTAATTGTAGAATCTAGAATGATATGCCCTTTTTTACTCCTGACATTGCTAATTTATATTTTCTCTCTTTCTTTTTAATTTTTTTTCACTAAGATTTTATCAAGTGTATTAATCTTTTCAGAGCACCAAAGTTTGACTTTATTTGGTTTCAAATATGAACTGATTTAAAATTTAAAATTATGTTGTGATAAGAAGACAAAGTATATAATTTTGATTTTTTGAAAGTAATGTCGCAAATTATCTTATGGCCTCAGAAACTGTATAATCAGGATACAATTACATTGAAACTTAATCAATTTTTTTTCCATTTTTTTTAATTACTGGAAGATGTGCTTAAAATTCCAATAATGGTTGTGGGCTTTTCTAATTATCTCTTTAATTCTGTTAATTGTTGCGTCATATGTTTTACAGTTGTGGTATTTGATGCATAGAGAAATTCTGAATGCTATGTCTTCCTGATGAATAGACAATTTTATCACTATAACATGTCCCTCTTTATCTCTCAAGTCTTTTATCTGATATTTATGGCCATACCAGCTTCCTGTTACTTTTTATTCACACTTTGACTCTCAATGTATGTGCCTTTACATTTAAACATGTAATTATTACATAATTTGTGGTGTGAGTAATTGGTTTTCATCCATTATTAAAATGTCTGCTTTTAAATTAGACAACTTACACTTTTTATATTTAGTTAATTGTTAATATGATTACACTTATGTCTGCCATTATAAAATTTATTTTTTATTTCTCTAATCTCTTTTGTTGATGTTTTTGTAGTTTTCTTTGTCTCATAGTTCCTGCATCCTTTACGGAGGACATTTTAGGGATTTTTGGTTTACATAACAATTATATTTCTCCATTGCCTTTATTGTTATACTTCACCATTTTTAGTGACTGCTCTAGGATGAAAATATGCATCCTTAAGTTATAACTGTCTACTTAGAGTAAATATTTACCATTTCATATGAATTTTATAAGCATGAAACTATATAGTTTTATTTAGCATTATTTGTTTTCTTATATAGATTATAACTACACATGTTAAAAAGCCCATAATATCTAGTAACAACTTATAATATTCTGTGACTTAATTCTTCCCTATAGATAGATAAACGTTTTTATCTTGTGTCATTTTCTTTGAGGTTGACAAACTTCCTTTAGCATTTTTTGTATGAGAGGTCTGCTGGCCAAGTATGCTATTTGTTTTTGATTGTTTAGAATCGTGTTTTCTTTTGTATTCAATTTTGAAGGACTTCCCCCCACTCCACTACAAAAATATGTAGTATATTATACTACATATTTGTATCATATATAGTACAATTAAAAGATATAGAATTCGTTTTATCATACTACAGGACTTTTCAGATATAATTTCACTGACTTCTGATCAGCACTGCTTTTGTGTGAAAGTCAGATATTCATATGTTTGTTCCATTGTATGTTATATGTGATTTTTCTCTGGCTGTTTCTGACATTTCTGTTAATATTTGTGTTGCAGCAGTTTAATTACAATGTGTTCAGCTGTTGGTTTCTTTGACTATATCCTTCTTGATTTTTATTATGCTTTTAGTATCTGTATGTTTAGAGTTTTTATCAAATTTGGGATAGTTATAGCCATTATTTCTTCAACAATGTTCTCCATTCTTTCCTTCTTTTCTTTTATTCTTGAAGTGGAATTACATATGTGGTATACCTTTTGATACATCCCACAGTTCACCTTTTAAAAATTTTATTCTTCAGATTGGCTGATTTCTATTCAGGTACCTCCACATTTTACTGACATTTACTTCTTTGGTTTGTAATCTGTGTTTTAAATATATGTGTTTTATGTTAAATGTTGTCATTTTTTGTCCTAGAATTTCTGTTGGATTGTTTTATATAGATTCAGTTTGCCTTCTGAAAATCACAATCTGTTTATTCTTTAGGAAAAATTGATTTTGAGATCTTGAATGCCTTTATAATAACTTATTTAAGGTCCTTCCCTAATTCAACATCAAAGATAATAGATAATTTGAGTTTCTTTTCTATTAGCTGTGTTTATTTTCTTTTATTGGTTATATTTTCCTGTTTTACCTCTAGTCTGAAGTTTTTTTTTGTGTGTGTGTGTGTGTATTGAATGATATATATACTCCACATCTGTGACTTTATCCTTTCTTGAGTTGTTCCCTTCCATTTCTAAGCACTATGGAAATTCCAATCCTGAGACCCTTAAAGTTCATATGTTGAAATCTCCAATGTGATGTTAGTAGAAGGTGAGGGCTTTGGGATGTAATTATGTAATGAGGATATAACACTCAAGAGTGGGATTAGTGCCCTTATTAAACAAACAAAAAAAAGCTAGCTCTTCTTTTCTTGCTTTTGCTCTCTTTTGCCCTTTCCCTCTCTCTCTCTTCCCCTTCTCCATGTGAGGATATAATTCAAAGACAGCCATGTTCAAATTAGGAAGTGGGCACTCACCAGACATGAGATCTGTGCACAGTTTAGTCTTGAACTTTTCAGCTTCTAGAACTGTGAGAAAGAAATTATTGTTTAAGCCATGTAGTATATAGTATTCTGTTATAGCAGCCTGAACTGAAAAAGGGAGTGGGTTATAGAATTAAATATAAAATCTACAACTGTAAAGATTCTAGAAAAAAACAAAGTTATCTTTAAATTGACATAGACAAAGTTTTTTTTATAGGACAAAAAAAAGCACTAACCATATAAATTGATAAACTAGTCCTCATCAAACTTAAGACAATCCATTCTTCAAAAGACATTTTTAAGAAAATAAATTGATAAGCCACAGAATGAAAGACTAGCTGTAACACATACATGAGAAAAATTTTATGGATTGTATAAATAACAACTCCTACAACAACCCAATAAAAGTGTTAAAAGACTTGAACACACACTTTACAAAAGAAGATATATGAATGGCAAATAAGCAAAGAAAAAACGTCAGTAGTATCACAACACACTGATTAAGTGGCTAACATTATAAAGACTGATAATAACAAATGTAGGTCAATAGATTTGGAAAAATTATTACTTTCAAACATGGTAACAGAAGTACATAACAGTCCAGTTACTTTGAAGGGGTTGTTTGGTGGTTTCTAATAAAGTGAAACATATTTCTACCCTATGATTTAACAATTCTTTTCCAAGGTATTTTTGTGTGAGAAATGTACATATATGTTAAGAATGATGTATTAGTTTGTTCTCACATTGCTATAAGGAAATGCCCGAGACTGGGTAATTTATAGAGAAAAGAGGTTTAACTGGCTCACAATTCCACAGGCTGTACAGGAAGCATAAAAACTTCTTCTCAGCTTCTGGAGAGGCTTCAGGAAACTTAAAATCTTGGCAGGAGGTAAAAGGGAAGCGGGTACATTTTACATGGCCAGAGCAGGACCAAGAGAGCGATGGGAGGCGCTACACACTTTTAACAAAATCAGATCTTGTGATAACTCACTCACTCCCTATCACAAGAATATCACTGAGGTGATGGTGCTAACCCATTCATGAGAATCCCACTTCCATGATCCAATCACCTCCCACCAGGCCCCACCTCCAACACTGGGAATTACAATTTGATATGAGATTTGATTGGGGATAGAGATCCAAACCATATAAATCTGCCCCTGGTCTTTCCCAAATCTCATGTCCTTCTCAGTTTGCAAAATTAAATCATGCCTTCTCAACAGTCCCCCTGAGTCTTCACTCATTCCAGCATTAACTCAAAAGTCCACAGTCCAAGTGTCATCAGAGACAAGGCTAGTCCCCTCTGCCCGTGAGCCTAAAATCAAAAACAATTTAGTTACTTCCAAAATACAATGGAGCTACACACACTGGGTAGATACAGGAGAAATTGGCCAAAAGAAAAGCACTACAGGACCCATGCAAGTCTGAAACCTAGCAGGGCATTCATTGAATCTTAAAGCTCCCAAATGATCTCCTTTGACTTCATGTCCCACATCCAGGGCATGCTGGCATAAGGGGTGTGCTTCCAAAACCTTGGACAGCTCCACCTCTGTGACTTTGCAGGGTTCAGCCTCCATAGCTCCTCTCATGGGCTGGCGTTGAGTGCCTGTGGCTTTTCCAGATGCATGGTGCAGGTTGTCAGTGGATGTACAATTCTGGGGTCTGGAGGATGTTAGCCCTCTTCTCACAGCTCCACTAGACAGTGCCACAGTTGGGCCTCTGTGTGTGGGCTCCAACCCTACATTTCCCCTCCACACTGTCCTAGCAGTGGTTCTCCATGAGGGCTTCACCCCTGTAGTTGGTTTCTGGCTGGACATCCAGGCTTTTCCATATATCCCCTGAAATCTAGGCAAAGGCTTCCAAGCCTCAACTCGTACATTATGTGTACCTGCAGGCTTAGCACCATGTGAAAGCCATCAAGACTTATGGCCTGCACCCTCTGATGCAGTGGCCTGAGCTATATCTGGGGCTATTTGAGCTGAGGCTGGAGCCAGAACAGCCAGAATGCTGAGAGCAGTGCCCCTGGGATGCAGAGGGGCTTCTCTCCTAGGCCTTTGGGCCTGTCATGTGAGGAGCTGCTGCAGAGGTCTCTGAAATGCCTTCAAGTCCTCCTCATTGTCTTGGCTATGAACATTTAGCTCTTTGTTACTTATATCAATTTCTGTAGCCTGCTTGAATTCTTCCCCAGAAAATGGGTTTTTCTTTTCTTACCACATGGCTGGGCTGCACTAAAACTTATTCTCTGCTTCCCTTGTAAATCTAAATTCCAGTTTTATATTATTTATTTGCTCAAACATATGATCATAGGTTGTTAGAAGCAGCCACAACACATCTTAAACACTTCGCTGCTTTGAAATTTCTTCTGCCAGCTACCCTAAATTATCACTCTTAAGTTCAAAGTTCCACAGATTCCCTAGAGCAGGAGCACAATGCCACCAGTTTCTTTGCTAACATATCACAAATTGACCTTTCCTCCATTTCCCAGTAAGCTCCTCATCTTCATCTGAGACCTCATTAGTCTGGGTTTTATTATTTATTATCCAGATCACTATTAGTATTTCAGTCACAATTCAAGCAGTCTGTAGAAATTTCCAAACTTTCCCTCATCTTCCTGTCTTCTTCTGAGCACTCTACACTGTTTCTACTGTCAGAGGCATTCTAACCAGAGTGACTCCGTCTTGAGTGAGGGCAAGAAAAATGAGGCTGAGACTTGCTGGGCTGCATTCTCAAAAAATTAGGTATTCCTAGCCTCTAAATATTTACTGTTAAGGGAACAGATTGATAATGTTTACTAAAAGACCCAGACTTGGTAGTGTCCTGGGATATCTTGAGAACAGAAGCATTTCTAACTTTGCTTTAAAGGTGATAGTATTGATTCTTGCAAAATACAATTATTAAGAAAATTAATCCTTTATCACAAACCCTTGTATCAAAGCACATCTCCCTATGATCTGTTTTTATTCTATATATAAACAAGTTTTATACCTAGGGTGGACGTGTCCTTCCTCTTACTTTCAGGAATGCCCTATTCTGTCTTTGGAGTAGCTGCTCTTTTACAACTTTGCTTTTTAAATAAACTTGTTTTTGCTTTGTACTGTGGACTCACCTTGAATTCTTTCTTGCACGAGACCAAAGAACCCTCTCTTGGGGTCTTGATCAGGACTGTATTCCTGTAACACAACCTTTGCCCATTACCCAGTTCTGAAATTCCTTCCACATTTTCAGATATCTTTATAGCAATGTCCCACTCCTCACTAGCAATTTTCTTTATTAGTCCATTCTTGCATTGCTATAAAGAAATACCTGGCCAGGCGCAGTGGCTCACTCCTGTAATCCCAGCACTTTGGGATGCCGAGGCAGGTGGACCACCTGTCAGGAGTTTGAGACCAGCCTGGCCAACATGGTGAAACCCCGTCTCTACTACAAATACAAAAATTAGCCGGATGTGGTGGTGCACACCTGTAGTCCCAGCTATTCGGGAGGCTGAGGCAGGAGAATCACTTGAACCCAGGAGGCAGAGGTTGCGGTGAGCCGAGATTGTGCCACTGCACTCCAGCCTGGGCAACAGAGCGAGACCCCATCTCAAAAAAAAAAAAAAAGAAAGAAAGAAAAGAAAAGAAATACCTGAGACTGGGTAATTTATAAACAAAGGGGGTCTGATTGGCTTACAGTTCTTCAGGCATAGCAGATTCTACTTGGCTTCTGGGGAGGCCTCAGGGAGCTTTCAATCTTGGTGGGAGGTGAAGGGGAAGCAGGCACATCTTCCATGGCCAGAGCAGGACAGAGAGAGAGAGATGGGAGAGGTGTTACAAAGTTTTCAAACAACCACATCTTGTGATATCTCTCTCACTCACTAGTACTGAGAGGATGGCCCTAAACCATTCATGAGAACTTGTCCCCCATGATCCCATCACCTCCCACCAGGCCCTACCTCCAATACTGGGGAATTATAATTCAACATGAGATTTGGGTGGGGACACAGATCTAAGCCATATCAAATATTCCTGGCAGTCTTATTTATAATAATCAAAGAGTTGAACAAATGAAATACTCATCATCACAGAAATAGGAAAACAACTTGTAGTGTAGTTACATATAAAAATACTATTTAGTAGTACAACTAGAATGTATTATTGATGTATGCAACAATACGAATATATCTTAAAAAATATCCAGGCATCTGCAGGCATAAAAGAGTACATTTTTCTTCCATTTACATAGTATCCAAAAACAAATAAAAATCTATCATGAAAATAATTAGAAAATGTTTGCTCTTGAATGGGGTGGAAAAGGGATTAAATACAAAAGGAATCATGGAGTCAATTTGGAGTAATTGAAATATCCTTTTTCTTGACAGTTCTTTAGATTAATGTGTATGTAAAGTTGTCAAAACTCCTAGAATGTAATGCATATAACCTGTGAATTTTATTGCATATTAAATACACCTCAACAAAAAAGAAGTAAAAATATAAAAACTTACACCATGATTTGCTACATAAAATCTAGAAAGTCTATATAAAACTTGAAATGGAATAGTACCATTAAAAGTACTCAGAGCATTTCATCTGAATGTCTTTCAAAAAGTAAATAACACTATTGCCATGTCTTTGCCAGAATGAGTATCTTTTGACAATATCTAGTTATTCAGTCATTGACTATAGATACCATGATTTATAACATTGGTTAATTGATCAACATACTCCTATTTTGTTATTTTTTCTCTTTCCTCTGTTTTGGCATGTCTATGGCATTTTAAAAGAGATTTTGTCATACGGGGTTTTGAAATGTATTTTCTAATTTGAATGAGGCAGATTAGGTCAATTCCATATCAGTTGCATATTTACTCAACTAAGGTTATGAAGAGAACTGAGTAAAATGTATGCCTGTTAGTGTATATACTCGTGGGGGGTGCATGTGTTTGTGTGTGTATGTGTGTGTTATAGATATGGGTAGGCAAGTAAAGAATACTGATATTAAGGACACCTTTATTTCTTTATGTAAGCTTCTGTTGAGCAATTTAGGAAGATGAATAAATACAAAAACATAAATCTTACTTACTTTTTTCCTCCATTCTTGGCTCTCCTGAGAAGACAGCAGGTAGTACACTATTAAGAAAGAGAACTATTAAATCAAACAGAATTTTTAAATAAATGAGAGATGATCTGATTGTTGATGCAGAAAAATCAATGAGCCTGGCAATTGACACATTAGTTATGTTTTTCACAAAAGTATGAGATTATAACAGATATTTCTGGTATTACTGAGTAGTATTATTATGTGTGCCATGAATTTTTGTTGGCAGTGTAATTCCTTACAGTGATAATTTTTCAAACAATTAATCCATACTATCAACACTAGAAAATGATATTTTTTCTATATTTATACTCAGTAACTAGATGTTCATCATGAAGTGGAGAAGGCATATAATTTATATTAAAAAATGAAATGTGAGGTTTTGAAGGTTGACCACAGTTTTCAGAACCCCTGCTCTTCTCTTCCTCATTTAGGAAATAGCTCAAGGGAAGAATTCATGAGGTTTTCTACAGAAAAACCCTGCCAAGTCTAAGCTCTGTTTCTGTGACAGCTGAATAAACGTGGTAATTTGCTTGTGCCTGCCACCATCCTTTTACATTTTTTATGCTTCTTTTAGCTGTTTGGTTTATCTCTACAATCACAGAGATTCTTTATAAGAATGTTTATTGACTGGAGTGATACCTATTCCACAGTTGTTGATAAACTGCGAAGCTCACCGGTGTATTCTATCTTAGTGCTGCTGATGGTCCACAAATGCAGTTAGTTTTGAGTAGGAAGAATAGGAGAGGTGATACACATGTCTTTCTCTCAGCAAAGTCAATAGTCAGATGGCGAGGACCCAAATTGAATTTTTCTAGAAGGCTGATCCAGAATGTTCCTTCAGTGTCTCATTATGCTTTATGCTTCCTGACATTGGCAGGAGGCTCAGGGTTCAGGTTTAACAAATTGACAGCACTGATCTTGGTTCTGTAGCATTGTTCTTGGTTCTGTAGCATTGTTCTAGGGACAGTGAAAAATAATTAAATTTTCTACGTGGAAGCATCTTAGCAAACCCCTCATGAGTCACTCTCTTGCTTGCTTTACAAATAAGTAAATGGAATCCTTTAAAAGAGACAAATTTGAAAATGCAATTTTATAAATCAGAAATAGTATACAGTTAATCATATCTAGTAGCTTGGTTATTTAAAAAATGTAACTATCAATAATCATTAAATATTAACTACTTTTTAAATCATACATGTACCCACTTTAAAAAATAATTAACACTTTTATTTTGAATGGATTTAAACCAAAGGAGATTACTCCATTAATGGCTAATTTAGTCAATATTTTGAATAAACCTTGATTTTCAGACATTACAATTTTATTAATTAGTTTTAAAATGCTAACAAAAATATAACTATATTTATTGGTTTATTAGGGCTGTCATCACAAAATACCACAATCTATTTGACTTAAGCAACAGAACTTTATTTATTTTTAAGTTCAGAAGTCTAGAAGTTTAAGGTCAAGGTGTCAGCAGGGCTAGTTTCCTTTGACTCCTTTCTTTGTGGCTTACAGATGGTCTCCTTCTTGCTGTATCCTCACGTGATATTTCCTTTTTGTTCACACCTCCAAGACGTGTCTTTTTGTGTCCAAATTTCCTCTTCTTAGAAAGACACCAGTTGGATTAGCTTAAAGCCGAACTTAACACTTTCATTTTCACTTAATTATGTCTGTAAATAACTTATCTGCAAACACAGTCACATTCTGAGGTGATTTTATAGATTAGAGTAACTAGATATTGTCAAAAGAAAACCTGAATATAATTCATCAATATATGATTTTTGAGAGGGATGCCGTTTAGCCGACGACACTGTATTTATTTAGAAACTAGTAGGGGAAAGATAGAAACAGAAAGTGGACACTCATATTCCATGTCTGAGAAAAAAACCCAAATAAACATTCTTGGAAGTGAGAGGCATCATTGTTGGATAAAACCTCAATGCCTTCTTTTCAACAGTGCAAAAGGAGAACTTGTTTTGGTGGGAGGAACTCTCTTGCACAATTTAATTCCTGAAACAGAGAAGACGAAGCTAAACAAAGAATCTCACAGAAAGCTATCATTTCAGGAAGCAGTGGGAGAGGACCAAAGAGAATTCATTTTTTTTTTCTTTCTTCTGAGACAGAGTCTCACTCTGTCGCCCAGGCTGGAGTGCAGTGGCGCGATCTCAGCTCACTGCAAGCTCCGCCTCCCGGGTTCACGCCACTCTCCTGCCTCGGCCTCCCCAGTAGCTGGGATTACAGGCGCCTGCCATCGCGCCCGGCTAATTTTTGTACTTTTAGTAGAGACGGGGATTCACCGTATTAGCCAGGAAGGTCTTGATCTCCTGACCTCGTGATCCACCCGCCTTGGCCTCCCAAAGTGCTGGGATTACAGGCGTGAGCCACTGCGCCCGGCCCGAGACTTCGTTTTTAAAAAGCCCACAGTGGTCTCTTCTCCTTGGGTGGACAGAAGTAAATCCAAAACACACAGAAGTCAGCACAATGAAACGCCCTTTTGAACCTTGAATTTTTTTGTTTTCTTTTTTCTTTCTTTTTTTTTTTTTTTTTTGTTTGTTTGTTTTTGTTTTTGTTTAGACGGGGTCTCACTTTGTTGCCAGGCTGGAGTACAAGTGATGTGATCTCGGCTCACTGCAACCTCTGCCTCCTGGGTTCAAAAGATTCTCCTCCTCTGCCTCCCGGGTTCAAACAATTCTCCTGCCTCAGTCTCCCAAGTAGCTGGGACTACAGGCGGCTGCCACCACACCTAGCTAATTTTTGTGTTTTTATTAGAGACAGGTTTTCACCATGTTGGCCGGGATGTTCTCAATCTCCTGACCTCGTGATCTGCCCACCTCGGCCTCCCAAAGTGCTGGGATTACAGGCGTGAGCCACCGCGCCCGGCAGCCTCAAAGATTTTTAGCAACGCTAAGATTATAAGCTGTAGGTTATAAGATTTTTTTTTTTTTTTAAAAAAGTAGGAACAGAAATGTCAAACAGCAGATGGAAAATATTCATTGGCAAATTTTTACCTGAGGATGAATGAAAAAATTGCTTTTATAAAGTAAGACCATTGAAAACACAGCAATAGAAGAAGGTGGTGGGCAGAACTCAAGAATTTTTTTTTTAAATCAAAATCACCAGAGAATAAAAAATAAAATAGGAAGTCAGACATAGCTAAAAACACAGCAAACGAACTAGAGAAGAGAAATGAGAGAGGCAGGCAAAAGAAAATAGTCACATATATTTTTAAGAAAAGAAATTTTAAAATGTTGACAAGAGAAAAAAAAATCAACCATATGAGTCACCAATGTCGTTGGTTAAGAAAATCAGTAACAATACCACGGGAAGTAGACATATTTAAAATCATAATTGAACAGATTTTTCCTGACTTAAGCAAAGACTTTGAATTTTCATAATGATGCTACACCTATTTCTTAGGCAAATTTGGCCAAGAATATTGAAAGTAGAGATACAGACCCACTTAAAATTATTGCAGATAATAAATAACAAAAGGTACTTCGGAGAATTACTTTAAAAAAATAAAGTCAAATATTACATGAAGGTTTAAGTGTGGAAAAATTGGGCTGACGTCAGACTTCTCCAAGAAAAAAAGTCAATAAATTATCTGTGAAGTTTACAAGAAACTAATGTATGTTTCAAGAATTTTACACTCAGCTAAAGTATGCCTTGAAGTGTCAAAGTAGTAGGCAAACAATTCTGAACACGCAAATCTTAGAAAACATTGTTTCCCTGAGGTCTTCTGGTAAGATCTGTCCCTAGAGGACAAACGAGCAAACAGAAGAAATACGGAGGGAAAAATAACAAAAAGACTAGGAAAGAGCATCAAATACAGTTTTGTTTTTTCATCTGGAAAAGACCAAATGAAACAAGAAAATTCCTGTGAAAGAATGAATGTTTATGATACCGGAGGGGGCAGGGAAGTGCTGGGTCGAGAAGGGTGGGGTCCCTGGTGAGGATCCACCCTCAGGCTGGTGCCCAGGGACCTAAGTAAGAATAGGCACTCCTGTTTTCGCGCCCAAATGTTGCATTTTCCAAGACCACTCTGGCCTGCCACACCCCCTGATCCTGTGCCTATAAAAAACCCGGAGGCCCCAGCAGGCACACACACAGGTGGCTGGACATCGAGAGGAACACACCAGTAGAAGAACACACCAGCAGATGCTGGCAGGCTACTGATGGCAGAACGACAGGGACGCCAAGGGGAATTCGGCCAAGGGTGGGTGGTCTGAGGAGATCCCCGCCACTGAGCAGCCAACCCCAGGGGAAGACTACCTTCCCACTTAAACCTCTTCTGTCTCCCCATCAATCTGCTGAGAACTGCTTCCACTACTCTACAAAACTTTGCACTCACTCTCCAAGACCACATGTGATCCGATTTTTCTGGTACAGTAGGGCAAGAATCCAGGGATACAGAAGCCCTCTGTCCTTGCAATTTAGCAGAGGCTCTGATTGAACTGACTAACAAGCTGCCTGCGGACGGCTAAGCTGAAAGAGCAAACTGTAACACACGCCCACTGGGGCTCCAGGAACTGTAAACAACCAATCCTAGATGCTGCCGTGGGGTCGGAGCCCACGCTCTCCACCATCTGCTCATCGGCATGCTTGTCCTAGGGGTTTGAGCAGTGGGGCACCGAAGAAGCAAGCCACACCGCTGTCACACACCCAGCAAGGAGTATAAGGGAAAACTTCTCCCGTTTCGTTTATAATATGAGCACTGACAATATATGTCCATGGATAGAGCAGCAGAAAAGAGGAAGTACTAAAGGTAAGGGAATTATGCATATTTACTTAATGGATTTTAAATTATATAATATTTGGAAGGCAAATTAAGTCACAAAATTAAGATATTGAATAGCACCAAAGTAAACACAAATAAATTTAATAAGTAATAAGAAAATTAAAAAATTTTATAAGTGTAATAAGTTACAATTAAAGTCATGGCAGAGAGAGGAAGAAGAGCCACATTAATTTCATCATTGATCATATGCAAAAAAATAGAAATTATTAGAAGAATTAGAGTTTTAGGGAATTGTATTGAGTAAAAAATGACAAGAAAACCAATATTGACAGAAATATGGATATAATGAGTGTTATTTAAAATCTTAACATAGTGGAACAAAGCTAATATCAAGTACATCAGTTACCTTAATTTACATACATTAGATAAACTCACCCATTGAGCAAAAAATGCTTATTTTTAGGTTGCATTATAAATCAAAACAAACTCAGAGAGATACAGGTAAAACAAAATAACATAGAAATATGAAAAATAAAGGAATGAGGTATGATCTTCTAGAAAAGTGACAAGTTTGGGAAACATGATTAAGTATGAAATAAGTGCCAGTATTGGATATAATTCATATTAAAGATATAACAGGTAACAATATTAATTTCATAATTAAAAATCACAGAAAATTAGGAAAGATAGAAATATATTTTATTGGATAATTTAGCTCTCCCATTTCATGAAAGAATAAGGAATAAGATTTTAAATTGCAAACACATAGTTAATAAAACAGATAACATGTAAAACACGTACAATTTCTTTTCAGGAACCCATGGAATATTGACCAAAATCAACTATTAAATGCCAGTGAAAATGTCAAAGAATTAAAAGTATAACTTGATTTTAAAACCAGAAAATGCAACAGTTCCTCTCATCTGGAAATGTAAGGGAAGAGAAATTATCTCTCTCAAAGCCTTTTGAGGCAAAAATTAAATCTAAAAATTAATTTCAGAATATCTACAAAGTGATAATGCAAACATATAACAAAACATACGCAATCTAATTAAAGCAGTGATATACATATGAGACATATTTTATATATGTATATGTACGTATGTGTAAATACATATAGGTATGTAACTATAGATAAAAGAATACAAATTAATACATTAAGTTAATAAGGATTATATTTAAAATATTTAGGGAACAAATCTATAAAGTTGAAGCAGAAAAAGTTAATGAAGATAAAATCATTGAGGTCAATTAATTTAAGCAGTTCAATTCACAAGTTGTCCAAAAACTGCTTCTTTGAAAAAGAATATTATAAAATAAAATTTAAAATTACACTTACAGGAAAATACACAAAATGAATGAATGTTAAAGGGAAGAAAGGACTGATAAAAAAGTAAAGGTTATGAGTCTAACATTCTATGCTTTGTATAAACTAAAAATATGAATGAAAATAATATTTTAAGAGTATGCAATTTATCCAAAGTAATTCCAGAGGAGACAGAAAAATTTGAACAGATCAACTAACCAGAAAATCAAATAAGTTTTCAATGAACAAGCTCCAGCTTTTAAAAAAATGACCATGTTCAAATGGATTCAGTGGAAAATCTTACCAAATTTTCAAATATCAGATAATTTCAATACTATTTAGATTTTTCCACAGCATATAAAAATGTTTATTTTCTTAACTTAATAAGGAAACAAATAAGTGATAACAAAATTTACAAAGGCTGCCATTTAAGGAAAGAATCAGTCCCACTTTATCAACTTAAAATCTTAGAATAAAATTAAGACAAAATTTTGTACTACAGTAAAATAATGTTATGATATCATAAATGGGGGTCTTCTTTCAGAAGAAGAATAAAAGGTATAATCACCTTTTAGATATTAAAAATATACTATTATACTTAATTCTTATGTTTGTGAAACATTTTTATTAAAACAAGATTAAATGGACACTATCTTAATATGAACCTAAAAGCTTGCATTGTGTTGAATGTGAAAAAACTAGAAATTTTCCTATAGGAGCTGAGGATGAATCAAATGTGGACAATCACCACTATGATATACTTAAAAAAAATTCTAGACAATGAAATTACAAAAGAGGTATAAATTAATTTTAATAAAATGGAAAGAAGAAAATGAAATCAGCAATATTTACAGAAGTGATATTTATACTTGGAAACCTAAAATAATCAACTCCAAAATCAGAAACCTTATAGAACTCTAAAAAAAAGACATTTATATAACTAGTTACAGCATTAATATACAAAAATGAATATGTGTGTGTGTAATCAGTTAAAATATACAAAATATGACTTCGTTTATCATATGAAGAAAGGATAAAATACAAATAGTAATAGTAGTATGAAATATGCAAGATCTATACAGAGAAAAGTGAAGACATGAGGAGGAGAGAAAGGAAATTGTTCCATATTTTTGGATAGGAAGACTCAGTATCAGAAAAATGAAACTGTTCCTCAAAATAATTGAGAAAAGTAACATATTCTTATTAGAAATGCCATTACTGATTTTAAACCTCTAAGTAGATTCTTTAGTTTATTGTGAAAATATTATTTAATGAAGCAAACTTTCAAGGAAAAGTCAGTAACAGAAAAGCAATAAAGATGGGACCTATGGTATAGTAAGATTTCAGTAATTAAAATAATGTGATACTGGTATATGATGGTTAGGCCAATCAAATAAACATAATAGAAAGCAAAAAAAAAAAAAAGATTCTAGTATGCATGCCAATTTATAAAATGACAAAATGGGGACTTGAATAAGGAAACAATGGAACTATTTGAGTAAAGCATTATATGATTACTTGTTATTTAAAGAACGACTATGTTAGCTTCATACCTCACAGTCATAAACCATAATAAATTACAACTTCATTCAATATTGAAATGCACAAACAAAAGACAAAAATTACTAGGATAGATTATAAGAAACATAGTTTCAAATGAGAAAATCCTTTCTTATTATGACCAGTAGGAAGCAAAGCGTAGTTAAAAAATATGCCTTGCTTGAAACCACACACACACAAAAATGATATATTGGAAAAATAAATTAATAAGTTAGCTAATTTCTGTAAGGAAGAGTTCCTACAAATCAATCAGAAATGCATTTTAAAAAATTAAAATGAGCAAAGATGACAGTAGAAGCTTCACAGAAAAAGAAATATAAATGGTTATAAAAATATAAAATTATCAACTTTCTTCATAAGAGAAATACCAAATTAAAAAAATGAGAATTCTTTTAGGCCTGTCAGAATTGAAAGATCAGAGAGTCATATTATTTTGTGTTGGGAAAATAGCATTCTTTTATGATGTAGCTCCCAGCAAAGCTTGTGCCTTAATAAAGGTTGCCAGGCAAGGCTGTGAGTTGGGCTGAAATTCAGCCAATGTGTAGCTCTTTAAGCCTTGCCATCAGGACTAATCCATCTATTTCAGGGGTTGGTTGACAAACTATGGCCTGTGTGCCAAATCTAACCCTCTGCCTGTTTTTGTAAATAAAGTTTTGTTAGAGCACAGCTTCACTCACTGGTTTTTGTATTACCTACGGTTGCTTTCACTCTCCATAATGGCAGGGTAGAGTAGCAACAGAAACATTACGGACCTCAAAGCCAATTATATGTACTATCTAATCTTTTATAGAAAACATTTGCCAATCCAGATGAAAGTGCCATTTGCCTTCCACGAAAGCTCTATTTAGTCACAAAGTCTTACCTGAAAATGTACATTGACCAGAAATAGTGTTTTTTTCTACTTCAGTTTTTCAGAGATGATGAATTTTCCTAAATTTTCCAGACATGCCTATGGACTGTCAGTAGCCTAAGCCACATGGTGGTATAGTATTTGAAGTGCAATTTAGCAATACCTTCTAAAATGTATAGCACATAAACCGTTTGACCATTTAATTTCATTTAAAGCAATTTATCTGATTAACATACTTATATGTGTATGAAATTATGTACACAGTGATTCACTTTCAAAAATAAAAATAACTTAGCCTATTTACAAGTTCATCATTAACAAATTGCTTAAATAATGCATGAACCATTACAAAATGGAATACTATGTATATATTAAAAAGTAAAATTTCCTTTAAGAACTTCATATGATATAAACTTCTCAAAAATGTTTTTGAATGAAAGAAGTAACACGCCGATTCTGGGATTGGCCAGGTAATTTGCTTTGGCCAATAAAACAATACTACGTCTAATAAAAATAGAAGCTTAAAAAAGAGGTTGCACATTTCTAGTTCCTCTCTTTGACCCTTGTCATGACCATGAAAAGTTGCCTGCAGGAATGTGAAGGACGAATGGAGGATATGTGTTCAGGTACCATCAATTGAGTACAGATGCATGGGTGAGTCTAGCCATGATTTTTCAAGTCTTCCAAGATTAGCAAGCAGATATTATATAGATTATAAAAAGTGTTATACATAGATTACCACTTGTTGTGATTGCTATTGTTATGTGTTTTTCTCTAATGTGTCATGAGTTGTCTCTTTTGAGAGTAACCACAAGACAACATAGCCACTTTCGAAGAGAGAGCTCTGACAAGGTTCGGGTGTCTTGGTCAGATGGGACATAATAAGGAAATGAAACCAAAATGCATAAATCAGAAGAAAATTATTAGTAACAGGTCTCAGAGAGGGTAAGGTTGCCAATAGGAGACTGACCAGAAGTTCAGAGGCAGCGGGGAGCTCAATCAGTGGGTGGGAAGTGAGACACACACTTCTCTCTTTTTAAGTATAGTTCTTCCGTGGAAACTTACTTACTTTCTTTTCTTTCTTTCTTTCTTTCTTTCTTTCTTTCTTTCTTTCTTTCTTTCCTTCTTCTTTCCCTCTTTCTTTCTTTTCTTTCTCTCTTTCTTTCCCCCTCCCTCCCTTCGTTCCTTCTTTCTCCTTTCTTTCTTTCTTTCTTTCTTTCTTTCTTTCTTTCTCTTTCTTTCTTTCTTTCTTTCTTCTTTCTCTCTTTCTTTCTTTTCTTTCTCTCTTTCTTTCCCCTTCCCTCCCTTCCTTCCTTCTTTCTCCTTTCTCTTTCTTTCTTTCTTTCTTTCTTTCTTTCTTTCTTTCTTTCTTTCCTTCTTTCTTTCTTTCTTTTCTTTCTTTCCCTCCCTCCCTCCCTCCCCCGCTTCCTTCCTTCCTTCCTCCCTCCCTCCCTCCCTCTGTTTCTTTTCTTCGAGGGAGTCTTGCTCTGTGACACAGGCTGGAGGGCAGTGGAACATCTCGGCTCGCTGCAACCTCCTCCTCCCGATTTCAAGCGATTCTCCTGCCTCAGCCTCCCGAGTAGCTGGGATTACAGGCGTCTGCCATCACACCTGGCTGTTATTTTTGTATTTTTAGTAGAGACGGGGTTTCAAATTCATGACCTTAAGTGATCCACCCGCCTTGGCTTCCCAAAGTGCTGGGATTACAGGCATGAGCCACTGCACCCAGCCGGAACTAGACTTTCATTAAAGTCCACAAGCATTATCTTTTAGATTTTCCTTTGCGGGTTATAGATTGACTAATTTAAGGAAAACACGAGTTAAGAGGGAATTTATTTACATGATATGGCCTTAGATTTTATCATGGTTAGCAGCTGTAGGTTATAGTGGGTTTTCTCTCAGTAAGATGAGGAACAAGCAGGTTACATCACAATCATATAAAGAGGGGAAGTTTTCAGTAAGTTACAGGTGACCTGTTATGACTGTTTCAAATAACTTATGTCAGGCCTACAAATGGATACAGAGGCAGCAACTATATTAAACAAATTTATGACTTTGCTATTTAACACCCTACAGGCTGAGAGGCTTTGTTACACAGCAACAGTTAGCTGATACTCTTTCAAAATTAAAAATTTAAACTTTGTGCACATTTTATTCAACACTGAAAAGAATTTAAAAATGCAAATGAAAATAACATAAATAATTCATTTGTCACATGTCATGTAGGCAATTTTAAAATGTTAATTTTAAATATTGATATAGATAAATAGGAATAAAATCAGAAATATTGTTGGCGAAAACTTACATTTTAAAAATCTTCCAAAATATTTTGGAAATAGGTATAAAAATATGAGACTCTTACGTAGTCTTATGTCTAGAAATACCACTTATAATTTGTCTAAAGAAAATAGTCTTTGATGCTTATAAAGTCATCACTATAAAGATTTTAATGATGAACATATTTTTGATAAGGTAAAATATGGTATGTTATTAAGAATGAAATGCTAAATGTATGGTACTTTGACTTTATTACCTATAGGTGATAGGCACTTTGCTAATAAGATGTCCTTAGACTGACAAAAAAAAAAAATCCACATTTAAAAAATTTTCATAGTCACCGGTTAAACTGTTTAACTAAATGAATTGTCATGATACTTCCTGGTTTATTCCTCAATTCAGTGCCCAGTAACCTTGACAAAAGTTAGCAGTTACATTTTCCTAATCCGTCCAGATTGTGAGCCCCTTAAAATAATATCAATTTTTTAGATGAAGAGGCTGTGGCAAAGGGAGCTTTAAATATTTGCCTAAGGTCGCATGATGTGGCAGTAAAGCTGGGGCTTGCCACCAGGCAATCTAATTCTAGTATCTGCATTCTGAACTTCTCAGAAAACATTCTAGACAGTAGAGTAAAGGACTAAGTTAATGTACAGAGACACAAAAGCATCGAATGCATGGGGAGAGATTTCAACAGCTTTCAGACACACCTACTGAGTATTTACTTGATGAAACACAATTCTATCTACTGAGTAATACACAGAGGATGTGATAAAATACAAATTTAAAAGGCAAATTGGAGCTAGAATTTGGAGCTATTTTAACAACTGATAAAATAATAAGACATTTGAAAATACGAGTGAAATATTCAAGGTAGAATGTAAAATTACACCTCTACAGAAAATTTACATCTGCCAAATAATAAACATCTCATATTGATTAAAAGTAATTTAATATTTTGAAAATTTCTGAGAGAAGTAAAAAGAATAAAACTCTGTGAACAGATTGGGGCATCTGTTGAACTTTTAAATGAAGCTTTTAAGTTTGAATTTTATGAATATTTTTCTCAATATTTTTCAATCATTCATATGTTTGCACATCTGTTTGTTATCTGCCTTTAACACCATACATGACACAATATTGAATTAAATTACAGAAGCAGATCACATCTAATACAATTATAAGTGTCATTTATACCAAATGTCGGAGAAAAATGAAGTGCAAAAATGTCTAGCTGAGTAAATTATGAAACTTGAATTTTTATATTTGATTAAGATGCAATATTAATAAAGATGGGAAACAAGTTTTAAGTTAACTGGCAATAAACTAGTTTAGTTAAATATTTTTGACAAGAGTCTATGTTTTCAAAACATGTCTATCTGACATAAAGAAACAGTAACTAATACCAAAGGAAACATTATCTATGCTTACAAATGAATACAATTTATTTAATAATTTGATTCTGTAGTTAAAATATTCTTCATTCACTCAGTCCACAATTGTATACTGAGTACTAATTATCATCACTCATTTGTTCCTGGGCTCTAGTCCCAAATCTGATATTTATCTAGCATACATTACTGATTATACCCTTCCTAGAAGGGTCAACCTGAATAAGCGTAAATATTCTGAGTTTTGACACGTATGTGTGTAATACAGAAATATATTACATATTTTTTCCCATGTCGAAGTGATTCAGTGACATGATGTCTATGAAAATGCTTTGTTAACTTGAAAACTAAATATACAGATGAGAATTTCCTAGGAATAGTAATATAATTGTAACAAATTTTAGTATTCATATAGCCCAGGATATTTGCTCTGCCGATGTTGTCACATATGAAAGCATGATAATTCTGCTCTCCACATTAGCACTCTTACAAGTGAATTTATAAACTATCTCTATCATGTAATGACATTTTGTTCTCCTATAAAACATGGTCAAAATATGCAAATTCTATTATTAATCTGATATCTAAAACCAATTATTATAAATCCTTTTTAAAACTCTAAGAATCACTGGGAAAATAATAAATATTATGCTGCTAATCCACCAATTATGCCAGGAGAAGTCTCTAATTAGCGAGATCTCATTTACAAAATGGTTCCATGCAAGCTATTGACTTCAGATGCATTTTGATGCTGACAGTTTCCCCACCTGGGAAATGTAAAAACACTATGTGAAGATAATAGTGAATGCAACATAAAAATTGCCACAGCAAGCACCTTGTCAATCTGACCCTGACAGGACAGACATATTGATTGGCTGGGGCTGGCAGAAGATTAAGCAGCCAGGACAGAGAAGCAAATGCAGGTGGATAATACAACCCACAAGTTGCACTTCTTCCTTTAAATTATGCACCAATTTAAAATGACTGCTGCTTGGGATTGTGAGTTTAACTCATGATCACTGTAAAATGGAAATTGCCTGGAAGTTTCTACTAGAAGTAGCAATAAAGTTACATTTAGCCTAGGGTATTTGAAGGAAAATTGCTATCACTGGTAATAGAATTTATAGCTAGCTTTGCTGTTGTAGATAAATCCATGTTTTTGACTTTGCGACCATTGAAACATAAAAATTAAACCTTTTAACCATAGTCAAGCCTTCTGTACTAAATGGTAAAAGCCAGTTATGATTGTTATCAGAAAGTTATTTCTAACTGTCAATTCTGGGGGAAGAAAGAATTTTGAAGCATCTCTGAGGTTTTATTTACAGTTAATTGGATACTCAATTGTAAAAAGATTATGAATTGATTTATGAAAAGAGCTTCTAGAGGCCATGGCTGAGCTCCGTGCCTTTGGTCTGAATGTGCGTTGCTTTTATTATTCTTGCTAATGCATTGATAAGAACACTTCTGTTGATAATAAGCTTAAAAGATATTTACTTTATTTTGCTTACATGTTCATAGAGGATGTCTGAACAGAATTTTGCTGAATGGCTTGGCTGCAAACCAAACACAGCATCGAATGCTTCCTTCTGACTATTCAGGGAATTTATGGGAAGTAATAAATACAACGACTGCTTAAGCCTCAGCTGAAAGCCTTAGAATACTACCATTTTAAGAAAGTGTGTCCTGTAAGGAGGTGAATATTAATTAGTTTTACCAAGGCAAAATTAAATAGACACCTGAGGTAATTATCCAGATACTGTATATTTTCTCTTAAATAGGAGCTCTAATTAAATTTAGGTGGAGAGGTAGATTATTTGCATTCATTTTCCAAATAAAAGCATGCCAAAGGGAAATCAGAAAGGCTTGTAAGAATGCCTCTGAAAACTACATAATAATCAGAAATAAACAACATAAAAATGTTATACATGTCTCATTCTAATTTTGAGTATAACATTTATAAAATTTCAGATATTCTTAGAAATACTCAAATTGGCCTTTGGGTCTTGTATCAAGTGTTTTAGTCTTCTAAAGGAGAAATTATGAAAATAGGAAAGGAGGATGGTAAACAGTGAATGTAGTCTGAGAAACATAACTCAGTTATGCCGTTCTTGCCTTGCTATAAAAGAAACCTGAGCCTGGGAAATTTATAAAAAGAGGTCTAATTGGCTCACAACTCTGTAGGCTTTACAGGAAGCATAGCACTGGCATCTGCTTCTGGTGATGCCTTAGCAAGTTTACAATCATGAGAGAAGGTGACAGGGAACAGGCACATCACATGGTGACAACGGGAGCAAGAGAGAGATGGGGGGCAGGTGCCACACACCTCTAAACAACCAGATTTCATGTGAACTCACTCATTACCCAGGGTATGGCACTAAGCCATCCATGAGGGATCTATCTTCACGATTCAAACACCTCCCATCAGGGTCCACCTCCAACGCCAGGAATTACATTTTAATGTGAGATTATGAGGGGACAGATATTCAAATCATATCATAAGTCTACACGATTATTTAAGTGAGATAGTTCAGCACTTTCTACAGAATACATGCAGAGGACATTTTGAAACCCTTTTCAGCATAACATGCAAATAAATACAGATATATGTTTGGGTGTGTACATATGTGTGTGTGTGTATTGTGTCTTTGCATGTATCCTATTTCAATAACTGAAACAATCTTGTGGGAGAAAGCATATACAGAGAGTATGCAGAAGAAACAACTGTACTCTGTCGTGGAGATTATGACAAAAAAGCAGAACAGTGATCTGTGGACACAATTACTGATATTAGATTGTTCTACATATCAATTTGCTGCTTCTCATACTGGTGAATTTAAGGACAAGTTATATATTCCCTTGTTGTTTCCAAGTACCAATACACTCCTTCTTCTTCCAATAGGGCCCCT
The DNA here is from genome assembly GCF_000001405.40 of Homo sapiens. Taxonomy (NCBI): domain Eukaryota; kingdom Metazoa; phylum Chordata; class Mammalia; order Primates; family Hominidae; genus Homo; species Homo sapiens. Next base: position 125,574,676 of record NC_000007.14, read on the forward strand.
ATTAAGAGATCTTTTGTTATATAATAGAAAAATCATGGCCTTTGGAATCAATCTTGTTTATGAAAACTGGCCTTGTTGAATCACTTTCTAAGTGACCTTGGACAATTTTCTCAACTCACATTGTGATTTTGTAAAGGTAAAAGGCAATAATACATTTGAAATATGTATAAATACTTGGTAGATTACTGTTAATTTCCATTTTGTTTTGCCAAGGGCCTACTCATTAAATCGAACTTATTCCTTACCCTAAGCATCCAGATCTCATTTATAATATTAATAAAAACTCTGTGTTTATTAATATTTATGATCTGCCTTACATAAGTCAGCAAGGGTATGGGGCTGCTACCTATGGACAGACGCCTGCTTGAGTTTCCACCATTAACTGTTTCCATGATTTCCATATGACCTGGCACTCCACTTCACTTGATGATTTTTTGAATTTTGTTAGAACCTCAACTTCCTTCAGACAATCCCATTCTTTTCCCCCTGTATATTCTGTCTAATCAGCTCCCTAAGCTCACTGTTGCATACTTAGGCAATTCTTTTCTGAGAAATCTTTTTTCCAAGAGGGAGGATGATACTATGAATGGTTTCAAGTCAGTTTTGACCACTGATCCTAGAAGAGAAAGTAAATCTTTGGTGATTTAGTGAGTGAGCGTAGACAACGTTGAGTGTAGACTGGCATATGTAGGCAGATGAATAGATTATGCAAAGTCTAGAGGAGATAAAGATTGTAATCAGTTCAATATGTCTGGACCACACAAAAAGCAAGATTAGAGAGTAGCAAGAGATGAAGTTGGAAATGTAAAAAGAAACAAAGTCACGATGGGGCAAATAGCAACTTTAAGAATTGGTATATTCTCCCAAAGGCAACTGGAAATTTGTGACTTTAAGCAGGAATCAGTCAGATGAACTTTGTGCATTAGGTGGATTATTTTGTCCTGAGCACAAAGTATGGGTAAGTAAAGGCAAGACTACAGATGGAAAGAACATTTGTATAACTTTTTTATTAACATAGGTGCAGCATAAAGGTCACAGGAACTAAATTACAGATTGTATAGATGTAGAAAAGTAAACTGATTTGAAACAGAATTATGAAAATTGACTGATTAAGATAATTTTAAACCTGCTAATATATCCTAAAGAGAGTTAAAAATAACTTGTTTTAAATTGCCAGAATTTTAGCTAAATCTAACAATAATGTGCCAAAAGCCGTTTTTTTTTCCACTAGATTTACCTCACTAGTTGTAAATGACACAAAGCCCTAAGGGTCATTGTTCTATTAAGTTTAGCTTAAGTTAGAGAGTTTATGTTTGTCTTATCAAACCTCTTAAGTTCTTATGTGAACTAAACACAATCTATATGATCATTCCTTGATAGATATGCTATCTGAAATGGGCATATTTATTTATCTACTTTTAGTTGTTCAATGTTATGAACACTTAGCTTTTCTGGTCCAAGAGTGATAATGACTTCGAGAGTTTACAATATAAATCTACATAAAGAAAAATTTTGAGTGTTTTAAAGTGGCTCTAGTTATTTCCTTATGCCTTGTTTAATCTCCTGCTTTCAAAATGGAATATCTTTCAAACAGGTATTATATTAATATGACATTTTGGCATGTGTATATTCTCATTTTCTCTCATATGACATGTTCTGTTCTATTTAAAAATCAAAACGTATCTCCAAAACTCTCCAAATCTTAGGTTCAATGTCATTGATGAATGTGAAGTTTTTCTTTTTCATTGTTCATCATTGACAAGAGGAACAGGCAGATAACTTTAAAATATCATATTTAATAAAGTTCACCATGAAATTTCAAAGAATAATGGATTAGCTGGACAAAATAAAAAATTTAACTCTTCTATTATACTGGTCAAAGATTTTTAAAGCAGGTAGAACGCCAGTTATTTCAATGACAGCCAACTTAGATGGAAAATAGAGAGAAGCAATGTGCAGCCAACAGCCAGGGTGCATTTGTCTAAAGTGAGTTTGTGCGTGTAGGGAATGGGCAACTTCAGCAAAGTTTCAAAATAAAAAATCAGAGTGCAAAAGTCATTAACATTCTTATACACCAATAACAGTCAAGCTGAGATCCAAATTGGGAACATAATCACATTCACAATTGCCACACAAAAAATAAAATACCTAGTAATACAGCTAACCAGAGAGGTGAAAGATCACTACAAAGAGAACCATAAAACACTGCTCAAAGAAATTAGAGATGATGCAAATGGAAAAACATTGCATGCTCATGGATAGGAAGAATCAATATCATTAAAATGACCATATTGCCCAAAGCAATTTACATATTCAATGCTATTCCTATTAAACTAACATTGACATTCTTAACAAAACTTCAAAAAACTGTTTTGAAATACATATGAAATTGAAAACAGCATGAATAACCAAGGCAATCATAAGCAAAGAGAACAAAGCTCGAGGCATCACACTACCCAACTTTAAACTACACTACAGGGCTATAGTAATCAAAACAGCATGGTGTTGGTATAAAACCAGACACACAGACAAATGGAACAGAATAGAGAACCCAGAAATAAGGCTGCATACCTACAACTACCTGCTCTTCAACAAGTCTGACAAAAACAAGCAATGAGGAAAGAATTTCCTACTCAATAAGTGGTGCTGGGATAACTGACTAGCCATCTGCAGAAGACTGAAACTGGACCCCTTTCTTATACTATATACAAAAAAATTAACTCAAGATGGATTAAAGATTTAAACATAAAACCCCAAATTACAAAAGCCCTGGAAGACAACCTAGGCAATACCATTCAGGACCTAGCCATGGGCAAAGATTTCATGATAAAGATGCCAAAACCAATTGCAACAAAAACAAAAATTGACAAATGTGATCTAATTAAACTAAATAGCTTCCACACAGCAAAAGAAACTATCAACAGAGTAAACAGACAAACTTCAGAATGGAAGAAAATTTTTGCACACTATGTATCTGACAAAGGTCTAATATCCAGCATCTATAAGGGACTTACACAAATTTACAAGAAAAAAAAACATTAAAAAGTGGGCAAAGGACATGAATAGACACTTTTCAAAAGAAGGCATATGTGTGGCCAATAATTATATGAAAAAAAGCTCAACACCACTGATCATTAGAGAAATGCACATCAAAAGCACAATGAGATACCATCTCATACCAGTCAGAATGGCTATTATTAAAAACTAAAATATAACAGATGCTGGCAAGGTTGTGGAGGAAAAGGAACACTTATACATGATTGGTGAGAATGTACATTAGTTCAGCCATTGTGGAAGAGAGTGTGGCGATTTCTCAAAGACCTAAAGACAGGAATACCATTTGACTCTGCAATACTATTACTGGGTATATACCCAAAGGAGTATAAATCATTTTATTATAAAAAACACATTCACGCATATGTTTATTGCAGCGGTATTCACAATAGCAAAGACATGGAATCAACATCAATGCCCGTAAATGGTAGACTGGATAAAGAATATGTGTTACAGACACAATAGAATACCATGCAGCCATAAAAAAGAATGAGATCAGGTCCTTTGCAGGAACATAGAAGGAGCTGGAAGTCACTATCCTTAGCAAACTAACACAGTGACAGAAAACCAAATATGACATGTTCTCACTTATAAGTGGGACCTAAATGATGAGAACACATGGACTTGTAAGAGGGAACAACAAACACTGGGGCCTTTTGGAGGGTGGAGGTTAGGAAGACCGAGAGGATCCGGAAAAATAATGAGGATTAGGCTTACTACCTGGGTAATGAAATAATCTGTATAACAAACTCCCATGACACAAGTTTACCTATGTAACAAACCTGCACTTGCACCACTTAACTTAAAATAGAAGTTTTTTTTAAAAAAAGAAAACAAAAGCCAACAATTAATATCAGTAGTAGACTTTGCTAGATCAACCCTGACTCACTAAAACAAGACAAAATTGTTGGTTAGAAAAAGGAAGGTTGTTGAAGAGTGTAATGAATGTTTGATATCTGGATGCTTATTAGGTGTCCCATAGTATGAAACAGCAGCTATGCTGTGGTTAGTTATGGAACATACAAATTACCAATAAAATTTTTAAATGGTAGACCCAACTCCTAAAAATTTCACTTACTGGGTACATAAGAAAATGCAAACAAAATAAGAAACTAGCTAAATATACAATCTTTATTTATTTATATCTGTAATAGTTTGTATTTCGTCCAGTCCCATCTGCTGCTGCTAGTCTGTGAGCTGCTACCAAAGAACAAAACTGCTGAAAAGACAGATAACATCTCTACAGCTGCTGGTTGCCAAAAGGGTAGTCCAGTAAATCAGGATAACCAAGAAACTACTGAATCCTGAGGGTACAGGATAAACAAGTTGTCTCATTTTGTAAAGCGGTATCATCAGATTTCTGGAAAATCCTTACTAAAATGGATTGTGAAAGATTTAGAAGTCTCCTTTGTTTTGATAGCTGCAGAAAGGAAGAGTATGTTGTGTTGATGCCAGCCTCACAACTTATTAGTGAGTAATAACAAATGAATGAAGGTACATGATCCAAACATACAACAGTTTTCTTACAGGACAGCTAGCCTGTTGGACTGGATAAAAGCTGCTATAAAGTTTTCTTGTCCTGAGAAAATAAATTATCCTTCTCTTTTAAAAGCCAAGTGGAACTCCCCATTTGAAGTGGCTGATGTGCATATACAAGACACACTGGTTTTCAGGATGTTCATTTATTTAATACACCCCTTACCTGAATCATGGTAAATACTATGATTAAGGATCCCATTTTATATATAACATTAGTGCTGCAAAATCAAGCAATAATTTAAGAAGACATATCAGATTTGTTGTCTCAGCTTTCCCTTATTGTCTTACAGATGCTAAAAAAAATTAGAGTAGGTCACAAAGGAAAGAAAAAATAGAAAAGACATGTTTATGAGACTTATCACAGCATGCAAGAAGTCTTTAAATACTATGAAAGTAAGGGGTGAATAAAGTCAACATTGCCAAGGTAAACACAAGGCTATAATATAGCACCATTGTAATTTGGTGAACCAATGAGAACTCCTGCTTTTCATCCAACATCAAGGGACCCTAAACAAATCTACTCTCTTTATCCTAGTTTGGAGAAATTAAAAAAAAAAAAAAAAGAAAAGCAAAGATATCAAGGAGAAACCTGAGCTTGAATGGCTGAGAATGATTGCCCCCAAAATTAATCTGGGTGGAGATTGACAAAAGATCTAGGATCTCTTGGCCTATCCTCCAGTTGGAGACCCAGGGACTTCAGGCCATATGCATACATGTGGGTAAAATGGCCACATGGCCATTACCATTACCCTACCCAGGTGGAAATAAAAACTTTCTGGGGCTGCTTGCCACAGTGCATTTACTGTAACTTCAACACTTGTTGATATTCTAAATGGGGCAATAATTAGGTTGAAAGCATATGAAAAATGGAAACTTTATGGGGTTAAAGTAATAATTTGTATAAAATTGGAATATTTTAACAGATTTTATGTGAAGTGGTTGTGTCTCCTTTACCTGAATGTATTATTGCAATGGATATTATGTCTAATTTAGGAACACTTCCCTCACCTAGTATCATAAAATGGAAGGCATATAAATTTGTCCCTTTGCTAGTATTAATTGGACATGCAAAATGGGAACCTATAAATTTACTTGAACCCACACAGCTTGTTAATATATAATAGTATCAGATATCTAGTAAAACCAAAGGCATTACCACTTGTCATCATCCCTGTTATCTGTGAATGTTTTGAATTATTTGGAAATAGGTTCTTTGCACGTATAATCACACTGGATACTAATCCAATGTGACTTGTACCCTTATAAGAAGAGAAATATGTTATTGTTTATTATTTATTATTATTATTTTTGAGATGGAGTCTCACTCTGTCACCCAGGCTGGAGTGCAATGGCACGATCTCAGCTCACTGCAATCTCCACCTCCTGGGTTCAAGCGATTCTCCTGAGTAGCTGGGGTTGCAGGTGCACACCACCATGCCTGGCTAATTTTTGAATTTTTGGTAGAGATGGGGTTTCACCATGTTGGTCAGGCTGGTCTTGAACTCCTGACCTCAGGTGATCTGCCTGCCTTGGCCTCTCAAAGTGCTGTGTTTATAGGCATGAGCCATTGCACCCAGCCCTGAAGAGAAATATTTGGACACAGACACACAGGAAAAGTTCTGTGTGTTGACAGAGATTAGAATGAGGCCACTGATGATTAATTTTTTGTGTGTAAACTATACTGAGCTAAGGGATGCCCAGATAGTTGGTAAATATTGTTTCTGGGTGTGTCTGTGGAGGTGTTTCTGGAAGAGATTAACATTTGAATCAGTGGACCAAGTTAAAAATAATCTACCACACCAATTAGTGTGGATGAGGATCATCCAATCTGTTGAGGGCCTGAATAGAATAAAAAGGTAGAGGAATTGCAAACTTTCTCTTTCTTTTTCATCTGGGACATCCATCTTCTTTTGACATCCAACAGCAGAGCTCCTGGTTCTTGGGCCTTTGGACTGTGCCCCTCCACCACCCTGACCCTAGTTCTCAGGCCTTTAGACCCAGATGGAGTTATACCACTAGCTTTCCTGGGTCTCCAGCTTGCAAACAGCAGATGGTGAGACTTCTTGGTCTTCATAATCATGTAAACTGATTCCCACAATAATCTCCTTATATGTATGTCTATAGCCTATTCCTTCTAAAGAACCATGACTTGTACACAGCTTCAAGAGAAAGAATGGCATGGATTGACAGCCACAATCCATGCGAAAAAAGTGAGAAAGATTTAAGGAAAGATTCTCTTCTGCTGCTTTCAGAGGGAGCATGACCCCGCTAACACCTTAATTTTGGACTTTTGGCCTACAGAACTATGAGACAAAACATTTCTGTTGTTTAAAGCTATCTAGCTTGTAGTACATTTTTTTTTAATGACAGCCCCAGGAAAGTAATACACCACTTTAATTAATGACAAGTTAGAAGTTCTAGTGCTGATACCAACAAATTCTATTTACAATAGTCCTGAGTGGCCCGTGAAAAAGGCAAATGATTTACAGAGACTAACAGTAGATTACCAAGGCTTTGATAAAGTAATTCCACCTATAGCAACAGCAGTCCTTGATAGTGCAAAAGATACAACAAGCTAAAAGAGACTAGAACTCAGTGATTAAATCTGCAACTGCTTTTTTCTTTATTTCAATCTTGGTTTGGAGTCAAAAGCAGTTTTCCTGGAAGGACACCAATTTACCTTTATTGTATTGGTAGCGTTATTTGAATTCACCAGCTTACTGTCATTATTTAAATGAACAAGGGGTTTGGCCTTAAAGCAGGTCTCAAGTGTGAATATACACTACATTGATGACAGCATGGTAATATCAGAAACTGAACAACAAACTGTCAGTGATATAAATGTAGTAGTGACATGTGTGACTGCCAGAGGCTGGTTGATAAATCCAGAAAGGATACAAGGATCACCCAAAAGGTGAGATTGTTAGGAGTAACTTCGGCAGGAGTCACCTATAACATCATACAGGCAGCTATATATACTGCTAATTGTTGCTACTATGGAAATTAGCAAGAGGAAAAGGACTTTGTTGGATTATTTTGATTTTGGAAACCTGTATTTCACATCTGGGACTATTGACAGTTCATGTTGCCTAAAAGAAGTTCATATTTGTATGGAGGCCTGAACAACAAAAGCCTATGTCTTAATTGTAATAAGTGGTGGCTTAATCAATGCCTACAAGACTAACTGACATCCAATTAACATCCTGGACACCAAAGCTCTGATGATCTTCCCTAACTGATAACATTTCACATATGTTGACACACTTTTGGGAGAATTAAGCACACCCATTAAACTCCTTTGAGAGAGGACCCTTCCTTGGAAACTTGTACCTCCTTTCTCCTGAACTTGACTAATGCACATTTTCCCCTTTGTTGGTTTTAAATGATATCATTTTGCCCTAAAAAACTTTACCATAAGTATAACAGCTTTTGAGTTCTGTGAATCCCTTTATCAAATCATCAAGTCTGCATATTATCATAGGGAACCCTGACACAATTGTCAGTTGTCTTTTGGAAATATTTCAAAAACAAGAAAAAATATATTTTTTTGAATTACTATTTATATTGTCTTAATCCCTTTGTGTACATCCAGATTTCCATCTGGTATCATCTTCTTTTTGAGTGAAGGACTTTCTTTAACATTTCTAAAATGTGTATTTGTGGGGATGAATTCTTTCAGTTTTTCTAGTTTTAAACTTGTATTAGTTAGGGTTCTTTTAGAGGGACAGAACTGACAGGAGAAAGATGTAGGCTGGGAGGCTAGGCCCGTCTCTCCTTTTCACGTTTTTCTGCCTGCTTTATGTTCACTGGCAGCTGGTTAGATTGTGCCCACTAGATTGAGGGTGGATCTGCCTTCCCCAGCCCACTGACTCAAATGTTAATCTCTTTTGGCAACACCCACACAGACACATCCAGGTTTAATACTTTGTATCCTTCAATCCAATCAAGTTGACACTCACTATTAACCATCACAACACTAGTCTTTATCTTGTCTTCCTTTTTTTGTGGTAAGAACATCTAACATGTCTGCCCTTTTAAAATATTTTTAAGTTTACAATATTAGCATTGCATCTTTAGCCACAATGTTGTACATCCTATCATCATGCGTAACTGAAATATTATAGATATTGATTAGCAACTCCCTACTTCCCTCTTCCCCCAGCCTCTGGCAATCACTATTTTATTCTTTGTGTGTATCATTTTAACTACTTTAGATGCTTGATATAAATGGAATCATGCCTATTTGTCCTGCTATAACTAACTCATATCAATTAGCATAATGTCTTTAAGGTTAATCCATGTTACCATAGTTGTAGAATGTCCTTTTTTTAAAAGCTAAATAATATTCCATGGTGTGTTTATACTATATTTCCTGTGTCCATTTACCTGTCAATAGACACTTAGGTTGTTTCCACATCTTGCTTATTGTGGATAATGCTGCAATGAACATTGAAGTACTAACATCTCTTGGAAATCATGATTTCAATTATTTTTGGTAAATAAGCAGAAGTAAGATTGCTGGATCATATGGCAGTCCTACTTTTAACTTTTTAAGGAACCTCCATACTGTTTTACATAGCAGCTGCATTCCTACCAACAATTTACAATGGTTTCCATTGCCCCACCTCCTCACCAACACTTGTTTTCTTCTTTCACTCTTTTTTTTTTAACATAATAGTCATTCTGACAGAAGTTAGGTGATATCTTATGTAGTTTTGATGTGCATTTTCATGATGATTAGTAATATTGAGCATCTTTTCATATGCCTGTTGGCAATTTGTATGTCTTCTTCGGAAAAATGTCTGTTCAAAGACTTCCCATCTTAAAAATCAGGGTTTTAATGTAGTTCCAACTTGTCTATTTTTGCTTATGTTACCTGTGTTTTTCTCATCATATTCATGAGGTTATTACTAAGACCAATGTCATGAAGCTTTTCACCTATATTTTCTTCTAGAAGTTACACAGTTTCAGATATTAAAGTCTTTCATCTATTTTGAGTTAATTATAGGGCAGAAATAAAAGAGAGATTAGAAAATAATGCAATAATTCAATGAAATTAATAATTTTTTTGAAAAGACAAACAAATTTGATAACCCTTTAGCTAGGCTAATTAGAAAAAAGAAAAGAAGACTCAAGCAAATAAGGCAAGAAATAAAAGAGGACACATTATAACTGATGCCACAGAATTAAAAACGTATCATAAGAGACTAGTATAAATAACTCTATGCCAACAAAATGGATAACCTAGACGGAATAAATTCTTAGAACCATATAACTTATCGAGACTGAATCATGAAGAAATTGAAAGTCTGAACAGGCCTACAACCAGTAAGGAGATTGAATCAGTAATCAAAAACCTCTCCCCTAAAAAAGGCTAAGACCAGATGGACTCACTGGAAAATTCTACCAAACATTCAGAGAATTAATGCCAATCCTCCAACTATTCCAAAAAATTAAAAAGGAGATATCACTTCCAAACTCATTTTATGAGGCCAGCATTACCTTGCTACCATAGCCAACGACATTAAAAGACAAAGAAACTGTAGGCCAATATCTCTAATGAACAGAACGTAAGCTCAAAATTCCTTAACAAAATACTAGCAAACTAAATTCAAAAGCATATTGCCTTCATTTGGGGATACTTTTTTTCACTTGGTATAGAATTATAGGTTTACAGTCAGTGTGGCGATTCCTCAGGGATCTAGAACTAGAAATACCATTTGACCCAGCCATCCTATTACTGGGTATATACCCAAAGGATTATAAATCATGCTGCTATAAAGACACATGCACACGTTATGTTTATTGCAGCACTATTCACAATAGCAAAGACTTGGAACCAACCCAAATGTCCAACAATGATAGGCTGGATTAAGAAAATGTGGCACATATACACCATGGAATACTATGCAGCCTTAAAAAATGATGAGTTCATGTTCTTTGTAGGGACATGGATGAAGCTGGAAACCATCATTCTCAGCAAACTATCGCAAGGACAAAAAACCATACACCGCCTGTTCTCACTCACAGGTGGGAATTGAACAATGAGAACACATGGACACAGGAAGGGGAACATCACACACTGGGTTCTGTTGTGGGGTTGGGGGAGAGGGGAGGGATAGCATTAGGAGAGATACCTAATGCTAAATGATGAGTTAATGGGTGCAGCACACCAACATGGCACATGTATACATATGTAGCAAACCTGCATGTTGTGCGCATGTAGCCTAAAACTTGAAGTATAATAAAAATAAAATAAAAAATTAAAAAAATTAGAAAATAGAAAAACAGTAGATCTAATAAATCCAAATGCTGTTGTAAAAAAAAAAGAATTATAGGTTTACAGGTTTTTTTTGTATCTACTTTAAATATATTGTTCAATTATCTTACTTATTTCCATCAAGAAATCTCCTATTATTCTCATCTCTGTTCCTCCCTAACAATTCTCTATGTGCCTTTCTCTTTAGCTACTATTAGTATTTCATTTTTATCACGACATTGGAGCAAATATGATGTGCCTTAGTGTATTTTCTTTCTGTTTATTGTGTTTGGGTTTTGTTAAACTTCTACGGTCAATGAAATAATGTTTTCCATTATTTTGGGAAATTTTCAGCCATTATTTTGTCGAATATATTTCTGCTCTTACTTCTCCTTCAGGGACCATAATTATTTATGTATTAGGCTGCTCCAAGTTATCCCACAGCTTGTTGATTTATCCTTTCTTGTATGCTTCCTTTCTTCTTTCTTTCTTTTACAAATCTTTGTGTGTGTGGTTCTATCCTCCCTTCAGAAAGTCTCTTCACTGATTTCTCAGCTGAATAACTGAAAGAATCTTTTGAAGATCTTCAGATTTCTATCTTGTTTCTAGTACTCTTCTGGGAACTATTGGCACCTGTCTCCTAGGACCACAGAACCGCATCTCCCCACCTGAAAGATTCCATTAGGTTCTTCCTGGTTTCTTCTTTCTGTGCCATCATTTGGAAACTGTCCAGGCTCTAAGTAAAGAGAAGCATGGTGTTCAACTTTTTTGCTTCCCGGCTCGTAGGGATTGCTGTTCTTTGACTTCTGACACCCATTGCCTTGAAACCACTCCTTCATATATATTATTGTTAGTTTTCAGTTATTTCAGGTAGAAGAGTAAATTGAACCCTATTACTACACAACAAACAAAAGGGGACATCTTCTGGTATATTTGGAGATGTTTCAACCACTTTTTGTGCTTCCTTGCTTTACGGGATATATAGAGTTCCAAGCTAATTTTTCACTTTCTAAGTGTCAACCCAGTAGGGGAGTCCTAGGTCCATTAGTGGAGAATGGTAATAAAATATCTTATGTTAGGGACGCTTACCGCTAGCAAAGTGTTGTTGAATCCAAGCCCTCTCAGTTGGCTGAGCTAAGAAAGTTTTGTGTGTATGTGTGTATGTATATATGTGTGTACATATGTATAATAGCAACTGCAAAACACTTTTAAAGTTGTAAATATATCTAGAATAGGATTTGCTCCAATAATAATAAAACAAAATAACTATAAGTAACAAATGACTCATTTTTAATCAATAATGTTAAACTTAAGGTTAAAAATTAAATACACAATTTACTTTGTCAGTAGTGTAAATATATATAAAAATACATAAACATTTTACTTAATAGTTGATATAAGTTCAAGGTAGTAAAGATATGAAAATTTATTTCATCTTTGTGCTTTTGGATTGATGGTGTACCTGATTTTTTTTTCTACCATCATTGTACATTATTCTAGATATATTTCAAAATAAGTCATGGGAAAGATCAAGTATCATGATAGTTTCAGTTACTTCAGTTCCTAGTAATGTCTGGTTTCTTGCTTTTAAAAACTGTATTTGCAAAACCATAAAAGGAAATAAATGAACAATAGCCTTCTGATCATCTACAATATGTTGCCTATAGCACATTTCAAATACATCCATATCGGTTTCTAATATTTGGTTGACAGAGTCCTCTGTTTCCTTTTCCAGTGATTAGGAAATGGAAAAACAATTGCTTTAAAAGAACATGAACTGTGACCTAATAACTCTATAACTTCATACTATGTGGTATTATTAAATGAAACTATATGTGTGATATGATATTATGAAAAGGTTGCCTTAAAGAAACTCCACAAAAATAGCAACTAGAAAAAAATAATTCTAAAACCAAATGAGTCTCCTGCCAAAAAAAGGTAAGAAATAAATAGAAAAGGCAATTCTTGACATATTTTCTACTAGAGTGGTAGTACTAATGACTTATATACATTGCAGTCATAATAATATGAGGTTGTGAAAACCGTGTAAAAGAAGTTTTCATTGAATTTTTCAAATAACTTCACAAATTTTAGCATCCTTGATTTAAAAATCCCTCTCTTTATTTTCTTCCTGTTATTTGCTTCTAATATCAGGTGGTAGAAATTAAATTTCTTTGTTTCTTAAGCATTTTGATTAGCTGTTTTGATTAGCTGTTTTTATTTAATATTAGAACTTTTCTGAAAGATGCATTAAAAGAAAGGAAAAAAGTCTAGCTTAGTTGAAGTAATAAACATTTTAGTACTAGAAATAACAGAAAAGTAGAAACAGATATAAATTGATATATTAGCCAAAGATGGATCATTTTCCAGATGAGATTTAATAACCAAGTTAAAGGAACATTAATATTGACTTTTATGATGCTTGTAATCCCTATCACTTTAGAGAGTGCTTTATCCCCTCCCATTCGTTTCTCATCCCCAGATATGAGGCAGAAAATTAGTAAATAAAAAGTGTGAGTATACTAAAGGTGGTAGACTTTTTAACTTTTTGGAATGCATTGACATTCTTAATCTCTGTGGGTAATTTTAACACAGGAATCAGACAGTTTAACCTACCTTGAAATTAGATGTACGCTATTGATTTGTCTTTTCTTGATGGTCAGAAAGGGACAATTGATGGCATTCTCAATTCCTATTTACTTTTAATTTTTCTGGAAGTTTCACATTTGTTATTATTTTCTCACTGATTTTTCAACTCTTTCTCAATTTTACTTATTCTGAATCAAAATTTGACATGGCACCATTAGTTGGAAAACTCATTTCTATTTTCAGATGTTAATCTGTTACTTACTCATGATACATTTCATATTGTCTCTAGATACTATTAATTTGTTCCATATATTCATTTCTTGCAGAAAACTTTATTAGACTTCACCCATTATCCACCTTTAATTTTTGAAACCATAATCTCAATTCTCTTCTTCAGACTTTATATCAAATACCTGTCAAAAACTAAGGATATATAAATGTTACTAGTTTAAACTAGACACATGCTTCATTTAGCAATTCAGCCTGAAAGTCTCTTTGGGAATTCAGTCTTTTCCCTGGTGATGATGGATGTGCCTACCTACTGTCATTTTATTCTAGTTAGCATTCTGCTTTTCACGTGAATAATCTCTAAAATACAAATTGTGCAAACTGCTTATACTGATGTTTAAAATAATCTTTTATTTTATTGTCTCTAAAACAACCTAACATAACTACTGCAAGCAGAATGATTATTATATCTTCTTTGGTGAGAAGGAATCATTTACTGTCTTTTTCTCTCCAAAAGTCTGTATCCAGTTTCATCTCAATCTGACCTAAATTTCCCTTTCTTATCTTTTACCTGAAAATGTATGCTACATAGTTTTTACCCCTGCCTCTCTGAAAAGTTTGAGAAGTGTCATTCCTTAAATATATCTTGTTTACATCTCCAAGTTATTTTCTTTGTTACTCCTTCCTCAAATAATTTTAAACCCATTTAGCTTGAGAAAACTAGCATTTATGTTTTAAGACGTGTATTAGTTCCTTACCACTCTGCTACAAAGAAGTGGCCAAGTCTGGGTACTTTATAAAAGAGAGAGGTTTATTTGACTCACATTTCCCCAGGACTGGGAGACCACAGGAAACTTACAATCATGGCAGAAGGGGAAACAAACATGTCCTTCTTCACATGGCTGCAGGAAGGAGAAGAATGAAAACCGAGCAAAGGGGGAAGCCCCTTATAAAACCATCAGATCTTCTGAGAACTTACTATCATGAGAAAAGTATGGGAGAACCACCCCCATGATTCAACTACCTCCCGCTCGGTCCCTCACACAACACGTAGGGATTATGGTAACTGCAATTCAAGATGCGATTTGGGTAGGGACACAGCCAAGCTAAAGCAAGACTCTGTTCAAATATCCCATGCTGTGAAAGTTTTTGATTCTGTTTAATTATTGGTATATAAAAGAAATTATTTCAGTGTGGCATATGAGAAAAAAATAAAAGAAACAGAAACCTGAGCTAGAATTTTAACTCTGTCCCTCACTCATCTTCATGCGCATGTATCAGTCACTTACTGTTCTTGAGCTCCAGTGTTCTCTACTGAAAATAGTAGTATTTGTAGCCACTTCATAGTTGAAGAGCATAATGGTGATAAGTTGTTTATAGTAACTCACATAGTTTTGATATCCTGTAGGTTCTCAATAAGTGTTGGTACTAATTGATATAAATATTATTAATACTGATATCGTTGTAAACATGTTTTCTCTTAGGTGGGTAAGTTTTCTCTATTAGGAAATGCTTAATATCAGTTTTCTAACAGCCCTCTATATACCAAGCTTCTGTAGCTGAAGCAAGATCTCTCTCTGTTTTTGTAAGTATCCACAATAGATGAACTATGAATTGAATTTTCTTTGACATGGCTTTAGTTTTTTCTTATCCTCTTTCCTAAGGTAGTTCCACTGACTTTCCCCTTTATTTATTGGTCTTTCATTTTCTCTGCTTTGAATTAAGAATGTGCATTTGATGAAATCTATTTTCACATTCTCTTCATTTTACAACTTTCCTTGCTCTTTGACCATGAAAAAACTTACCCCCATTGAAATTACAATTGTTTCCCAGAAAGGGTCATCAAATCTTTATTTAGGTATTTGAATTACTAATACAAATTTTAAAAATCACATTCTCTTATACATTTTGAAATATTTCAGAGGCAGTTTTACTTTAACACATAATCGATTCTTTTTCTGAGTTTTGCATCAATCACTTATTATCTTTCAAAGCTGGCAGGATTTATTTCTAGATGATTATTGACTATAATACAACTATTTGTAGATCATCTAGCACTTTCTTCACAGACACCTGCTCCTATCATTGTGAAATAAATAATCTGTAATCTAACTAGACTAACTACTTTGCCAGATTGATAAACTAACAAATAGGTCAACCAAAATTTTGATGAAGTCTAGGAAATGGTAGTCATATGTGAATCCCAAATTATCTCTGTAATTAAAAAGAAAGATAGTAGAAAAACCTTTTTTTTAAATCCAATACTCTTCAAAACTATGTGAAGCCCAAAAAAATCACATGCCTTTTTTTTTTGGTATTCAGTCCACATTAAGTCCCAAATTAAATATTTTCAGTCTCATTTATCCAATGCTAAAAATGCAATAATTGCAATGATTGCAGACTTCACAGGTTTACTGTAGCACAGAGATTAGAAGATAATCCTACTTTTCATCTTATTGTTTTATTTATCAGAGACTGCTGATAAGTGTCTTGGCTCATATTTCAAGTGACTTGTTTTTTTGAAGAGCCTTAAATGCGAATATATAAATGCAGTGCAAATATTGATAGCTATTTTTTGTAACTCTAATTCCTCGAAAATAAAACTTAAAACAAAAGTTAAAGCTTCCATCAATAATTTAATGATTTGGAGTGTGCCTTTTTTATACAAAATGATTAGAGACATATGAAGCCATAATGCTTCAATTACTTGTGATATGGTTTAATTAACTAGGCATATAAAACAGTAGATTAGACCTGTGGTTTCCAGCTGTGGGCTACTGAGCCCCGAAGCGACATTTAGCAATGTCTGGGTCCGTTTGTGGGTGCCACAACTGAGAGTGGGAGTGCTAATGAAATCAAAGGACAAAGGCCAGGGATGCTTCCAAACATCCTACCATGCACAGGATGCTCCTGCCTACCTCGTCACAAGCAAAGAATTATACAACTCAAAATGTCAATTGTGCCAAGGTGGAAAATTCCAAAACTAGCCCAAAGGGGGGGAAAAAACTACAAAAAAGCAATGATGAATGAATACTGAAAATGTAGTATAACACAGAGAAAAGAGAACTCTTATACACTGTTGGTAGGCATGTGAATTAGTACAACCATTATGGAACAATGTGGAGGTTTTTCAAAACACTAAAAACAGAACTACAATACGATTCAGCAATCCCACTACTAGATGTTAATCCAAAGGAAAGGAAATCAGTATATTAAAGAGACATCTGCTCTCTCATGTTTATTTCATCACTATTTATAACAACTAAGATATGGAATCATACTAAATGTCCATCAGCAGATGAATGGATAAAGAAAATGTGGTACATATGCACAACGGAGTACTATTTAATCATAAAAAGAATGAAATCCTGTCATTCACTGCAACATGGATAAGCCTGGAAGACATTATGTTAAGCAAAATAAATCAGGCACAGAAAGATAAACACTGCATGTTCGCACTTACAAGTGGAGCTAAAAGGCACATTTTGAGCTCATGGAACTAGAGAGTAGAATTGTGAGTATCAGAGGCTGAGAGGTAGGGGGTGGATGAAGTGAGGTGATGAATATACTATTTACCCTGATTTGATCATTACTCATTGTGTACAAGTATCCAAGTATCATTTTGCATCCCATGAGTATGTACAACTATTATGTATCAACTAAAAATAAAAAGATAATATACACATACAGTGAAATAATATTCTGTGTAAATAAAGAAGGAAATTCTGACACATGTGACAACAAGGATAAACCTGGAGGATATTGTGCTGAGTAAAAGAACCCAGTCGCAGAATTACAAATACTGCATGATTCCACTTATATGAGGTGTCTAAAATAGTAAAGCTCAGGCCTGGTGCAGTGGCTCACGCCTATAATCCCAGCACTTTGGGAGGCCCAGGTAGGCGGATCACGAGGTCAAGAGATCGAGACCATCCTGGCCAAGATTGTGAAATCCCTTCTCTACTAAAAATACAAAAATTAGCTGGGCATGGTGGTGCATGACTGTTGTCCCAGCTACTCGGGAGGCTTAGGCAGGAGAATCTCTTGAACCCAGGAGGCGGAGGTTGGAGCAAGCCGAGATCGCACCACTGCACTCCAGCCTGGTGACAGAATGGACTCCACCTCAAAAAAAAAACAGCAACAACAACGAAAAACAAAGTAAAGTTCAGAGAAACAGTACAATAGTGGTTTCCAGGTGCTGGGGAAAGGGGAAGTGGAGAGTTGCTTTAAAGGAGTATAACAATTTTAATTTTGCAAGACACATAACTTTTAGTAAACTGCTGTACAGTGTTGTGCCTATCGTTAACCATACTATATTGTGCCCTTAAAAATTTGTTAAAAGGATAGATCTCATTTTAAATATTCTAACCACAACCAAACAAAACAAACAAACAAAAGAACAGTTGAGCTTCTGCCTCACTGAATAATAAAATCAATCAAGGGCTACAAGGTTAAAATAGCTACTACTATTTTTAAAAAGACCAATTTTCCTCTTAGAGTGAAATAAATAATTTAGATCACCTGCATATTTCAAAATCAAACTGGGATTTAACAAATATGCATATCCCTCTTATCAACTGTTGTTAGCATGATATTATGTAATATATATATGTATCATGATATACATATTACAAGAAATCAATGACTAAATGGTAATAGAGGGATGAGATGAGAGAAAATAAATAGGTTTAGTGTGTGGTGGGATGTATGTGGAGAAATGCAGAGGAAGAATAAAAATTAAAGACTAACTAATGGAAGTAAACGATATGAGAGTCATTGTCACTCAAAAATAGAAAGAATAGGGATCTCTTGATTTGGTTCTCATGTGAGTTTATTTCATTAAGTCATTGTTACTTAACAAAGTATTTACATATAACTTTGACAAAGAGTAAGTTATTTTTTCTATGATTATAACCATGAAAGAATAATAGCATGAGTGTCAAGCAGAAGTAGGCTCAATTTTGTGTGTGTTCTTTGCTGTGTTATTTTCATGTGCCAAATTCTCAGTTTAATCATCTATAAAATGATGCTAAAAATAGTATATACTTAGAGAATTTTGAGAATTATAGAATGTACAAAAGATACTTATAAGACTCATTTTCATACTCCTTAGATAATAGTCATTATAGGGTTAGATGATGATGATCATGATGATAATGATGGCTACCTGTGATGATGGCAATGGTGGATAGGACCCCAGGTGGGTAGGGATGACCAGGAGGAGGAACAAATCACATCTGGCCAGGGAAGCATGATAGAAGAAACTAAGAGTGAGACATACAAGTCATTATGACAAGATCAATACAATATCAACATTTCAACAGGCAAAAGACAAATCCAGGAGTATTCTAAGAAAAGGATTAGCCACCTCCCAAAGTCCTAGGCAGACAAGGTCTAAGGACTAGAACTTCAGGAATTACATAACTTTAGATATTACCAGCAAGAGAATCAAAGTCAAGTCAAAGGAAAAGAAAATGAAAATTTATTTTATCTTAACCCGAATCTTTGAAAATCTGAGCATAAAGGAACTAAAACATAACTGGTTTACCTTATTGTTGATTAGGAAGTGATCAGTGAGCTAATGTGTTATTATAGCCAATGATTTCCAGAGCCAGGAAACAGTATTGAGTCCTAAATGTCTTATCTGCAGGCTCAAGATTCTCACCCACATTCTATAATCACAAGTGGAAAGGCACATATTGAAATGTGAGGTGCTAGAGAAAGAACGTGGCCCAATACCATCAAAGAAAGATAAAATTAACTATTCTAAAATTCCCAAAAATATTTTCTATATGTGATTTGAAAAGAAATAAATGTGTGGGAAGCTAAAGAATATATGAGAATTCTCTGTATTTTCTGCCCAGTTTGTCTATGAACCTAAAAGTTCTTAAAAAATAGAGTATTTTCTTAAAAGAAATTAGCATGAAATCATAGCTATTAATCTGAGAAGCCCTTAAGAAATTGTGTTTTAAGTCCAGAAGAAAAAATGTATTTGGCCCATTAATGACTGAAAAAGTATAATTTTATTTTATGTTCAGTATGTGATATGAATTTTACATACCTTGTCCTTAAATTTTGTCACAAAACTGTTGAACTATTGCTATTATTATTTCCTTTTACAGATGAGAAAATAGAGGATTCAATTATAAGAAAAAATTATGTTGCCAAATACCATATCCCTAATATATATCAATGCTATAAATTGAACCAGGTCTTAAAGTACTTTTCTCCAATACTTTTCACTATACCATGTTACCTTAATTGGGTTGTACCAACTCATCACTTTCCTCAGAAGATGGCAATAACAGATTTGTGTCTAAAGGGAAGATTTTTAAATTTTTTTCAATATATAAAGAACAGACATTAGTAATGGTTTTTCTCTGGGTTTAATAAAATTGAAATCAGACTACTGTTTTAAATAATATTTTGTATTCCTTATTTTTTTTTCCCACAATTTAAAAGCATAAAAACCATTCTTAGCTCAAAGGTTGTATAACAATGATGGGCCAGAATTTGCACAACAGCTGTAGTTTTGCCACTTCTGAGTTAAAATATTTTGCTAACCTTGACACTTCTTTAGTCCCCCTTATACATTTTTTCAAATAATATACTGAGTTGAAATTTATATAAATAACAAAGTCAATCATTTAAAGTGAACAAGTTAGTGGCTGTATATTCACAATGCTGTGTAATCACTTCTATCTAGTTCTAAAACATGTTCATCACTTCAAAGTAAAATCCCTAACCCATTAAGTAATTCTTCCCAATTCCTTGTCCACAGCCTTTGGCAACCATTAAGTTGTATTCTATCTCTATAGATTTTTCTATTATGAATATTACGTATAAATGGAATTATGCAATATGCGACTTTTGTGTCTGGCTTCTCTCACATTGCATAAGGTTTTCAATTTTCAGCCACATTGTAGCATGTATCAGAATTTCAGTCTCTTTTTATGGCTGAGTAATATTCTATTGCCTGTGTGTGCCACACGTTGTTTATCCATTCTTCCCTTGATGCACATTTGGGCCATTTCCACCTTTGGCTCTTATGACTAATAATACTATGAACATCACGTATATTTACTTGAAGTACCTGTTTTCAATTATTCTGGGTATATGCCTAGGAGTGGAATTGTGGAATCAAATCTCAATTCTATGTTTAACTTTTGGAGGAACCACAAAGTCTTTTTCAATGCAGCTGAACAGTTTTACATTTCTACCAATCACAAACGACCCTAATTTCTCTACATCATCCTCAACACTTACTATTTTTGATTTTTTATAGTGATCACATCCTCATGAGTGTGAAGTGATATCCCATTGTCATTTTGATATGCACTCCCCTAATGACTAATGGTGTTGAAAATCTTTTCATGTACTTTGTCATTTGTGTATCTTCTTGGGAAAATTCAAGTATTTCGCCCATTTTCAAATTGATCATTTGTCTTTTTGCTGTTGAGTTGTAAGGGTTATTTTATATATATTCCGGATACTCATTCCTTTTGAGATACAGTAAGTCCTCACATCTTGCCCTCAATAGGTTCTTGGAAATGTTATTGGGGAGTTTCTTCGCACTGAAGTTCTAGGTCAGCCACAGGTGAAAGCTTAGGGTCTTCTCAGTTATTTTCTGAGCATGTGTCCTTCCCTGGGCGTGCACAGAGTTTTCTAAATTCCCCAGTATAGAAGGTTGATTTTGAACACCATAATTTCGCAAAGAAATTGTCTGTCCAGATTTTTCTCTCAGAATTTAAATGGTCCACTGTACAGCTCAACAATAACTTTTTGGCCCGTTAGGTGCAGGTTGGTTTGTTTTTTTTTATTTCCTTAAAATATTTTAAAGCAGTGTCTGACACTTTCCACCTTGAGTGAATTCCAATTTAAGTAAAACAGAGAGGAAAGCCTTGCATCAGTTCTTCAGGTGTTGCCTCAATAGGTTAGAACATATAAACACAATAATTTATGAATAAGGTGGGTTTTGCTCCCTCCAGAACTAGAGACCTTAATTCCCACACTGGGTATTCAGACCATTGTCTTCAAAATCATTGCTGAGCCATTCCAGGATTGGAGTAAAGGCAAGTTAAAAAACCACTAAATTTTGGGCAGGGCGCGGTGGCTCACGCCTCTAATCCCAGCACTTTGAGAAGCCGAGACGGGCGGATCACGAGTTCAGTACATCGAGACCATCCTGGCTAACACAGTGAAACCCCGTCTCTATTAAAAATACAAAAAAATAGCTGGGCGTGGTGGTGGACGCCTCTATTCCCAGCTACTCGGGAGGCTGGGGCAGGAGAATGGCATGAACCCGGGAGGTGGAGCTTTCAGTGAGCCGAGATCGTGCCACTGCACTCCAGCCTGGGCGACAGAGTGAGACTCCGTCTCAAACAAACAAACAAAAACCACTAAATTTTACTAGCAGTTTTAAGTTTTCTTAATTCAACATTAGCTTGGTTGATGTAAACCTTTGACTGCTTTTTAGAGTCATGACATACTTGGTCCTGAAAGTTTTTGAATTTTTAAAAAATATTTCTGTAGAAAAGTTAAAGTTTAGAGGAGCTGCTTACTATACCATTTCTCAGACACAATTCTTCTATACTTAGTTATTTGAAAATAAGTTCTCATACATTGTAAGAGGAGCAATTACATGATTTCTTTCTTTATTGACTTCATTTTTTTTTTTTTTTTTTTTTTTTTTTTTTTTTTTTCTGAGATGGAGTCTCACTCTATTGCCCAGGCTGGAGTGCAGTGGCACGATCTTGGCTCACCACAACCTCTGCCTCCCAGGTTCAAGCAATTCTCTTGCCTCAGCCTCCCGAGTAGCTGGGACTACAGGCATGCGCCACCATGCTGGGCTAATTTTTGTATTTTTAGTAGAGACGGGGTTTAACTATCTTGGACAGGCTGGTCTCGAACTCCTGACCTTGTGATCCACCTGCCTCAGCCTCCCAAATTACTGGGATTACAGGCGTGAGCCACCGCGCTCGGCCTGACTTCAAATTTTTTAAGCTCACTGAAGGCATAATATAAACTTGTTAACTTAATTCTTTATCCTTAACAATACAAGTGAACGGGAAGATCATTATGATACCTATAATAATTAAACAATATTAAACATGTCTCAAGTACAATAAAGTTCCATTTATGAAATAACTTTCTGGTTTTAGATTTTGAGAAAAGCTCTAGAATTTAACAGCCATGTGCTCAGCATGTTGTTTTCTATGTTCCTCAACTATAGTGCAAAGAACATACAAGAAAATAATTAATTTCTTACTAATTAAATACATTTTTAAAGCATGCTTTTCTGATTACTAAGCCTTACGCATTTCCTATTTCCCCTGAAAATGAGAGCCGCATTAAAGAAAAAAAAAATAACAAAAGAAGAT
Organism: Homo sapiens; assembly: GCF_000001405.40. NCBI lineage: Eukaryota > Metazoa > Chordata > Mammalia > Primates > Hominidae > Homo > Homo sapiens. The sequence goes on from NC_000007.14 coordinate 125,597,725, forward strand.
ACATTGAAAAATATATACTGGTTAAATATTAATCCAGATATTATTTAAGGTGTGGATACGTTTACAAGTTATAGGGTGTTTTCCACTGCATCTACCTGTGCCTATTACAAACATTCTAATCAATCGTTCCAAGTGATTTATCTGTCACAGCTCCATACCAATTCTTCCAGGAAGTGCTCGTGGGCAAGTGGCATAACAAGGTTAGAGAATAGTGGTGCCTGTAACTGTGTGTCAGCATAAACTGGGACAAAAGCTTGAGGGTTTGGAAAACTTATCTTTCACAGAGCAAAATATATCAGCATAAACAAATAACACCAAAGTCAATTTTTTAAATGATTACAAGACTAAATGTTTTGCAATAAGTGATAGAAATTTCATGGGGATTTCAAGTTTACTAAGTTAGAGTATTCATTATCGAGTTTAGTAGAAACTGTAACTTCAAAATGTTATTTTTAGTTTTGGTTCAAAATTAGAATAAAGTTCTAGGAGTTAATTTGCATGTAGATGAATGTCATATAAAAGTGCTCACTTAAAAATAATCCTTATCCTTATATTTTGACATATTCACTTTTAATTCCACGTTTTCAAGAGATTATCTGTGAGCTTTTGCAATAGTCAAAGGCTGTTTGAATAACTGACTTTTGTTGGAATCATACCACTTGTGATCAGATTATAAGTGTGGCTTTTCTGTGGCTTAAAAGTGCTTTTGGTCTTCCTAACTGAATTCAGAAAAAATTATATTTTATGAATTTCTGGGTATATTTGTGCATGCATACGTGACGTTTTTAATCTATTTTTGATAGTTTTGAATTAAAAAATAATGTGAATTTATATAAGGTTTGATTGAGAAGAAATTAAGGCTATTATTTCAGCTTTCATCAAAACTAATAACCTTTTCTAATTTAGACCTTTACAAAATTATCATAGATTAGTGGAAAGTGGGAAGTAAGTGATGGAGTGTCTATCAAAGGCAGCATTTGTGCTACATGACTGAAACTGTTATGTCATATTGGAGGTAACTTTTTAAAAGACTAAAATTGAACGTGATTTGAGAGGGCCAAAATGGTCTCGTTGCCTGGGCATTCATTCTTACATGTGTGAGCCCCCAGAGGTGGGGGCAGGCATATGTTATGTGATCATAATTGGTAGTTGTCAGATATCCACTGTACAGAGTAAATTGTACTTCAAAATTGGTAGCTTCAAACTGTGACACAAAGATAGCAAAATATCATAAACGCTTGATCCTACAGTTGTTTTACTGTGTGTTAAAAAAAAAACCGTATCTGACTGTGAGAAAGTTTGTGATAGCTTGAAGCAAAATATAAATTCTTTTATATTTAATATAACTAAGATATATAAATATGTTAATATTTATGTATACTATATGGGATATCTGTGCCCATATATAATTTATTTATATGTAAAATACAAACAAATACCTGAAAGAGACATAACCCAAGGACTAGATAATTTTATTTTATTTATTTTTTTGTTATGATCAATTTTTTATTATAAAGGTTACAAAGCCGTACAGCTAAATGAAGAGATGTATATTGATGGGTAAGGTTTGCGAGGTTCCAAACACAAAGTTTTCCAAACACAAAGCTTCCGTGTCCTCAGGATGTTTCATGCTTGCAGCACACCGATGTGTGATTACCAGTCAGGGAAGTTCACTCAGGCTTTCAGTGTCCACAGCTTTTATTGAGGTTTCTCTATGTAGCATCATTGGTTGAATCATCAGCCATATGACAGAACTAAATCTCCAGCTCCTTTTACCTCATTGGAGGTTAGGAGGTTGGGCTGATACCACATCGTGCAAAACCCTAACCCTCTATTCATCTGACTGGTCTTTTTGACATGGCCAGCCCAATCCTGAGTCATCTCATTAGTATAAATGACCTAGGAGTCTGCCATGAATCATCTTGTTAGCATACACTATCAGTGATCTGAACGGCTCATCATGAAAAAAAAGACACTCCCGTCACTCAGAGAATTCCAAGGGTTTAGAGGCTCCCAAGGCTTCTGAGATGGAGTTGAAGAAGAAAATACTAGAATACAGGACTTTCTTTTTGTAGGATGTTTAATTCAAACTTAATTAGTATTTTTTTAAGTAGAATTAAGAAACAAGAAAGGTAGCGGAGCAAAGAAAGCGTGAGGAGCAGAAGACAGAGCATCCTGAAGGAAAACAATGACCGCCTGAAGACAAAACACAGGAACTCTTTGAAATTTTTAAAGCTCAAATTCCATGTATAAACAGATCTCCCTTTACTCAACTCTAAACTTTCTTCCTTTCACTAACTGCTCTTCTATTTGCTGAGAATTTTAAAGTATGATATCTTTAAATCATTTCTAAATTCCAACACAGTCCATGATGTAAACACTGGCAAAACACAAACAAACTGTTTTAATTTGGTTTAAATTTGTGTAGGCCACCCACTGCTACCTCAAGCAGCAGGGATGGAAGTATGGAGGAAATGAAGTAGAATTAGTACATTTGAAAGTATGAATCAAATATTTCCCAAAACAAAGTCCAACAATACAAATCTTTGTTTATAGTTGCATGATTAGTAGTTTCATGTGTGTTGCTGTGTACTGAATTTCATCCTTGCATCACCCATATGTTGAAGTCCCTACCCCAGATATGACTATATCTAAAAATAGGTCATTTAGAAGATAATTAAGGCTAAATGAGATGATAAAGTTAGGATCCTGATCGATAAAATTGATGTACTTATAAAAAGGGACATCCTAGCTCACTTGTGCTCACTCTTTCTCTTCCTCTCTCTCCATCTCAACACACATGCTTCAAGGAAAGACCCAAAGAAGGTGGCTGTCTGCAAGCCAAAAGGAGAGCCCTCACCAGGCCAGGCACCAGCCCTGTTGGCATCTTGATTTTGAACTTACTTACCTCCAGAACTATGATGAAATTATGTCTGTTGTTTAATCTGCTGGGTCTGTGGTATTTTATTATAGCAGCCTGAGCAAACAAATCAAATGTCCAGTGGATTAATATATCAATTTAATCTTTGTTTTTCTTCTCTCCCACTGATCATAGCCTAATGCATATAGTTTAACTATGTTCCTTATGGAACGTGTACTAAATCCAAGTTGTATTGATAATGCTTCATGTTCATTTTAAGAATGAAACATTTTATTTAAAAAAACTATACAGGGCTGGAGAAACAATGAGATTCTAATCCTGGTTCTTTTGCTAATTAACTCTGAAGATTTGCACAATGAATTTAGCTTCAAACCCCAAAATGACTGCTTATGGTCTGTGTCCCTTTTGATGATTTTACCAGCCCATAGTGTACTAAAGAAAATGAGAGCCACATAGTAATATTTTCATAACCACAACAGGTATTGATACTTACCCTAATTTTTGTTTTAAAATAACCTCCATATATAGATGGTAGGGTTTGTTTGCAATTATTGTGGTTTTTGACAAAATTTAAAAAATATATTCACATGATGCTAGTTTCTCTTTCTATGTATTCATATAAATATGTACATACTTATATGCATGTGTACATTTTATATAAACATATGCACACACATATGTGTATGTATGTGTGTTTATTTATGAAATATAAAATACTTAAATTGTTTAAACATATCATGTGTTGCATTTATTAAACAAAAAAGTGAATGTATGGAATTAATGACCACTAGGTTTCTTCTAGTTCTGAAATTCTGCAGTTTGCAAAAATCACAAATATTAAGGTAATTTCTGAATTCAGTCTTTACAAGTCTCTTGAAAGCTTCCTCTGAAAGAGTGTTTTCAAATGACTTTCAGGTTTGAATTATTTTCTTTTACTATAACAAAATGTTTTATTGTATATTATCTGTTTACACTCCATTTAATAAGCAGACAAGAATTCATTGGGTTCTTACTGCATGACATACATTAGAGGAGAGCTTGGTATGTTTTGTTAACACTGCATTCTTCACACAAATATTTTAGGAAATGGTTTTCATTCTCATTTTGTAAATGAGGATACTTAAGCCTGGCATATTAACTCATTCTGGGTTTCACTACTTCCACTTTAATTTCATTATTCTTTAGAGTACGCTATACCTGCCAGTGACTTAAGGCAAACAACTTAGTGGTACACAAGTGATTACTATTTTTTTAGGCATTAAGATTTTCAAAGCTCTATAGAAATGTTTATTAGAATAACAGACTATATTCTCAACCACCAACTCTCTACCTGGATAATAACATGATGATGATAGAAATAACTTATTGATTGATCTCTTCCAGACTATCAGTGTCCCTTACAACAATATGAATTCCATAAATTCAACACTATTTTGGTGTAGTAACAGAAGTGCCAAGTGAAGCATGTACATATAGTTGATTGTAACAAAACGTTTTTAATCTAAAGTTCCCAGGGTGTTTCCATTTTTAGTTTAATTTTGCTCATATATTTGCATCCTTTTAAATGATTAGTTGGCAAAATCAATTCTGTAAATTGTGACAAAAGAATGAATAGATCAACCATAACCGGAGATACCTCCCTCTCTTATTTTTTTTTCTGTATCCAAATATAGGCAATGAATAATCACGATATAAATTAGAGGGCCAGGTTATGCATAACTGTAACCCTAGTATGGTGTCAGGATAGCCATTAATTTCTGCAGTTACTAATGGAATGCCAGTCAGTGTGGAATGCATCTGAATAAACCCAAAGAAGTAAAAAATATTACCTATATATATTGCATTGTGATATGGCATCAATGAAGAGGATCATGAAAAATAAAGTTCATTAGCAAATTCATCTTTATCTTTGAAGATTAAACAGTGAATAAAAGAAATATTACCATTACAAAAATTACTCTGTTTGATACTTGGCATGCTTTTCTTATTCCACTTATATCTATGCAAACAAAGTCATTTACAATGCTTCTAATCTGATGGGATGCAGTGAAGTATGACGTGAAACATTGTCAGTTCCAACAAATCTCCACAAAGAAATAAGTTAATGTTGACTGATACTGAGGGCATCAGTAGCTCACTGTGGGTATGAATATATTTGTACAAATTATAGAAGGCATCAACAAGGATAATAAATATAATCTACAACATTCCATATGCATTACCCACCTCATATTGTTGTGGAACATGTCTATCTCATGCTATTTTGTAGATATTTTAAAACTTATTTTAATTTAATTTTTAGCTGTTTTGAATAGAACCCTTGAGGGTAAAAAATGTGATTTTATAATCAGAAATTCCAGTCTCCTGAAAATTAGAATAATAGAAAAATATTACGGAGTAAGAAAAATGCCTTCATTGGAATTTGACCTTGTCAGTAGATTAATGACAAGCATAAATTGCTTGTTATTTCTCCCTATGAGAGACGCAGTTTAATTCTGAGCTGGCCTTAGCGATTTCCTTGGTCAGTATAATTGGAAAGCATGATGTTCTGATACTTTTGAGACTAGGTTGTAATAAAGCCTTTTATCTGGACCTCTTGGAACAATTGTTCTGGGGAAAGCCAGCAACTATACAAGAGGGCTGAGACCTTTGTGTCTCAGAAACCAAGGCATGTGGAAAGGCCTTGGAGAATGAAATCTCACAGAAAGACACACACACGCACAGAGAGAGAGAGAGAGAGAGAGAGAGAGAGACCAAAGATCTTTGAGGTGAGGTGAGAGAGAGAGAGAGAGAGAGAGAGAGAGAGAGACCAAAGATCTTTGAGGTGCCAGATATGTGACAAAATAAGTCACCTTGGAAATGGCTAATCCAGCCCCAGCCACCCCGACCGACTGATGCCACATGAATTAGTGGTCAAGCTATTGACAGAGCCCTGCTTGAATTCTGGACCCGTAAACTTATTAGTAAAATAAAATGATTATTTTACGCCACTACTAGTTTTGTTGTTGTTGTTGTTTTTACAGTAGTATTTAACCAGGACAGACTTCATAATAATGTCTTATTTGGGTTTCATCCTTGCAAAGTCTTACAAAGCCTTGCAAACATCCATCCCTATGGGAGTCATATAAACTTAGAGACAAAAAGCATGTTTAATGTTCACGTTGTTCAACATCTTATAGATGATGAAAATGAGAGCAAGACAAACGAGGTGACTTAAGCAAATTCCCTTGTCATTTGGTAAGCACCAGGGCTGGAGCAACAACATAGATTCTTGGGTCTGGCAGATCTATTTTCATTCACTTCAAAGTTTATCAAATGATTTATTTAATACATACACACACACACATATTCTAGGACTTCAATATTTTTGTTCATCTGATAACTTCTTGAGAAAACATGCAAATTTTTAAATACCTTTTTAAATAAAGAGACTAAGTGAGTTGGTAAAATTAGATCAACCAAGATGAAAAGATAGTGTTCACAGTGCTTTATTGTAGAATCATTCAATTTATATTGACTATTTGGTAATTTTGAGCCAAATTAAATTAAGGTTAATTAGCAATTTGATGATTAATAATGCAATAATTTATGTTGGATTTTAAGAAATAAAGTTATCATAAATGGGGCAGCAGCAAATTATCTGTATGGAGGCAAACATGTATTTTTGGTGTAAAAAACAGAAGTATGTTAAGTAAAAGGTCATCAGAAGACAGATGAGAATAGGCTTGGGGCCTCTCAGGCTAAAAGAATCACAAGTGCAAAGGCAATTACAAGTCAACTAATCTGATATATTCAGAAAATCATAAGGAATTTAACACTGCTATCTCATATAATTTAAACGAGGAAGATGGCAAGGTGAGGAGAGAATGAACAGTGATTTGAGTATTAAGTAACCTGTAAATGTTTTTAAGCAGATTATATATATATATAGTTGATCTTAAAGTTAGAGAGATCACCTCAGTGGTTAGGTGGAGAAATCGGTATGAAAAAGGAAAGCCTGGAGGAAGGGTGCCCAATTAGGTGGCCATCAGCAGACTACATTCAAGAGGTACTTGAAGTGAGATGGTAACAACTGGATAGAGAAATAGAAAATATCTGAAAAATAAGATGTAGAAATTACAAGGAGATGGTGACCAACTGCATGAATGGTTGGGATTAAGGAAAGGGATGACTCCAGGATAATGCCCGGACTTACGGTTTAAAAGTTTTGTTGGATGAGTAGCTCCAAAAACACCCACAAGGAATGTGAAAACAAAGAATATTTAGAAATAAAAGGGGTTCAGTTTCAGATATGGTGGTTTTTATATGTCTATGCACATATCACGTGGCTATTTCTCTTTCCATTGTAAAGCCTTTTTCCAACTCTCATCCCCTGAAAAAAGCCAATCAATTTATTCTTTCTACAAGCTCTGTTTCTCTGCATACTTCTATTTGTATCCATTAACAATTATCAAAATACATTCTAATTAAATATATATGTCAATATGCCCTCCTGTATTACCAGTTCTTGAAGGTTAGAGACGACGTCTAACAGCAAGTAATATTTAGTCATTCGGCCAGGGGGTAAAGTAATTACATGAAATAATAGCACAGTAACTCTCTCCTGATTTGCCCTCCTACGACTTACACAGCTCCATCTAGAGTCCTCTTGCTCCAAAAGCAAATTCTTAGAAACACCTGAAAAACTACTGTTTCCCCATTTCCACATGGCCAGTATGCTCCCAGTACTTTTTGCCATCCACTCTATTTTCCTCCCAGTATCTTATTCATCCTCACAGCTCCTACATAGCTATGTGTTCAGAAAGATCCACAAGATGACTCATCTGTTTCTCTCTCAACAGACATCTTTGGCAGTTTTCCTTCCTGCTATCTCACAGTTACAGCAACTCCTGGGATTAAATATATTTGAACATGCAGATTATAGACTCTAGTATATCCCGCTTTAGGTTATCTTTGTTATACGAGTTTGATCCTATTTGTTTTTTTCACCAAAGTACAAGTGCATTTCTCACCCAGACAAGCTTCAGAATGTGTTGAAGTTGTATCATACATTCTTATCCCTCAAGCTCAAGACAGCTGTGGGAGACTTTTAAAATCCTTTTCTAAAGAAAGTTTGAATTGTTATCTAACTATATCTGTATGCTTAACCACTTCTTCCCCTTTGCTGAGGTTGTGTGAACATGGGAAAAATTAGCAAGAACCACTTTTTACAGAGTAGCTAGGATATAAGGAGGTAGGAGGCTTTGGCCATGCATCCACAGATTCAGAATTTATCCAGGATCCATTAATTCACATATATATTGAACTCTTTCATTCTTATTATTCACCCTAGTCAATATTCATTTGGATTTTCTCTCTTTACTCATTCCATTTGTACTGATGACCTGATCTACCAGCCATTACTTTGTATTTCAATGAATAATGCTATCTCTCATAACAGATGACCCACAATCTCACATTTTATAATAATCTCATGTACCAGCATCATCATAACAATTATTTCCAGTTTACTTAAAAAAACTTTACCATTTGTCTTCATCTGTTCGGGCTGCTATAACAAAATACCATGTTCTAGTGATCAACAACTGGTCTAGAGACTGGTTGTAAACAACTGAAACTTATTTCTCACAATTCTGGAGGCTAAGAAGTCTAAGATAAATGTGTCAGCAGATACAATGTCTGGTAAGGCAGAGTTACTCATGAACAGCTCTTCTCACTCTGACTTCATGAAGGAAGGGGTGCAGGATCTCATTGGAGGCTCTATCCTCATTACCTAATCACCTCCGAAAGACCCCACCTCCAAATACCATCACATTAAGAAATAGGTTTCAACATATGAATTTGGTGGGGGGGGGACACAAACATTCAATTTAGAGAATCATTCATTTAACCATTTCCAACCACTCTTTACCTCTTGCCCCACTCTCATCTTCACCTCTGGTAGGTTACAGATTTCTTTCTAACTTTCAACTATTATTTAGTTCCAAAGGTGAATATGCAGATGTATTTTAAGATTTTCTACTTATTCTTTGTTACTTATTATTATTAAATACTTAACATTAACTAAATGTTTGACAAAACTTAAATGAATGAAGAGGTTCAAATTGCCCCACCAGCTGGTTCTGAAACTGGGCTCTTTTTTTGCCATATGCCTCAAGGGTGTCACCTTTCACCCCTTTTATAGATGTTTTCTCCGTGTTTTTTATATCTCTGGACACAAGTTTCAATTGCTAAATCCTCCCTTTATGTGGCAGGAGATTAATGACCTGTTGCTGAATTCATCTCCCTTGACTAGGATTCTACTCTCTCATGCGATCTAAATGACTGCTTAGATTCCCTCCAATGGCAAATGATCACAAGTGTATGGTTATAATTCATCAACCCGCCAGACTCTGTTACTTACCTGTGAGCTTTCTTTTAAATATATCAAATCTTGGCATATCTTTATGCTTATTTCATTTTGCCCATCTGGCGATTATGCTTAACCTGCCATCCAGACATTTTCTAGCTTCCAGTACTTGAATGTTTTCTATTTGCCTGTTCTACCAGCTATTATTGCCTCAAGCTTTTTTTACCTCCTCCTCATGCCATGTCTTGTCTCAGTCTACACCAAATCCTACTTCTAACAACATGCACTTCCTACTTTTCCATGTTGAAAATCGTATTTTCAAGTAAAGCTTCAAAACTAAGCAGCAATAAGTAATCCCAGAAGAAGATTATAGATAATAATTTGAGGATATTGTTTTGTTTTATTTTGCTTTGGACACAATGAGTCAGAGTTCAAACTTACTTTAACTTTTCTATCACCTCAGCTTCTATAATGTTAGGTAGCACATAGAGAAACACACACACACACGTTATACCCACAAATTTTGCTTCAAAGTGGAGGCAAGAAATATGTTTAAATTAAGTCATGGAGGTGAATTTTTCAAAACAAGTGGTCAATTTTCAGTGTCAAAAATGCATTCTCTTTTCTCTAAGCAGTGCTGACCCCATACAAGATGGATATTAATGCATAAGAGCTCCGAAATTTGATCAAAACTCAAACATTATTGGTAAGCCTTATGAAAGATTTCTCATTTTATAAGAGGATTAAACAATGAGGAGAAACATACACATATGTGTACACATGCATGCACACACACACAAATAGGCTGATTTGGAGATAATATTTCATTGCATTTTTATTTTGTTTTACTGTCTTTTTTTCTACTTGAATATTATTATCTATAAACAAACTTTAAAGTGATTATTTGCTTATCATCTAGGAGTTCATTTTTTAATAAAGTGTGAATTTGGCTAAACCATATGACTGTAATGCCTTTATTTCCTTATCTGTAAAATTAGGTAGTAATTTAGGTCTTCTCTCTGCATGTAAAGAATATCTGAATTATTTTATTTTGATAGCATCATTCAATGACTGATTAATGCATACTTGTGGGAAAAAAGTGTTGTGTTCAGGATTTTTAGGACAAGCTATTTTTATGCAAAGTTCACAATAAAGTGTGATTCCTTTTTATGATTAATTTTAAAAAATGAACTGTAGATCTATTCAAAGTGAAGACTGTTATGTTATTTTTTGAGTTATCAAACTCTCTTAAACTCTGTATATATTTACGTCAGTAAAATAAACTTATATTTCACTTGAAATACTGTTCTAGATCCAACTAATCCCAACTTAAAAAATAATTACCAAGACACCCATAATCAATTATCCAATATCTAGTATCTAAATAAGCTGCAATACATGAAATTTTAGCCAAATAAATAAATAAACATCAGTTATGTATTAATTTAATCCACTATTTTTTGTTTGGCCCATCATATTAGCTAACAATAGCTATTTAATTATGACAAACCACATAAGTCATCCATCAGATAAACTGATTAATAACGATTACTGGTCTAAATTAATCTAAGAAGAAATATGTTTGAGGCCACAAAGATGCCTTGGGAATGACAATCAAGCAAGGAGCTAGTACATAAATGTTCATTCCAGTTGTAGTTGCTTAATGGATACATTAATACTTAAAGAACCACTCTAGAAAATAAACTGTGAAAAACATCATCATAAAAATTAAATATTTTATTTCTAAATATATGCTCTTGTTACTATTGAAACTGACAACCAGCCTGGAAGCAATTAATTTTTTCAACCACATTTACCAGTCAGGCAATACCATAACTTCAGCAGTCATAGAATAAACTGCTGTAATAATTATTCAATCACTTAAAACATTTTTAAAAAAATATTGTTTCATAATATACCTGATCTAAACTAGCATTAATATGTTGTGTCTGTAATATCATTCAAAATCCAGATAAATAGATGTTTCAGATGGAAAATAAACACTTCATTATCAGCATTAGGGTAGATCGAACTTAGTTAAATTAAGGAAAAATTAAGTCTTAGGGAAACAAAGAGATTATAGATTATCTTAAATTAGACTTGAAACAAGACACAAGGAAAGCAGCCATTCTCTTCTATTACATTATTTGTTAATATTAATCAATAACAGCAATATTATTATTGACACAATCATTTACATATGAAGTCTATGATTTCATGAGCTTCATAACAACCTTGTCAAATAACTATGAAATAACATGATGATGGTCATTACCTTTATTTTATAAAGCACAATTAAGATAATTTAAAGCATTTTCTTCAAAGTGCAACAATTTTCAACAACTTGTAAGTAGTAAAGTCAGTGTATGTACCTTTTACAAGCCCTATATTTTATTATATGTAAAAGAATATGTCATTATTAATATTTCGATGTCTAATGTAAGTACTTACATTATGTTATGTGACAAAAAACTAAGCATTGAAGTATTGGATGAGTTCTAATTTTAACAGTATTACTGTGATAAGTTCAATCTGTTCCCTCTCCCTCATCCCCAACTTAGGTATACTTACTCAAGTGTGGAGAAAACACTTACTGAGTACATGCTAAATGTTTAGCATAGGTCCTGGCATATTTATCTCTCTCATTTAATCTAAAAAAGCCTTTAATGTCAGTTTAATTTTAAACAAATTTAAAATATACATTGTGCACAGGTGGTTTTCACTATTTTTGTATATTTGATACAAAAAGGGTCTAAATAAATGTGGAATGTAACACCATAGTAATTAGCAATATTGTGATTCAAGTATAAGTCCCAAATCATCAAAGAGTATTGAGCCAGCTTGAAGGAACACCTAAGAAAAATGTTAGTCATAGAAGCATCTGTAGCTGTTCTTCCCAAAGAGGTTCTCAGGATGTTTAGGATTTACTTATTTTTCTTTTGAAAAGTGGTGACAGCAGTGAGACAAATGATTGCATGCTAGTGAGACTTTAGTTAATTCCTAGTAAATCTACATTTTACATAAGGTAAGCATTTGAAGAAAAAGAGAAGAGAGGAAGGAGAAGTCTTGAGATGGGTTAAGAGAATCATTAATCTAATCTTGTCTTTGCTCTGCACCTGGGAAGATAAGCTAGCAGTTTTTTGAAAGCGCTGGTTTCTTTTTAGCCCTCAGGGAAGAAGACCTCATGGCAATCTCCCAACCCAGGCTGACTGTGCATTCAGCTTCCAAGGTTTCCCTGGGGTTCCCTGAGCTATGAGGGGGTCTGTTCAGTCAGTTGGAGACTAAGAATTTTATTTTTATTTCTCATATATGAGAAAATATACTTAATAGCATAGATTCTGTTTGCGTATTTAATTTTGGGCATAATTATTGTGAAACAGTTTATAGTAATAGGACATTTTACATAGTATTTGGCTTAAAAAGAAGATCATAAAGATAACTTATTTGGAGAAATATTCTTGGGAAATTATTTAGCTTCTCCAAAGTCATTCCTTAATTCTATGAAGCACTTATACTATTATCTTAGTTTCTGAGATGTTCTCTTTTTCAGACTTTATCATACCTAATGCTGAGATATTCTTCTGTTTTCAGTGCCTTTTGGTAAAACTTGAGTACCTCATAGCTAGCTTCATTTTAGTCAACTTTATGATATCTTGCATTTTTGAATCACTAGAAACTTTACTTTGCACATTATTTGAGTGGATTTTTAAAATTACAAATTAATAAAAACTATGTGTCTGGCACTGTTCTAGGCTCAGTGGTGAAAAACACAGTATTCTTCAAACAAGTTGAACATATACTGTATTTGGGAAAACAAATAAGAAATGAATGAATGAATGAACTGACTAATCAATTTATAAGATAAACTTAAATTACTGTAATTGCTATGTAAAAGTATTATAGTAATACAACTGAAATTGATGAGCAATGAGTAGGATTGCTGCTTGGGCTGCAGGCTTAAGGTAAGATCTACTGAGTTTCGAGTGAAATGATGGGTTGAAGCAATTCCTTTGAGGATCTTAGGGTATAGCATTCTAAATGTAGAGACTGGCTAGTACAAAAGGCTTTAGATGGGAGTATGGTTGCTCTGTATGCTAAAAAGAATGAAGACAAGTGTAAGTGAGCTATACAGAAAAGGAGGTTTGGGAAATTAGGTTTGAGAGATTATGTAGAATTTGGTTGGCATAATAAGAAATTTGTATTTCGTGCTGGTTAAAATATAAAAGTTTGAGGCGGGTAGAGCAAGATGACCAAATAGAAGCCTCCAGCAATCATCCTCCATGCAAGAACACCAAACTGAAGAACTATTCACATAAAAAAATCACCTTCATAGTAACAAAAAAAATCAGGTAGGTGAGTGATCACAGTACCTGGTTTTAACATCATATTAAGGGAAAAAGGCACTGAAGAGGGCAAGAAAGACAGTCTTGAATAGTTTATACCACCCCTACTTCATTCCCCAGAAGTGGCCACATAGTAGAGAGTGAGATTCTGTGTTTGAGAGAGAGAGAGTGCAGTGATTATGGGACTTTGCATTGGAACTCAGTACTACCCTGTCATAGTGGAAAGCAACAGTGGGACAGAAATCAGATGGCGCCCACAAAGGGAACATTTAAACCAGCTCTAACCAGAGGGGAATCACCCATCCCAGTGGTCAGAACCTGAGTTCTGTCAAGCCACACTGCCATGGGCTAAAGTGATCTGGGGTCCAAAATAAATGTGAAAGACATTCTAGACTATGAGGACTGCAATTTTTAGTGCTATGCAGGACTCAGAGCCAGTGGATTTGGGTACATGCAACACAGTGAGACAACAGCTGAGGTGATCACAGGAGTGATTGCATCACCTCTCTCCCAACTCCAGACAGTGCAGCTTGCAGCTCCAGGAGAAACTCCTTCTGCTGAGGAGAGCAGAGGAGAAAGTAAAGAAGACTTTGTCTTCCAACTTAGATACCTGCTCAGCAATAGTAGAATAAGGCACCAGGCAGAGTCCCAGGAACACATCCTGGTCTAGAAGGGAACATGCTACCTTGAAGGAAAAGACCTATTCTTGGAAAGACTCATTATCTACTGACTAAGGAGCCCTTGGGCTCTGAATAGTCAGCAGCGGTACCCAGGGAGTACTTGCCATGAACCCTGGGAGAGACTCAGAGATGTGCTGGCTTTAGGTGTGACCAACACATTCCCAGATGTGGTGGTTATGGGGAGAGACTTCTGCTTGAGAAAAGGAGAGGGAAGAATAAAGGAAACTTGATCTTCATGATTGTTAATATTGGATTGAAGGATGCAAAGTATTATTCCTGGGTATGTCTGTGAGAGTGTTGCCAAAGGAGACTAACACTTGATTCAGTGGACTAGAAGAGGCAGACCCATCCTCAATCTGGGTGAGCATCAGCTAATCAGCTGCCAGCGTGGCTAGGACATGGAAGGATTAGAGTTGCTGAGTCTTCCAATCTTCGTCTTTCTCATGTGCTGGATGTTTCCCACCTCAAACATCAGACTCCAAGTTCTCCAGGTTTTTGACTCTTGGACTTATACCAGTGATTTGCCAGGGGCTCTCAGGTCTTCAGCCACAGACTGATGGCTGTACTATTGGCTTCCCTACTTTTGAGGTTTTGCCACTCAAACTGGCTTCCTTGCTCCTCAACTTGCAGACTGCCTATTGTGGTACATCACCTTGTGATCGTGTGAGTCAACACTCCTTAATAAACTCACCTTTATATATACATTGATACTATTAGTTCTGTCCCTCTAGAGGACCCCAACTAATACAGTTTTGGAGCTTAGGTGCCAGCTGGACCACAGTTGGGTAGAGAACTAAGCAGGTTCCTGGGGTACCCAATTCCAGGTCTTGGCTTCTGAGTGGCATTTCTGGATCTGCCTTGGGCCAGAGAGGAGCGAACTAGGCCTGGCTGCATTCACCACAAGCTGACTGAAGAGCCCTTAGGCCTTGAGTGAACATTGATAGTAGCCAGGCAGTAGTCACCACGGGTCTGGGGCAGTGGTGGCCATGGGAAGGGACTCCCCTGCTTGAGGAAAGGGGAAGGAAGAATGGAAAGTACTTTGTCTTGTGGCTTTGGTGTCAGTTCAGTCACAGTAGAATCAAGTAACAGATAGCTTCCTAGATTTCTAAGGTTACCAACCCCTGACTCTGGCTCCCAGATAGCATCTCTAGACCTGTCTGGGCCAGGGGTAACTGGCCGCCCTGAAGAGAAGGACACAAGCCTGGCTGGATTTGCCGCCTGCTGATTGTAGGGCCCTTGGACCTTGAGTAAGCATAAGTGGTAGCCAGACAGTGGTCCACATGGGCCTTGGGTATGATCCAGTGCTGTGCTGGATTCAGGTCTGAATCAGCACAGCCCCAGTGCTGGTGGCCACAGGGGTGCTTGTGACACCCCTCCCCTAGCTCCATGAAGCTCAGCACAGAGAGGCTCTGTTTGAATGGGGGAAAGTAAAGGAATAGAGCAAGAGTCTCTGCCTAGTAACCCAGGGTATACCCCTGGATCTCAGCCAAGATCACCAAGGTGGCACCTCTACAAGTCTGAAAGAGCCACAATGTTACTGGGCCTGGGGTGCCCCCAAAACAAATATGGCTGCAGTGACCAAAGACTTAGATTACAACTCTCAAGTCCCTTCAGATACCTGGAAATTAATATGTTCCATTGATCAGTCTGTCTATTTTTGTACCAGTACCATGTTGTTTTCGTTGCTATAGCCTTGTAATAAACTTTGAAGTCAGGTAATGTGATGCCTCCAGCTTTATTCTTTTTGCTTAAGACTGCTTTGACTATCCAGGCTCTTTTTTGGTTCCACATAAACTTTAAAATGTTTTTTTCTAATTTGTGAAGAATGACACTGGAATTTTGATAGGGATTGCATTGAATCTGCAGAAAGCTTTAGGCAATATAGTTATTTTAACAATATTAATTTTTTCAATTCAGGATGATGAGATGGTTTCAATTTGTGTTATCTTCAATTTCTTTCATCGGCATTCTGTAGTTTTCCTTTCAGAGATCTTTCAATTTCTTGATTAAATTTATTCCTAGGTACTTTTCTGATAAGTATTGTAAATAGGATTGTCTTTTCAAATTATTTCTTGGTTGAATTATTATTTGTTCATAGAAATGCTGTGGATTTTGTATGTCAATTTTGTATTTGTATTCTGCATCTTTTTTGAATTCATTTATCAAATCTAAGAAATTTTTGGTGAAGTCTCTAGGTTTTTCTAAATATAGGATTATATCATCAGCAAGGAGTGAAATTTTGACATCCTCTTTTGCAATTTGGATAGCTTTTATTCTTTTCTCTTGCTTGATTGCTCTGGCTAGGAATTCCAGTGCCATGCGGAATAGGAGTGGTTAAAGTGGGCATCTTTGCCTTGTTCAATTTCTTACAGAAAAGACTTTCAAATTTTCCCCATCCAGTACGATGTTAGCTGTGAGTTTGTAATATATGGCCTTTATTATTTTGAGGTATGTTACTTCTAAACCTAGTTTGTTGAGAGGCTTTATCATGAAGGATTCTCAATTTTAACAAATGCTTTTTCTGCATCTATTGAAATAATCACATGGTTTTTGTCCTTCAGTTGATGTGAGGTATCATGTTTATTTCTTTGCATATGTTGCACCATTCTTGCATCCCTATTGAAGCTGCTAATTGACTGCTGTGTATTATCATTTTGATGTGGATTTTGCTAGAATTAGATTTGCTGGTATATTGGTTTGCAGTATTTTGTTGAGAACTTTTGCCAGTGTGTTCATCAGGGTCATTGGTCGGTAATTTTTGTTGTTGTTGTTGTTGTTGTTGTTGTTGTTGCTGTTGTATTCTTGTCTGGTTTTGGCATCTCGGTGATGCTCGCCTCATAGAATGACTTGGGGAAAATTCCCTAGTCTTCAATTTGTTGAAATAGTTTTAGTAGAAGTGATATTATTCTTCTTTGTACATTTGGTATGGCTGTGAATCCATCTGGTCCTCAGCTTTTCTTTGTTGAGAGACTTTTTATTACTGATTCAATCTTGCTAGTCATTATTGGTCTCTTCCAGTTTTCTATTTATTTCTGATTCAATCTTTGGCAGTTACATGTTTCCAGGAATTTATCCATGTCCTCTAGGGTTTTTTTGTCAGTGTACATTTGTTCATAATGGTCTTTTACGATTTTTTTGTATTTCTGTGGTGTCAGTTGTAATGTGTCCTTTTTTAATTTCCGATTTTGTTTATTAAGATCCTCTCTCACTGGGCTTGGTGGCTCACGCCTGTAATCTCATCACTTTGGGAGGCTGAGGTGGGCAGATCACCTGAGGTCAGGAGCTCTTATTTCCTGATTACTCTAGTTTGTGGTTTATCAATTTTGTTTATCCTTTTGAAGAACCAACTTCTCTTTTATTTGCTTCTTTATATTTTTTAGTCTTTATTTTATTTAGTTGCACTCTAATGTTTACTATTTACTCTGCTAACATGAGTTTTGATTTGTTATTGATTTTCTAGTTCTTTAACGTGCATTGTTAGGTTGTTAATTTGTAATTTTTCTACTGTTGTAATGTAGACATTTATTGCTCAAAGCTGCTCTCTTAGCACTGATTTTGCTGTATCCTGTAGGATTTAAGATGCTGTATTTTCATTTTCATTTATTTCAAACATTTTTTATTTCCACCCCAATTTTATCATTAACCCAATGATCATTCAATAGCATGTCATTTAATTTCCATGTATTTGATATATTCCAGAGGTCCTTTTGGTACTAATTTATAGTTTTATTCATCTAAGAAGACATTTAATATAATTTTGATATTTTAAAATTTGTTCAAAGTATTTTTTGGCCTATAATATGATCTATCCTAGAGAGTACTTTATGTGCTGACGAAAAGAGTGTAAATTCTGCAATTGTTAGATAGAATGTTTTGTAGATTTCTGTTCAGTCTAATTTATCTAATGTTGAGTTTCAACATAATGCTTATTTGTTGATTTTCTGTATAGGTGATCTGTCTAATTCTGAGAGTGGTGTGTTAAAGTCCTCCACTATATTTATTTTGTAGCCTATTGCTCTCTTTAGATCTAGTAAAACTTGCTTAATGAATCTGTATGCTCTAGTGCTAGGTGCATATCTGTTTTAAAGTTTTTATATCCTCTCAATGACTTTTTTATCATTATGTAATGACCTTATTTCTCCCTTTATGCTGTTTTTGACTTAAAATATGATTTATCTAAGTGTAGCTGCTCCTCACTTTTGGTATCCATTTGTGTGGAATATCTTTTTCTAGCCCTTTCCTGTCAGTCTATATATGCCTTCATTAATAGAGTGAGATTTTTGTTAGCAGCATATAGTTGGATTATGTTTTTTTTTTTAAATCTAGTTTTTCATTCTATATCTTTTAAGTGGATAATTTAATCCATTTACATTGAAGGTTATTATTGGTATGTGAAGTTTTGTTCCTGTCATATTGTTAATTGTTTTCCAATTGTTTGATATATTTGAGTTCCTTTATTCTTCTCTTATTGTTTGTTTTTGTGGTTTGGTGGATTTCTATAGGTGATATTTCAGTCTTTTTGCTTCCTTCCTTATGTGATTGTTTTACCAGTGAGTTTTATATTTTCATGTATTTTCAGCATGGTGGATATTATCCTTCTGTTTACAAGTTTAGGACTCCCTTATGCATTTCTTGTATGACCTGTCAGGTTGCAATGAATCCCCTCAGCATTTGGTTGTCTAGGATATGAAAGACTTGATTTCTCCTTAATTTATCATGAATAGGTTAGCTGGATATAGTATTCTTGGTTGGCAGATATATATATATATATATATATATATATATATATATATATATATATTTTATTTATTTATTTATTTTTGTACTTTGAATATATCATCCCATTCTCTTCTGGCCTGTAAGGTTGCTACTGAGACATCTTGCTGTTAGTCTGATAGGTTTTCCTTCTTAGGTAACTAGACACTTTTGTCTTGCTGATTTTAGAATCCATTCTTTATCTTTGACTTTAAACAGTCTGACTATAATGGGAAAGATCTTTTCGCATTGTATTTTCTTGGCGATATCTAAGCTTCTTTTATCTAAATGTCTAAATCTCTTGTAGTATTGAGAAGTTGTCATCTATTATTTTGTTAAATAGGTTTTCAAATCCTTTCTTTCTTTGCCTTCAGAGATACTGATTATTTTAATGTTTGATCACTTTATGTTGTCCCAAATGTCACAAAGATGTCACTTCCTCCTTTTATTGTCTCCATTTTTGTCTGACTAAATTATTTCAAAAGACCTGTCTTCCGGTTCTAAGATTCTTTCTCCTGCTTGAGCTTGCCTATGGTTGAAGCTCTCAAAGGTGTGTGTGCGTGTGTATGTGTGTGTGTGTGTGTGTGTGTGTGTATATACATATATATATGTATAGATATATATGTATATCTATACGTATATATACATATATATATCTATACGTATATATGTGTGTGTGTGTGTATATATATATATATATATATATATATGAATGCATATGCATTCTTCTGCTCTATCTTTTAAAATATCTATCCCTTTGGTAAATTTATCATTTATATCCTGAATTGTTTTTCTGATTTTCTTGTATTGTTTTTCAGAATTCACTCGTATTACACTAAGCTTCTATAAAATCAATATTTTTAGTTCTTCACTGAAGATTTTAACGATTTCTTTTTGATAAAATCTATTTTAGATCATTATCATATTCATTAAGAAGTTCCATTTTTTCTTGCTTTTTCATGTTGCCTGTGTCCTTATTTTGATATCTGTGAAGTCTTCCTATTTTTTTATTTATCTTTGTAGGAAAGGGATTTTTCCTAAAGATATATCTACAGTTTTTGTTGAGTTGGACATTTTGGCTTTGGTTCTAGGTTCACGTAGCAGTGAAGTGTCTATGATTTTTTTTCTTTTTTTTTTGGTGGTGGGGGTTTATAAAGAGCATTAGTGGTATCTGCAAATTCCTTCATGAGTTATGGTGAAGTTATTAGAGGAGGCTGTGGTGAAGGTATATTAGGGACTGGGGTGTCAGGTGGGCCAGTCCTCAGGCTCCAGAAGTGTCAGTAGTGTGCTGAAGCTGACAATCTTTGCATCCTGGGGTGGTGTACACTAATACCACTGTTGGCTCTTACTCTCAGGCTGATTCCTGGGCCTCCACATAGTTTGCTCAGATGTCAGATGCCTTTAGTAGCAGTGGTGGACCAGTTGGATGAGCAAGTTCTTGGGCCACTGGGCAGATGGTGTGATATGGATGATCACAGTTGCAGTGGCAAGATGATTCTTTGGGTTCTGAGCAGTATACATTGGTATTGGCAATGGCTGTGGTGGGCTGAGTGGGCTAGTTTCCAGGCCTGCAGGTGACACTTATAAGTGGGTGACACCTGAGTTGGTAGCAGCTAGGAGTGTAGGCCCAGTCTCAAGCTGCCTGAAGAAGTGCTTAGGTGTCCAAGGTGGTGGATTGGGTTTGGCAACCCCCCAGGACCTTGGGCTATGTTCTGTGTGTTGTGGTGGGGGAAAACCTAAGCTGGGCAGGCTTGTGCTCAGACCTCTCAATGGTGACAGTAGGCACCAGTTGTGGTGGACAGGGGCAGGGTGATCCTTCTACCCCAGGAAGAATGCTCAGTTGAGGGGCAGTAGCAGCTGCACTGATATCCTGCCGCTGGAGGGGGAGAGGCTGGTCTCTGTGGCCACAGCCTTGGCTGGTGGGTGTGGAGCATACATCCCTCTAACACTCCAGTCAAGGAAGGGATCATTCCCTAGCCTTGGTGGCAGTAGCCTGCACCTAGCTTGAACATCATCCCTAGCTGCAAAAGCCCTGCCTCACTCATGACTAAGTTCCAGCAGCAACTTGTGCATTGCCAGTTGTCTCAGCATTGCTCGCTTCTCAGCACTGACAGCTGTTACCCATGGCTCTCTCATATTTCAGCCCTAGCTGTGGGAATAACCTCAGCTTGCACTACAGTTCCAGCAGCAAAAGCACTGATTTCTTTTAAGCCTCAGTCACTGCTATAATAGGCCCCAAGATAGCATAGAGTCTGCCAAGGGTTGGGTATGAAAAGAGAGCCTTGTCTTGGCCACTTAGATCTCAAAAAGTGTGTAGTATACAGTGTGAGCTCAATCTCTGGAGCAGTTCCATCTTTTGGTCTCCTGGGATCACCTTATGTTAGTTTCAGGGGTTGAGAAGTTTGAGAGGTTCTCCCACTGCTAGGATTGCAGAATTCCATGATGAGGATTGGGCTACTGGAACTCACTCACTTACCCTTTCCACATGTTAGGAAGTCACTTCCAGCTCCCAGCCAATCCCACCCAAGCAGGCCACCTCATTTCCTTCTCCTTCCTTGCTTTTGGTGTTTCCTTTCACTTTTCTATTGAATTCCAGTGTTCTCTCTTCAATAATATATTTGGAATGTGATTGTCTATGTACTATTTTAGTTATTCTAAGTGAAAGATATGAGCATAAAGTACTTCTAGTCAGCCATCTTGAAACACTTTATTACCAGAAGATTTTTAGAGCCAAAAGGGGAACTGGTTTTAAAAGGATCACTTTGTCTGAAATGTAAGAGAACAAGTGAGATAAGAGGTAAAGTAAGTAGAAGACTCTTACATTAGATTAGGTGTGAGATTATAGTGAAATGGGTAAGTGTTGTATCAGAATAAACAACATGACTTTAAACATATTTGGAAAAATAGAGCCAACCAGATATAATAATAGATTTATTGTATACAATGTGGCAAAAAGTAAAGTAGAGAAATATTCCCATGTTTAGGAAAGGAGCAACTCATCTGATATTGTCATTTACTGAGGTGCAAAGTCTTGGTTATGGATTAAGGGTTAAAGATAGAGACTAAAATTTCAGTTTGGAAAAGTTAACTCTCATTTATGTATTAGATCTTCAAGCAGAGGTGGTTTGTAAATAGTTAGATATAAATGAAGAGAGGTAAAGCTATAAATTTAAAATCAGTCCCCAACATATAAATGGTATTTAAAGGCATGTAGATGATGTGAATTAATGATTAGAAAATATTTTTAATGACTACTAAAATCATTGAGTGGAATGTTCATAGATAAATATTATAATAGATAGATAAGACCTGCTGAAACTGCTGATCAATTTTGACCTCTTAAATAGGCAGATATGATGTATCTCTTGATTTGAAATACACAGCAACAAAATATAAATGATGACAACCTGGAAATATTCATGTCTAAATATAGAACATGTATCTCATCATATCTCTAGTTCTAATTAAGTTTATGTAATGCATTGGAGCTAAGAGCACAGTGGCACCATGGAGATGCAATTAGCCAAATAAAGAAGGTTAGAAATTCTACGGAACAAATAACTGGTTCCCTTAAGAAACGAATTGGGAAAGAAACAGTGAGGTCTATTCTAAATTAAAAGAAAATTTAAAGCTATAGCAAATAAACCCTCAACACGTGGAACTTCCTAGTGTCATGATTTAAACAAAGCAAACAAAAATAGAATGATTGGAATTGGAAAATCAAAGATATTTTAACACTGAATGAATATTAAAAAACAATTATATGATTATTTTATGGTTAAACTTAAAGAAAACTGAATTTTTTTAAAGTAATATACCTAGTTTTAAATGGTTCAGCTTGGACTGGGTGGATAACAATAATCTTAGTTCATTCCAAATGAATTAAGATTGATCATATATTGGTTATTATGCAGCTGGGTTTTTAAAATTAAG
The DNA here is from genome assembly GCF_000001405.40 of Homo sapiens. Lineage (NCBI taxonomy): Eukaryota > Metazoa > Chordata > Mammalia > Primates > Hominidae > Homo > Homo sapiens. The sequence goes on from NC_000007.14 coordinate 125,620,666, forward strand.
TGTATTAATATTTAACCTATTTTTGAAAATTCTAAAGACAAACATGTATATACACAAAGAAACAAAGGGGTAAATATAATTTTAAAAAGAATGCCATTGGTGCAGCACACCATCATGGTACATGTATACATATGTAACAAACCTGCACATTGTGCACATGTACCCTAAAACTTAAAGTATAATAATAATAATTAAAAAAGAAAAGAATACCATGGAAATAGAGAATAAAGTTGAAAAAAAAAAACCTTGGAGGAGCTTCAACATTTAAGGATCTGATGGAAGAGGAGAACTAGCAAAGGACACTAAGAGGGACTTTTCAGGGATATTGGAGGAAAGCCAGATAAATATCATTGCCATGTCATAGCATCCACAATTTATATTGTATTATATAATATAATGAAGAGAGTAATCAGTAGTGTAAAATTCTACTGAGAGTTTTGATAGGTGAGAACTAACTCTTCAATACCAGCTTAAGAAAAATTACTGGTAATAGGTGACCTTTCCAAGACCAATTTCAGTGTGTTATAAAAATAAAAATACAAATTTAGTGGCTTGGAAGAGAATGGAAGAAGACAAAGTTAAGGTAGCAATAATAGACAACTTTTGAAAGCATTTGAAAAATGAGGAGGCAACCGTATTGTTACAAGTATCAGGAATTTTTATTTTTTTAGCTCAGAGGATATCAAGTATGTTTAAAAGTACACAGAATGTCACAATAGAATAGAAGGAACATACAGATACAAGAAAGAAGTGGAAAATTAAAGAAAATATTTTCTCAAGATAGACTGAGTGAGGTTCTATCTATGAATAAAATCATGGTCCATAATAGGAGTAGATATACTTTTATGTTCACAGAACAGAAAGGAAGGCAGCATAGGTAGATACAGATTATATGGTGAGAATGAGAAAATCGTTTGCATCAAATTTTGTCCCTGAAAACATAATTGATTGAGGTGTATACTAAACTCTTCAGGAGAATTGTTAAATCAAAAAATAAAAATTATAATTTATGTGCAGCAAAGTATAATTTTCTCTCGGTGTTCAATGCCTATTTGGAATTGGCAACCACAAATCTAAAGCAAACCAGTCAGTATGGTTGTTTCTCACTATAAATGTTCAGCTGTTTGTTTATAAGCATTAATTATGCCCACAGGTTGGATCAAACAGGTTTAGCATTTTTATAAACTGATATAGTAGTAGAAGAGACAGAAGAAAGTTGGGGTTGTTTGTAAAGATGTGGTTTAACCATGGGGTGATGAATTAGCACTCTTAGGGAGTTTGGACAATCACTGGCCTGGGAATAGAGGCATAAGTGAACTGGAAGGATCAGAGATGGTGACTAGAAAGTGAGATGTCAGAAAGTACAATCTGAGGGATCGGAGGGATGTTGCTACTGCTAAGGAAGATACATTCAACCTAATAAACAGGTGAGTGGATGCATGCTTGAAATTAGACTAAGGAAACATTTATTTGACCTACGAAAACAAAGAAACTGAAAGACTTATGCTTTAAACCTATCATTTACATGGATATTGATGTAACTAAAAAAGATGACAAAGTGGTGGTAAAAGAGAAAATACGTGGATTGAAGATGGTGACATGTTTTCAAAGACCTGATTCTTTTGAAGGAGGAAAGAGATTCAAAAATTTTTTTTAAAGCCTAAAGGTAGAAATGAGCAAGTAACAGTGCATCTAATGTATTATACTTCTCTAGAACCTGGGGTAGTTGGAGAGAAACAACAAAATCAGCCTATACTTGAATGGACTCCAAAGAGACATTATGTGCTCAATGTCCAGCCAGGTCCTACTGAGAATAAGAAGACAAAGGGCAAACCAAGTTTAGGGATTTTTGATGAAATAGTATGGGAGTTTGGTGAGGGAGGACTGAATTCGAGAGAGCTTGTTGAAGGAGTCTGGTAAAGTGAGAAATAGAAATAGAAATAGTATGGGAGTTTGGCTCAACCACAAGGAGATATATTGAACAATATGGAAATAACATCTTTGGAGATTTAAATCACCTGAGATGGTTTTATGTCATGGCAACTGCAACTGAACTGAGAATGGAAGGAAGGCATGATGGGATTGGGCCAACAATTTTCTAGGAAAAAAAAAAGAAGTAACTAAATATAGTTGACATGGCTTGCGATAAAATAATTTTCAGGGGAAATGATCAAAGAGAAGCTTTGGGGAGCTGTTCAGTTTTGCAGGGTTGTTTCTTTTTTTTCAAGTTGAAAATGAAAGTAAAATTTGATTTCTATATTCTTCATGACATTATACCATTGATTTCAGCAGAGAAATTTGTTTATCTGAGACATATGTAATTTCTCATCATCTATTTGCTACTTTTTCCCCCTTTTCTTATTCACCTCTGTTCATTGTGTTTCACAAAACTGAATCTTTCTTACCGATTGCTTTTCTTTATTTATCCTATTGTCAGCAAGATTTTATCACAGTGGACATTGTGATAAACACTGATATCTGTGTTTTTGATAAATAGGATCAAATAAAGTATCACTCCTATGCTGTTGCCTCAGGAGAGCTGTGTGACACTCGGTTGCACTGAGAGACAAGTGTTGAGATGGTAGACCAGCGAATGTGATAGCTGTTATTCTAACCTTTCATTTTGTAATAGCTCCATGTGAAGGAGCTTACCCACATTTATGCCTTTGATATAAAAATAATATCTGTAAATATTCACATATTCATTTATATACCACATAATTCTAAAAATATCTTTAGGTGACTTCTAACTGCATTTACTGTGCAACAGGATAAACATAGAATTTTGATCCAATTGTACATAGTTATTAAATCTGGCTAAATACTTCACTCCAAACTTTAAAACATACAAAATGAAGTGGTGAATGCATGCTCTATAGGATCCAAGCCATAATAATTTTAATCACTCTTTTCTAAATATATTTTTTTCTCTCTAAACCAATACTGTCTATTTATTCATATTGCAATTCAGAAGAAAATCAGGTCAGATAGTTGACAAGGTTATGCATAAAATACTTTCAAATGTTTGACAGCAGATAATATAAATGAATACATGAAATCATAGACTGCTTTGCTTCAATTTTTACTTTTTTTAAGTGAATTGTTTTATTTATTTCCTATTTTTAACAGCTCCTACATCAACTCATATTTTTAAGGTACACAATAATATTTCCTGGATGAATTGTTTAGTTCAGTGAGCCAATTGTACTGGATTACCTTAAGGAATATGTTTTTAGCTTTGGAATAAACCTGGAGAAGTCATATATAGGCCAGCTGAACTCTTTTTGGAGGTATGTGGAAAGATAGATAGATAGATAGATAGATAGATAGAGATATATTAATTAAAGTATCTAAACCTTTTTTGATCCATCCATTTTAAAATAAATCCACTTTTCTGAGACAGGGCTTCTGAACAAGGTATGACATGTGTCCAATTGACATGTCCTGGACACGCCTCAGCCTGAAATTTTTACTTTAGAATTAAACCAAAACTAAAATATCTGAGTTTCACAAACCAGTTAGATTTGCTAGCAATTCTTGTTAGATAACACAAATTGAAAGCTTATCTTCACCACCTGTAAGGCTGTAACTGGTTTTATTCCTAATCACCTTATATAAATTTGACCCTTGACATATAATAATTTTGGTTTATTTTGCTAAAGCCACCTATGCATTTTTCTTGACTTGTCATTACCAAGAAATTACACAGTATCTGGTAGCGTCTCGGTCTAAATTTTTTTGATCAGAAGGGCACATCTCTATAATAGGTTATCTCTAAAATCAAGTACTTCTCTCTCTTTCCCTTTCTCTCCCTTTTTCTCTCTCAATAGAATCAGGGCATTCAGCATATTAAAACAATTTTTCACCCCTAAGGCTGAATTTAAATTCATGTTTCTCTTTGAATCCTTCCCCAACATCTTACTGATACTTTAACCAATTTGTCTTTATGCTTTTAAAATAGATTGATTATATCCTTCTAGGCACACATTTCTTTTTATTCTTTTAATACAAGTTAAGTCATCCAAAGTTAATGTCCACATCATAATCATATTTTATTGTGTGCATATCAGGAAATAAGTTGAAATGTTTTATTAATATTCTTACTCTCAATTAATCACATTAAATCACACACTACTAAAAGCTGATGTTACCTTTTATTTAACTAATAATTCTAGAAGAAAAAAAAATTTGAGTCAGTGGTGAAATTTGAGAAACTTAGACGAGTAGTCAGGGAGTTATTTTAAGGTGAACGTGATTATTAGAGAGCCATTTTCCTGTAACAATTTTATATAAATCATTTCCTTTGGTTACTCGCTCACAAACGCAATACAGGTGCTACCAATTTATCTCATTGGACTGTGTCTAAGGGTGTCCTTTAACTTGACTTTCTTTTTTTTTTTTTTTTTTTTTTTTTTGTTTGAGACGGAGTCTCGCTCTGTCGCCCAGGCCGGACTGCGGACTGCAGTGGCGCAATCTCGGCTCACTGCAAGCTCCGCTTCCCGGGTTCACGCCATTCTCCTGCCTCAGCCTCCCGAGTAGCTGGGACTACAGGCGCCCGCCACCACGCCCGGCTAATTTTTTGTATTTTTAGTAGAGACGGGGTTTCACCTTGTTAACCAGGATGGTCTCGATCTCCTGACCTCATGATCCACCCGCCTCGGCCTCCCAAAGTGCTGGGATTACAGGCGTGAGCCACCGCGCCCGGCCTAACTTGACTTTCTTGTCAAATTCCTTAGGGTTTCCCCACAATATTTTATCTCAACTGCTCCCAATTACCTATTTCACTCTTACCTTCCATTACTATTTTTATACATGATGTTTTGATATGAGAAATTCAAACCTTCAGCACCTCAACAGCAAAACAATTACAAAATAATGAAGGGATGTCAGAGTATTATGATCAATATAAAAGACTATTAGTGACATAATAAACTAGAAATCAGAATGCCCAATGCATGACCATTTTGCTGAAGGCCATCTATGCATAGCGTAACTTTTATTAAGTAGTGAGGGAGGCTATATTGACTAAATGGGTACTCAAGTGTCCAGATATCTGAAGGGCCATCATTAAAATTAGACTTAAGGGAATCAAGTAATCAGTGAAAAAATGTGGTGGCAGGAAAGAAGAAATAAACGTGAGGGAATTAGTTATATGGCTGTTGCATCTCTGTCACTGTAATGTTCTGGAAACTACGTTATGTCCTCTAAATTACATTAATAAAATGCTCAGCAGTCAAAGGAGCTGATTTCTATTTGAAAAGGGGTATTGGGAATAGAACACATACCAGGAAATAATTATGCATTATGTTTTCTTTTACACACATCAGTTTAGGAGTGTAAATTGCTATTCTGCACTCAAAGGTCTTAAGAGTTTAAATTATCAAAAGATTTATACTATAATCTCTTGAAGATTTAAACTAAGTAAGCTTTGATTTAAGAGCATTAAGTAGGACTAAAAGAAATAAAAACACTGACAAAAGTAAATGCCTATATAATGTCAATAACTGTCAAAACAATCATCTATAGATTATATTTTTCCTCTAGATTTTAACCAAACTTTTGTCTTTTAATACCTTTTATATAACATGTCATAACTATGAGTTTGATTGTAAACTTAATTAGAACTTTAACATTTTAACATATTTGAAAACATAAAGTATGAGTCAAAACTCAGAGATATGGGCAGGGTGCATTTGCTCATGCCTGTAATCCTAGCACTTTGGGAGGCCCAGGCAGGGAGATCACCTGAGGTCAGGAGTTCGAGATCAGCCTGGCCAACATGGCAAAACCCCGTCTCAACTAGAAATACAAAAATTAGCTGGGCTTGGTGGCACATTCCTGTAATCCCAGCTACTCAGGAGGCTGAGGCAGGAGAATTGCTTGAACCTGGGGGGGGTTCTTTTTAAAATCTGATAACCAATACAGCTGTTAAGTGGCTAAGGGACAGGTAGCATCTGCAGCATGAATACAATGGACAAAGGGCTATTTCGTGACCTGCGTAGGTCTGATTGAACAGGACTGATTGAGATTTTATCGCGTTACTTATTATGTTGCACACAGTTTAAAAACTTTGTTTTAAATTGTTTATTTCTGGGATTTTCCATTTAACATTTTCAGACCACGATTAACTAAGGGTAACAGAAACTGCAGAAAGTGAAGCCGTGAATAAGGAGGGACTACTGCAATGCAAAAAAAGGTGTTTTTAGACAGTAAAAGCTTACTGATAAGTATTCTAAGATATTTACTTAAATTATCACATGCTATGTCAGACATATAAAAATAATTAGTGACATGTTTCCTTCTGTATCATATATTGAAACAGACTAAAAATTGCATTAACTAAGTGTTCATCATTCTAAGCTATCATACTTCTTAAGGCCTGAATGTTTGTGTTTCACCCAAATTCATACTTCGAAATCCCAGTCCTTAAGGTGATGATATTAGGAGGTGGAACTTTTAAGAGGTGATTAGATCATGAAGGTGGAGCCAATATGAATGGAATTAGTGCCCTTATAAGAGGCCTGAGGGAGCTTGTTTGCCCTTTCCACCATTTGAGGTCCCAGGGAGAAGCTACCATGTGTGAGGAACAGACCCTCACCAGACAGCAAATCTGCCAGTGCCTTGTTCTTGGATTTCCCAGCTTTCAGAACTATGAGAAATAAATTTCTGTTGTTTAAAAGCTACCCAGTTTATAGTATTTTTATAGTATCTCAAATGTACCAAAACACTATTTTTTATTTCCTTTTATTTTTGACCTTCTTGATTTTCAACTTATAATATACTTAACAGTGTATTTTGCTATAGTGAGCATGTTGTATTTGCTATAACCAATTGATGATATTGTATATCTTAATTACATCATCAGTAGTGTACAAAACTGTACCTGTTAATAATATTATTAGTGGTACTAATTCTATCTTGGATTTTCTGGCAGGACATTCAATATTTAGTGGGGTTTAAGAGTCATCTTTTCTGGAGCAGAGTATATGGTGATATAAACTGAGATATTAAAAAGAAGAGACATGTTTAAACCAATTTAGATAACCTGCTTAATTATATACATAGAATATTAAAAACAAGTGAACATCTACAGCAAAAAATAATATTTTGATGAAGACTGGAAAGTTGCTAACACAACCTGTAAAATATCATTAACTGGTTTAAAGCAAGTGAGAAGAAGATCAATTAGAAACTGGAAAGTGATCACTTAGTAGTTACCATCCTGACAAAGAGCAGCAAGAAAATAAAATAATAAATTCTTTTTTCTGAAGTCCTCTCAGTGGTGCTCTGGTTTTATGTATTAAGCTACTCTTCTCTGTCCTAATAATATAATTTTAAAATATGCACATATAAATTAATATATGGTAGACATACTCAAAAAGAAGGAAAATTTCTCCATGGAGCAAAAGCAATTAAGAGGAATCAGGGTGAAACTACAGACTTAGTGGACTTTGGAGCTGAAATGCAAGGTGAAGTAATTAATTTATGTTTTGCTGTAACCCAGGAATTCTAATGTGTACTGAGCAGAATGTAGAACTTAAGTGTGAAAGGTGCTCTACTATGAGTGGAGAGACATTTAAAAGCCTTTAACCAACACTCCCTCCTCAAACAGCTGCCTCCAAAGATAGAAGGGACTTAATATAGCTCACTAACCAGGACTAGAACAAATCAGAACTTGAATTTACAATATCTCAACAACCAGACAATTCCTTTGAAAATGACTGTCATTCTTCTACTCAAAATTTCTGCATGGCCTTCCAAACATATTTAGATCAACATCTACATTATTTAACAGGGTCCCCATAAGACCCTAGTTTGCCTGATCCCTGGATAGTTCTAAGACCTCATACCCAATTAGTCATCTTCTTTTTCAAATATTCCGGACTCTCTTTTTGTTAAAAAAAAAAGATGCCTATTATTTTTTCCCAAGGAGTTATAAGTGATATTCCCACAGGTTAGAAAATTTATGTCCACATATTAACAAAGCTGTCGCATCATTTCACTCAATTCTCTGCTCAAATACCACCATCTTCAAACAGGCTTTCCTTGACAACTCTACTGAGAAAAGTATCCGTTTCCCTAATACCCTATCCTTACACTGATTAATTTTCCTCTGTAGCACTTTTTTCTTTTTTTATTACAGAATATCACATTGTGCATTTAACCTTTTCTTTTTTGGTCTCTTCCATTAGAATATAAATTCTATAAACTCAGGCACTATTTATATTTCATTCACTATTCAATATTGGGTCCCAAAAAGGCCCTATAAACAATAGCAAATAAGCAACAAAACAAAACAAAAAAACAACTAAAAGCACTCAGATTCTGTTTAACAAAGTAATGAAGAAAGAAGTTTCTTCAGTTTAATATATGGGGCAGAATAGTAACGGGCTAATTTTAATTGAAGAGCTATATCAAGTATCTTGATCCTTATTAAATAAGGAAATTCTTTTTAACATTCATTCAGCTTTACTTGACAGTACTATATTTTTTAAGTTCCTCTAAGTTGAAAGTTTCACACATTTAGAAACCATCTTAGTTCATGAGATTTAGGTTATTTGTGGTGACAGCCAGCCTCTCTAATTCCATTCACTCTGTTACCAGCCCGTGAGTTAAGCATACATTATCTTTTACCAGAATCAATATCTTATCTATTCAGCTCCCCGAAATGAGCTTTCATTAACCAGGTAGTTTTAGATAGATGGCTTGTAACTTTTATTACCTTTAGTATAGCCTGCTAGGATGTGTTGGGACTTTTGTATAGCAGATACAGGCATAAATCAGACTAGGTCACCTTGAGATTAAAAAATCAATGAAGAGGAAAATAACAGTTGAGTACTTCTGAGTTTAGCACTCATTATCGAAGCTGTATGTATGTAACTGGAGACAAAAGTAAACACATGGTAAACATCCTAAAGCACAGTCTTGGGGTGCCAAGCTGTGAATTACATTGTGAGAACACTTTCTGGGTTTGTTTCACTCAGAATGAGACTCTTTATAGTATTTCTGCATCCTTGAAGTTTGTATAGGATCTTGATGCTTGGTTCTACAGTTGATGGACTAAGTTACAGAGTTATATAAATGTTTAAAATTATGTCTCAATTTAGAAAATCTTCACTAAAATAAGATATCCATCATATACAACAATATGAATAATTATGTTAGTGGGTATTTGCAAATTCTACTTCTAGGAAGCTTTGAGATTGTTAGATGCCTTGCTTTTCCTGGTAGAGATTACTCTTCACACCAAAGAACACCTCTGGAGGTGAGAAAAGATGAGAGGAGAACACTAAGTGGAATCCTTCAAAGGGAAAAATATTTATTTTCAATCGTATTATTTCTTAGTAATATTTTGTTTAAAAAAAGATGTTCTACAAAATAAGTGTGGAAATCACTGCTTTTATCATTATAAATGATATTTTTATTATTACACAATAAAAATAAAATAGTCATCTTTCTAATAATCAGGAAAATTAAAAGGCAAAAATCAAGCAAAACAAAAATTACTTATAGGACCCAAACAGGGAACAGACAATTTTATGAAGCATCCTAGGTCTAAATAGAAGAGAGTGATGGAGTTTTTGACCAACTGGAAAGAGTTGAGTCAGATGGATGGCAGCTACTTAGCTCCAGCTGATTTTTTTTCCACTGGGAATGTAGGCTCATTGTTGTCAAATCTGGTTCTTAGCAAAGAATAGAAATCTATATTTAAATGAGAATTATCTGATTTTTAGCTTTTGCTAAGTAATTGAAAACTTTTAAAACTCTATGCTGATAGCATAAGACAGATTTGCTAATCAGGATTAACCCAGAGGTTGCCCATATTTAATATTTGATAATAAAACAATTAGAAGGAGTTCTGACCATTAAAGTGATGGAATATTTACTTCCTCACGCAACTATAATGATTTTATGTAGTGGACATACTAGCAGCACACTATAAATAGTTCAGCCTTTGTACTCAGAGATTCTCAAAATGGGCTCTGAGTCACCTTGGAAAGGTAACAGACTCTAGGATCTTTGGGTAAGCTAATTATCTTTTTGATCTTTCTTGTTAAAGAGGAAAAATATGCTGACAACTTTTTCTTATATCATTTCTTGTTACCAGGGAGAATAAATTGTTGTGAGTGTGGAGTAGATCAGCCAAAAAAATGGAAAATGAGAAAATATATGTATTCACTCTCAAATTATTTTTTAAATGTCTAGTTAAATAGTGAGTAAATGTTTGACTATTTAAATTTATAGCATTGATTTATTAAATTTAATATTTGGGATTTTATATCTCTTGCTCTTTCCACAAAATATGCATATCGATGTTGAGAGTCTCTTTCCACAAAATATCCACATCAATGTTGAGAGTATCATGCACATACTATAGTGAGAAAACACATTATTTCTCTATAGTTTCTGAAAAGCTATCATATTATAATTTGGAAAATATGAGACATTTACCTTATAATATATCTGCTTATTGAGGAAGTATTTTCTAAATTATAATTGTAATCTATATTTGTTTCAAAATGTATGAAAAATTTAGAAATGCAAAAATATGAACACATAGAAAAAAGGAACACTTAAAACCTCCATAGATATTAAGAAAATTAACCAATGTAATTGATATACATGTATATATACATAAAATATAAATGCACAGCGTTATAATCTCACATTTGTATTTTTCACCTTTGCTATTTTTTAATAATTTTAAAGTAATTAGATATTCTAAGGTATAATTTCAAATGAATTCTTAACATTATTTCATATGCATACAGAATAATTACTTATAACAATACAACCTGTAGATATTAATTTGTTCCTTCTAAATTTCCGTTATTATAATATAAAATTCTGTAATGAACAATCTTCATCTCAATTACATCAGATTATTTTCTTTTGATACGTTTCTTTAAAAATGCTATTGTATACCAGGTGTGGTGGCTCATGCTTATAATCCCAGCACTTTGGGAGGCCGAGGTGGGTAGATCACGAGGTCAAGAGATCGAGACCATCCTGGCCAACATGGTGAAACCCCGTCTCTACTAAAAATACAAAAATTAGCTAGCCGTTGTGGCATGCACCTGTAGTCCCAGCTACTCAGGAGGCTAAGGCAGGAG